>NC_000007.14:37115242-37740242 GCF_000001405.40 Homo sapiens
TAATTCTATAAAACCAGTATTACCCTAATACCAAAACCAAAGGCATAAGAAAGAAAAAAAATGCGGATCTATATAGCTCTCATGAACATAAATGTAAATATCCTTCACAAAATTATCAAATAGAATCCAACAATCTATAAATAGAATTATGCACCACAACCGAGTAGGATTTGTTTCAGGTATGCAAGGCTCATTCAACATTCAAAAATCAGTTAATGTAAACCATTGTATCAACAGGCTAAAGAAGAAAAGTTGTATAATGGTATCAATAGATACAGAAAAGCCATTTGATAAAATCTAACACTCATTCATGATAAAAAAAAACTCTCAGCAAACTAAGAATAGAGCAGTTCCTCAGCTACATAAAGAACATCTACATAAAACTTATGGCTAACATCATACTTAATGATGAGAAACTTGACTCTGCCCTAGGATCAGGATCAAGGCTAAGATGGTCGCTCCTATCACCCCTATGTAACATCTTACTGGTAGTCCTAGCTAGTGCAATAAGAAAAAAAAAAAAAGGGTGTACAGACTGGGAAGGAGGAAACAAAACTGTCTTTGTTCACAGGGGACATGATTGTCTATGTAGAAAATTCCAAGGAATTAATACATAAAATCTTGGAACTAATAAACAATTACAGCAAGACTGCAAGATATTGGCTTATCAATTGTAACAAATGAGCCATTCTAATGTGAGATGTTAATAACAGAGAAAGCTGTGTGTGGGAGAAATGAGAGATGGGATATATACGAACCCTCTGTACTTTTGCTCAACTTTTCTGTAAACCTAAAACTGTTCTAAAACACAATGTCTATTAATTAAAAAATTAAAAAGGCAGAGAGGTCTGCATTCTCTTGAGAAAAACAGAAGAGAGAGGAGTCCCAGAAACCTTTCCCCTTCAAAGAAATAAGAAGTGAGCTGCAGTTCTTTGAACTCCTGCATTACAACAATTAAAGCAGAAAAGGGAGAAGAAATAGCGAAACCCCAGCACAGCAGCTGCTGAGCTCTGCACAGCTAAGGTAGAAAAATGCACATTTAAAGGTGGAAGCTTGGTCAATTACAGCAGAAAGAAAGAGGGCTTGTCACAGAGCAGGTACTGTACTCAATAAATATTTAACTAGCTAAACAAGACATAAAAATGGACAATATGGGCTGAATTTGGAGAACTGGGTTGGAGAAATAATGGAAAGATACTAACTGGATCTAAGATAGAGAAACCACAACAGTTACTGTGAGCTAAGTCTTGGCTGGTACCTCAGTGAGGGAGTCAGGAACATGTGATCCTTCTGAAGTTTTTAACCTTTCAATTCACATTAGACTTGTGTTTACAATATGTCAACTACATATAGTTCACTATACAGCTTAGCTTCACTTTTTTCTCAACAAATCCATCACTGTTTTAAAGTCCCACTGTGTTTTAAAATTAAAAAAAAAAAAAGAAAAGAGAAAAACCACCACCACCACCAACAAAAAACCTTTGGAGAATGCTAAGTAAGAAAGTCTGAAACCTCTTTCACCAAGGACTCTCCAAGATGGGCTGCTTTTGCATCAAAACCATGGAAAGGCAGCCTGGGTCATCCTAGAAAAGTACTACATGTGCCTCGGCAATGACTTCCACAGGAACGAGTGTGTGGGCAAGGAGATCACCATTATCTCTGGCAAGAAGCTCCGCAACAAGAGGGCAGGCTACATCCTGCATCTGATGGAGGATATTTGGAGAGGCCCAGTGAGAGGCATCTCCATCAAGTTGTGGGAGGAAGAGAGAGAAAAAAGGAGAGATAATTATGTTCCTGAGATCTTAGCCCTGGACCTGGAGATCACTAAAGTAGGTCCTGACACTGAGGAAACACTGAGACTTTGGGGCTTTCACAGACTGTCCAACCTGCGGGTCACTCAGCCTACAGTTGGGATAAATTTCAAAACACCACGTGGAGCTGTTTGGATTTTTCTGCAATGCTGTAGTATTTTCAGTTAACCTGAGACAACGGCAAACAAACAAGCAAGCATTCTGAACCTAATGCTCAGCTTGGGGTGGTACCAAGAGAGACAAGGAGATAACTACCAGCTTTCAGGTCTGCTTCAGATTTCAGACACCTCATCCAGCACCACAAGAACACAGGTGAGCATCCGAGGTGGTGTGAGCACACCACGCAGGCACTGCTACAGTCAGCTAATAGAGGTTTGTGGAATCTGCCCTCCCTCCCTGGGACAAGGGGTCTTCTGAGATAAAACCAAGCCCACATTTAACAATGATCTCATCCTCATGCTTGAAGCATTCCATTCAAATCACTGGCTTTGGAAGTCAGAAATTCTTCCTTCCAGCTCAATTAGTAAATCTAATCACATATTCACACTCTCAAGGGGTCCCGATTGTTTGGCAGTAACAGCTTGGTTATTCACAATCAACGAAATTAATGCCACTATTTTTAAAACATGAAAAAATCCTGTATATACAAACAAGCCTCCAAGCTGTGGACCTTGGTTAAAGAAAGAACAAAAATTAAAGCCAGGAAAAAAGTAAATGAATTATGAGACAAAGAATCATTTCAAACTCAAACGTCCCAACAAGGCTGTGCCTTTGGGGTCCTTGTTATTCTAAACTGAATCCTTTCTCCACATCACCTAGAAGAAAAATGTCACTCAGATAAAAAAAGGTTCCTTTACATGGAATTGTGTGTTTAACTGGCAACATATAATTTTATTTTTAAAAAAATGAAGAGCAATTGCTGTTGAAGCCATTTCAGGGACGAGAGAAGGGGAGGCTCTGTCAGCACAATGGGAACAAAAAACTGTTGTGCACTAAGCATTATTCCAATCATTTGCTTCATAGTTAAGTTTAATTGCACATTACACACTGTCCTGTAATTATGTCGCTTGGGGAACCGCCAAATTCCCCCTTGAAATGTTAGAAGTCCCTTAGTTTATTTTAAAGTCTTGGCGTCGCCTCCACCAGCACCCTGCCTTAATGCACAGAGGCTACTTGGTTCCTGTTCCCTTCAATGCATACTGTTGTCCTGCGAGGGATCCACTCTATGGTCTGACTCCTGGTACAGAGGGCTGATGATGCTCAGAGCTCCCAGAGCACTGGTCCAGTGCAGTCTGTTTATAATATACTCGTGTGACTTTTTTCTTTAAAACTCACAACAGGAGAAACTGGGAAACATGCCTTTTCCTTTTCTTCAGTCTCAGGAGGTTGGGATTAAAGTCCTTCATTCTCAGCCAGGGAATAAACACCCAACCAAAGATGAAATGCCTGCTTTCTGGGAGTTTACAAGGATGAAAAGATAAACACCGAGCAAATACATATGAAACTCTCAGAAGGCTGTACATCAATCAAGTACTACTTTAAGGAGTGGGAACGGGAACAATCAACTCAAATGGTTGAAGCACCTTCTATGTGCTGGCGGTGTGCTCAGAACTTCACAAATGTTATTACAGACTATCATCATCAACGGGCACTAACTCGAGTGCCTTCAAGTACCAGGCAGATAACCAGAAAGCATGAAGCAGTCAGCCATAATACAAGAAGGTGTCTGGGGCTCTAAGTTAATTGGGGAGGGAGTGTAAGCCCTGAAAAAAGGCAATCAAATTCTCTTCTTTTTAATAACACTGGGTCAGTGAAGCAAAACACATCTGTAGGACTCATTTGAACTGTGGCTACCACCTCCATATGAATCTATAAGCCTCTCAAAAGCACACAGTATGGACAATGGACACATATTATCTGGATTTAAAATTCAGCTCTGGTACTACCTTAGCTGTGTGACTTTGGACAAACCACTTAACCTCTCCATGTGTCAGTTTCCTCGTCTGTAAAATGCAAACAGTAACAGTGGCAACCTCAGAGGGGTGGTGCAAGAAATAAATGAAAATACTCAGCTTAGTTGTTCTAGTGAGCTCCAAACATGTGATTGCTGTGATCATTGATGTTTAGCTCCCTGACTGGAAAGGCTGAAAAGAGATTCCCCAAAATGACTCTGAACTTGAGGTGGGCCTTGAGGAGAAGAACAGAGAGATCTACAGACTGGAAGGAAAGGGCATAAGGTTTCTTTATCTTCCCATGTCTGGGAACATTGAAGGGAAATTACAAATAATGTATGTTAAGTACTCAGAACATAGTAAAGGCTCAAAAGATAGTAGCTTTTCTCACGCTAGGTAATTTCAGAGCATTTTCTTTAGGTTGCTGCCTCAAAAAATCCAGGCCTCCCTGTCCCAACCATTAGTTAGGATCTAAATCATTATTTCTCCCAACTATTTTTTGTAAGTATGATGTAATATGCATTGCATCATGAGGAGGAAAAACCCACTTAAAGGTTTTAAAATAGTGTAAACTAAACATACTTTAAATTCTTCATCTGTTTAAAAAAGTGGCTATAATGAAACAATCTTGAGAAAACAATTCTTCAGTAGAAATAGCCATCTTTACTCATAGACTTATTTACTTGACATATTACAAATATTTGTCTTCTGATTTGGCATAATATTAGAAACATATATATGCTCTGTCTCACAACTGCACGAAAACATTGTGATTAATCTTATTTTTAAAGGCATTTCTATTCTCCCCCCTCAGGAAATTCATTATCTTCTATAACAGTCAGCCAGTATGCAAAGATTTTCCAACTAGATGAAATGTTAATCATAAATTATGAGGGACGCTGAAGCAAGGTTCTGTCTCCAGATTGTATACATTAATTATGTGATTTTTTGGGTAAGCAATTATATCTCGATAAAACTAGAAAACAAAAAAGAATTGCCAGATATGTAAGGAACAAACAGTTTCCAAGATTTACTTTTAAATTTTTTCCTGGAAACCTCAAGATTATACAAATTCCGTTGGGTAACAGCTTTGTTGAGTAGGATTTTATCAACTGGTTGTGTAGCAGTTTAATTAAGAAAATATTTGGGGTCCAGGTTCCAAGATGGCCAAATAGGAACAGCTCCAGTCTACAGCTCCCAGCGTGAGCAACTCAGAAAACGGGTGATTTCTGCATTTCAAACTGAGATACTGGGTTCATCTCACTGGGGATTGTCGGACAGTGGGTGCAGCGCACCAAGCGTGACCCGAAGCAGGGAGAGGCGTTGCCTCACCCGACAAGCGCAAGGGGTCAGGGAATTCCCTTTCCTAGCCAAGGGAAGGGGTAACAAACAGCACCTGGGAAATTGGGTCACTCCCACCCTAATACTGCGCTTTTCTGACGGTTTTAGCAAACGGCACACCAGGAAATCATATCCCACGTCTGGCTCAGAGGGTCCCACGCCCACAGAGCCTTGCTTGTTGCTAGCATAGCAGTCTGAGATCAAACTTCAACGCGGCAGCGAGTCTAGGGGAGGGGCACCCGCCATTGCTGAGGCTTGAGTAGGTAAACAAAGTGGCCGGGAAGCTCAAACTGGGTGGAGCCCACCTCAGCTCAAGGAGGCCTGCCTGCCTCTGTAGACTCCACCTCTGAGGGCAAGGCATAGCCGAACAAAAGGCAGCAGAAATCTCCGCAGACTTAAATGTGCCTGTCTGACAGCTTAGAAGAGAGTAGTGGTTCTCCCAGCATGCAGCTTGAGATCTGAGAATGGACAGACTGCCTCCTCAAGTGGGTCCCTGACCCCTAAGTAGCCTAACTGGGAGGCACCCCCCAGTAGGGGCAGACTGACACCTCACACAGCCGGGTACCCCTCTGAGACGAAACTTCTAGAGGAACATTCAGGCAGCAACATCTGCTGTTTACCAATATTCGCTGTTCTGCAGCCTCCGCTGCTGATACCCAGGCAAACAGAGTCTGGAGTGGACCTCCAGCAAACTCCAACAGACCTGCAGCTGAAGGTCCTGACTGTTAGAAGGAAAACTAACAAACAGAAAGGACATCCACACCAAAACCCCATCTGCACGTCACCATCATCAAAGACCAAAGGTAGATAAAACCACAAAGATGGGGAAAAAACAGAGCAGAAAAACTGAAAATTCTAAAAATCAGAGCGCCTCTCCTCCTCCAAAGGAACGCAGCTCCTCACCAGCAACGGAACAAAGCTGGACGGAGAATGACTTTGACAAGTTCAGAGAAGAAGGCTTCAGACGATCAAACTTCTCTGAGCTAAAGGATGAAGGTCGAACCCATCGCAAAGAAGTTAAAAACCTCAAAAAAAGATTAGACAAATGGCTAACCAGAATAACCAATGCAGAGAAGTCCTTAAAGGACCTGATGGAGCTGAAAACCATGGCATGAGAACCACATGATAAATGCACAAGCTTCAGTAGCCAATTCGATCAGCTGGAAGAAAGGGTATCAGCGATGGAAGATCAAATGAATGAAATGAAGTGAGAAGAGAAGTTTAGAGAAAAAAAGAATAAAAAGAAATGAACAAAGCCTCCAAGAAATATGGGACTATGTGAAAAGACCAAATCTACGTCTGATTGGTGTACCTGAAAGTGACGGGGAGAATGGAACCAAGTTGGAAAACACTCTACAGGATATCATCCAGGAGAATTTCCCCAACCTAGCAAGGCAGGCCAACATTCAAATTCAGGAAATACAGAGAACGCCACAAAGATACTCCTCGAGAAGAGCAACTCCAAGACACATAATACACATAATTGTCAGATTCACCAAAGTTGAAATGAAGGAAAAAATGTTAAGGGCAGCCAGAGAGAAAGGACGGGTTACCCACAAAGGGAAGCCCATCAGACTAACAGCTGATCTCTCGGCAGAAACTCTACAAGCCAGAAGAGAGTGGGAGCCAATATTCAACATTCTTAAAGAAAAGAATTTTCAACCCAGAATTTCATATCCAGCCAAACTAAGCTTCATAAGTGAAGAAGAAATAAAATCCTTTAGAGACAAACAAATGCTGAGAGATTTTTGTCACCACAAGGCCTGCCCTAAAAGAGCTCCTGAAGGAAGCACTAAACATGGAAAGGAACAACCGGTACCAGCCACTGCAAAATCATGCCAAATTGTAAAGACCATTGAGACTAGGAAGAAACTGCATCAACTAACGAGCAAAATAACCAGCCAACATCATAATGACAGGATCAAATTCAAACATAACAATATTAACCTTAAATGCAAATGGGCTAAATACTCCGATTAAAAGACACAGACTGGCAAATTGGATAATGAGTCAAGACCCATCAGTGTGCTGTATTCAGGAAACCCATCTCACATGCAGAGACACACACACACTCAAAATAAAGGGATGGAGGAAGATCTACCAAGCAAATGGAAAACAAAAAAAGGCAGGGGTTGGAATCCTAGTCTCTGATAAAACAGACTTTAAAGCAACAAAGATCAAAAGAGACGAAGAAGGCCATTACACAATGGTAAAGGGATCAATTCAACAAGAAGAGTTAACGATCCTAAATATATATGCACCCAATACAGGAGCACCAGATTCATAAAGCAAGTCCTTAGAGACTACAAAGAGACTTAGACTCCCACACAATAATAATGGGAGACTTTAACACCCCACTGTCAACATTAGACAGATCAATGAGACAGAAAGTTAATAAGGATATCCAGGAATTGAACTCAGCTCTCCACCAAGCGGACCTAATAGACATCTACAGAACTCTCCACCCCAAATCAACAGAATATACATTCTTCTCAGCACCACACCACACCTAGTCCAAAATTGACCACATAGTTAGAAGTAAAGCACTCCTCAGCAAATGTAAAAGAACATAAATTATAACAAACTGTCTCTCAGACCACAGTGCAACCAAACTGGAACTCAGGATTAAGAAACCCACTCAAAACTGCTCAACTACATGGAAACTGAACAACCTGCTCCTGAATGACTACTAGGTACATAACAAAATGAAAGTAGAAATAAAGATGTTCTTTGAAACCAGTGAGAACAAAGACACAACATACCAGAATCTCTGGGACACATTTAAAGCAGTGTGTAGAGGGAAATTTATAGCAATAAATGCCCACAAGAGAAAGCAGGAAAGATCCAAAATTGACACCCTAACTTCACAATTTAAAGAACTAGAGAAGCAAGAGCAAACACATTCAAAAGCTAGCAGAAGGCAAGAAGTAACTAAGATCAGAGCAGAACTGAAGGAGATAGAGACATAAAAAACCCTTCAAAAAAATCAATGAATCCAGGAGCTGCTTTTTTGAAAAGATCAACAAAACTGATAGACCACTAGCAAGACTAATAAAGAAGAAAAGAGAGAAGAATCAAATAGACGCAATAAAAAATGATAAAGGGGGTATCACCACCAATCCCACAGAAATACAAACTACCATCGGAGAATACTATAAACACCTCTACATAAATAAACTAGAAAATCTAGAAGAAATGGATAAATTCCTCGACACATACACCCTCCCAAGACTAAACCAGGAAGACGTTGAATCTCTGAATAGACCAATAACAGGCTCTGAAATTGAGGCAATAATTAATAGCTTACCAACCAAAAAAAGTCCAGAACCAGACAGATTCACAGCTGAATTCTACCAGAGGTACAAAGAGGAGCTGGTACCATTCCTTCTGAAACTATTCCTATCAACAGAAAAAGAGGGAATCCTCCCTATCTCATTTCATGAGGCCAGCATCATCCTGATACCAAAGCCTGGCAGAGACACAACAAAAAAAGAGAATTTTAGACCAATATCCTTGATGAACATTGATGCAAAAATCCTCAGTAAAATACTGGCAAACCGAATCCAGCAGCACATCAAAAAACTTAGCCACCATGATCAAGTGGGCTTCATCCCTGGGATGCAAGGCTGGTTCAACATATGCAAATCCATAAACATAATCCAGCATACAAACAGAACCAACGACAAAAACCACATGATTACCTCAACAGATGCAGAAAAGTTTGACAAAATTCAATAGCCCTTCATGCTAAAAACTCTCAATAAATTAGGTATTGATGGGACGTATCTTAAAATAATAAGAGCTATCTATGACAAACCCACAGCCAATATCATACTGAATGGGCAAAAACTGGAAGCATTCCCTTTGAAAAGTTGCACAAGACAGGGATGCACTCTCTCACCACTCCTATTCAACATAGTGTTGGAAGTTCTGCCTAGCGCAATCAGGCAGGAGAAAGAAATAAAGGGTATTCAATTAGGAAAAGAGGAAGTCCAATTGTCCCTGTTTGCAGATGACATGACTCTTTTTCTAGAAAACCCCATCATCTCAGCCCAAAATCTCCTTAAGCTGATAGGCAACTTCAGCAAAGTCTCAGGATACAAAATCAATGTGCAAAAATCACAAGCACTCTTATACACCAATAACAGACAAACAGAGAGCTAAATCATGAATGAACTCCCATTCACAATTGCTTCAAAGAGAATAAAATACCTAAGAATCCAACTTACAAGGGACGTGAAGGACCTCTTCGAGGAGAACAACAAACCACTGCTCAACAAAATAAAAGAGGATACAAACAAATGGAAGAACATTCCATGCTCATGGGTAGGAAGAATCAATATCATGAAAATGGCCATACTGCTCAAGGTAATTTATAGATTCAATGCCATCCCCATCAAGCTACCAATGACTTTCTTCACAGAATTGGAAAAAACTACTTTAAAGTTCATATGGAACCAAAAAAGAGCCCACATTGCCAAGTCAATCCTGAGCCAAAAGAACAAAGCTGGAGGCATCACACTACCTGACTTCAAACTATACTATAAGGCTACAGTAACCAAAACAGCATGGTACTGGTACCAAAACAGAGATATAGATCAATGGAACAGAACAGAGCCCTCAGAAATAATACCACACTTCTACAACTATCTGATCTTTGACAAACCTGACAAAAACAAGAAATGGGGAAAGGATTCCCTATTTAACAAATGGTGCTGGGAAAACTGGCTAGCCATATGTAGAAAGCTGAAACTGGATCCCTTCCTTACACCTTATACAAAAATTAATTCAAGATGGATTAAAGACTTAAATGTTAGACCTAAAACCATAAAAACCCTAAAAGAAAACCTAGGCATTACCATTCAGGACATAGGCACGGGCAAGGACTTCATGTCTAAAACACCAAAAGCAATGGCAACAAAAGCCAAAATTGACAAATGGGATGTAATTAAACTAAAGAGCTTCTGCACAGCAAAAGAAACTACCATCAGAGTGAACAGGCAACCTACAGAATGGGAGAAAATTTTTGCAATCTACTCATCTGACAAAGGGCTAATATCCAGAATCTACAAAGAACTCAAACAAATTTACAAGAAAAAATCAAACAACCCCATAAACAAGTGGGCTAAGGATATGAACAGACACTTCTCAAAAGAAGACATTTATGCAGCCAACAGACACATGAAGAAATGCTCATCATCACTGGCCATCAGAGAAATGCAAAGCAAAAGCACAAAGAGATACAAAGAGATACCATCTCACACCAGTTAGAATGGCAATCATTAAAAAGTCAGGAAACAACAAGTGCTGGAGAGGATGTGGAGAAACAGGAACACTTTTACACCGTTGGTGGGACTATAAACTGGTTCAACCATTGTGGAAGACAGTGTGGTGATTCCTCAAGAATCGAGAACTAGAAATACCATTTGACCCAGCCATCCCATTACTGGGTATATACCCAAAGGATTATAAATCATGCTGCTATAAAGACACATGCAGACGTATGTTTATTGTGGCACTATTCACAATAGGAAAGACTTGGAACCAAGCCAAATGTCCAACAATGATAGATTGGATTAAGAAAATGTGGCACATATACACCATGGAATACTATGCAGCCATAAAAAATGATGAGGTCATGTCCTTTGTAAGGACATGGATGAAGCTGGAAACCATCATTCTCAGCAAACTATTGCAAGGACAAAAAACCAAACATCGCATGTTCTCACTTATAGGTGGGAACTGAACAATGAGAACACTTGGACACAGGAAGGGGGACATCACACACTGGGGCCTGATGTGGGGTGGGAGGAGTGGGGAGGGATAGCATTAGGAGATATACCTAATGTAAATGACTAGTTAATGGGTGCGGCACACCAACATGGCACATGTATACATATGTAACAAACCTGCATGTTGTGCACATGTACCCTAGAACTTAAAGTATAATTTAAATATATATATATATATATATATATATATAAAAGAAAAGAAAATATTTTATTTATCACATAGCACCATGCCGAATCAAACAGAGAAAAGGGGTCAGGCTTGTTCTATTCCATACTGACTGCCCAACAGAATACTTCTCTAAGAAGCAGTGCCGTTGTTTAAAATTAGGTCACTGGGAAAGGGGGCAAGCCTAAGTGATTCTGATATAAACAGTATAATAACTTACAAAATAATGAAATATTTACCTGCTCAATATATTGTGAAAAACTGCAAAGAAGTATCAAGCAACGTTTTTATAACTTGATAGTTGTGCCCAGCATAAGTCACATCTAAAAATCCCAAAGGAAACAAGGAAACTCTCAAGTAAAAAACAAATAAACAAATACTGCCTTCACTTGATTGCTTTTCCATGTCAGGTATTTCAGAATCAGATCCTGCCTTTCTTCACCACCACAGCCACTGCGCATGGCTCCACGCAGGCACGTGGTAGGTGTTTGATAATATTTCATGAAAAAGTCAATGAATGAATGAATGAATATGAATGTTAAAAGGATTTTTCTTCTTTTAGTTGGATACTTTTTAGCGCCTAAGAAGATGGACTGTTTCTGTTTTCTATGTGTATTTTTTCCCTCTGAAAAAGATGTAATCAATAATAGAAACATCTCATTTGCATGCATTCGGATTTTATTGTTGGGCGTTAAATGTTTATCTAACTTTTTTAGAGCCTGGGATTAATGCACAGTTTGCTTCTGTCTCACTGTAATGCCAAGAGGGGTCAGATGACTGACAATAGGTTCTGAACATCTGAATACTTCTGCATGTTACTTCTCCTATCACTACTCTGAAACTAAAGACTATCTCTGACACATGAAAAGCTTTGCAATGATACCTTCCCTGGGCCCACTTATTCCTTAAAATAGCATCTTTTGGGTGTCAATCAAGTATCTTTAGAAATGGCTTCCTGACCATGCTAGACTTCAGAAGATCTTTAACTGAATATGACGACTTGTTTGATAGTCCTGTGGACTTTCCATGTTTTCTAATTATTCTCTCTTTGACTCTGTCCCCTTTCCCTCCATTCCAAGAATGACAACACTGTTTCCCTCATCATACTCCAAGCCCAGAGACGAGGCTACAGAACTGGAAGAAGCCTGAGATTTGGAGGCTTGTCTACTGGCTGTTTGACAGACCAAACTCTCTGTACCTCTCTAAGTCCCAGCTCCTGAATTTATAAAATGGTGATAACAATGCTTGTTCCTAGGGATTACTTGAAGACTGAGCTCAACTATGCAGCCTGTCTTGCATGTTACCAAACCCACACTAGGTATTCATTTGCTCTGGCCAAACGGGAAGGTGAATATTACCATGAAGAATTACATTATCCTGAGATCACCCTATCTGCTAGTCATAGCCTTTTTCTTAAGTATTTCTTATTATTCCAGTTCCACCTTTGAGAGAGCCCTAGGTTTCCTTGCCATTGCTTCCTGCTTTGTGGTTGAATCTTGGCTCCCACATTGGCCAGCATAGGTCTTCAGCCAAGCTAAAACCAGGTAATTTGGGTTTTTCAGTAGTTCCCAGTGAATAAAATTAAATACATCAAGAACATAAATTTGGCTGGGCTCGGTGACTCACACCTGTAATCCCAACAATTTGGGAGGCCAAGGCGGGCAGATCATCTGAGGTCAGGAGTTCAAGACCAGCCTGGCCAACACGGCGAAACCCCATCTCTACTAAAAATACAAAAATTAGCTGGGCATGGTGGTGCGTGCCTGTAGCCCCAGCTACTTGGGAGGCTGAAGCATGAGAATCACTTGAACCCAGGACACGGAGACTGTGGTGAGCTGAAAATGCACCACTGCACTGCAGCCTGGGCAAAAGAGTGAGACTGTATCTTAAACAAACAAACAAACAAACAAAAAACATAAACATAAAAAAAGAAAAACAAAACATCTACAACACGCTCAACTCTGTACCATTATCTTGTCTCTGAAAATAATGACAGCAGGCTCATGGGCATGAGCCAAGAACCCTCCCTCCACTTGTCTCCTTATTGAGACAGCCTTGTACCATTCCTCTGGTCTGGAAAGCTGGGGAGTGAAACATTTCTAGAAAAAGTAAAAGCAATTATACCCAGAGTAAGTAAGACTCGGAAGTCTGAAATCATGCTATGCCTCCAGATTTTACTCCATGCACAGTAGGATACTCAGATTTGCAATTCCTCCTCATGTTCTGTGCCCGTCCAAGTTTTGGGGTAATTCAGTTACACCCACTGCTTTCATCAGTACACAGTTACAAAACTTTATTCAAATATAACATGAGAAACCAGGCTGTCCATCACAAAATTCACATATCAAAAATATACCTTTATAACTGTTAGGAGGAACAAAAGCCATGATTCTCCAATGGTAAAAAAAGCATTTATCATGGTCAAGAGACTATTTAAACCAGAACTAAAAAAAGCTCTTTACTCATGTGAATTACAAGAAATGATTAAAAGCCACTATGTGCTAGGCTCTGTGCCAGGGGCTAGAATATAAATGAACCTTGGTGCCTGCTCACAAGACATTTACAATCAATTAGGGGAAATAGAAAGTAAATACATTTAAGGCTGTACAATGTTCTAGGATTTAAATTGTGTGTCCACGGTGCAAAGAGAGTGGATGGAGTCATCCGGGTAGAGGGTCAGGAAGTCTTCTTCAGACAGAACATGGCCTTTGCCATGAGGGCTGTCCAACAGGCACATGATGTGGGACAGGCACTCAAGCAGAAACAAGAACGGGAGCAAAGACACAGTGGTAGAGACTTGCCTGGCTAGTTTGGCCTACCATCATTTATATAGACAAAGGCTACTATGGTGGTGGGGGGATGGAAAGAGGGAAAGGGAAGTTGGTAGCAAGAGATAAAGCCACAGAGATAGGCTGTGGGCCAGGCATGGTCCCTTGAAGCACTCGGAACTCTTTAGGAAGATCATCCTAGCAACTGGCACGGAAGATGGGTTTGAAGGTTCCAGACATTAGCAAGGAGGCCACTAAGATAATATTGTGACAATACAGAAGAATGAATTGGAGGGAATAAGAATGCTTAAGGAGTTAGAATATAGATTGTGATGTCTACGTGGGTCTCAGCTCAGCCACCCAGATCTCACTGCCTACGGCATATGTCCTCCTAGACAGATGTCCCACATGCATGTAAGAGTCTGGATGGTCCAAATGCCTGCCCCTTCACAGACCTGCATTATCTGTTTCCTTAATGGCACCACTGTCTACCTCCCACTCAAGGCAGAAACCTCCCTCTTCCTCGGAGAAGGTCAAGTTGATTTTAGTTCCAAAGTAACTCATTCAAACTGCTCCATTTCATTGCCACTCCCACTACCCTAGTTCAAGTTATCTCCATTTCTCTATAATTTCCCACATTTTATTTTTGCCTCTGGTCTTGATTTCTCACATTGGTTTTCTAGCGGGACAGTGATTTGTCTAAACTTAATTCTCATCTTCATTTAAAACACTTCAGAAATTCTTCACTGCCTTTAGGTCCAACAGACCTCTTCAGATGGCTTAAGACATCCCCACTGAAGTAGCACATTTGCCTCACAAGCCATGCCCCGTTTGCCAGTCCCTGCCCTGGCCATCCTATACTACTGTGGCTCCCTGAACAAAGCAGGCACCATTGTACCTTTGCTCTCATGGTTCCATCCACATGAGGTAGTACTCTCCATCTCTTCCCTTCACCTAGTTAACTAGTACTATTCAACAGTTCTGAGCCTAGATGTCACTTCCTCCAGGAAGCTTTCCTGACCTGACCCCCACATCTGTGTTGGTGACTTTCCTCTGTGTTCCCAGCATACTCAATCAAGACACATGACAAGTGACTTGGAAACTGCCTGGTATTTGTCTCTTCACCCCCCACCCCACCACCACCACCTCTACTTTTGATCTCTAGACAGTGAACTCCTCAATGTCAGGACCCATGAGCAACTTGTTTTCTTGAGGAATCCCCATCCTTTGGCTCATGGCTGGGCATTTGATGGTTACTTAGGAAATGTGCAGCCTGAGGGACTGAGACAAGCAAAGGTCCAGAGACAGAGTCCTGGGGGCCTGTGCATTTCATGGGCAGGTGGAGGAGAAACCTGCCAGAGAGACTAAGAGCAACGGTCAGCAACAGAGCCAAGACAGATCACTGGCTGCTGGGCAAGAGAGGACTGGTCACTAGAGAGTGTCAGGTGTCAAGGGCAAGGCCAACGAGACAAAGGATGAGGAAAGTGCTCTGCATTTGGCAATACAGCTTCCAGAAAGCAATGGAGAGAAGTCTTGGAGCAGGATGCTGAAAAGTGAGTGGCAGGCAAGTTGAACACAGGGCAAAAAACAACTTGGGAACATATGGCTAGAAAGTGGGTGAGGGACCATGATACCTGGGAGTGACAAGGGCAACGAGGGAATATTTGTGCATATATACATGTGTTTGTGTGTGTGTGTGTGTGTTACAATTTTTTTTTAATCTCAACTATAAATCTGACTGGCAAAGAGAGTGAATAGTGAGGCTATATTCAGGTACAGAATAAGCATTTATCAAATGAAAGATATAAATAATAAATGAAAAACTGCATTCATAGAGAAGATATACATCCTCAAAAAGGCGGATTTTTATCAAAATGCAAATTGAAAAGATTGAGCCCATCTTTATGTTTCAGAAAAGACCATTGAGCTCATGAATCAAAATTTAATTAGCTGCCCAGATCACTATTTTCACTACCTACAGCACTACTGCCATATCATGGAGATATCTATTGTCAAAGTCACCCTAAAATTTCCTTGCAGAGATCTTCAGAATTTATATATGCTCTACTAACCCCATGCATTCACATAAATAGCCTTAGCTTTCTATCTAGTAAATGCCCCAAAGTCAAATGGGACACAGAAAAAATTAGGGAAAGGACACTTCTGAGAAATCAACAAAGTCATCTGAGATACAGGAAAGTCTAACCAATAAAGAAAAGTGCATGTGGACCAAAAGCCACACTTCTCTTTACAAATAGGTTTTTTCTTTTAAGTCCTGATCAAATATAAAGTTTTGTCAGGCTGCCATGGTATTCATTTCACTTACAATGTTTAAAGAACACATTGAGGAAAACAGGCTTAAAACATTAAATTACTTTTCATGAGACATATGCTTCTTATGCAATTAACAATACATTCAGCATCAATAAGCTCCAATTTTAGAAACACTCATCCATGAACATTAATCAGTTAGTGGTAAATTCAATTTCTACTTAGCTTCTACTTTTCACGCTCAACTCTCCAAGGCTATACTACATGGTATCTCAAAAATATTAATTTACTTACTACAAAAGCAGATTACATTATTAGAAATCATCTGTGCAAAAAATATATTCGCATATAAGTCAAACCAAAGTTTTATGGAAAAACAATTTTCTTATGTGGGACTGTATTTCTGACCAAACACCTGATCCCAAACCTTTCAGAGAAATGACAATAAAATTCTCTATATATTCAGATTACAAATAATATTTCAGAATAGGTCAAAGCTTCCCAAACTCCATATATATAGAACAACACACAGATTTAAAATATATTTCCTAAAGAGAACTCAGTGATCTGGCATGGCCTTATTCAAGGAGGTCACTGCTGGGTGGTACAGTTTTTCACTGTGCCGACGGTCCCATAGATTACAGATTTTGGCCAGTAGCACACCACTAGGCATGGTGACAACTGAAGAAACACGCCCACACATTGCCAAATGCTCTCTAGGGGAATAAATACTGTCCCAGCTAAGAACCATCAAGTCTCTCTGGTTTACAGAGGAAACATGAGGCCAGACCAAAGGAAATGCCCACACTGACATCACTAGATGATGATAGTGCCAGGCTCGAACCCAGGTCTCCAGGGAGCCAGTGCTACAGAGAATCCAACAGAGAATATGAGATTAATGGACATGCTCTTACCATATTTTAAGTTCAGCCTTACTCTTCCTGATTTAGGCAACTTGTTCATCAAATACTTTCTAAGCTTACATCTAGTCATCATTTTAACCACTCACCAATTCCCCTGCCCCATTTATTCATATCCTTCCCTGATCTCAATCTTGGATCTACCTCATCCTGACTGAATCTGGGTTCTTCACCCTGAGGACAGGGGAGAGGTGTCAGCACAAATCCAGGGCTCCAACCGAGCAGCCCTGATAGATGAGAGCCTTCTCCACCACTGTCGCCTTAGGCTTCCATTCATTTATTCTCCATGCCAGCAATGCCCAGTCAGCGGATGGCATCTTCAGCAGGTGGCATCTTCCATTTCACAGAGAAAATAGAGTCCCCCACTTCCTTCTGCTCCACCCACAAATTAATCTACCTTCGTGACTAGAATTTGACGAGTCTGACGTGAAATGTAAGAAGGCATTTCTCTGCCTTCCCCATCTCTCCCATTTTTCTCTTTGTTTCTGTTTATCTTATTGTTCCTCCAGTGTCAGACTCAACAGCCTCTGAATTTGGAGTCATGCAAGTTTTTGGTAGGTAGTTCATTTTTGTTCCTTGTTATTTAAGAGTTTTTGTCATAATTCAATATTGGACTATATGAAATGTTTTCCTAGTATCTACCGTATTTTTTAATGTCATCGAAATAAAAAAATTAAAAGTTAAAATCCTCATTTCAGTCCCCTGATTGATCTCACTTAATTCTGATTTTTTTTTTTTTTTTAGTTTACTAAGAAAGACAGAAAATATGGGGTCACTCATCTAAAGGTAATCCCTCCGTATTTGTGAGTTTGAAATTAACATTGAGTAGGAAACACACAATATCTGAAAAGGGGCTTCTTGCTTACCCGGATGTAGGCATCTTGGTGGTGCTTGGCAAAGTACAGCATGTTGTCCAGAGCCAACATCCCAGGTGGAGTCTGCGTGAAGTCCATGGCAGGGTTGACATGATTCTGTGAGTAAAACAAAATCATGATAAGGTGAATTCTTCAGCAGATTTTACCAACCACCAGAGATCTGATTTCCCTCCTCAAGAGTGAAGTGCTACAAGGTAAGGTCCAAATAATCAAACATGATGACATTTTCTATCTCCATGTAAACCTACTGAGGTGGATGCAGGGACTTCTTTCTACTGCTCCTCAGGACAGCAAAACCAGATTTTATACCTGGGATTAGGAAACCAAGCTAAATATTCAAACATAGGATTATTCTTAGACATGTGACATTGTGAGAAAAAGAAAATGATGCAAAAATTATTTCTGGTGGCTGCACTAAAATGAAACCAACAGCATTTGGGTAGAAAAAAACTGGGATAAAGCCACACCTCTGGTATTTAATTTGGAAGCTGACTCCAAGGAAACCACGACCTACCCACACCTTGACTCCGCATCCTTACGTGGGAGGTTAAATACAGCCCCATACATTGATGGGCTTTGTGAACTGTCCAGGGCTACACAGTCCACAGGCCTCTGAGCACAGACACTGGATAAAGTTCAGATATCCACAGGGTCCTGACATCTGCCTGCTCTCAGGAAGTCTGAGAACCTTCCTGTCTGGTCTTTAGGGTCACCACACACAACACACAGAACCCCAAAGATTAAATAATAGCTACAGATATGCAGAACTCAAACACCTCAGCAACACAAAAAACAATCCAATTTAAAAGTGGGCAAAGGACATGAATAGACATTTTTCAAAAGAAGACATACAAATGGACAACAAGCATATGGAAGAATGCTCAACGTCAGTAATCATCAGAGAAATGCAAATGAAAACTACAATGAGATACCATCTCACACCAGTCAGAATGGTTACTAGTACAAAGACAAAGAATAACAGATGGCAAGAAAAGGGAAAAAAGAAAATGCTTATATACTGTTGATGGGAATGTAAATTAGTACAACCTCTATGGAAAACACTATGGAGATTTCTCAAGAACTAAAAATAGAACTACCATTAAATCTAGCAATTCCATTACTGGCTATCTACACAAAGGAAAAGAAATAATTGGCTGGGCATGGTAGCTCATGCCTGTAGTCCATTTTGGGAGGCTGAGGCAGGTGGATTATGAGGTCAGGAGTTTGAGACCAACATAGTAAAACCCTGTCTCTACTAAAGATACAAAAAATTAGCTGGGTGTGGTGGCGCGCGCCTGTAATCCCAGCTACTCGAGAGGTGGAGGCAGGAGATTAGCTTGAACCTGGGAGGCGGAGGTTGCAGTGAGTCGAGATCACGCCATTGCACTCCAGCCTGGGCAACAGGGCAAGACTCCATCTCAAAAAAAAAAAAAAAAAGAAGAAATCATTATACCAAAAAGTCATCTGCACTCGTATGTTTATTGCAGTACTATTCACAATAGCAAAGATATAGAATCCACCTATGTGTCCACCAATGGATGACTGGATAAAGAAAATGTAGTACATACACATAATGGGATACTATTTGGTCATAAAAAAAGAATGAAATCATATCTTTTGTAGCAACATGGATGGAACTGGAAGCCATTATTTTAAGTGACATAACTCAGAAACAGAAAGTCAAATGTCACATATTCTCACATAGAAGTGGGAGCTAAATGATTTGCACACATGGGCATGGAGTGTGGAATGATAGACAATGCAAACTCAGAAGGCTGGGAATTGGTGGGATGATGAGAAATTGTTTACTGAGTACAATGCACTATGTAGGTGATGGATACACTAAAATCCCTGACCTCACCACTATTCAGTGTATCCATGCAACAAAAATTATACTTGTACCCCATAAATTTACCCAAATAAAAAATAGTTACAAATATGCCTAAGAGGAGAAGGCCGGGCTGATCTGAACTCTCCATCTACTTGAGATCACCCAGCAAAAACATCACTAGATTCTTACTAAGATTAGCAATCTACTCTTCACCATTAATTACTGAAAACAATGACCAGGAACTATCCTGAAAATGCACATCTGCCAGTTTTTCCAAGATGGTGGATAGGAGGAAGGACTAGTTGCAGCTTCCATTTGGAAGGATAGAGTAGCATGTGGAGACTTACATCATGAACTTTTGTTCCAAGAACAACCGCAGGAACATACCAGGAAAGCTGAGATAATTCACAGACCCTTTGAAGGAACTGGATCACCACCGCAGGCTCCCTGGGAGGCAACCAGCACACTAAACAAAAACACAACCAAGGACCCGCACAGAGTCCACTTCACTCCCCTGCTAACTCCACTGAAGCAGGTGCAGGTATCAATGGCTGCAAGACCTGAAGACCGATCATATCACAGGACTCTGCAGACACTTGCCAGTACCAGCATGGAGCTGGGTAGCTCTGCTGGGTGGCTAGACCCAGAAGAGCAAAAACAATCACTACAGCTTGGCTCTTAGGAAGCCACATTCCTAGGAGAAGGGGGAGAACACCACATCAAGGGAGCACCCTGTAAGACAAAAGAATCTGAACAGTAGTCCTTGAGTCTCAGATCTTCCCTCTGACTTAGTCTACCCAAATGAGAGGGAACCAGAAAAACAATTCTGGTAATATGACAAAACAAGGTTCTTTAATATCTCAAAAGATCATACTAGCTAACCAGCAATGGATCCAAACCAAGATTAAATATCTGAATTGCCAGAGTAAGAATTCTGAAAGTGGATTATTAAGTTACTCAAGGAGGCGGCAGAGAAAGTTGAGGTCCAATTTAAAGAAATAAAAAACAGGATACAGTATATGAAAGAAAAATTCTTCAGTGAAACAGCATAAATAAAAACAATCAGAACTTCTGGAAACCAAGGACACACTTAGAGAAATGCAAAATTCACTGGAAAGTAACAGCAGTAGAATTAGCAAGCAAAATAAAGAACCTCAAAGCTCAAAGACAAGGCTTTCGAATTAACCCAATCCGTCAAAGACAAAGAAAAAAGAATTTAAAAAATGAAAAAAGCCTCCAAGAAGTATGGGACTATGTTAAACGTCCAAACCTAAGAATAATTGGTGTTCCTAAGGAAAAAGAGATATCCAAAAGTTTGGAAAACATATTTCTGGGAGTAATTGAGGAAAACTCCCTCAATTACCTTGCTAGAAATCTAGACAACCAAATACAAGAAGCCCAAAGAACACCTGGTAAATTCATCACAAAAACATCATCACCTAGGCACATAGTCAACAGGTAATCTAAAGTTAAGACAAAAGAAAATCTGAAGAGCAGTGAGGCAAAAGTATCAGGTAACCTATAACGGAAAACCTATCAAATTAACAGCAGATTTCTCAGCAGAAAACTTACAAGCTAGAAGGGACTGAGGTCCTATTTTTAGCCTCCTTCAACAAAACAATTATCGGCCAAGAATCTTGTATCCAGTGAAACTAAGCTTCATAAGTGAAGGAAAGATACAGTCTTTTCCAAACAAACAAATGCTGAGAGAATTCCCCACTACCAAACCAGCACTACAAGAACTGCTAAAAGGAGCTCTAAATCTTGAAACAAATCCTCAAAAAAAAAAAGAAAAAAATAGAACCTCCTTAAAGCATATATCTCAGAGGACCTTAAAGCATAAATCTCACAATACATACATGTTGTGTATATAACAATAATACAATGAAGAAAACACAAAGTATTCAGGCAACAAATAGCACAATGAATAGAACAGTACCTCACATCTCAATACTAGCATTGAATGTAAATGGCCTCAATGCTTCACTTAAAAGGTACAGAACGGCAGAAAGGATAAGAATTCACCAACCAAGTTTCTGCTGCCTTCAAGAGACTCACCTAACACATAAGGACTCACATAAATTTCAGGTAAAGGGTAAAGGTTAAAAGATATTCCATGCAAATGGACAACAAAAGCAAGCAGGAGTAGCTATTCTTATATCAGACAAAACTAACTTTAAAGCAACAGCAGTTAAAAAAGACAAAGAAGGACATTATATAATGGTAAAAGGACTAGCCCAACAGGGAAATATCACAATACTAAATATATATGCATCTAACACTGGATCTCCCAAATTTATAAAACAATTACTACTAGACCTAAGAAATGATATAGACGGCACCACAATAATAGTGGGGGACTTTAATACTCCACTGACAGCACTAGAAAGGTCATCAAGACAGAAAGTCAACAAAGAAACAATGGACTTAAACTATACCCTACAACAAATGGACTTAATGGATATTTACAGAACATTCTACCCAACAACTGCAGAATACACATTCTATTCATCAGCACATGGAATGCTCTCCAAGACAGATCATATGATAGACCACAAAAGAAGTCTCAGTAATTTTTTTTTTTTTGGAGGCAGAGTCTCACTCTGTCACCAGGCTGGAATACAGTGGTGCAATCTCGCTCACTGCAACCTCCACCTCCCAGGTTCAAGCAATTCTCCTGCCTCAGCCTCCCGAGTAGCTGGGAATACAGCCACGTGCCACCATGCCTGGCTACTTTTTGTATTTTTAGTAGAGACAGGGTTTTGCCACGTTGACCAGGCTGGTTTTGAACTCCTGACCTCAGGTGATCCACCCACCTCGGCCTTCCAAAGTGCTGGGATTACAGGCGTGAGCCACTGTGCCTGGCCCAAGTCTCAGTAAATTTAAGATAACTGAAATTATATCAAGTACTCTCTCAGACCACAGTGGAATAAAATTGGAAATCAACTCCAACAGGAATCCACAAAACCATGCAAACACATGGAAATTAAATAACCTGCTCCTGAATGATCACTGGGTCAACAGAGAAATCAAGATGGAAATTAAAAAAATATTTGAACTGAATGATAATAGTGACACAACCTATCAAAACCTCTGGGATATAGCAATGGTTGTGCTAAGAGGAAAGTTCATAGGATTAAATGCCTACATCGGAAGTCTGAAAGAGCACAAACATGGACCTGGAGAAACAAGAACAATCCAAACCCAAACCCAGCAGAAGAAAAGAAATAATGAAGATCAGAGCAGAACTAAATGAAATTGAAACAAACAACAACAACAACAAAAATACAAAAGATAAATGAAACGATATGCTGGTTCTTTGAAAAGATAAAAAAAAAAAGAAGATAGACCATTAGTGAGATTAACCAAAAAAAGAAGAGAGAAGATCCAAATAAGCTCAATTGGAAACAAAATGGGAGATATTACAACTGATACTAGAGAAATATAAAAGATTATTCAAGGCTTCTATGAACACCTTTATGCATATAAACTAGAAAGCCTAGAAGAGATGGATAAATTCCTGGAAATATGCAACTTTTCTAGATTAAACCAGGAAGATATAGAATCTCTGAGCAGACCAATAACAGGCAGTGAGATTGAAATGGTAATAAAGAAAATTTCCAACCAAAAAAAGTCCAGGACCAGATGGATTCACAGCTGAATTCTATCAGACATTCAAGTAAGAATTAGTACCAATCTATTGACACTATTCCAAAAGATAGAGAGAGAGGGAATCCTCCCTTAATCGTTCTATGAAGCCAGTATCATCTTAATACCAAAAACCAGGGAAGGACATCATAAAAAAAGAAAACTACAGACCAGTATCACTGATGAACACAGATGCAAAAATCCTCAATAAAATACTAGTGAACCAAATCCAACAGCGTATCAAAAAGATAATCCACCATGATCAAGTGGGTTTCATACCAGGGATGCTGGGATGGTTTAACACATATAAGTCAATAAATGTGATACACCACATAAACAGAATCAAAAACGAAAATCATATGATCATCTCAACAGATGCAGAAAATGCATTTGACAGAATCCAACATCGCTTTATGATTAAAACCCTCAGCAAAATCTGCATAGAAGGGATATACCTTAAGGTAATAAAAGCCATTTACAACAAACTCACCATCAACATTCTACTGAATAGGCAAAAGGTGGAAGCATTCCCCCTGAGAACTAGAACAGACAAGGATGCCCACTTTCACCACTATTCAACATAGTACTGGAAGTCCTAGCCAGAGCAATCAGACAAGAGAAATAAATAAAGGGTATCCAAATCAATAAAGAGGAAGTCAAATTGTCACTGTTTGCTGATGATATGATTGTATACCTAGAAAACCCTAAAGACTTATCCAATAAGCTCCTAAAACTGGCAAATAAATTCAGTAAAGTTTTAGGATACAAAATTAATGTATGCCAATCAGTAGCTCTGCTATATACCAACAGTGATCAAGCTGAAAATCAAATCACTCAACCTCTTTCACAATAGCTGCAAAAAAATAAAATACTTAAAAATATACCTAACCAGGGAGGTGAAAGACCTCTACAAGGAAAACTACAAAACACTGCTGAAAGACATCATAGACAACACAAACAAATGGAAACACATCCCATGCTCATGGATGGGTAGAATCAATATTGTGAAAACGACCATACTGTCAAAAGCAGTTTACAAATTCAATGCAATTCCTATCCAAATACCACCACTGCTCTTCAGAAAACTAGAAAAAATAATCCTAAAATTCATATGGAACCAAAAAAGAGCCCACAGAGCCAATGCAAGACTAAACAAAAAGAACAAATCTGGAGGTATCACATTACTCAACATCCAACTATACTATAAGGCGACAGTCATCAAAACAGCATGGAACTGGTTTAAAAATAGGCACATAGACCAATAGAATAGAATAGAGAACCCAGAAATAGAGCCAAATACTTACAGCCAACTGATCTTTGACAAAGAAAATAAAAAAATAAAGTGGGAAAAGGACACCCTATTCAACAAATGGTGTTGGGATAATTGGCAAGCCACATGTAGAAGAATGAAACTGGATCCTCATCTCTCAACTTACACGAAAATCAACTCAAGATGGATCAAATACTTAAATCTAAGGCCGGGCATGGTGGTTCACGCCTGTAATCCCAGCACTTTGGGAGGCCATGGTGGGCAGATCACGAGGTCAGGAGAGCGAGACCATCCTGGCTAACATGATGAAACCCCACCTCTACTAAAAAAAAAAAAAAAATACAAAAAATTAGCTGGGCGTGGTGGCAGGCGCCTATAGTCCCAACTACTCCGGAGGCTGAGGCAGGAGAATGGCGTGAACCTGGGAGGCAGAGCTTGTAGTGAGCCGAGATGGCGCCAGTGCACTCCAGCCTGGGCGACAGAGTGAGACTCCGTCTCAAAAAAAAAAAAGACTTACATCTAAGACCTGAAACCATAAAGATTACAGAAGATGACACTGGAAAACCCCTCTAGCCATTGGCTTAGGCAAAGACTTAATGACCAAGAACCCAAAAGCAAATGCAACAAAAACAAACATAAATAGAAGGGACTTAATTTAACTAAAAAGCTTCTGCACAGAAAAGGAAATAATCAGCAGAGTTAACAGACAACACACAGAATGGGAGAAAATATTCACAATCTATACATCTGACCAAAAGACTAATATCCAGAATTTACAAAGAACTCAAACAAATCAGTAAGAAAAAAACAATCCCACCAAAAAGTGGGCTAAGAACATGAATAGACAATTCTCAACAAAAGATACACAAATGGACAACAAGCATACGGAAAAAATGCTCAACATCAGTAATAATCAGGGAAATGCAAATCGAAACCACAATGCAATACCACCTGACTCCTATAAGAATGGCTATAATCAAGAAATCAAAAAACAATAGATGCTGGCATAGACGCAGTGAAAAGGGAACACTTTTACACTGTTGGTGGAAGGTAAACTAGTACAACCACTATAGAAAACAGTGTGGAGGTTCCTTAAAGAACTAAAAGTAGATCTACCATTTGATCCAGCAATCCCACTACTAGGTATTTACCCAGAGGAAAAGAAGTCATTATATGAAAAAGATACTTGCAAACACATGTATACAGCAGTACAATTTGCAACTGCAAAAATATGGAACCAGCCCAAATGCCCATCAATCAATGAGTGGATAAAGAAAACGTGGCATATTTATATACACCATGGAATATGACTCAGCCATAAAAGAGAATGAAATAGTGGCATTCACAGCAACCTGGAGGGAATTGGAGACTGTTAATCTAAGTGAAGTAACTCAGGAATGGAAAACCAAACATCGTATGTTCTCACTCATGTGGGAGCTAAGGCATAAGAATGACGCACTGGACTTTGGGGACTTAGGGGAAAGAATGGGGGTTGGTGAGGGATAAAAGACTACACATTGGGTACAGTGTACACTGCTCGGGTGACAGGTGCACCAAAATCTTAGAAATCATCACTAAAGAACTTATTCATGTAACCAAACATCACCTGTTCTCCAAAACCCTACTGAAATAAACCAAAAAAAACTGAAAATAAGAAAATTTAAAAATTCAGATCTAAATGGTGAATAATTTAAGACAAGTTGTTTTTCCCACAGGTTAAACAGATGAAAAAGAAAAGTTAAAGAGGTATGAAAGAAAACTGCTTTTGCCTCATGATCCAGATAATTTGTATGAAATAACATACTTTCATTTTGTCCCTGGATAAACAGCATGAATCTCTGTTTCTCCAGGGCAATTTTGGTTAAAGGCAATTTTTTTTCTAACTTTGGTGCTGGAAGGCCTTTCTGTTCACTTGTTTGAGGATCAAACAACCCACACTTTTCTACATTATTCAAGAATACATCTAAACTGTCTTACCCATGCTGATCTGAAATTTTGTTTATAAGCTAATAGGCAATATCTGAAACTATGAGAGAGTAGTGCTGCCTACTGGCCACAGTCCACAGTTTAAAGAGCATCGCTGTCCACAACTAGAGGTTGAATAAGTGCAATGATTTGAGTATTTTATTTTAGCATTTTATCCTGATTCATTTATTCCAATGTTGGAAAGTTTTTAAAATACTAGAGAACTGCTACTAATGATAAGAAGGATACATCTCAAAATAAATATGATCGTAACAAAAATAAAAACCATTCCGCATGTCAAATACAGTGGGGTCCAGTCTTAATTGGAAATAAATGACCAGAGATTAAGTCTAAAAAGTAACTTGCCATTAAATATTTTGTAATGTTTTTAGTTATTTAGTAAAGAATAGTAAAACTTCCTCCCCATTACACACAAATTGATTATTTTCACTTTGATACATTGGATTCTCATGAACACAAGTAACATTTAAGAAGTTAACATTTGCTAAGTACATTCTGGGTGTTAGCACTATTTTGTACTTTACATGTATTAAATCTCACACCTGGTAGGTGCTATTCTTATCCCGGTTCTACTGATGAGGAAACTGCCGCTCAGATGAGTTTGGAAGCTTGCCCCAGACCTCACACCTGGCTGTGGCATCACAGGCAATGATTTCATTGGACAATATGTCTCAACTATGTTTTGTTCCTACTTTTTTCCTTACCACCAGTTTAGAAGTTGAATGCGTTTATTTTGGTACTGCTAGCATTTAGACTTTACATAGACTGAGAAAACTGTATTTAAGAAAAATGTAGGCTAATCAATATTAGCCACTGTGCATCATAGGCCAGCTGACACAGGAGGGGAGCCAAATGTAAAAGAGAAACACATGATACTTAGTTCAGACCTATTTCTAGTGTTGCTATATGAGTTTCAAAAATAAATACGTAAGAAAGGAAATCTAGTGGGAAAAAATTAGTATCTCTGAACCTAATTCTAACAATTCCCCAAAGCTATATGTTAGTGAAGCTGATGGAGGAGAAGATCCCATGGCTCAAGAGTTATCAATCTTCTTTGAATTTTGCACCCAATATGTCCTTCAAGCCTCCTTTTATCAATCACACCCCTCCACAGGCATTCATTTGCTATTTTCAAAAAATCCTTACAGTTAAAAAACAAAGTAATTGAGTTTTAGGGTTCCTTTAAAGAACTACGTGACTAATTAGCAAATAGTCTCAATAAAAGAATGCCTGCTATGCACCAGGCATTGCGCAAAGTGTCTTGCATATGGAGCTCTTAATCCTCACAAAACTCCCACCGGGTAGATGCTGTCATTATCCCCCAAAGGAAACTAAAGCACTGACAATTGGGTAGCTTGCCCAAAGTTTCAGAGCCAGTTATGTGGCAAAGCCAGACTGTGAACTCAGAGCATGGGCTTTTAACCAGGTTGATCAACAACCCAACATTGCTGGGAATTTCACAAAGATGTTCAATGCAGGTTCTCCTCAATCAACGTTATTCCCTCTGGCAGAGTGG
Source organism: Homo sapiens (assembly GCF_000001405.40). NCBI lineage: Eukaryota > Metazoa > Chordata > Mammalia > Primates > Hominidae > Homo > Homo sapiens. The sequence continues at coordinate 37,143,390 of NC_000007.14, forward strand.
GCCTGAGATCCATCTTTTTATTTATTTATTTTTTTGCGACCGAGTCTCGCTCTGTCACCCAGGCTGGAGTGCAGTGGTGCAATCTCGGCTCACTGCAACCTCCGCCTCCCAGGTTCAAGCGATTCTCTTGCCTCAGCCTCCTGAGTAGCTGGGACTACAGATGCCTGCCACCATGCCTGTCTAATTTTTGTATTTTTGGTAGAGATGAGGTTTCACCATGCTGGCCAGGCTGATTTCGAACTCCTGACCTCAAGTGATTTGCCAGCCTTGGCCTCCTAATGTGCTAGGATTACAGCAGGTGTGAGCCACTGCAGCCGGTCGATTTTTTTTTTTTTTTTTGAGATGGAGTCTCATTCTGTCACCCAGGCTGGAGTGCAGTGGCATGATCTCGGCTCACTGCAGCCTCTGCCCCCTGGGTTCTAGCAATTCTCCTGTCTCAGCCTCCCAAGTAGCTGGGATTACAGGCATGCGTCACCATGCCTGGCTAAGTTTTGTATTTTTAGTAGAGACAGGGTTTCCTCATGTTGGCCAGGCTGGTCTCAAACTCCTGACCTCAGGTAATCCACCCGCCTTGGCCTCCCAAAGTGCTGGGATTACAAGTGTGAGCCACCGCGACTGGCCTATCTTTTTAGTAAAAGTTATAATTTCTCCACCCCCTCAGACATTATAACAGACCCATGTCTCTCTCATGTTCAATAAACCACATCCTAATTTTCTGCAGCAAATAGGCTCTTACTGAACAAAAGCCAATTAGAAAATTGCCTTTGATTTTCAATGACGTGCCTAAATTATGGAGCATCACTACATTTCAGATAAAAATAAAAAATATTTTGGGGTACAGAATGAACTATGTTCTCATTCTCTCTCTCTCTCTCTCACTCCACGTATCATTTTCTCAGCTTTCCTTTTTTGGTTTTAATAGCCAGTGAAATAATTTTACAACCACAAATTTTAATAACAAGAAAAGGAAAAGAATTTCACGCCAAAACATTTAAAAGCTTTCTGTACTGTGACAAAAATACTCTGAGAGCCCAGCAAGCCCAGCAACTCCCCCACTCCTTTCTTATTTATGAGATGCTTTGGATACAGATTTATTTTCTTTTCTTGTTCCATGTTATTTTTTTCCACCTGTCTTGAAATGGAAGCTGCAGGGGCTTTGATAAATGGCTTGAAATTTTCCCTTGTTTTACTGCAAAGCCTGTGTACCTCTGTACATCCTTCTGAAATGCCATTTGTTAGTTTCTGTTGAAATGCTGCTCTGTGAATCACAGCAGACAGCTCTCAGCCCCTAGAGAAAGGGGAGATGGCTACTTCCCTTTCCAAAACACCAGAGTTTTTTCACTTTGGGAAAGTAGTACCAACCAGCTGAAAATATTATGAGTTATTTTGTAGTGAGCACCCAAGGCGCTGTTTGGGTATCTAGTCTGAGTATCTAGTTCCTGGAAATCAGTTTCTTTTCTGTTACCTGCCTGTCAGTTTTTCAGCGGAATGATTTCAATCACACATCCAAGGGAAAATATAAGCTCTAAGACAGAAAATCTCTAAACTTATTCTGTGCCCATACACCATGGCCACTGGAGAGCTAGAGTAAACCTTAAATATAATCTAGGCTGGTCTTCTTATTTTATAGACAAAAAAACTGAGCCCCTGGTGGAGAGTAGCAGTGCTCAAACTTGAGCAGGCATCTGAATTTCTTGGAGGACTTGTTAAAGCACTGATTGCTGGCCCCACCCCAAGTCTCATCCAGTAGGCCTGGGGTGAGGCCAAAGAATCTGCATCTCTAATAAATCCCCAGGTGATACAGATGTTGCTAGTTGAGGACTCTTTGAGACCCACTGGTAGAGAGGATAGCTCATCTCAAATGACACAGGTAATGTCAGGAGATCTAGAATCCAGATCTACCATTCCTCAAATCCCCATGCAGCTTCTATATTATATCACGCTTTAATCCACTGGTTCCCAGGTGCACATGCATTTTAAATATACTTGCTGTTCCTTGTCTCTGTGCTCAGGACTCTTGTCAATAAAACAAACCCCTTTATTCAGAAACAGGAATTATAATTTAGAAGCTTCTCACTCCAATGACTCAAATTTCTCACTAAAATAATATGTATTAGCACCTCCGCAGGGAAGTAGCAAACTGTAATCAGGCAATATTTCTACTCTTGAATGCTTCCTGGTTGGGAAAACAGTACTGGCACTAGCCTGAATGATTTTTAAATGATACGTGTTTTTCAATTACCAGTGCCATGCTAGTCCTTTATTAGCGTGGATAATAAAGAGATGATGATAACAATGCTTGCCAGATGGCATAGCGTGGGGAAAGCCTTTGAGGATTCAGGAGTTAATATTTGTGTTATAATAGCGTCTACATTTGCTGAACAAATACAGCATTAAAAGCAACCTTTAAAACAAATCACATTGAGTGAATATTCACTTAATCTATGAAAAGCCCTATTCAAGGCTATTTCTTGAGGCTGGTGGTTCAAGGTCATGTTCTGTAAGGGGAAAAGAGGTCATCTAGGAACTCTGTCAAATGATACATGCCTCCCTCTCCTCACCTCTTCACCCAGGAGAAATGAATATGTGGGTGTTTCAATAAGCTCCTGAGAACAGCAGTTCTCTGTCTTAGATGCACCTGAAAATCCCCTGGGGAGCTTTAAAAAAAATCCTGGTGTCCAGGTTCTAGCCCAAATCAGTTCAATGAGAAGCTCTGTGGTTGGGAGCCAGGCGGTTGGATTTTTAAAGCTCCCCAGAACATTGATTCCAGTGTCCTTCCAAGGTTGAGAACCACTTTCCAAATCATTCTCAAGAATATCAGAATCTCCTAGAGGGCCTGTTAAACCCCAGGTTGCTGGGCCCCACCTCAAGAGCTTCAGATTCAGTAGGTCTGGAATGGAGCCAAGAATGTGCATTCATACAAGTTCTTAGGTGCTGCCGATGGCTTCTGGACCATACTATAAGAACCACTGCTCCAAAGCCACATTAACCAAATGCAAGCGCATGTTAGGGAGCTATTCACAGCAGCCCATGGAGCTGGTGCCCTTGACTCCCCCTGTACTAGGTGTTGGATTGGGCAGTGACTCTTAGTGAAATGACTGCTTTAGATAGGACATACATTCTTTGAGTTGACATGGGCCCCACCACTCTCTCCTCACCTGGTTGCTTACACATTTGAATAATGAGGCTGTTGAAGGCCTCTGACTTTGTAACCCCCAACATGGACCAGTGTCCCAAAGATCCTTACAAGTAGCCTCTAGGAATCTTCAGATTCTGCTGTTGGTCCCTCTCCATATGTAACAGGAATTTATTAATAAGAATCAATAGATTGGATGAAAACAGAGAAGACAGTCTATCAAACCTGACCTAAGAGAGAGACATGGTGAATATCCTGAGAGCAGAAAAATAACTGTGACAAGGTGTTGGCACTGATACTGATGGGCTTCACACCAGGCACTCCAAATGCAAAATTCCAATTATCTTCCCAACCACCCAACAAAACAAGTGACGAGGTACCTGTTATGGTTCTCATCCTATGGATGAGGTCAGAACTTGCAACTTGGGCAAGACAATGGCTAGTAAGTGGCAGAGTCACCACTTCAATTCTGCAGCTTTTTTCCCCTTTAGGTTCAAAAGGTCTTTGGTGACTAGGAATATGGGGTCCATTAGCAAGAAGAAATTTAATCAGAGAAATGTGAAGTCCCATAAAAAAGAGTTTTAGAAATTCAAGCACATGTCTAGAGATTAAGGGAAATCTGGCTCATGAATAATTCATGATATCCCAGCTCCTCATCATTAAAATTTGATTCTTTAAGGTGAGGCACAAAGGTGCCTCATGAAAGAAACACCCAGGAAGATGCTAGGGATCTAGGCCAATAGATTCTAAGCCCCCTGGATTCCCCAGTGTACCTCCCTCTCTGATGGACATCCTCTTCTCTTTGCCTGGCCTCCTTAACACTTCCGCTCATCTCTCTCATTCCATTCACCCACCTGCTACCTCCTGGTCCCAGCCTTGGCTCTGTTTCTCTGGGCTGGACAACTCCACAACTTTACCCCTGGTGTGATACCCCAGGTTCAATGAAGCTCTAAGACCACCTCCAAGTGTCACTAAGGGAATATCCTCCCTGAAAATGTTCTGAAACCAAGCAGAGTCCATGACCGTTCAATTTATCAACTAAGAGTTGGAGCTGCCAACAAGTCCAAGAGGAGTCAACTTCATGTGGCAGCCAGAAGGCTATGCCATGTTGGGTTTTATTAATATTAGCACAACAAGAACAGAAGAGGTTCCACTGGACTGGGCCCTGCCCAGGTCACATGTGGACACGATGCACAGTCTGCAGGCCACAATGCAACCCAGTTCCTGATACACAAGAAATCGTGCACACAAGAGTGGCCAGAAAGAAGCAGATATATCAGAGGAGAGAGGCATGTCAGAAAAGTTGGAAAAAAAAAAAAAAGCCAGTTATTTAGCCCAGGAAATAAAAAGAAAGGTGTGTGAGGTGCAGTGATTAACTGAGATGGAAGTTGTACTAACTTCCGTTGTTAGTTGGACTAACAACGTCTTCAGGCATCTGAAAGGGTATTGACAGTATTCTGTGCCACTACAGAAACAGGAATAGCAGAGAAGATTTTGTCCTGAGCAATACTGTAGTCAGGGCTGGCTGTATACAGCAGAGACACTGTCTAGGGAAGGGAAAGGCAAATAACCACTAGATGCCTTGCAACCCCTAGAGTTCCTTCTTCTCATCACACAATTTTGGACGTCCACTACTACGCAAGGCACTGTGCAAGACAGAAATGATACATTTCATCCAAAGATGTGTTTAAAACAAAAATAGTACCTGCCTTCAAGTAACTTCTATTTCAGAAGTGAGTTATTAAAAGTCTTAACAATACAGAAAGACACACACACACTCATAAATTACACAGGAAAACACAATGAAAGATCATACACCAACGATTCTGAATTTAAGGCAAACTTTCCTAGTTAAAAAATAATACTCTTTTAAATTTACTCTTAGAAAAGGCCGTGTACTGCCAGGTATGTAATTCATGAAAATCTGAATTGACTCTCGCCACTTCATTATTTTGAAGAAGCAGAATTAAGACTTCCTGAATAAAAGAAAACACTGGAACATATTTTATTTGGTATGTTGATTCAACAGTCAATACAAAGAATTACCATAAAAACTCAATTAAAAAATGCTTTGGGAATAAATTTCCTTTAAAATTGAAGCTGGTTATGATTTTTAAAAAAGTCTTTATGAATAATGAAATAGTATTGTCAAGGTTTATAAAGATATTTGCAATTTTTCTACTCAGCTGAGTGCATGGGGGATTTGGAACAATCCAGATATCATGGCTCATTCTAGCAACAATGTCCTATTCTTTCTTCCCTTACTTCCCAGCTCCTCCTTGTACCACTCCTTTTATGACCCCCTTTCTCCCACCTCTCGTCACTTTAAAACAAGGGATAAATACATGTCATGTACAGTAGGCATCTCTGTCTCCCTTTTTCATTCATCCCCAGGGAGAGCACAGGCTATGATGTCCAACAAAGAACACAGCACATGTGCAAACATCACTCCAAGGTGGGTCTTGATAATCCATCATGAAGCCCATTCTCCTGGAGCCCAGCACAGCTTTCCAGGCAGCCTCTGGTGAGGAACGACCATCAGCATGGGAGGGGAAACCTCTCTGCCATGGTGAAGTGAGGAGCTGATCAAGCTGCAGCTGTTACACATGGACTCCCAGGAAGTCAAAGGCATGCAGAGATTTCTCCAGAACCTAGCACCATCTGGCCCTAGCATAGGGCTGCAGCACAGTTAGTAACTGCAAAAGCAGGGGAGGGACAAAAACCTTTCTCCCTGAAGATGTTCTTCAGTGCTTTATTTATAATAGCAGAAGGATGTAGATGGTGACGATGGTGATAACAACAGCTGCAATTGTGGGGGTAGGAGCCAACACATACATAGCAGTCACTAGTGCCAAGTACTGCTCTAAGCCAGGGGTTAGCCAACTACAGCCCAGGAGCCAAATGCTTTTTGTACAGTTGAGAGTCTAAAATGTTTTTTCTTTTACATTTTTAAATAGTTTTTTAATCAAAAGAAAAAAATCTGTGATGTGAAAATGACATGAAATTCAAATTTCAGCATCCATAACAAAAGTCATATTGGAACTCAGTCATACTTATTGATTTGCATACTGTCTGTGGCTGCTTTCACATCAGGGAGCAGAATCCAGAAGCTGTGACACAGCCTTGCATATGGCTCACAAAACTTAAAAATATTTACTACCTGGCCCTTTATGGGAAACATTTGCAGACTCTTGTTCTAAGTGTTTGATCCTCCCAGCGACCCATGAATTAATCAGAAAATCAGTCCTTGTACAAAGTTAAAAACTCCTTAATCAAAAGTTCAAAATCTTAATTAACAAAGAAATGCTAATATTTTGCTCCCTGAACAACACAGTGGCCCCTTTGTAAATGTTTAATGTTTTGTTCCCCTGGATACTGTAATGATTTTATAGACTCCCAAATGTCTCACTCAACAAATTATCTGTCCTGCAAATGTTATGTTGAAAGGAATGTTTTCAGTAACCTTAGCTCATGGCTAGAAGGTCCCCATTCCCCTGCCAGCTAGTATCACAGTGACTCAATGCCCAAATTTTGTGTCTTAGGCACAAAATTTCTTCTCCTCTTTTTTTTAAAGGCAAACCTCAGATGGGGCCTTTGATATATTCAGACATAAAAGACAACATCTAATTTTGACATGCTAGGGATCTGAGCCATGGCTGGTAAACATAGCTTACCTCCCTTCAATATACTTCTTATAAATGGCAACATCTGAAGACTTTGGTCTCTTTTTTACAACAGGCTATGCGGAATTCTTTTTTTTTTTTTCTTTAACAGGCTACATATAACTCTTAGACCTATTTTAAAGATTAACAGACTGAGACAAACAGAGATTAAACATCTTGCCCACATTCACACAATCAGTGTGTTGACATTTGAACCCAACCGTCCAGAGTCCACGTACTTAACTACTACACTAAAAAAAAAAAAATTGTTAACTACATGATGGAAAATCGACTGTAGGGAACACTATGCAACATTTATGTGCATAGAGTATTTACTTATGATGAATGAAAAGGGTAGAAATATAAAATGCATGCTAGTTGTATTTTGTATACAATCTCTATAGTAGTATATAGTCCTTGTCAATATATGTTTTATATAGAATATTTTCTATGTATTATTATATAAAGTATACATGGATTAGCAGTATCAAGACAAAGACTTAGCATAATTATGTATTTTTTGAATGCATTAAAATCTGGAAGGAAATTTGCCAAAGTAGTAGTAATAATGATTTGTAGTGGTGGGAAGACAGGTAATTTTTTTCTATCTGTCCATATCTTTCTAACTTTTTGTAAATAAAGATGCATCGATTTTCACTTATATTTGACTAGGGGTATGCCCACTGTTCTCTAACAAGGAAATAAATTCATTTTGCAGGAGAACATGAGAAACAGTTTGGCTTCTCATCCTCGACCCTGCTCAAGTACTCGCTGAAGCGCCTCCCTGCAGGTCAGCATCCAGCTGTGCCAGAGGGACTCACGCTGGGCAGAAAGGCTCATGCCCACCTGCCCAAGTCAGCCCTCTGCAGTCAGTGTGAGTGGCCTGCATTCTGCCCACATCATTTCAAACAGTGTGGGGAGACTAGGGTGTGGATAGAAGAGGCCAGGAAGAGGATCTGTCTGATTTGAATCCTCAGAGTCAGGGGCAATCTCAGGTCCTGAGGTCTCTTGGGTTTGGGCCCCTCCAGGGTGTTTGCCCAACTTTCCTTTCCTGCCAGGGAATAGCCCTCTGGGCTTTAAAAAACCCCCATCCTTTATTGTAATCCTTGAAGCCTACACCTCCTGGAGCCTGACCGTTCACACTACACTTCACAGTTCGTCAGGGGGACTGTATGAGGACGGCTTCAGCACAGGTGAATCAATTCATCACCAACTGGGCAATTAGGCCGGCTCCCGGTGGTCCCCTGTAAATATTGAGAACTGGGTAACAAAATCCTAATGGGGCCTTCTAGCTCCCAAGCCTTCCGACCTGTAAATATTCAGGGTAAACATATTGGGTTGAACCACTTAAGTGACACTATCTGGCCATTTTTGACGTACAAAAATGTAATGTTATCATATGATTCAACCTAATAGCTAAACAGACGCATTCGGCCCCTGTGATCCTGAAAGTTTCTGACAGGAGATGGTTTTCTGGAGAACATATTGGAAATAATTCCAGCGGGAATCAGCCAGAGCTGAGGATAAAAAGACAAGAGAGATGGACATAGTTCTGGTTTAAAAATCAGTGTTGAAATTAAAATTTCAAATTAACTTTTTTCAAATGCATCGTGTGACACCCCACGATAAAGCTAACAAATACCGAGGAGAAATTTTCCACTCTCTTTCTCTGTCAAGGGTCAGGAGCAACAGAAATACGGTGACTTCTGCTTCAGTTTTGTTTTAGCCCATGGAAATCTGCCCACCTGCCAACAGAGCAACTGTGCCTTTCCCAGCCCTGAGAACAAGCTTTTGGGAATGAGGATTTGAGTCCATTGCCAACCAGAAAAGTAATAACCTTGATGAAGGATGAAAGTATTGGAAATGTTAGGTAAATAGCATGTGAATGCCACATTGCCCCTAACCTTAGCAAACAGATTAGATGGAGTCAAAAACTACTATGTTAAAAAATAAAAAATAAAGCTTTGGTGTCCTTGTGAACCTCATGCAGTCATGGTTCCAGGTACAGTCTAACATGACCTTGGATATCAGAGGAAGCGGTGCCTGAAATCTGGATGATAGGAGGTGGCTGTTCTCCTGCAAACCCAAAGCAGAGGTTGGGAAGGCCTGGCCCACGAACGCTGCCCTGAGCTGCCAGGGCTGTGTGGGACTGGTCTTCATTTGAAGCTGGGTGCAGAGAAAGTGACTGCCTGAGAAAACCTGGGTGAGAGGTCTGGATCTCCCAGGTATGTTCTGGCACCTTGAGCAATGTTGGGGCTTTTTTTTTTTTTTTTATGTTTTTCAAACCTCAACAGTAACAGCCACTTAGTTTATAGAATGTAGCAAGTGTGATCCCGTTTTTGTACAGCAATGATCAAATATACCTATGTGTGCATGTGTGTGGATGAGTGTGTACGTGCATGTGCACATGTATACACACGATCGTAAAAGCATTTAGAAATGGTGGGAAGCATACACTCAGATGGCTAACACTCAGCACCGGAAAGAAGGGAGGCTGAAAAAGAGAGGGGTAGCTTCATTTAGTGAAGTTAAGGAGAAAAGGCTCTGGTTTAAAAAAGAAGAAAATGAAAGGAACAGAATTTGCGATATAAACTTCTATGTAAATATATTAGAAAGCACCAGATTATCAATCTACTTAGATGTGAGCATGTTCATGATGAACTGAGAAATGAAAAAAGCAAGTTTTTGTATAATGTGTATAAGCTGGTTGTGTTGGAGCAAAATCCAAACAAATGGTAGTTATCTCTGCATATGTCTCCAAGGGGTATCTGCCGGAGCGGACACCTATAAGGGACACACGTGGGGAAGGATCCATCAAGCTGCTCAGAGAAGGAGTGAGGGGCAGGAAAAGCTGGAACCAATTTCTGAAAGTGTATTTTTTGATAGTAATTATACTAACCTCAACCTCCTCCAACAAGTAGGCACTTCGGGAATTATATCTCACAGAAAAATGACTTTAAGAATAGACTTACGGGTCACTTCCAAGATGGCCAAATAGAAACAGCTCCGGTCTACAGCTCCCAGTGATATTGACGCAGCAGACGGGTGATTTCTACATTTCCAACTGAGGTACCTGGTTCATCTCACTGGGACTGGTTGAATAGTGGATGCAGCCTATGGAGGGCGAGCCAAAGCAGGGTGGGGCATCACCTCACCCGGGAAGCACAAGGGGTCCAGGGATTTCCCTTTCCTAGCCAAGGGAAGCTATGAGTGACTCTACCTGGAGGAACGGTACACTCCTGCCAAAATACCGTGCTTTTCCCACAGTCTTCACAATCGGCAGACCAGGAGATTCCCTCCTGTGCCTGGCTTGGCTGGTCCCACGCCCACAGATCCTTGGGATGCTAGCACAGCAATCTAAGATCAACCTGGGATGCTGGAGCCTGGCAGGGGGAGGGGTGTCTGCCACTGCTGAGGCTTGAGTAGGCGGTTCTATGTTCACAGTGTAAACAAAGCAGCAGGGAAGCTCAAACTGGGCAGAGCCCACCACAGCTCAGCAAGGCCTACTGCCTCTCTAGATTCCACCTCTGGAGGCAGGGCGTATCTGAACAAAAGGCAGCAGACATCTTCTGCAGACTTAAACATCTCTACCAGACAGCTCTGAAGAGAGCAGTGGTTCTCCCAGCACAGGGTTCAAGATCCGATAATGAACAGACTGCCTCCTCAAGCAGGTCCCTGACCCCCGAGTAGCCTGACTAGAAGACACCTCCCAGTAGGAGCAGACAGACACCTCATACAGGTGGGTGCCCCTCTGGGACAAAGCTTCCAGAGGAAGGATCAGGCAGCAATATTTGCTGTTCTACAGCCTCCAGGGGTGTTACCCAGGCAAAAAGGGTCTGGAGTGGACCTCCAGCAAACCGCAACAGACCTGAAGCTGAGGGGCCTGTCTGTTAGAAGGAAAACTAACAAACAGAAAGGAATAGCATCAACATCAACAAAAAAGGACATCCACACCAAAACCTCATCTGTAGGTCACCAACGTCAAAGACCAAAGTTAGATAAAACCACAAAGATGGGGAGAAACCAGAACAGAAAGGCTGAAAATTCCAAAAACCAGAGCACCTCTTCTCCTCCAAAGGATCGCAGCTCCTCTCCAGCAAGGGAACAAAACTGCATGGAGAATGAGCTTGACGAGCTGACAGAAGTAGGCTTCAGAAGGTCGGTAATAACAAACTTCTCCGAGCTAAAGGAGCATGTTCTAATCCACCACAAGGAAGCTAAAAACCCTGAAAAAAGGTTAGATGAATAGCTAACTAGAACAACCAGTGTAGAGAAGAGCTTAAATGACCTGATGGAGCTGAAAACCACAGTACGAGAACTGCGTGAAGCATACACAAGCTTCAATAGCCGATTTGATCAAGCGCAAGAAAGGATATCAGTGATTGAAGATCAAATTAATGAAAAAGAGCGAGAAGACAAGATCAGAGAAAAGAGTGAAAAGAAACTAACAAAGCCTCTAAGAAATACGGGACTATGTGAAAGACCAAATCTACATTTGACTAGTGCACCTGCAAATGACGGGGAGAATGGAACCAAGTTGGAAAACACTCTGCAGGATATTACCCAGGAGGGCTTCCCCAATCTAGCAAGGCAGGCCAACATTCAAATTCAGGAAATACACAGAATACCACAAAGATACTCCTTGAGAAGAGCAACCCCAAGACACATAATTGTCAGATTTACCAAGGTTGAAAGGAAGGAAAAAATGTTAAGGGCAGCCAGAGAGAAAGGTCAAGTTACCCACAAAGGGAAGCCCATCAGACTAACAGCGGATCTTTCTGCAGAAACCCTACAAGCCAGAAGAGAGTAGGGGCCAATATTCAACATTCTTAAAGAATTTTCAACCCAGAATTTCATATCCAGACAAACTAAGCTTCATAAGTGAAGGAGAAATAAAATCCTTTACAGACAAGCAAATGCTGAGAGATTTTGTCACCACCAGGCCTGCCTTACAAGAGCTCCTAAAGGAAGCACTAAACATGGATAGGAACAACTGATATGAGCCACTGCTAAAACATGCCAAATTGTAAAGACCACTGATGCTAGGAAGAAACTGCATCAATTAATGGGCGAAATAACCAGCTAGCATCATAATGACAGTATCAAATTCACACATAAGTAACACCAATTACTTAAATGTAAGTGGGCTAAACGCCCTAATTAAAAGACACAGACTGGCAAACTGGATAAAGAGTCAAGACCTATTGGTATGCTGTATTCAGGAGACCCATCTCATGTGCAAAGACAAAGACACATATAGGCTCAAAATAAAGGGATGGAGGAAGAAGCAAACGGAAAGCAAAAAAAAAAAAAAAAAAAAAGCAGGTGTTGCAATCCTGGTCTCTGATAAAACAGACTTTAAACCAACAAAGATCAAAAGAGACAAAGAATGCCATTACATAATGGTAAAGGGATCAATTCAACAGGAAGAGCTAACTATCCTAAATATATATGCACCCAATACAGGAGCATCCAGATTCATAAAGCAAGTTCTTAGAGACCTACAAAGAGACTCAGACTCCCACTAAATAATAATGGGAGACTTTAACACCTCACTGTCAATATTAGACAGATCAACGAGACAGAAAATTAACACGGATATCCAGGAATTGAACTCAGCTATGGACCAAGCAGACCTAATAGACATTTACAGAACTCTCCGCCCCAAATTAAAAGAATATACATTCTTCTCAGCACGACATCGCACTTATTCCACAATTGACCACATAATTGGAAGTAAAACACTCCCCAGCAAATGTAAAAGAACAGAAATTACAACAGACTGTCTCTCACACCACAGTGCCATCAAATTAGAACTCAGGATTAAGAACCTCACTCAAAACTGCACAACTACGTGGAAACTGAACAACCTGCTCCTGAATGACTACTAGGTACATAACAAAATGAAAGTAGAAATAAAGATGTTCTTTGAAACCAGTGAGAACAAAGACACAACGTACCAGAATCTCTGGGACACATTTAAAGCAGTGTGTAGAAGGAAATTTATAGCACTAAATGCCCACAAGAGAAAGCAGGAAAGATCCAAAATTGACACCGTAACAACACAATTAAAAGAACTAGAGAAAAGTAAAAACTTCAAAAGCTAGCAGAAGACAACAAATAACTAAGGTCAGAGCAGAACTGAAGGAGACAGAGATACAAAAAAACCCTTCAAAAAAATCAATGAATCCAGGAGCTGGTTTTTTGAAAAGATCAACAAAATAGATGGACCACTAGCAAGACTAATAAAGAAGAAAAGAGTGAAAAATCAAGTAGATGCAATAAAAAATGATAAAGGGATATCACCACCAATCTCACAGAAATACAAACTACCATCAGAGAATATTATAAACACCTCTACACAAATAAACTAGAAAATCTAGAAGAAATGGATAAATTCGTGGACACATACACCCTCCCAAGACTAAACCAGGAAGTAGTTGAATCTCTGAATAGAACAATAACAGGTTCTGAAATTTAGGCAGTAATAGCCTACCAACCAAAAAAAGTCCAGGACCAGAAAGATTTACAGCCGAATTCTACCACAGGTACAAAGAGGAGCTGGTACCATTTTTTCTGAAATTATTCCAATCAATAGAAAAACAGGGAATCCTCCCTAACTCATTTTATGAGGCCAGCATCATCCTGACACCAAAGCCTGGTGGAGACAAAACAAAAAAAGAGAATTTTAGGCCAATATCCCTGATAAACATCAATGTGAAAATCCTCATTAAAATACTGGCAAACCAAATCGAGCAGCACATCAAAAAGCTTATCCACCACGAGCAAGTCTTCTTCATCCCTGGGATGCAAGGCTGGTTCAACATATGCAAATCAATAAACATAATCCATCACATAAACAGAACCAATGACAAAAACCACGATTATCTCAATAGATGCAGAAAAGGCCTTTGACAAAATTCAACAGCCTTTCATGCTAAAAACTCTCAATAAAATAGGTATTGATGGAATGTATCTCAAAATAATAAGAGCCATTTATGACAAATCCACAGCCAATATCATACTGAATGGGGAAAAACTGGAAGCATTCCCTTTGAAAACTGGCACAAGAAAAGGATGCCCTCTCTCACCATTCCTATTCAACATAGTGTTGGAAGTTCTGGCCAGGGCAATCAGGCAGGAGAAAGAAATAAAGGCTATTCAATTAGGAAAAGAGGAAGTCAAATTGTCTCTGCTTGCAGATGACATGATTGTATATCTAGAAAACCCCATCGTATCAGCCCAAAAATCTCCTTAAGCTGATAAGCAACTTCAGCAAAGTCTCAGGATACAAAATCAATGTGCAAAAATCACAAGCATTCCTATGTACCAAGAATAGAGAGCCAAATCATGAGTGAACTCCCATTCAAATTACTATAAGGAGAATAAAATACCTAGGAATCCAACTTACAAGGGATGTGAAGGAACTCTTCAAGGAGAACTACAAACTACTGCTCAACAAAATAAAAGAGGACAGAAATGGAAGAACATTCCATGCTCATGGATAGGAAGAATCAATATCGTGAAAATGGCCATACTGCCCAAGGTAATTTATAGATTCAATGCCATCCCCATTAAGCTACCAATGACTTTCTTCACAGAATTGGAAAAAACTACTTTAAAGTTCATATGGAACCAAAAAAGAGCCTGCATGGCCAAGTCAATCCTAAGCCAAAAGAACAAAGCTGGAGGCATCACACTACCAGACTTCAAACTATACTATAAGGCTACAGTAACCAAAACAGCATGGTACTGGTACCAAAACAGAGATATAGACCAATGGAACAGAACAGAGCCCTCAGAAATAACACCACACATCTACAACCATCTGATCTTTGACAAACCTGACAAAAACAAGAAATAGGGAAAGGATTCCCTATTTAATAAATGGTGCTGGGAAAACTGGCTAGCCATATGTAGAAAGCTGAAACTGGATTCCCTTCCTTACACCTTATACAAAAATTAACTCAAGATGGATTAAAGACTTAAATGTAAGACCTAACACCATACAAACCCTACAAGAAAACTTAGGCAATACCATTCAGGACATAGGCATTGGCAAAGACTTCATGACTAAAAACACCAAAAGCAATGGCAACAAAAGCCGAAATAGACAAATGGGATCTAATTAAACTAAAGAGCTTCTGCACAGCCAAAGTAACTATCATCAGAGTGAACAGGCAATCTACAGAATGGGAGAAAAATTTTGCAATCTATCCATCTGACAAAGGACTAATATCCAGAATTGACAAAGTACTTAAACAAATTTATAAGAAAAAAACAACCCCATCAAAAAATGGGCAAAGGATATAAATGGACACTTCTCAAAAGAAGACATTTATGCAGCCAACAGCCATATGAAAATATGCTCATCATCACTGACCATCAGAGAAATGCAAATCAAAACCACAATGAGATACCATCTCACACCAGTTAGAATGGCGATCATTAAAAAGTCAGGAAACAACAGGTGCTGGAGAGGATGTGGAGAAATAGGAACACTTTTACACTGTTGGTGAGACTGTAAACTGGTTCAACCATTGTGGAAGACAGTGTGGCGATTCCTCAAGAATCTAGAACTAGAAATACCATTTGACCCAGCCATCCCATTACTGGGTATATACCCAAAGGATTATAAATCATGCTGCTATAAAGACCCATGCACATGTATGTTTATTGTGGCACTATTCGCAATAGCAAGACTTGGAACCAACCCAAATATCCATCAATAATAGACTGGATAATGAAAATGTGGCACGTATACACCAAGGAATATTATGCAGCCATAAAAAAGGATGAGTTCATGTGCTTTGCAGGGACATGGATGAAGCTGGAAACCATCATTCTCAGCAAAATTATCACAAGGACAGAAAACCTAACACCACATGTTCCCACGCATAAGTGGGAGTTGAACAATGAGAACACATGCACACAGGGAGGGGAACATCACACACTGGGGCTGTCGTGGGTAGGGGGGCTGGCGGAGGATAGCATTAGGAGAAATACCTAATGTAAATGACAAGTTGATGGGTGCAGCAAACAAACATGGTACATGTATACCTATGTAGCAAACCTGCACATTGTGCACATGTACCCTACAACTTAAAGTATAATAATAAAAGAATAGGCTTATGGCTCTAAATTGATAATGTTACTTCAAAATACAGCTCTAAAGAAAATTTCACTTAGTATTTTCACAACCATGTTGTCAAAGCATAAAAACTTTCAGGGGGCTGGGCACGGTGGCTCATGCCTGTAATTCCAGCACTTTGGGAGGCCGAGGTGGGTGGATCACCTGAGGTCAGGAGTTCAAGACCAGCCTGGCCAACATGGCAAAACTCCGTCTCTACTAAAATACAAAAATTAGCCAGGCGTGGTGGTGTGCACCTATAGTCCCAGCTACTGGGGAGGCTGAGGCAAGAGAATCACTTGAACCAGGAGGCAGAGGTTGCTGTGAGCCAAGATCATGGCACTGCACTCCGGCCAGGGTGACACAGCGAGACTCTGTCTCAAAAAATAATAATAATAATAATAATTCAGGGGACTAATATACATCAGCCTCATGAAAGGAGAAAGGGAGGAAGAGAGGACGTGAACGGGGCTGTACAACAACTACACCTGTAATGTGCTATTTTATTAATAGTCACAACATAAAGTCACGTTTGAAGAAAATACAGCACAAAGTTAGTATCTGTAAAATCTGAGTGGTAGGCACATACATGAATACCATTTAATTCTGTTTTTTCCCTTATGGCCAAAATATTTCATAATGAAAATTTTAATTTAGACAATCCACATTTTATTAATTAAAAGCACAATGAAACTAGTATCTGACTATCGCAAACTCAAGTAGGTTTGATAATTTCAGGACTTTGTGCTTTAAATATTATGGAACAATACAATGTAAAATCAAAAGTGGTTGTTTGCCAAAAATGCAAATGCGTGCTTGCATTTGATAATACTTTCACAGTGATTATGCTATCTTCTCCCTGTGCTGTATGCTGGTATGTAAAAGAGAGCTGAAATATATTTTCAACAATGAAGAAGGAAGTAAAATATTAAAGCTGACCCTTGGAGATCAGTTTTCATATTACATTTTGTGAAATTCAGTAGATGCCTCTGTTTCTCTAAGAAATATTAATAGGAACATTTCAATCCTCCACAAATGAATCTTTCCTGAACAGACCTGGAGCATATATGCACAGTCTTTGTAAAACCATTCTGAACACATTGGTATGAAATCCTCCCCTGTGTAGAAAATAGCATGCTTTTCCTTCTTATTCCCCCTTTTCCTTCCTGTTTCCCCACTGGCACCCTGATGTGAAGAAGCTTTTGCTGGCTTCTCATGCTGTCAGACAGAACAGCAGAGGAGCAGGGCGGTTTAAAGCTGCCATAGGTACTGCTTCTCTGAGTGGCCCTTTATGTTGGAGGTTGGAAGGAATAAGTCAAAGGACAGCTCAAAAGAATCATAAGTAGCCCCCAAATGTCCCCAGAAGAGCCCACCCTTGAGAGAACAGGTGCCTGGGAGTCCTGTGCCCACCAGTCACGTGGCTTCTGCATGACCAGATGTCCCACCCCAATTGGGCTTTCTGCAGGAGCCAAAGAGCCTGGACCTTCAGGCCTGATGGTCTTCATCAGGTAAGAGGCTGGCTACTTGCAACAGGTGGGAGGAGCAGACATAGGGGGCAGCACAGGGTCACGACTGGCAGCACAGAGGTGGAGAGAGACCAACCTGGGTTCCAATGCAAGCTTCAATATCAGTTGATACTCTTAGAAGGAAAGTTCACCTCTCTAAGGCCACTTCTTCCCCTACAACACTGGAAAGTAATAGTATTACTCTCTCACTGGCCTGCTGTGAGGGTTAAATGACATGATGCCCAGAAAATGCTGTGAACAGGACCCAGAACCAGGTGGGCTCTTGTGAGGAGGCAGCTGTCGACTATGAGCTTTCAGTCTGGAGTGGCGTCAGCATTCTCCACTACATTCTTCTAAAGTTCCCTCTTGAAGAAATCCTGGTTCTTACACCATGCCTGGCTCCCCTCAAGACATCAACTGACCTTGAGCTCTTACTAGACTTCAGATGTCATTCATGTGAAGTCTGGCTTTCTCACTGGCTCCAGGGTTCTGATTCCTGACACCATTCTGAGCCCACACTTATCTTGAATCCCCTAAACATTGTACTTAAGGGGCCTCCTTCCTGAGACTGTTGAACTGTACATATCTCCATCCCCGGGGTTTTATCAACATAATCAGACAATGAATTAAAGAAGCAAAAGTCCCCCAAAATATTGTGGGGATATTCTACCTCTCTATCTCAGTGAATTCAGGAACAGACATTTTCAGTCTCCCACCCGGATGGTCACTTGTTCTATTTATGAAGATTTCTCTGGCAAAGAATTTAACAGCCTTTCTTGTTTTCCACTCATTTATACTTTCAGCAACATCTTACCTGACTTTTGAGTGCTGACCTACATGAGCTACATAAGAAAATACAGCACTGTACTTTGAGTATTCTGTCAATTCAAAACTCATGACCCTAAACCACTTCAAGTATGAAACACTTTAATTACTACCTTAAGAAAATGGCTAGGTACACTAGATAAGGTGATCAATGCAACATTCAAATACACAGGAAACTTCTACTCCCTGTGTTTCATTGATTGGCATTTACCATAAAGGCTTCCACTAAGGCATTATAGAAAGCCTTCAGGTAATCAAATATATATATATATATATATATATATATATGTTAAGCGTGATGTAATCTTCCACATCATCTCAAGTGAGGTGAGTTTGTAAATAGGTCAACACAAAAAAAAAGGGGAGGAGGGAAGGAAAGGAGGGAGAAAAATGGGATTAATGGAAGAGGGAGAGAGATAAGAAAAAGTGCACGGTGGGGGTAAACTGGAACTAAGTAAATTTAATGTCTGATACACTCAATTCCTTCCTAGAGATCATTCTGAAGACCCAACCTTGCGTTTCTGGAGCCTCTGCAAAAAGAGGCTCAAATCCTCAAATCCCCTGAAGGACAAGGATGGTAACTCCAGGAAACTACCACACACATGGTTGAGAGCTTAAAAAACCCCACACCAGGTGCTGGAGGGGCAAAGATGAACAGCTGCCTCGTGGGGCACCACTGCATCCCTAGGCTCTTCTGAAATGTTCTGGCTAGATTCCTTGCACAAGGCCAGCTCTGGCCCCTGAAACTCTTCCATCCACACAAGTAGAATCATTTGCTAATCACATCCGAGTCACTTGATGAAGTCTAAGTCATGCACAGGCTCAGCAATCTACTTTTAAACGTCGTAAACATGCATTTTCATCTCTGCAGATCACTATGAACTACCACCAGGAGCACTTGTCAACCTACAAATATATACCATAATGACAAGTAGTAACTATTTCACTTGAGACGTTTGAATCTTGACAAAGTGAAAAAATTTTTTAAAGTTGAAAACAGGACTTGTAAAAATACAGAATAAATATATGTCAAGATTTACTCAACTCAATAATGAAGAAACCGGCAAAAAAATAAGGCTGATCCAAAGAGAGCTGATGGAGAAGGTGTTTCTAGCCTTTGAAAATTTTAGTATAAAATTGCTAGGTTACATGCAAAGCTGGTTAATGTCCTAAAATGTGTAACACATAGGGTTCTTTTTTCCACTAGACATCTACTGCCAAAAATCTAAACACTAACACACAACTTCCCAGTGTCTAGACTCTAATTAAGAGTAAAAAACAAAAGTTAAAGAAGTTCTCCTGAATAAATAATCCTTGTTCAGGTTTATTTATTTTAAAAATGTTCCAATATGACATTGAAAGGATATGCTGCTCTACTTGGTTGCCTTATTTTCAAGTTTTAAATAATTTTTCTTAACCCATTGGCTATAATTCTACACATTTCAAAGAAAGGAGAATACAGCTATGATTTGAGCCAGTTTCAGTTACAAATACAGATATCTTTCCATTGCTTTTCCTCTTTTCAATTAGAAGGTCATCCTTAAATCAGACCTCTGAATTTCTTACAGTAAAACAAATGTTTGAGTTATTATGGGAAAATTTTTGTGTGTGTTTGTGTGTAGAGACTTTTCTCTCCTGTAATTCTTTTTATTATTAAATATCAGGTATTATAGGGTATAAGCCAGTGTTCTTTTTTTTTTTTTTTATTATTATACTTTAAGTTTTAGGGTACATGTGCACAATGTGCAGGTTAGTTACATATGTATACATGTGCCATGCTGGTGTGCTGCACCCACTAACTCGTCATCTAGCATTAGGTATATCTCCCAATGCTATCCCTCCCCCATCCCCCAACCCCACAACAGTCCCCAGAGCGTGATGTTCCCCTTCCTGTGTCCATTGATCTCATTGTTCAATTCCCACCTATGAGTGAGAATATGCGGTGTTTGGTTTTTTGTTCTTGCGATAGTTTACTGAGAATGATGATTTCCAATTTCATCCATGTCCCTACAAAGGACATGAACTCATTTTATGGCTGCATAGTATTCCATGGTGTATATGTGCCACGTTTTCTTAATCCAGTCTATCATTGTTGGACATTTGGGTTGGTTCCAAGTCTTTGCTATTGTGAATAGTGCCGCAATAAACATACGTGTGCATGTGTCTTTATAGCAGCATGACTTATAGTCCTTTGGGTATATACCCAGTAATGGGATGGCTGGGTTAAATGGTATTTCTAGTTCTAGATCCCTGAAGAATCGCCACACTGACTTCCACATTGGTTGAACTAGTTTACAGTCCCACCAACAGTGTAATAGTGTTCCTATTTCTCCACATACTCTCCAGCACTTGTTGTTTCCTGACTTTTTAATGATTGCCATTCTAACTGGTGTGAGATAATATCCCATTGCGGTTTTGATTTGCATTTCTCTGATGGCCAGTGATGATGAGCATTTTTTCATCAGTCTTTTGGCTGCATAAATGTCTTCTTTTGAGAAGTGTCTGTTCATATCCTTTGCCCACTTTTTCATGGGGTTGTTTGTTATTTCTTGTAAATTTGTTTGAGTTCATTGTAGATTCTGGATATTAGCCCTTTGTCAGATAAGTAGGTTGTGAAAATTTTCTCCCATTTTGTGGGTTGCCTGTTCACTCTGATGGTAGTTTCTTTTGCTGTGCAGAAGCTCTTTAGTTTAATTAGATCCCATTTGTCAATTTTGGCTTTTGTTGCCATTGCTTTTGGTGTTTTAGACATGAAGTCCTTGCCCATGCCTATGTCCTGAATAGTAATGCCTAGGTTTTCTTCTAGGGTTTTTATGGTTTTAGGTCTAACATTTAAATCTTTAATCCATCTTGAATTGATTTTTGTACAAGGTGTAAGGAAGGGATCCAGTTTCAGCTTTCTACATATGGCTAGCCAGTTTTCCCAGCACCATTTGTTAAATAGGGAATCCTTTCCCTATTTCTTGTTTTTCTCAGGTTTGTCAAAGATCAGATAGTTGTAGATATGTGGCATTATTTCTGAGGGCTCTGTTCTGTTCCATTGATCTATATCTCTGTTTTGGTACCAGTACCATGCTGTTTTGGTTACTGTAGCCTTGTAGTATAGTTTGAAGTCAGGTAGTGTGATGCCTCCAGCTTTGTTCTTTTGGCTCAGGATTGACTTGGCAATGCGGGCTCTTTTTTGGTTCCATATGAACTTTAAAGTAGTTTTTTCCAATTCTGTGAAGAAAGTCATTGGTAGCTTGATGGGGATGGCATTGAATCTATAAATTACCTTGGGCAGTATGGCCATTTTCACAATATTGATTCTTCCTACCCATGAGCATGGAATGTTCTTCCATTTGTTTGTATCCTTTTATTTCATTGAGCAGTGCTTTGTAGTTCTCCTTGAAGAGGTCCTTCACATCCCTTGTAAGGTGGATTCTTAGGTATTTTATTCTCTTTGAAGCAATTGTGAATAGGAGTTCACTCATGATTTGGCTCTCTGTTCGTCTGTTATTGGTATACAAGAATGCTTGTGATTTTTGCACATTGATTTTGTATCGTGAGACTCTGCTGAAGTTGCTTATCAGCTTAAGGAGATTTTGGGCTGAAACAATGGGGTTTTCTAGATATTCAATCATGTCATCTGCAAACAGGGACAATTTGACTTCCTCTTTTCCTAATTGAATAACCTTTATTTCCTTCTCCTGCCTGATTGCCCTGGCCAGAACTTCCAACACTATGTTGAATAGCAGTGGTGAGAGAGGGCATCCCTGTCTTGTGCCAGTTTTCAAAGGGAATGCTTCCAGTTTTTGCCCATTCAGTATGATATTGGCTGTGGGTTTGTCATAAATAGCTCTTATTATTTTGAGATATGTCCCATCAATACCTAATTTATTGAGAGTTCTTAGCATGAAGGGCTGTTGAATTTTGTCAAAGGCCTTTTCTGCATCTATTGAGATAATCATGTGGTTTTTGTCTTTGGTTCTGTTTATATGCTGGATTACATTTATTGATTTGCGTATATTGAACCAGCCTCACATCCCAGGGATGAAGCCCACTTGATCTTGGTGGATAAGCTTTTTGATGTGCTGCTGGATTCGGTTTACCAGTATTTTATTGAGGATTTTTGCATCAATGTTCATCAAGGATATTGGTTTAAAATTCTCTTTTTTGGTTCTGTCTCTGCCCGGCTTTGGTATCAGGATGATGCTGGCCTCATAAAATGAGTTAGGGAGGATTCCCTCTTTTTATATTGATTGGAATAGTTTCAGAAGGAATGGTACCAGTTCCTCCTTGTACCTCTGGGAGAATTCGGCTGTGAATCCATCTGGTCCTGGACTCTTTTTGGTTGGCCAAGCTATTAATTATTGCCACAATTTCAGCTCCTGTTATTGGTCTATTCAGAGATTCAACTTCTTCCTGGTTTAGTCTTGGGAGAGTGTATGTGTCGAGGAATTTATCCATTTCTTCTAGATTTTCTAGATTATCTGCATAGAGGTGTTTGTAGTAATCTCTGATGGTAGTTTGTATTTCTGTGGGATTGGTGGTGATATCCCCTTTATCATTTTTTATTGCGTCTATTTGATTCTTCTCTCTTTTTTTCTTTATTAGTCTTGCTAGCGGTCAATCAACTTTGTTGATCCTTTCAAAAAAGCAGCTCCTGGATTCATTAATTTTTGAAGCGTTTTTTGTGTCTCTATTTCCTTCAGTTCTGCTCTGATTTTAGTTATTTCTTGCCTTCTGCTAGCTTTTGAATGTGTTTGCTCTTGCTTTTCTAGTTCTTTTAATTGTGATGTTAGGGTGTCAATTTTGGATCTTTCCTGCTTTCTCTTGTGGACATTTAGTGCTATAAATTTCCCTCTAAACACTGCTTTGAATGTGTCCCAGAGATTCTGGTATGTTGTGTCTTTGTTCTGGTTGGTTTCAAAGAACATCTTTATTTTTGCCTTCATTTCGTTATGTACCCAGTAGTCATTCAGGAGCAGGTTGTTCAGTTTCCATGTAGTTGAGCGTTTTTGAGTGAGTTTCTTAATCCTGAGTTCTAGTTTGATTGCACTGTGGTCTGAGAGATAGTTTCTTATAATTTCTGCTCTTTTACATTTGATGAGGAGAGCTTTACTTCCAACTATGTGGTCAATTTTGGAATAGGTGTGGTGTGGTGCTGAAAAAAATGTATATTCTATTGATTTGGGGAGGAGAGTTCTGTAGATGTCTATTAGGTCTGCTTGGTGGAGAGCTGAGTTCAATTCCTGGATATCCTTGTTAACTTTCTATCTCGTCGATCTGTCTAATGTTGACAGTGGGGTGTTAAAGTCTCCCATTATTAATGTGTGGGAGTCTAAGTCTCTTTGTAGGTCACTCAGGAGTTGCTTTATGAATCTGGGTGCTCCTGTATTGGGTGCATATATATTTAGGATAGTTAGCTCTTCTTGTTGAATTGATCCCTTTATCATTATGTAATGGCCTTCTTTTTCTCTTTTGATCTTTGTTGCTTTAAAGTCTGTTTTATCAGAGACTAGGATTCCAACCCCTGCCTTTTTTTGTTTTCCATTTGCTTGGTAGATCTTCCTCCATCCCTTTATTTTGAGCCTATGTGTGTCTCTGCATGTGAGATGGGTTTCCTGAATACAGCACACTGATGGGTCTTGACTCTTTATCCAATTTGCCAATCTGTGTCATTTAATTGAAGCATTTCGTCCATTTACATTTAAAGTTAATAGTGTTATGTGTGAATTTGATCCTGTCATTATGATGTTAGCTGGTTATTTTGCTCGTTAGTTGATGCAGTTTCTTCCTAGTCTCAATGGTCTTTACATTTTGGCATGATTTTGCAGCGGCTGGTACCGGTTGTTCCTTTCCATGTTTAGTGCTTCCTTCAGGAGCTCTTTTAGGGCAGGCCTGGTGGTGACAAAATCTCTCAGCATTTGCTTGTCTGTAAAGTATTTTATTTCTCCTTCACTTATGAAGCTTAGTTTGGCTGGATATGAAATTCTGGGTTGAAAATTCTTTTCTTTAAGAATGTTGAATATTGGCTCCCACTCTCTTCTGGCTTGTAGAGTTTCTGCCGAGAGATCAGCTGTTAGTCTGATGGGCTTCCCTTTGTGGGTAACCCGACGTTTCTCTCTGGCTGCCCTTAACATTTTTTCCTTCATTTCAACTTTGGTGAATCTGACAATTATGTGTCTTGGAGTTGCTCTTCTCGAGGAGTATCTTTGTGGCGTTCTCTGTATTTCCTGAATCTGAATGTTGGCCTGCCTTGCTAGATTGGGGAAGTTCTCCTGGATAATATCCTGTAGAGTGTTTTCCAACTTGGTTCCATTCTCCCCGTCACTTTCAGGTACACCAATCAGACGTAGATTTGGTCTTTTCACATAGTCCCATATTTCTTGGAGGCTTTGTTCATTTCTTTTTATTCTTTTTTCTCTAAACTTCCCTTCTCGCTTCATTTCATTCATTTCATCTTCCATCACTGATATCCTTTCTTCCAGTTGATCGCATTGGCTCCTGAGGCTTCTGCATTCTTCACGTAGTTCTCAAACCTTGGCTTTCAGCTCCATCAGCTCCTTTAAGTACTTCTCTGTATTGGTTATTCTAGTTATACATTCGTCTAAATTTTTTTCAAAGTTTTTAACTTCTTTGCCTTTGGTTTGAATTTCCTCCTGTAGCTCATAGTTTGATCGTCTGAAGCCTTCTTCTCTGAACTTGTCAAAGTCATTCTCCGTCCAGCTTTGTTCCATTGCTGGTGAGGAACTGTGTTCCTTTGGAGGAGACAGAGGTGCTCTGCTTTTTAGAGTTTCCAGTTTTTCTGCTCTGTTTTTTCCCCATCTTTGTGGTTTTATCTACTTTTGGTCTTTGATGATGGTGATGTACAGATGGGTTTTTGGTGTGGATGTCCTTTCTGTTTGTTAGTTTTCCTTCTAACAGACAGGACCCTCAGTTGCAGGTCTGTTGGAGTTTGCTAGAGGTCCACTTCAGACCCTGTTTGCCTGGGTATCAGCAGCGGTGTTTGCAGAACAGCGGTTTTTCGTGAACCGTGAATGCTGCTGTCTAATCGTTCCTCTGGAAGTTTTGTCTCAGAGGAGTACCCTGCCGTGTGAAGTGTCAGTCTGCCCCTACTGGGGGGTGCCTCCCAGTTAGGCTGCTCAGGGTTCAGGGGTCAGGGACCCACTTGAGGAGGCAGTCTGCCCATTCTCAGATCTCCAGCTGCGTGCTGGGAGAACCACTGCTCTCTTGAAAGCTGTCACGCAGGGACATTTAAGTCTGCAGAGGTTACCGCTGTCTTTTTGTTTGTCTGTGCCCTGTCCCCAGAGGTGGAGCCTACAGAGGCAGGCAGGCCTCCTGGAGCTGTGGTGGGCTCCAACCAGTTCGAGCTTCCCGGCTGCTTTGTTTACCTAAGCAAGCCTGGGCAATGGCGGGCACCCCTCCCCCAGCCTCGCTGCCGACTTGCAGTTTGATCTCAGACTGCTGTGCTAGCAATCAGCGAGACTCCGTGGGTGTAGGACCCTCCGAGCCAGGTGCGGGATATAATCTCCTGGTGCGCCGTTTTTTAAGCCTGTTGGAAAAGCGCAGTATTCGGGTGGGAATGACCCGATTTTCCAGGTGCCGTCTGTCACCCCTTTCTTTGACTAGGAAAGGGAACTCCCTGACCCCTTGCACTTCCCGAGTGAGGCAATGCCTCGCCCTGCTTCGGCTCGTGCATCGTGCACTGCACCCAATGACCTGCGCCCACTGTCTGGCACTCCCTAGTGAGATGAACCCGGTACCTCAGATGGAAATGCAGAAATCACCCGTCTTCTGCGTCGCTCACGCTGGGAGCTGTAGACCAGAGCTGTTCCTATTCGGCCATCTTGGCTCCTCCCTGGGAAAAAATTTTTTTAACCTGCCACTTCAAATGTTCAAATTGAGTCACTTTAGATGTCCTGAAAAAAATGTATTGTTAAGATTTGCGAGCATTCTAACGAAGGGGATAATCACGCTAAGAAATTAAGACATTTCAAAATTTCAAGCTTTTGCTTTTTCTTTTTACATTTTCACTTTTTTTCCCACGTCAGATGGGTCACGTGCCGACATCATCACAAGATTTGAGGGAGGCACATGTCACACATGAATGTGAAAACCCAATCATCACACTTAGGAACCAACAGGAAGAGCTTTTGCTTTTGACTTGGCATTTTGGCTTACGAGCACAGTGAACGTCCACAATTCTCATCTGAAACACTAAAAATTCTAGAAATTATATTTAATCATTATCTTTCATTAACTCTAAAATGCACATTTCTTTTTTTTTTGAGACAGTCTCACTCTTGTCACCCAGGCTGGAGTGCAATGGCAGGATCTCTGCTCACTGCAACCTCCACCTCCTGGGTTCAAGCGATTCTCCCGCCTCAGCCTCCCGAGTAGCTGCGATTATAAGCACACGCCACCATGCCCAGCTAATTTTTTTTGTATTTTTAGTAAAGACAGGGTTTCACCATGTTGGCCAGGCTGGTCTCAAACTCCTGACCTCAGGTGATCCACTCACCTCGGCCTCCCAAAGTGCTGGGATTACAGGCGTGAGCCACCGCGCCTGGCGCAGATGCACATTTCTTTTCGTCTATTTCCAATTCTAAATTTGGGTAGAATTTCACAATGAATGGCATCTTTCAATTGCAGTCAGATGGACAGCAGTCGCAAAGCAATTTTCATGTGTGAATATTTAAAAATTCAGCATTGAATTGAATTAGCAGAATGGGTCTCAGCAACTGTAATGAAAACCCTGAGATATACCAGAGCAGTTACTAACCCTAGGCACCAAATGGTGGTTGGAAGTGCTGGGATCTGTTCCTCTACATTTCCAGCCCAGCAACAGTCAGAATTGTGTTAACATGACAAAATTGCAGTGGTAAACAGCTTAAGAACTCAGCATTAGTGAACTAACTTACTCTTTTATTTCCTTCTTTGTTTTTCTTTTTCTTTCTCTCTCTCTTTCTCCTTCCTTGCTTGCTTTTTTTTTTTTTTGTCAGAGTCTCACTCTGTCACCCAGGCAGGAGTACAGCAGCGCTGTCTCAGCTCACTGTCTCTGCCTCCCAGGTTCAAGCGATTCTTGTGCCTCAGCCTCGCAAGTAGCTGGGATTACAGGCATGTGCCACCTTGCTGGGCTAATTTTTATATTTTTAGTAGAGACGGGGTTTCAACATGTTGGACAGACTAGTCTCAAACTCATGGCCTCAAGTGATCTACCCACCTTGGCCTGCCAAAGTGCTGGGATTACAGGTGTGGGCACCATGCCTGGCTGAACTTTCATTTTATAAATTTATTTTTCCCAGAAACTTTGTAGAAGATGTTAATGCAAAATAAACAAAAAAATTCTTTTAAAACTATTTCACCAATATTCTTTATAGCACAAAGGGCAAATTGCGTGGCAAAATAGAGACACTGAAGTCTTGAGTTGAAAGTGATTCAGAAGACTTAAACTTTCTTGTACAGAAGTTTCAGGAGTAAAACTTACCTGATGTATTTTTCTTGTATTTTTTATATGTTTATAAGACTGTTAAATGATAAATGCCTATATATCGTTAAGTCCAGAAGAGTTCTTTCAATAAATATATTTTAAAAATATATTAGATACACTCAATTCCTTCCTAAGAGATCATTTAAATAACAGGAGGTGCTGGGAAATAGTTTAACTGGCTAGGTTTCTTTTTCTCAGTTGTACATAAAATGTGTATCTACCAATCAGTGGCGTCATGGGCAATAAAATATGGACATAAAAATATAGATACAGCAGCAGTATTTAAATATCTGATTTCTAGGTAAACTTGCTATTAGCTAAAAATTATCCATTAGTTTATTCTTGTAACCAGGCCTTTCTATTTTTTTTTTTTTTTTTTTTTTTTTTTGAGACAGAGTCTCGCTCTGTCACCCAGGCTGGAGTGCAGTGGCACAATCTCGGCTCACTGCAAGCTGAGCCTCCCAGATTCATGCCATTCTCCTGCCTCAGCATCCCGAGTAGCTGGGTCTACAGGCGCCCACCACCATGCCCAGCTAATTTTTTGTATTTTTAGTGGAGACGGGGTTTCACCATGTTAGCCAGGATGGTCTCGATCTCCTGACCTCGTGATCTGCCCACCTCGGCCTCCCAAAGTGCTGGGATTACAGGCGTGAGCCACCACGCCTGGCCGCCTTTCTCTTCTAATACATTTTAGACTGATGGGAAGCAATAAAGGATCTAGCTTAGAGAGCTACTTATACCCCATCAACTTCTAAACACCATCAGATTCAATCCAAAGACTAAAAATCAACAAAATTCACCAAGTTGGGTCTTTTGTTTTTGAATTTTGTACTATTATCTGTTCAACATACAAGTAAAGTTAGTAAAAATATTTTAAAAATAAAAATTTGTCATTTGGAAGAACATAGTTTTGACATTTAAAAGATACAAGCTGGACAATAATAGAAGCTAGGAGTTATCAGAGCCTCCAATGACTATCCTGTAAGAAAATGTTCAAAGACAGAGCTGACTTAGAGTGAGTACACTCTCTGGAGGAAAAGAAAAAGCAATTCCATATGGAGAGTTTTAATTTTAGATGGCTTCTCTTGTCAACTTCATTTCTGTTCCTCCCCTTCGTTGAAAATCGCTGTTCTCAGAAATTGTGTAAAGGGTTGAGGGTGGAGAGAGAATTGTCTGTGCTTACATTAAAAAAAAAAAAAAGTCATCTCAAACTGAAGTCCTCTTCTGAGGCACTTAAGATAGTTCAAGAAGAGAAATTTACCCTCAATATCTAGGAAATGTTCTCTCTGTATTTCTCTGAACATAAGAAAGTCTAAGTGAGACATTTCAAGACATCCTTCATTTCATTTCCTCCCTGCATTCCTATCCAAAAGGCCAAAACACCAAAACTAGCTTATTATTCCTGCTATTCTTTCATAGACTTCATCAGCTGAATGCAGAAAAAGTAAGATTTGCTGTAAATGGAGGAGCTAAGCTACTATCAGAAGGTACTAATAACCTTGATTAGGATATTAGAGTCTATAGATAGTGGTCAAAGGGCTTGTCTTAGGCGAGTACATTGCCGACAATACCAGAACTAGAACTCAAGCCAACTACTCGATTTCCAAGTAGTACATTTATATGTTACGCTGAGAAGGAAAATTGCTATCTTCCTTACAACATTGAAGCTAAAAAAAAATTTGTTCCATGTACGGGTATAAGTACTGCATGCTTGATACAGCAAACAGAGGTTTCCATTGACTATTTTCATTGAGTCCAAATTTCCCTTAACTAGCAGACGGCTCTTACTCATCTCAGCAAGCTCCTAGCAGATTGACTTTTTACTGTGCAAGGAGTAGAAGTCAGCAGGGAACTCGGATCCTGAAACAATAAGAAAATTGAGTTGAGATGGATATGTAAGAACCTTCTGTTATAGTAAACAACGTTCACAAGACTTGACTTTCCTCTTCAACGAAATGTGAAATAGCATTTCCTGTATCTTAATTTAATCTGCCTAATAAAATGTTTATAAATGGATTACATCATCTGCAACTGCACAGAATTTAAGGCAAACTCACTTAACTCTAGAGATGCACTCTTTGAAATTGTATTTAGAGACTATGTGATATCCTGTATTCTCTGTCCTGGCCAGTATGGACCAGCACCTAGGACTGCAGGCCACCTCTTCTTATTCATGCTATACCATCTTCTGGCCCAAAGTGACCATGTGAGGTTCCAAGAAAAAGGACCATTGAGGGAGTACAAGCCACGTCACAGAGATCCCCACTGATGGAAGGAAGCAATGGAGTAGATGGCCAAAAACTCTTTGAATGTTATTTCAAATCTGCCTCGGATTATACATTGGACCTATTATAAGGGAATTTATTTCAAATTAAGTAGTGAAGCTACATTGCAAAAGCACAGATAGCTCCTAGTCCATGCTGCTGTTTCTGAGTGAATAACTAAATAAGTGAGCCTAAAGGGGTTTCAGCACAGTCCAAGTTTTCCCTCTCTCTGACCTTCTCCTCCAGCCCCATGGCAGCGTCTTGAGGAGATGTAACTCAAAACAGAAACCCAAGGTGAAATTCTTCTTGATCAAAGCCTGTTAAGCTCAAAACTTATATAGAGAAGAGAAAAGAAATATTTTCTTTTTAAAAGGTCTCTCTTTCCTCTTCAGCCTCTACTGAGAACCACCACCCCAAACCTGAAAGCCCCAAACAGACAGTGTCTGCTCGGCTGGCTTTAGTGAGGTTAGACAAAGATAAACCACATGGTGGTGGCTGCCCCAAGCCCCAGCAATTCCAAGAATTACTAACTGAATCCATGGCCACATCAGCCCATCTTCTGGTGAAGCTAACGTCATCTGGCTTGTGTCCTGAATAATACCTTAGTGATTATCTGAAGATCACTGATACTCAGCCCTGCTCTCTCTTTGCCTTGAATCTGCCCAATTACCTCATCAAATTCCTTAACGTATTAAATGAAACCATGACTGGGGGGCTTAAATCTTTAGTCTTCTGCCCTTCCCCATTCTACCCCAACTTATTTTACACATCTCAAGCAAATGAGAGCATCCATTCTATGCTTAATACCCTCCCACTTCCTTTTTCCTATAAAGATGCCCAGCGGTCATCTCACGTTTTTGTTAATCACTACACAACACCAAAGCCAAGAAAAGGACGAGATTCACTGCAACACTCATTCACGGAGGCAAACCTACTTCACTATGAATCTCTGTTCATTGTGTTTGGGGTTTAGAGAACTCTATTTAGGGGTCTAGTTTAATCACCAAAAATCGAGCCCCCTAAGATTAAAATGTTTTCTGATGATTTCTAAACAGCCGACGCAGGCATTGTGCCTAAAGAGGAAAGGGTCAGTTTGCCCCTGGGCTCCTGGACACATCAGCATGAAGCTTCAGAACTCATCAGCCATCTGTATCGAGCGGGCTATCTGAGGATGCATGTCAGAGCTCTTGTAATCCAGCATCCAGCAATTGAGCTTAAGTGTCACTCCTGGCTAGATATCCAGGCATGCCCCATGCCCACTAGGTCCCATGGGTACAACAAACTCCAGGCACCAGTACATGATGTTATTCATTGAACGGCACTCACTTTATGATCTGTGGCTGGCACACTGTTAATTACATGGCAAGGAGAGGTCAATATCAAGCTAAAATGGAACCCAGCTGTCCCACAATATAATCACGTCCACCTGAGACACTGAGCCGTCACCTTTAAATCACTTGTAAGCACTAGCTTTCATAGCCTCTCTTCTATCAATAAGCCACACCACAAATGCAGTCCCTGAATCCTGCAGTTTTTCAGCATAAAGCGACATTTTCTTAGCACACTCCAAATTTAAAGCCTATTTTCTCAATAAAAGAGGAAAGGGGTTAAGAATGGTAAAAAATCAATGGCGAAGTGGGACCCGAGATAAAGTGGAGGGGGCAGAGAGAAAGGTGATATAGAAAAAAGGAGTGGAAGGGAAAAAAGGAAGGCGGGAAAAGAAAAGAGAAACAGCATTTGAAACACTGCAAAGAGAAAATGATCAGCAGAATAATAAGGAGACAAAGAAAAGGAGTGAAAGAAAAATAGGTTGGGTAGTTTGGTGAGATGAGCATATCCATAGTGTTTGTTCCTTCCAAATTTTGAATACGGGCTTCATAGCAAGCTGTTCACTACTACCAACACCTTGTGCAATGCAAATTAGTCACTACCAAATCTCTACATTTGTCTGCAAATTTTCAATGTCCAGTTGGAACGGCATGCCAATAGTAACACATCACAGAAAGTATTGTCAGGCTGCAGAGTCAGTCCTCCCCTTAGGACAGCTGAAACCAAACAGCAGTTGAGACGGGCGGCCCACCATGGAGTTACACCCAGGGTCACCTTCCAACAGGTTTCTTAACCCTCTGGGGACACTTGGCTTTCACTCTTCCCCATGCCCAACTCAAAACCCAACAGGCTGGGCACTGTGGCTCATGCCTGTAATCCTAGCACTTTGGGAGGCCAAGGCAGGCAGATTGCCTGAGCTCAGGAGTTCGAGACCAGCCTGGGAAACATGGTGAAACCTTGTCTCTACTAAACATACAAAAAATTAGCTGGGCGTGGTGGTGCACGCCTGTAATCCCAGCTACTCGGGAGGCTGAGGCACCAGAATCACTTGAACCCAGGAGGCGGAGGTTGCAGTGAGCCGAGATTGTACCACTGCACTCCAGCCTGGGCGACAGAGTGAGATTCTGTCTCAAAGAAAAAACAAAACAAAACAAAACCAACAAACGACTCATGATCACTTTAGAATGGACAGTGTCTCTGTTCTCAGTGTATAAGAACATAGTTACTTTTAGTTCCAAGTTGAACTGCAATACCTGAAAATGATTTTCACAGCAGCATAGGATTCAGATTAGACACAAGAAAGAACTTTCAAGTGATGTTTGGAATGATATACAGGAGATCGTGGCTGGTTCTACAACAGTCTTTGGATATAGCTGAGAATATGCTGTCATTTACTAGAGATAATAATTTCAGTATAGCCTACAATGGGCTAGGCAAATTAATTTCAGAATGACCTTTAACATCTCAACAATTTCCCAAGCTCCCCAAAGACTCATCGACTGTTATACTTTCACTGTCATTTCCTAGAAAAGCTTCCTCAGAATCCTAACAATACTTTCAAAGAAAAGGACTGCTTCCTTATTGTCACCTCCTCCCTATGCATTGACAAAGTACTTTCTTATAAATGACAATGTGCTAAAAATAGTCACAAATAAAACAAAACAAAAAGCAACATATAGCCTAACGACCATGAAAGTCTCCAAATATTTTGGTCTATCGCAGTGAGATAACTGAAAAGGAAACAGAAAGCTGTAAGAATAAAAATGTACAATATAATATTGCTTACAAAAATACTAGAACATTGAATGTCCAGTACTTAAAAATATCAAAATATATACAATGCATCAACCCAATGGAATGAACAGCCATAAAAGTAATTGTGGTATAACAATATGAAAAAGTGCTTGTGAGATAATGCTTCAAGTAAAACATAGAATAATCTTTTCCCTCCTATTACAATTATTTGACCATTTACAAAATGACCAAAAACTGGAAGCAAACAGGAAACAAAAATAACTAACGGATGCACTGTCATGGAAACATGGAACACATTTTCTTTTATTTCTCTATTACTTTTATGCTGATATTGGTTGCAGTAAACAAAAGTTAGAAGACAAAGTAAAGAAGGGAAAAGGAAAACACAGTTATAGCTTTTAGACGACTATATAATCAACGTCAGACAATACTGGCATAGACCAATATGGAAGACACAGCTCAATGCCTAAGTACGGATATGGTGTAGCCATTAAAAATGCTTAGGAAGGACTGTAGATGTATCTTCCAGTGGGAAAAGTGACCCAGCAGAAATGGACATTGTATGTTACAAACTAGATAAAAGGTGGGAAGAAGAGTTTCCAGTGGAACTGAAATTAAGAGCTTCAAGGAATTAAAGAAGACCACCTTTCCAATTAGACACTCTCAGAATGAGAACTCTAAACATAGCATGTTCTAGCAGAAGATTGTCAGATAAAGCAAATCTGAGATTTCATTTTCTGTGCCCTGTCAAGAAAACTTTCTGCTATGAGTGGCTTGTAAAACTCATGATACTCCACTCTGTGTCAATGGTTGCCAAACACATTCACACATAAAGCAAAATATACTAGCAATTAAAAACATCATGAGCACAAGAAAGTACAAAGAAGTGGCATGGGAATAGTGCTTCTTTCAATAGTTCTCAAACTTCAGAGCTAATTAAATTTCTTTGTTTTCCCCAATTGGAAGCATAGTAATTAGTAATATTCAAGTTACAGCACAATAATTTAAAATGTATTCTGAGAATAATTTGAATTAAATCTTAGGAAATAAACAAAAGTGACCTTCCTTCTAAAGACTGACTTTATTTTGAAAACTATTTGTATTTGTTTTCCTCTGTTATGTGTCGCATTTCATTCCTGTCACTCTGTGTTCAAGAGGACACTACTTAAAGATTTCTAATTTAGTGTGTACCTAATGAGAGAAAGCTAGAGAGTGATTGCTCCAGCTGCTGGGTGGTCATGGATTGATTAAGGTTTGTGGATTACTCTGGCCCTTCTTTTCCTTGACTCACTGCTTACTATGTGGTATATACTGGGACCTAGAGAGGTCATCAGTGAAGGGAAATTAGATAAAATCTGTATCTATGTTACTCTTTGTATTTGAAGGGGAGGTTTACTTTATAGATTGAAATCAGCTTTCTAAAATATCCACAGATCCATCAAACCAAATAAATGCCCCTCCCCCAAACTCAAGACAGCCAATGCATGATTCAGGAGGGAGTTAGGCACTGGGGAACTTCCTGTGATGGTTAATTGTACATGTCAACTTGCCTGGGCCAAGGAACACCCAGATAGCTGGTGAAGCATTATCTCGGTGTGTCTGTGAGTGTGTTTCTGGGAGGGATTAGCAGTATGTTAGTCCGTTTTCATGCTGCTGATAAAGACATACCCGAGACTGGGTAATTCATAAAGAAAAAGAGGTTTAATGGACTCACAGTGCCACGTGGCTGGGGAGGCCTCACAATCATGGCGGAAGGTCAAAGGCATGTCTTACACTACAACAGGCAAGGAGAGAATAAGAACCAAGCAAAGGGGAAACGTCTTACAAAACCATCAGATCTTGTAAGACTTATTCACTACCACGAGAATAGCATGGGAGAAACTGCCCCCATGATTCAATTATCTCCCACTGAGTTGTTCCCACAACACACGGGAGTCATGGGAGCTACAATTCCCCATCTCTTCAAAAAAAAAAAAAAAGAAAAAATTAGCCAGGCATGGTGGCGCCTGTAGTCCCAGCTACTCAGGAGGCTGAGGTGGGAGGATCGCCTGAGCCCAGGAGGCAGAGGTTGCAGTAAGCTGAGATCACACCACTGCACTCCAGCCTGGGCAACAAAGCCAGACCCTGTCTCAAAAAAATTTTTTTAATTAGAAAAAAAACAGTATTAGCACCATAGAAAGATATTTAAAACCACACAATAGTAGAGAATAAAAATTGTAAAAGTCAGGAGAGACGTACCTCCTCATACGAGGTGGCAAGGCACCTTGCCTCTGTAAGTTTCTCTCCAAAAACCTATAACCCCAGTCTAATCATGAGAAATATGAGACAAACCCAAACTGAAGAACAGTCTACAAAACACATGACCAGACTTGCTAGGAAATATCAAGGCCATTAAAAATAAGGAAAGACTGAGAAGCTGTCGCAGGTTGAATGAGACTATAACTAAATGCTACCTGGGATCTGAGGAAAGAAAAGGACATCAGGGAAAAACCTGGTGAAATCCTAAAACACTCTGCTGTTTGGTTAACAGGATCACACACTGTTAATATTTGGTTTTGATAAATATACTTTGTGTAAGACATAATGTGTATGATATTAGCATTGCCGGAAGCTAGGTAAAGGGAACAGGGTAACACTCTGTACTATGGCTGCGACAGTTCAGTCAACCCCAAATTATTTCCAAATAGATAGCTTAAGAAAAAAAGGCAACAGATAATTTTTTTCTTAGAGGGAACAGACTGGCGAGGGGAATTTTGTTCATGTGGCTTAAAAGTAATCCAAATTTAATCTGAATGTTTGCATATAGCTCTTTTTTTTTTTTTTTTGAGACGGAGTCTCACACTGTCACCCAGGCTGGAGTGCACTGGCGCGATCTTGGCTCACTGCAACCTCCGCCTCCAGGGTTCAAGTGATTCTCCCACCTCAGCCTCCCGAGTATCTGTGATTACAGGGGCCCGCCACCACGACCGGCTAATTTTTTGTATTTTTAGTAGAGACAGGATTTCACTATGTTGCCCAGGCTGGTCTCGACCTCCTGACCTTGTGATCCGCCTGCCTCGGCCTCCCAAAGTGCTGGGATTACAGGCGTGAGCCACCGAGCCCGGCCTTGCATATAGCTCTTTCAACTTTAAAAACAAAAGGCAAAATATTTTAGGAAAAGCTGAATTATCAAATACATGTGAATGGGGAAAGAGGAACAAAGACTTGGGCAAGGCTGGCTACATGGAAACAGTAGAAAGAAAGAATCACTTCCTTGGATCTGCTGCTAAGATAAGCTGTACATTAATAATCATGTACACAAAAGAAATCAGCAACATATCAAAATTGAGATTGTCAATTTATTCTCAAGGTAGCGAGGTGCTTTTGCTTGGCAGAGGGAAGTTACACAGCGAGGTAAAGAGAAGAATTCATCCTTCTAGGCAAAGTGTGCAGGAGCCCAGTAGGCAGCCTGGGGAATTTTTCACCATGCCATAGAAGACTGACTTAATTATCTTAAGAATTTACATTGTAAATTGTCATTTTCTCACTCAGCATCTGACAAGTGAATGAACATAAAGCAAATTCCATTTTGCCACACAATATGAAAGAATGATTTTTAACCCAAAGGGCTGCACAATGTGCTTCTGCATCACCATCTTCCAGTCTTGAAGCCATAAACCTCCCATTCTATGATGCCCGAAACTAAAGGAATAGCAGCAGATTTTCCATGGTCTTCAGGAAACTGACCCTCATATCACTATAGCCCACAGAATTGGGACAGCTTTACAATGTAAGGCTGAAAAATGCCGTCTCCGTGCCATCACTGGTTTTTGTAGGGGTAATAGGATAATCAATGCTCCTAAGTTTAGCATGTGGAAATCAGGACCCATTTTCCCTTGGGAGGGAGATGATATATAAGAACTTGAATCTAATCATGAAAAGCATTAGCCAAATCCAAATTGAGAGAGATGATGCACAAAACCATGGTCTGTATTCTCCTAGAAATGTCAAGGTCAAAGAACACACAGAAAGGCAAAGCACTATTCCAGATCAAAGGAGAGCAAAAAGAAAGACAGCTAAATCCGCACAGGATGGAGGACTGCATCCTCGTCTAGGAAAGAATAAGTGTAAAGGAAATTTGATGAATTTTGAGTCATGACTGTGGATTAGACAATAGAATTGTATGAATGTTACATTTTCAGGTTTTTATAATTGTACAATAGGGCCATATTAGCAAATACGTACCTACTAAGTATTTAGTGCTAAAGGGACACAATGTCTCCAGCATGCTCTAAAGTGTTTTTTTGGGGAAAAATATGTATATATACACACACACATATGCACATATGCACACACATATGCGCACACACACACACACACACATGCACACGCAAACAGAGAAAGAGAGAAAGCAAACACCAGGGAGGAAATGAGGCAAAACATCAACAGTGAATATATCTGGTGGAAGGTTATGCAGAGTTCCTTGTACAATTCTTGTAATTTTTTTCCTAGGTTAAAATCATATCAAAATAGAAACTCAAAAAAATGATTTTTGGAACTAGATAGTGGGTGATTGTGCAATATTATAAATGTACTAAATGAAATGTCTACTTTAACATGCTTAATTTTATGTTATGTGAATTTTACCTCAGTAAGAATAAAAATAATAACGACAGTCCCAAGAGACTCTCCATAATTCCAGGGGTCACAGTTGCCTGGACTCAAAATGGGGACAAGTGAGAGGCATAAAGTGTTAGATGGCAAACCATCAGCATGCCCAGTGGCCACAAGGCAGCCTCCCTAAAACAGGGGTCAACTTTTTGTCCTGAGAACCGTCTCTGAAACTACTCCAAGGTAGTACTCCAGGCTAAGTCACCGAGAAGGAGGATGCCCGCCTCATCCCTGCAGGGTGGGGTTACACCACACCTGCCCTCTCTGTGGGCTACTCTTCACATTTTAATTAAATCATCGGGCATTTCCTGAGGCAGCTCTGTCTTGTATTTGCAGATTGGATGGCCTTTGAGCGTCCTTGTATAAGCCAAGACTTTTGACAGAAATGCAATCCTAGTTACAGAAACAAGAGGCCAATTTATATGAAACTGAACTGGGAGATACATATAAAGACCATTAAACACAGGACATAATACCACATTCCACAAGTAAAGAAATTCTCAATAAATATTTGTCAAAAAAAGAAAGCAGGAATGTATTGCAGTCCTCATATCACAGATGAGTATGTGATGCTCAGAGAGGTTAAGTATTTTGCCCAGGGTCACACAGCTAGTAAGTGCCTAAACTGAGGTTTGATTGCAGGTCAGCTGACTAAAGTCAGTACTTTGAACAATGGCCTCTGATTACTACCATGTTTCTTTGAGAAAATATGGTGTAACTTATGGTTGCAACAGGCATTGCTGATTACTGCATCCCTAGCAAAGGAAATAGTTATTTTCTCAGTAGAGAAAAGAACACAGAATACACATAAAACTCCTGCTTAGAAAGTACCAAATATTTCAAATGTGTATGCCAACATATAAGCTGTATTTCCTCCCTCCAATTGCCCCCCTCTCAAATAAGAAAAAAAAAATTAAAAACACATTTACATCCGTTTTGCCCAAACTTGGATCAGGCTTGGAAGGTAAGAGGTGACCAGCTAAGGCATGGGGTTTGGTGTGGGCTTCCCACCGCCCCGAGGCTCCTAAGTCCAAAGGCATGGGAAGGTGCTGCCCCCTGGTGACGACATGAGGTAATCAGCTCAGCACAGTGAAAACTAGAGCTTCACATCCTCTCAGAGTTTGGTAACATCGGTAGAGTTTTATACACCGGCAGATACGGTAGGGCAGATTCTAAGCAATCACTCAGTGTAACAATCACAATCCCACCCCATTCACTTGCACTTAAATGTGCTCTTGAGGCAGGGAGAGAAAATGGCAGCAGAACAGCTCTCAGCACATATAAGGTGGAAAAAGGCTAAAAATGACAACATAGGAAGATCATGAGTGCTCTTGTGCTCTACTTTTTTTTTTTTTTTTTTTTTTTTTTGAGACGGAGTCTCGCTTGGTTGCCCACGCTGGAGTGCAATGGCACGATCGGTCTCGCTCTCCTTCTTTCTCTCTTTCTCTCTCTCTCTCCCTCCCCCTCCTCTCTCTCTTCTCTCTCCCTTGACAAGCGCTTTTTCATTTGCATTCCTGAGTTCTCTTAACCTTTTACTTAGAGAGGTGCAGTATGGTTTAGAGTAAATAAATTTAAAAAGCCAAGAGGCTTGGGAATGATACAATTATCACTGAATTCTGGTGTCCCTTCTTACCCCGTGTGAGACTCTGGGCAGGTTACTTAACCTCAGTATAGTATTTTTAGATATAAAACCAGGGACAAAACATCTATTTCACCAGTTAGCTGCAAGAAGAGTGTGTCAAACATGGTGGAGGGGCCCTCATAGGTGGTAAGTATACAAACAATGTTTAGTTCCTCTTTCCCTCTAGGCTGGCACTCCATAAGGATGGCTCATACCTTTGCTATGCTCTTCTTTTTTTTCCTGGAGAAACCCTATAAAAATGTCAAAAAGGACTAACACACGGAAGCTAGGTTTGAAATGCAGAGACCAGCTTGCATGGAGTCAAAGTGATTGGTGTGTTGATACACTAGAACAATTTTAAATGGAAATAGTTTAGGAGCAGACATCCTAAAAACTGCCCAGAAGGCCTAATGAAGGAAGAGAAGCTGCTGAAGAGGAGGACGATCTGGCACAGAAGGAGAAGGAGGAAGGAGGAGGAAGAACAGGTCTATCGAGAGTGAGCAACACGTTCATTTTCACAGCAACTAAATACATCAAACAAAAATAAACCCCGGCTGTAAAGAAACATAGTAAACATTCTGCCAGTGTATGTGGTAAATAACATTGTTTCAGTAATTAGTGCCATTTTTTATACACTGCCCCTAAAGTATTTACAATAAGGATGTGACAATGAGGAGGAAGAGGCAGGGGGAGAAGAGGAGGGAACCAGAGCCCCAAAGCTTTATTTGTTCGTGCACTACACATGAATCCAACTTTTATCAGGGGAAGAGATAAGAAAGGCCTAGAAAAGCTGACCTCCTGTTACTCAGGACCCAGAAGAGAGAGAGAGAAATAGGGAGGTAAACTGGAATTTTCTCTATAAAGCACAACAGCACAGATGTGCTCACAGCAGGACAGAAGTAGCAGGAAAGAGGGAAGGGCCATAGTCTATGTCCCCCACCTCCCTCAACTTTCTCACTTCACTAAGTATATTCCAGACTTTTTTTTTCTCAAGGCCAAAGAGAATAAGGTTTAGAAGATGAAAAGGTGGATAGAATTGTCCTATCTGCTTCGATTTCACTGGTAAACGTATAATAAAATAAAGGCAAAATACCTTATCTTTACCCTTATATAATAATAATAGCTTACATTTATAAAAGATCTATTATATATTGTTACATACAACTTCAGAAATTTTATTTTTTGTTTCTAGAATTTCCATTTGGTTGCTTCCTACTGTTTTCCATTTCTCTACCAACACCTCTAATTTCTCTGCTAAGATTCTCATTCATTGAAAACATGGTTTGTTTTTCTCATTGGGGATAGTTATCACAGTCGTTTTGAACCTTTTGTCTGTTAGTTTCAACATCTGGTTCATCTGAGAGCTGGAGTTGATTTTCTTTTGTCCTCATTCTCCATGATCTGGGAATTTTGGATTCTTTTCCAGATATTATGAATGTTAGGTGGTGAAGATTCTGGATTCTGTTTTTTCTCCAATGAGTGTTGCTTCCTTTGTTTTAGCAGATAGTTCTCTTGTCTGTGCACAAACTGCAAACTGTTTCCAGGGCTACAAGTCTGGTCTTAGTGAGATCTTCTGTCCATAGCTAGGTTGCTTTGAGTAGGCTCCATGCATGTGTGGTTCAGAGTCAGAGATGTGGGGAGACACGGTTTAGGGGCACCCTCTCTGGCTACCTTTGTGTTCTGGCTCCAGGCACTAATGCAACAACTGAAGACACTTGTTGATATGGGCTCCTGTAATTGCTCTACACGGTCAAGGCCAAAAGTGAATACGTTGACTGAAAAGCCATACTTTCCAGAGGATAAAATTATTGCAAGCCAAGGATTAAAACATCCATTTAAATCAAACTGCTTTGGCTGAAACCTTTTACTATGTTTATGAAGTCCGTCATGGCATGATGGCTCACACCTATAATCCTAGCACTTTGGAAGGCAGAGGTGGGCAGATCACTTGAGCCTGGGAGTTTGAGATTGGCCTGGGTAATATAGCAAAACCCCATCTCTACCCCCCAAAAAAGACAAAAATTAGCCCTGGTGTGGTGGCATGTTACTCAGGAGGCTGAGGTGGGAGGATCACTTGACCCCAGGAAGGTGAGTCTGCAGTAAGCCATGATCATGCCACTGCACGCCAGCTGGGACAAAAAGTGAGACCCCGTCTCAAAAGAAAAAAAAAAGTCCATCACGAATTACTTCATTGCTATCCTTTTTTCTCTTGTTCTACATATTTGACTAATCTTCATATCTATGAAATAGGAAGTCATAATTTATAATGAGTCTGTCTATTATAACTAGACGGACAAATAGAGTATAGGCTAATGTAAAATATTTTGCATTTCCTCTCTCATCACGTCATTAAAAACTGTCTTAAAGAGCGGAGTTATTCTGAATCAAATATGATAGCCTAAATGCAAAGGATCGACAGATTAAGTTGAATTTGTGGTCAATCTTTATTCTTAGCAGAGCAGCAGCTAGCTAGAGTTTTAAATTAGAAACTGCTTCTATGCTTTTCAAAGATATTACAATAGAATTTGATACTGAGCCCAGAATATTTAATAGGGAGGTCTAAGTAGTATCATTTATAGAAATGAAAGCTTTAATATTACTCATTCTTTCCATTTACTACTTGTTAAAAATAACATTGTATTTTAATTTTCATAAAGTAAATGAATAGTCCTGAAAAAATAATAAATGAGTATTTATGTGATAACTGAGTTCCAAACAAAGGTCCACTTTCTGGGCAGGGGCTTGTAGTGGGCATGGTAAACCCACTCAGATCACCCTAGATTCAAGCTTTTGTTGGAGAAACAGCACTGTATATATATACATACCATATATATAACGTGGAAGGACCACATAACCCTAGATGTGACTGATTGTGCCAACATGGTTACATGGCTCAAGCCAGACAAGATTTTTGATCCAGAAAATTTGAAGTACTCTTCTTAGGGATCATTTATATAGGTCTACTTATAATAGCATACAAAAGAATGAAATAGGAATAAATTTAAAAGATAAAGTACAAAATTTATATTCTGAAAACTGCTACACAACACTGTAGAAAGAAATTAAAGATGACCTAAATAAATCAATGGGTATCCCATGTTCATGAATTAGAAGGCTTTATCTTGTTAA
This sequence comes from Homo sapiens, assembly GCF_000001405.40. Taxonomy (NCBI): domain Eukaryota; kingdom Metazoa; phylum Chordata; class Mammalia; order Primates; family Hominidae; genus Homo; species Homo sapiens. Next base: position 37,185,871 of record NC_000007.14, read on the forward strand.
GCTGGGATGGCAATGCTCCTCCTAAATTGATCTACAGATTCAATACAATCCCTATCAGTAACTCCGCTGACTTCTGCGTAGAAATCAACAAGACAATCCTGAAATTCATGTGGAAATTCAAGACACCCTCCATAGCCAAAATAATCTTGAAAACTAACAAATTTGGAGGACACACACTTTCTGATTTCAAAACTTACTACAAAGTTTCCATAATCAAGACAGCGTGGACTTGACATAAGAATAAACATATAGCAATGGAACAGGATTAAGAATCCAGAAATAAGCCTTCACATTTATAGTCAATTGATTTTTGACAAAAGTGTCAAGAAAATTCAATGAAGAGAGAACAGTTTTCAGCAAATAATGCTAGGAAAACTAGATATCCACATGCAAAAATGAAGTTGGACCCCTTCCTTATGCCATACACAATTAACTCAAAATGGATCAAAGAACTAAATATAAGGGTGAAAATTATAAAACTATTAGAAGAAAATGTAGGTATACATCTTCATGACCTGGAATTGAACAATGATTTCTTAGTTATGACACCAAAGGCATAAGCAATAAAAATAAAAAACAAACTAGATATATATCAAAATAAAAATCAAATTTAAAAACTTTCACGCTTCAAAAGACACTCTCAAGAAAGTGGGAAGGCAATCCACAGAATGTGAGAAGTTGCAAATCATGTCTGATAAGGACTTGTATCTAGAACATACAGAACTATTACAACTCAATGATTAAAAGATGAACAGCCCAATTAACAAACAAGCAAAGGATCTGAACAGACATTTCCCCAAAGAAGTTATAAAAATGACCAATAAGCACAAGAAAAGATGCTCAAATATTATTAGCCATCTGGTAAATGCAACTCAATACCACAATGAGATACCACTTCCCTCCCATTCCCTCCCATCAGCAAAAAGTCAGATAATAACAAGTGTTGATGAGGACCTGAAAACACTGAAATCTTCATAAGCTACTGGTGAGCATATACATTGGTGCAAGCACTTTGGAAAAGTCTGGCATTTCCTCAAATGGTTAAACATAGAGTCAGTATGTGATACAATCAGTGTGCTTTTAAGTACAGAACAAAGAGAAATGCAAACATACACCCACACAAAAACTTATACAGAAGTGTTCATAGCAGCTTTAGTCATCATAACTAAAACTAGAAACAACCCAAATGCTCATCAACTGATAAACAGATAAATAAAATGTGGGATGTGTGTGTATGAGAGAATAAAATCAGACAATAAGAAGAAACAAAGAACGGATACATGAGACTACATAGATGAAACTTGAAAACACCATGCTAAGTGAAAGAAGCCAGTAACAAAAGACTATGTATTGTATGATTTCATTTATATGAAACATCCAGGATAGACAAATCTATAGACAACGTAGACTAATTGGTTGCCTGGGGCTGGGGAGGACGAACAGATTGGGGTGACAGCTAATGGGTCTTGTTGGGATAATGAAAATGCTCTAAAATTGACTTTGGTGATGGCTTTACAACCCTGTAAACATACTAAAAGCACCCAAACTGTACATTTTAGATGAGTGAATTATATGGTCTATAAATTATACATCAATAAAACTGTTAAAATATGAGTTATGTTCTCAGTTTTACAAATTTTGTAAAAGTGATTAAATAAAACTTCCCAATTCACCCCATTCTTCTAATAACATATTATGCTTTTAGTGTACAGCATTTAATAACTTTGTTTACTATAGATATTACTATAACCAGTTTTTTATTATCAGTCATCTACTCCAAATGAATTCTGATAGTAAAGAAAAATGACCATGCAGGTAAACTGTAGTAAACTGTATTACTGTATATACAAGGCCGCAGGTGCACTGAAATGTGATAATTTGACTATTTCAATTAAAGAATTGCCTTAGCTAATTTTTGTGTAGACTAAAAACTGTTAAGCACTTGAATTCACAGTGACTGAGACAGCACAGTTTTTAAAAAAATAACGACACAAGGCCATTCTTCAAGGGAACTCCCTGAATATCCCATTTCTAGAAATTTCTATCCCAGCCCAAACTGGGGCATCTAAAGGACTCCAGTTAGTCAATGCCAGTAGGTTTCCTTTGTCTAATCATTTCTATTACCTTGTGACAAGAATCTTCATTCACAGAGTTTAAAAAAAAGCAGGGGGGTGGGGGTGCATTAAAATCTTGTCTTCAATGGCAATCATAATCACTTTTACCGCGGTTCAGAAATTACAAACTTCACACACTACATCTTCTTGATCTCTAATAACTTTTTAAAGAGAGGAGTTTAAAAGCACCATCACCACTCTGCAAATAAATTAGCTGAGGTTCAAAAAATAATGATTTGACCAAAACCAATCAAGAAGAGCTGCAGAAAACAGAGCCCCAGTCCTTAGGTTCCAAATGACACTTACTGATGAGATGTTTTTGCAGAACTGGATTACTCCACTATCCTTCATTACATGAAGTTGTACCTTACAGTGTTTATTCAAAGTGGGGGCTAGTGCTTAACATACAGACTGTGCTTCTTGTTACACACACACACACACACACACACACACACACACACACACACGCAAACACACACACACACAGGCCACTGGAGAAAGGTAAAAAAAAAAAAAAAATAATAATAATAATAATAATAATAACTAAGAGCAAGAGAAGACTATAATAGGGAGATAGGAAATGTGGCTGTGGGTATTTAGAGAAAAGGCATCTTAAGAGTTTTTTTTAAAACCATAAAATTAGTAAAGATAAAAGAAAATCTTTAGAGTTATGAAACGGCCTAGGCGTTAGAAACAGCCACTTTCTAAGACTAATGGTAATGGTATAAATTGTCACTGGTTCTGGAATATTTTGTAATATGCATGGAAATCTTTAAAAACACAACCCAACGACCACTAAATCTTGCTGGGGTTTAGGGTATGAAATGCCTGGATGTGTCCCCCACAGTCAACCCCATGACTGAGCCTTCCATGAGGAGCTTCTATGAGAATATGCAGTAAAGACAAGTTTCATCATTGCTGCAGCTCAGTTCATGTGTTTCTGAGATTTTCATTAACTTTTTGACAATAACTGTTTTAGTCCTCCTGCTGAATTATATTTATGTTATAAAATATGCCCAATCCTGAACCAAGGAACTGTGCTTCTAGTGATTAAGCTGTAGGTGTATTTGCTGTGGCACTGTATATAATAATTTTTAAACTGGTAACAACATATACATTCAAAAATAAGAAATTGTTTAAAAGAATTCGGTAATTGTGTATGGAACACCATACTTTTAATCATGATGTTTGAATGTTTATGTACATGAAAGATTCAAACTGCATTGCCATGGGACAAAAGGAATTAAAAAACTGTATATGATGGACAGACAGTGCAGGCATAACATACATCCTTAGAAGAATCAGACTTTCAGCCTCCATCAACAGATGGAGATTCTAATGTGAACATGAGCAGGGAAGAAATGAATCCTTTTGAGAAACACTGGTTTCTGTAAGGCATTCCGAAGGATATCCCAGTGAATTATGCAAAGAAGACATTTGCTTGAACTCTGAAGCTAATGAAAAATGAGTGTATATAACATATGCTATATAACTGAAGAAAGACACAGGGAAGTTTATGGCAACCCAAGGGCAGAGATAATGAACATCAAGACCTCTGGGAAGGAGAGAAGCCCACTCTCTTGCGGCTACATGGGTATGTAACCGTGGTTATTCAAAGACATGAGTTCTAACTCTCTCCGTGAAATCAGATTGTTACCTAGCTTAAGCAATGATCTCCCAAAAGAATGAGAGACACATTTCCAGGGAAGAATTCAGGGAATCTTGCATAATAAGTTGTTGCCAAAACTTGAAAAACAAAAAAACAAAATAAATGGCAGCAGATTTTTGTGGAACAAATCAAGTACCTATTCACCACATCATACGATAATTTATAAAGCCTATGTCAGTCCCAAGCCACAATGCTGAATAAAATACTATCATACTACATTTTTATCTAAAAAATGACATTATCAGTTGGTTTTTATGGATGCATCAGAATGTAAACCTCTAGAAAACCCTGAAGACTCTGTGTGGTTAAACAATCCTGGACTATGAATCTCTCTACAAACCATGCCAAATCAGATTTCTAGAGACATTTTATCGTTTTGTCCCTACCAAAAAAAAAAAAAAAGGAAGAAGAAATGATATTTAGCAGAAATTCTTATACTGAACGAAAGAACAGCAGCAAAGGCTCTTTATCAGTAGGTCAATATTTATAAACCACAATGCAAGTGATAAAAAGTTTAGGAAGACATAAAATGAACATTATGCTGATAGGCTACTAATTATTAAAAAATTACTTTGCTTCAGAGCAACACGTTTCATTTGTTCTGCAGGTTGCATGTATGTTCATCTCCATGGTATTAATAGTAATAATTATTTAATAATCCCAGACTAATGTGGAGAGAAGTCTCAACATGCTTTCTACAGGGATATGTTTTTTAATCTAAGTTTTGTACCTAAAACATGAAGAAAGAAAATCTTTCATTACGGTCTATCAGATGAAGCTAAGCATATACTAAGATGACATCATAAACTATCCTATTCTAGGTTTTCACATGGAAATGTTATCTTTTTTATTTATTTATTTAGAGACAAAGTCTCACTCTGTCACCCAGGCTAGAGTGCCATAGCGTGATCTTGGCTCACTGCAACCTCTGCCTCCAGGGTTCAAGTGATTCTCCTGCCTTAGCCTCTCGAGTAGCTGGGATTACGGGCACCCTGCCAATCACGCCCGGCTAACTTTTGTATTTTTAGTAGAGATGAAGTTTCACCATGTTGGCCAGGCTGGTGTCAAACTCCTGACCTCAGGTGATCTGCCCACATCAGCCTCCCAAAGTGCTGGGTTTACAGGCGTGAGCCACTGCACCCAACCAGAAATTTTCTTTTAAAAATTCATTTTGAAAAAAATTTCAAAAACCTATATGATCACATTTTCATGAAAGCATACTTACTTATACAAGCATAGAAAATATCTGGAAAGGCCAGGCACGGTGGCTCAAGCCTGTAATCCCAGCACTTTGGGAGGCAGAGGCGGGTGGATCATGAGGTCAAGGAGATAGAGACCATCCCGGCTAACACGGTGAAACCCCATCTCTACTAAAAATACAAAAAATTAGCCGGGTGTGGTGGTGGGCGCCTGTGGTCCCAGCTACTCAGGAGGCTGAGGCAGGAGAATGGCATGAACTCGGGAGGTGGAGCTTGCAGTGAGCCGAGACCGCGCCACTGCACTCCAGCCTGGGTAACAGAGCAAGACTCTGTCTCAAAAAAAAAAAAAAAAAAGAAAGAAAATATCTGGAAAGATATACATCAAAACTACAAAACTATAACAATGTTTTATTTACATATATAGAAATATGGCTGATTTTTATGTAAATGATTCTGATTACCTACATTTCTGAATTCTCTGTGGTAAGCCCAACTAAATCAAAGTAGTTAGAAAAAACAAACAAAAATCTACCTCATGGAAACAAGGAAGTACTTAAAAATAGAAGGTACAAATAAATATCAAAAATAATTGTGTCAAAAATGTTCTTATATTTTGACCGACCCAAGAATCTAACAATCTGTTCTAAGGAAATAATCCTCAATGTGGACAAACAGTTACTCACATATGTTCATGGAACCCCTTCTTGTAAAAAAAATCATAAATATATAGGAGAATGTTTAGATAAATTTTGGTTCAACCACTTAATAAAATGTTATCTGGCATCGGCCGGGCACGGTGGCTCAAGCCTGTAATCCCAGCACTTTGGGAGGCCAGGGCAAGTGGATCATGAGGTCAGGAGATCAAGACCATCCTGGCCAACATGGTCAAAACCCGTCTCTGCTAAAAATACAAAAATTAGCTGGGCATGGTGGCACGAACCTGTAATCCCAGCTACTCAGGAGGCTGAGCCAGGAGAATTCCATGAACCCGGGAGAAGGAGGTTGCAGTGAGCCAAGATCGCACCAGTGACTACCGCCTGGGCGAAAGAGGAAGACTCCATCACACACACACACACAAAATGTTATCTGGCTTCTGCACGTGATGTTTATCCAGGTGTACTGAGGACACATGGAAATGTTAGGAAATCAAACATAGAGGTCAGTCTCCACTGTGTAAAGGACAGAGTTCACAGAAGAAGAAGAAAGATGCTAACAGTAGCAGTGTTTGCCTGTGGAAGGTGGGACTATGAGTGATTTCTCGTGTGTGTGTTTTCCACAATTTCCTCTCCCAAGTTTTCACCATAGGGATGTGTCACATTGATTAGCAGAAATAAATACTGGTAAAAAGTGGGCCAGAGCCAGGGCCAGGTGTGGTTGCTCATGGCTGTAATCCCAGCACTTTGGGAGGCCAAGGCAGGTGGATCATGAAGTCAAGAGATCGAGACCATCTTGGTCAACATGGTGAAATCCCGTCTCTGCTAAAAATACAAAAATTCGCTGGATGTGGTGGTGCATGCCTGTAGTCCCAGCTACTCGGGAGGCTGAGGCAGTAGAATCGCTTGAACCCGGGAGGAGGAGGTTGCAGTGAGCCAAGACCGTGCCACTGAACTCCATCCAGCCTGGCAACAGAGCAAGACTCCATCTCAAAAAAAAAAAAAAAAACTGGGCCGGGCGCAGTGGTTCACACCTATAATCCAGCAATTTGGGAGGCCAAGGCAGGCAGCTCACTTAAGGTCAGGAGTTCGAGCCAGCCTGGGCAACATGGAGAAGCCCCATCTCCACAAAAACTACAAAAATTAGCCAGGCATGGTGGTGCATTCCTGTAATCCCAGCTACTCAGAAGGCTAAGGTGGGAGGATAGCTTGAGCCTGGGAGGCAGAGGTTGCAGTGAGCCAGGATTGCACCACCGCACTCCAGCCTGGGTGACAAAACGAGACTCTGTCTCAAAAAAAAAAAAAAAAATGTGTGTGTGTGTATATATGTATATATGACATATATATTTATATATAGATACATACATGTTTATATATGATATATATTTATCTATAGATACATATATTTTATATATTATATATAATTTATATATAGATACATATATATTTTTTATATATATAGGAGATATATATATATATATATATATATATATATATATATATACACACACACACATTTAAAGAGTGGAAAGAAAAAGTTCATGAAATCAAAATACAAAACAAAACATTGCAGATGTGTGCTCAGACCCAAAAATGGAATTTTTGTGAGGGATCTGAAGAATTCAACCTGATAATTACCCCTTCGCTGGGTTTGTATTACCTTGTAAAGTAAAAAATTCTGAGGACTTCCTGAGTACTTTGACCACTTCCCCCCTGGATTCTTGGTGAGGGGGGAGGCTCAAAGAGGCCAAGCTGACTCAAAACCCCTGTACCAGGTGGGGCTACGCAGCCCAACCCGCACAGTGATTGTATCCAACCAAGGCCCCCTGGCTCTCTATGATCTGCCTAACATTTTCCCAGAACTCTCCTTTAAGATGGAGGTAATTTTTTCTAACACGTAAACTGAATAAGAACAAAAAGCCGTTATATAAGCAGGGATGGAGGGAAGGCAGCCCAGAGCGGTCACCCCTCGGGTTAAGGAGGTGCTCTGCCAGGGGTTATCAGAGAGTGACACGGAGGCTGGAGTCACCACTCGGGGGGCTCCCTGCAGGAGCTTAGAGGCACAGCCTCCTTGGTAACCGGCAGCCTTCCGCAGCACACTCATACTCAGCACTAAAAATAAGGCAGCACTATCTATACAGTGTGAGTCACTAGGAAACGGCGAAAATAGGACTGCACCAATGGCCTGCTACGGGAAGAGTATCAATTGTGTTTCCCAGCTCTTACAAACAAATCAGAGTCCCTGCGTGGCGGGCCATCCTCTTTCCAGTTTTCTCTTATCACCATTTTCTCTCCTGCTGGCAGATGAGCACACACATGCACACACACTTGTGCACACACATGTAATACATGTACATACACATAAACATGTGACTCTAGTACACACTTAGAGAAGAACCCACTCTAGGCTTCAGCAAATGATCTCACCCGGTGCTGCCTCAGCAACTTGTCCCTCTAAATACATCTCACTGGCACTTCTCATCCAGAATGCTCTGGAAAGCCCTGGCTCTCCTGGAGAAATTCTCCAGAACAAGCACAGAACTTGACACATGAAGACTGGAGTCCCATGTGTCACACACTCGATGTATGTCCTGGCCAGTTTATTCTCTGCTCTATAGTTTCCCAGCTCCCCTTTCATTAAAATAGGCTAACAAAACACTTGCCAGGTTACTGTAAATCTCAAGCAAATGTTAACTTGTGCTAGGTATTTGTATTTCCATTGGCCTTCTGGCTATCTCCAGCTGAAAAGTCCTGACAGTAATTCAAATGTCCTTTATCCTAAATGGAACAAACCAGCCCCTTCCCAAAGCTGCATCTCCTATCTGCAGAAAGAGCAACCCAGCTTCCCGGCCACACAAGCTGTGCAACACTCCCCATATCCAATCTGTTACCAAGCCCTGTGCTCCACACCTTTTCTTTCACATTTGTTTTCTCCCTTTCTATTCCCCTTCTATTTCTAGTTTCGGCCAATATCACCTCCAGCCTCTTCCAACTTCCTGCCATCTTTTTACTACCACCGAAGTGAAATCCTCAGCTTTAACTGCATTATTTCTTAACTTACAAATTATCAAATATCATCCAAACACCGCAGCACATAATATTTTATGGCCCAGCCTCAAAGGAGCAGAAATTGAAGGAAACTTCACATTCTTCCACTTTCCACTCCTTGTTGGTCACCCACGCTCCTCCTCCTCCCCAGCTCACTCATGTCCAAATGCTCCCTATTCTTTAAGGTTCATCTTCAGCGTCCTCTCCACTGTAAAATCTCATGGAGTCCTCAAATAAATTCTCCTTATCCATTTTTGGAATTTCAGAAACACTTTATAGTCTATTTGTATGATTCTCATAGCATATATCAACTTCTACCTATAAGTAAAGGTGTCTCCTTTCTTGAACGGTAGAATCCTTAATTGATCTATTCATTCATTCATTCAACACACACTTACCATATGCCTATCCAGTGGCAGGAACTGTGCTGGGTGCAAGAGATGCAAAGGTGTGCTAAGTAGACAAGGACCTATCCCTCTGGTGGGACATCAGGCTAATAAGCAAGTACAAACTACGTGCTGAAACGGGGGTAGGACCTGGACTGGGAGAGCTCCCAGCAGGCTCCCTGTGTCTAGTCTAAGAATACAACACACTCAGTTCTGAACTGAGAATTGTAGAGGACAGGGGATGAGAGTGCCAGGAGAGAGAACAGCACACATGAGGTCCAGAGTGATAAGGAGTTCACTCAACAATCAATTCCATGAAGGCCTTGGCTTCTCCGATTCATCTTTGTGACTAGAGAGAGGCCTGTCCGCACACTGCCTTAAATATCATAAATGCTCATAAATGTTGGTTGCACGAACAAATGAATCAACACATTAGTCTCTTATTTTTAGTCTAGATTAAACTCCAACATGACCCTATTGCCTGGCATGATCCGTTACTATCAAAGTGCTCTACAGGTGACCGATGGGACGCCATTCTACAGTGAGCCACTCAGATAGATGGAAGAAATCCACAGGCCCCTGTCTCACACCTTGGATGCCTGTTTGGATGCCCAGCCATGCCCAGCTGGCTGGAGGCGGGGCTCCCTGCACTGAGCAGCAGTTGCAGGAATCTGTGATGCTTTCCCAAAGTGAGGAAGAACTGTACCTCCTCCCAGAGCTTTCCTCTCCGAAAAAGCTGGCGTGGCTCTTCTCCTAACAGACCTGGTCCCAGACGGACCACCTCCAGTAGATGCCCCTGAACTTTAAAAGCTGTACTGCAGAGGCCTCCCTCTTCCTGGTCTCCATTTTCCAGCCCTTTCCCTTTGCCCTAATGCTCATAAGTCACAGGGAAGGCTGCAGTGGGAATGAGGGAGAACCCTTCAAGAAACAAGGAAAAGCTTTAGTATATGACATCACAGATAAATATATTAAAGGGCTGGGGGGATGGAGAGAACCAAATTCAAATCTGCTAACTTCAGGCTCCATCTATGAACAATAGAAGGCAAAAAGTGAAGGCCGATTTCTGGGTTATCATGAAGCAGGAAGATGAGCACTCAGGACCTGTCATGAAAATACTTGCTTTCCCTCACTGCTTTGCCCTGGTTATGAAGCAAGGTCATCAACAAATGAACAACATCAAGAAGGCAGGCAGAGGCTCAATAAGCTGAGAATGGAGACAAGGCCTCTTGGATTTACCTGAATTGAATGTAAAGAGCGACTGAGACCTTGTAGACAGCATGTTCCCTTTTCCTTAAATAGCAAGACAGCACAGCCTCGAGGCTGAGGTGGGGGAGGACTGGCGTCAGGGTGAAAGGGGCCAAACACTGGCCCTGCCACTTGCTTGCTGTGAGCATTTGCGAAGGATTTATAGCATCCCTGGAAAACTGGAAGCACAATTTTGCTTTCTACCCCCAGATAGAAACGTGGCCTTGCTCCTGCTGGGTTTAGCTTGAGATTCAGGAAGGACGATGCTCTGTGCATGTTCCCTTAAGAAGCAGCAAGTGGATAGTTGGTGTGTGGTCTTCATTAGTGGGAATACCATCCTGAGTGTGGAAAGGCCACAGTGAGACAAGCATTTGGTGGCTTTCTCAAGGACTCCAAGGGAGTGGGGGGTGTCCTTGGCATGGGAGGCTAGAAATAAAGCTTCACTAAGATCTGCTACTTTCATCTATTTCACTGCCTTGCTCCCATGAGTGTCTGAACCTGCGACTAAACAACTTGAAAACAAAAATTAAGTCTGCATATGTCTCCTTGTGCTGCTGAAACACTGCAGCTATTGTGGGCAGGTTTCAAATCTTCTGAAGCTGTAAGCCTCTTTTTATTCGTCTCTAAAATAGACATAATAATCCTTGTGTCTTGTGTCTTGTGGAGACAGAATGAGATACTGCATATGGGAACTTTCTGGCTCAGGTCCCAAAGAGTCCCCTAGACACTACTGCTGCTGGGTGTGGCCACTGCAGCTATTTTCTGCAGCTATTTACTGGGATAAGACCAGTAGAAACCCTAGCAGGCAACCTAAAAATGATAGATTCTCAGCAGTCTAGCCAGTTTGGTAATGTAAACATTTAAAGAGGAGGGACAGGAATAACAAGAAAGCAAAGGGTTAATAAATACCCCTTACCCTTTTAACCATGTTGTCCCAAGCACCATCTCGGGAGTGTGCACCACTTCTCATTGGAAAGTTTGTAGGTTTGCAGAGTTCATGGAAGATTCTTCCTGCTCCTCTTTCTCTCGTCTTCAGAATGAACAAGTGCAGGAAGTATGCAGAGATGCCCGCACAGGGCCAGTTCTTATGTAACCATGTGATTCTCAAATTGGTTCTTGTCCCTTCCCATTGGAAAGGTTTTGACAGTCTTCCTACACATACAAAATGCCATCCCCAGAATTAGAATCCCACGCCATGAAGCCAGCTCCCAGCATAAAAATTACTTCCCGGCAGACGTGAAACAGACATGTCCGAGTCTGGACGTCGTGCTCACACCTCCTCTCCCGAGGTCACATCACACTGAATTCAGAGGTAGGAAGGGCACTGTGACAAATAGTCACCACTTGAAAAAATGGAAAACAAAATAAAAAGTACCACAACAGCACACTGTCTCAGGAGAAAGGATAAAGATAGAAGGCATGCTAGCTTTGCGTGGAGCTGATTGATGGCCATCAAAAGCAGGTCAATGGGAAGCAGGTAACTGGATCACAGGACTCTTAACTGGTCATTCCTTCCCTCTCTTGCCTGCACCCCAGAATAACCAGCATGATTCTCAGGGGTGCTTTGATATGATCCTACTAGAGGCAAAATCACGAGTACAAGCACCTACAGAAAATCATCAGAGGAAGAGGTGCTGGATGCCTATAACTACCTTTCCCAGGTACCAGGACCCCATCACCACTCAGCCCTGCCAGACTCTGGTGGTCCTCTGTCCTAGCACTGTCCAGCCTAGGTCCAAGGCACTCTCCAAAGGGTATCGTGGATGGAGTCATCCAATTGAAAAATGCTTCCTGTCATGGACAGTAATATTGATTTAATATATGTTGTGGTTTTGAGTCTTATCTGCTTTTGAAAATCTGCACAAGAGCAGGCAGCATAAGGACATCCTCGGCCATGTGCCTACATGCTAATTCCTGAGTAGCAAAAATACAGAGCAAAAAATCCACCGCTTCCTTCACTAAAGAGGCTCTTTGAGGGGTATAAAAGTCCTGCACTGCTAAGCACTCTTACGAAATTCTCTAGAATTCATGGACTTTGGGATATGCCACTCCTGACAATTAACTGTTTTTGAAGCCATGTATTTCTACTCTCAGACCCAGCTGGTTATAGTCAAATGAAGAATGTCCCCAGTCATCTGGGTTACTGTAAATGCATTCTGCAGACTCATTTCCACCATCAGATCCAAATGACAATCATCAATTGTAAAAACTTACTAAAACTGGCTCCATGCCAAGGCTTCTCAGAACTTAACATCAATTAACTCATTAATGTCCATAACAAGCCTGGGTGGGAGATACGACTATATCCAACTCACTAATGAGGCAAGAAACACTTAGGTAAATTGTTCAAGATCACACAGCTAATGAGCAATGAAGCTGGGATGCAAAACCAGGCAGTCTGGCACCAAAGGCTGCACTCGTAAAAGCTATGTTTTATTAGCCTCAAACACAATTGACTTGCTTATACATTACGAGACCCTGACGTTTCTTTGCCCTTGGTTCCCTATGTGTCACCCTTGCACCTGCTGGATGGTGCCCTTTTGCTCCAAAGCGCCATGTGCAAAGAAAGGATGCCAAGGAAGTTTGCACAATACACTCAGGGACGAAGGATTGACACTGTTTAATATGTTGCCTCTCCTTCCGCCACAGCCAGGGGACAGAGTTATTGGAGATTTTGAGCTAAAAGGGGGAAGGAGGAAGATTCTGGCTGGAAAAGCATTTTTCTGAACCTGCTAAACTTACCCACTTAGAAGAGTCCCCACTAAGTCCTCCACTTCATGAACACATCAGAGCTGCTCTTTATTGAAGTGCCATCAGCCTGCAGAGTTTCTCACACACATGCCTTTGATAGGCGCGCCCCCTAGTGGACCAGAGAACAGATTCAACCCTAACTGCCCACAAATGTCCCTCCTAAGGCACCACAATGCGTGCTAAATAGGAAAGGAGTTTGGAAAAACAGGACTGGAAGAAACCTGTCTCTTCACCTGGTGTTCAATAACCATTCCTGAGAAATTGTGTCTGGAGTTAAAGTTAATTACCGTAAAAAGTAAGAAGAACGAAGGTCAAGTATTATCATGGTAATGAATCATAGGTCATTTGTTTTTAAAATTTTTCCCTTAAAATAGTTCCTCTAAAAATATGAAAACGGGCTGAACATGGTGGCCCACATCTGTAATCCCAGCATTTTGGGAGGCTGAGGTGGGAGGTGGAGGTTGCAGTGAGCCATGATGATGCCACTGCACTCCAGCCTGGGCAAAAGAACAAGACCCTGTCTCAAAACAAAACAAAGTTTTAAAAGTACAATTATTCATGCATCCCCTTTTCAGAAGGAGTCCACAGGTCATGGGTGCTTCTGAAATTAGATTACTCCCAGCAATAAGTACTCCTCCTTGCTCCCTCCCCATGCCGGAGTAGGAAGAAGGGAGTAACATATCCCATACGAAAGTCACCAAACAGATGGAAATGGTGGCAACAGCACATGCCTTGCAGCAAGAGCAAAACATGGGCCAACTCTTCACCTGAGACAGTGACAGAGAGCTTGTGTTAGGACTGTCCTTAGGGGCCCCACTGCACCAGTTTGGATGTCCTTTCTCAATGCAGCTGACAGCAAAGGTGGATCACAGAAGAAAGATCTGCAAGTATTCTAAGTGGGAGTTCTTGATCTCTCTGCACCCCTAGGAAGTATGATGATGCTACACTGAAGTGGAAATGGCCCCACGAGACCTTGAGTTATCTGAGAAGAGCCCACTGTGCAGAGGCCCTGCCCCATGACTTAATGTGCTTGGTTCACTTGGTTCAATGACAGGAAATAAACCTGATCTTCTTCAGTTTTTCAAGAGAGCTTTCCAAAGCTAACCTTTTCTTTCCTACATGTGCAGCTACAACTTGTTTTTTATCCCCCCACAGACAGATAGGGTTTCGCTCTGTTGCCCAGGCTGGAATTCAGTGATGTAATCATAGCTTGCTGCAGCCTTGACCTTCTGGGCTCAAGAGATCCTCCTGCCTCAGCCTCCCAAGCAGCTGGGACTACAGACGCATGCCACCAGGCCAAGCTAATTAATTTTTTTTTTTTTTTTGTAGAGACAAGAGTGTGACTTTATTGCCCAGGCTAGTCTTGAACTCCTGGCCTCAAGTGATCCTCTCTCCTCTGCCTCCCAAACTGCTGAAATTATAGGAGAGAGCCACTGTGCCCAACTAGCAGCTACAACTTTAAGACAACTCTGCATATAAAATTAAACATGAAGACAGTGCATGCCATTCTCTCTGTCATTTGACCAAAAGCATCCAAGAAAGACAGCACAGAGGCAACCCTGAACATGTACAGGCAGGGTGCTGGCAATCCTCTCTTCACCTGTGACGAATGGGCCACCTGAAAAGGATGCCCACCTGCCAATCAGTGAAGTGTGCAACCAAACTCCCTGACAGTTTTTGCTTGACCCATCAGCAGCTTCATAGGCCACCCACTTTCGCTTCTCTTCCCTTTTAAAATTCCCCTTTATGGCCAGGCGCCATGGCTCACACCTGTAATCCAAGCACCTTGGGAGGCCAAGGCGGGTGGGTCGCTTGAGCTCAAGAGTTTGAGACCAGCCTGGGCAACATGGTGAAATGCTGTCTCTACCACAAATACAAAAAAATAGCTGGGCCTGGTGGTGAGCGCCTGTGGTCCTGAGGTGGTAGGATAGCTGGAGCCCAGGAGGCAGTTGAGCCGAGATCGCACCACTGCACTCCAGCCTGGGTGACAAAGTGAGACTCTGTCTCAATAAAAAAAAAAAAAATACAAATAAAAATAAATTCCCCTTAATATTTTTAGGAGTGAGGAAAGAAAAGTTAGAGATAAAAAGAAAAGAATGCTCAAGAGGCTCGAATGCTCCCTACCATTAAAACAGAAATCTCAACAGTACCTCTGAACATACAGCTCCAGAAATGGCTACTGTTTAAAAAATTGAAAAATGATTCTAAAAGATTCTATTTACCTGAGAACCACATGTCAAGAGTCAGATCAAACTTCCCCATACAGCTTTGCATAACTCCCCACCAATGCTGGTTCACTTTAACTCCCTTTACTACCCTGCCCTCCTCACGTTATTACTGTCACATATTTTAATAATGGGACAGTACTTTCAACCCCCAAATACATTATTATTGTTTTTACAGCCAACATTCATAGACTTTCCATTTCCAGTGCATTCTTTCCTATATTTCCATGTTAAAGCAGAAAGCAAAAATTGCTTGCCCTACTTAAAATACTTTCATGACAGAGTAAGGAAAAATAACTGGGAATGAGAGTTGGGAGACTCAGGTCCTGGGAAAAAGCCCATCTGCCATGAACATCAGGCAAATCCCATTTAATAGGGGGGCCAGTTGCACATCCAACAATGCTTCTAGTTCCTACCGGGTCCTGATGAAAGCTTTAGAGCCCTCTAAGGAGACCCCAAGAACCCCTGTCTTGGCCTTTAAACTTTAAACAACTTCAAACGTTTCAGGCTTATAAGCAGGGTTGCAACGTAACAGAATGTCCCAGCAGCTGGTCAGCCAGAGTTCAGGGGACTGGCTGAGAGCCAATGGCTGTGTGTTTGCGCCATCTGGTGGCTATTTCTGCTCTGGTTCACTAAGGAATTTCCTGGCTTGTTGGGGCCAGGGATGCCTCAGAAGTTATTAGAACTGAGGTCTGCAGCATTTCAGATAGGAAAAGAGAGAGTCCGGTCTGATCAAAGTGTCAAGGAGGCTGACAGTGTAAGATCTGGTCCCTGAGGAACAGGCACATCTCTGTGAGTTCATGCAGCCTGAACCATCCCAGGTAATCCCTTTACCCATGTCCCCCAAGGATCCTTCAGGTGAAAGGGGCTGACTGGGTCTGGTGGACTGGCTAGGACTGGCAGAGCTTCCCTGCAGAGCACCCCGGGACCTCCTGCATTCTATATAGCTATAACTGTATAAGATTTCAGTAAATGTGTGTTTTTAAATATACTGTTATTTTACTTTTAGGTTTATGGGTTAAATCTAAAATGTATTTGAAAGCAAAGTACTTGTTTCAGAATACTATCCCAGTTATTAATAAGGGATATAGGGAAAAGTGATTCGATTGACAAAAACCTGCATTATCTTGTGCTTTCCAGAGATGCTCTGTGGCAAAAAGAGAATACCACAAAAATTAAGTGAATGTCAAAATTTAATTTCTCCAATTCCCATAAATGTATTCTAGATTCTTACTAATGCTGTCCTTGTACTCCAAGAGACTGCACCACATTCTTAGTGATGAAAGCCTATGATAAAATCACACTGGGATCGGTGCTGAAATATAAGGCAAGTCCACCATAGACTGGCTTCTCTTCACCTAGAATGATTTTTCTGAGAATTCACCAGGTTTTGGGGATGCGGTATTTTGGTATAGCAGCCATTTCAAGGCAGTTTCTGGCTTTAAAATAAATGAATTGAAACACAGTAAGTTATAATACTTCCCCTGTGAATTCCAACATGGTACTACTGAGCAGTACTGAATGATCTGTAGAAATTATTTAGCTTTTCCTTCTTACTGTAATTTATACTTCCCTCAGGTGGCCATTTTTCCCCATCAGAGAGAGAATATGGGGCCAGGCCATAGTGCAGGAAAAAAATGAGCCACCTCTTTTTCAGGGTTTGTGGGTCAAATTGGTCCCAATGGCTTAGGATGTATTTCAAGGGTGAGCCTGTTGATGTCTCAGTGTTTTCCATCTGAAAGACAAAACCGCCCATGGTTTTGGTTTGTTTCTCCCCCTCCCCAAGAACCCACAACTGTCCCTGGACCCTGCTGATCGGAATAGTTGTGCTCACTAATGCAGTAGCAGAAACAACCCCTCCCCAAGAACCCACAACGGTCCCTGGACCCTGCTGATCAGAATAGTTGCACTCACTGATGCAGCAGCAGAAACACTAGTTTTCCTCCCAGACCACAAGGAGGACCAAGAAGGTCAGATTTAGTGGCCTTTATTGACACATTCTCGAAAACCTGGACCCTTGCCTGTCCTCCTAGACCACAAAGAGGACTGAGCAAAATTGTATTTAATGGCCCTTACTGACACATTCTCGAAAACCTGTTAGAGTCTTAAGCATTCTCCCGTTAGTATTGGGACCTTACCCATGTCCTATAAAGATGTTATGCCCGAAAAATGAAGTGGAGGGTCGTACCCTGAGGGAGGGAAGGGATCTCCAGAGTTGGAAGAGTGATGTCTTTTGTCCTCACTTATATGAATAGGAAGGATACAATTTCTGAGGCTCACCATATCCTAGCTTCAGGAATAGCTTTTGTTAGGCCTGATTGTCTGAGGAGGGATCCTAAAATTCCAGATAGTCCCCCTACAATGGGGCTTTGGGCAAAAATTACATCTTTCTGATTGGTGAGCCCGGGCACCTAAAGAAGGTAACAGAGTCCTGGAGTTTATACTAGAAATAATTCTTATAGGAGAAACTAGAAAAGCACCAGAGACAGGGAGTGGTTTTTTAGAAGTGGGACTAGCCTCAGAGAAGAGAGGCGAGAGGAAGTTTGTCTGGCAGGCATTAGGACCCAGGCGGCAAGGGTCAGAATAGATAGGATAGATGGGCGAGTCTGCTTGGACGACATGCCTTTGAGAGTTCTGCTCATGGCTGCAGGGTCAACCAACTTGTTGTTGGGATCCCAGAGCTGAATGGCTTTCCTCTCTGTCGACCCTCGGCTCAGCCCAGAAGTACAGGAAAAGCAGAAGCTGGTTCCAGGCAAACCAACGCTCCCAACTCCGAAGAGTCAGGGATTGTTAGAGAGCCCTTTCCCAGAAAGCCTGACACGTGTGTCTTTAGTCTGGCAGCCACGCTAGTCGCTTTTAACTGGCCAACAGGTGCCCAGTATTTAGCCCCCGAATTCTAAGGAAAAATAGGACAGAATAGCAAGCAAAAGGGGTCCGACGGTACTCACCATTTGGCAATAGGCATTAGTCTCACCGCCTGGCGATGGGCGATGGTCCCATCTGGGTGGCCAAAATGTGTCTGGAATTGGTGGGTTCTTGGTCTTGCTGACTTCAAGAATGAAGCCATGGACCCTCACAGTGAGTGTTACAGTTCTTAAAGATGGTGTGTCCAGAGTTTGTTCCTTCTGATGTTCGGACATGTCCAGAGTTTCTTCCTTCTGGTGGGTTCGTGGTCTCGCTGACTTCAAGAGTGAAGCTGCAGACCTTCGCGGTGAGTGTTACAGTTCATAAAGGCGGCATGTCTGGAGTTGTTCATTCCTCCTGGTGGGTTCCTGGTCTCGGTGACTTCAGGAATGAAGCTGCAGACCTTCGCGGTGAGTGTTACACCTCATAAAGGCGGCACAGACCCAAAGAGTGAGCAGCAGCAAGATTTATTGCAAAGAGCAAAAGAACAAAGCTTCCACAGCATGGAAGGCGACCCAAAGGGGTTGCCGCTGCTGGCGCAGGTGGCCTGCTTTTTTTTCCCTTCTTTGGCCCCGCCCATATCCTGCCGATTGGTCCATTTTAAAGAGAGCGCATTGGTCCATTTTACAGAGTGCTGATTGGTCTGTTCTGACAGCATGCTGACTGGTGCATTTACAAACCTTTAGCTAGACACAGAGCACTGATTGGTGCATTTACAATCCTTTAGCTAGAAAGAAAAGTTCTCCAAGTCCCCCACCCGATTAGCTAGACACAGAGTGCTGACTGGTGTGTTTACAAACCTTTAGCTAGACACAGAGTGCTGATTGGTGCGTTTACAATCCTATAGCTAGGCAGAAAAGTTCTCCAAGTCCCCTACCTGATTAGCTAGACACAGACAGCTGATTGGTGCATTTACAAACCTTTAGCTAGACACAGAGTACTGATTGGTGCGTTTACAATCCTTTAGCTAGACACACAATTCTCCAAGTCCCCACCCAACCCAGAAGCCCAGCCGGCTTCACCTCTCATTACCATTTAAGAGCAGACTTTCTCTTCCCCACTTATCACAGACGGGACCCTCTGGGATTCTCCTCTCCATAGTTTACTGCTGCCCAAAAGCTCCCTGGGGACTTCCAAGTATAGTAGACTCTTCTTATTTGCAGTAGTTATGTCCTAGAAAGTTGCTGCAAATAAGTTAACAACTACTGAACCATTGCTCCTAGGAACAATATTAAATTGTTTCTGCGAGCCTCTGACCATAACGCTTTTGCCAACCAGTGAATATATAACCTTCTTTTATGTGTGTTTCTGTTTAAAGACACCCTATTTAGTATATGTTGTTGATTTGTTAACAATGAATGCTCAGCCAACAGTGCTGTAACTACTGCCACAACAAAGCTTAACAAACCCATATATTTTCGTATTTTTTCTGCGTGGCATGTCACAGCCTTCTTACACTTCGGAACATAAAAACAGCACTTCAGCACTACATTTAAGGGCCATTTGAAACTGAAATTACCATCAGAAAGCAGGAAGCACAAAAATGAGAAAAACGTGGCCTAGACAGACTGGGAAAGGGACACCTGTTTGAAGCATGAGAGCTGAAACAGGAAGGCAGGGTGGTGGCTTGGTGTCTTGTTCGACTTCAGCTGGAACATCTGAGTTGGGCAACTCAGATTTTTTGCCACTGTGCATTTTCCAAGAATGATCTAAAAAAGCATGTTGAATATTGATTTGGGCATTACAAATAAATTTTAGCAAAAAGGCAAATTTGCAAATACGGAATCCATGAATAATGAGGACTGACTGTATATTGCAAAGCCCTTTGAATTTAAAATTCTTCTATAACCTTTCCCTCACTCCAAAAGGCAACTCTACTTCCCTCTCTGCAACATAAACATTGGCCATGATAAATGACCTGCAGTTTCCCAAGCACCCAGTGTTCTTTCACCTTTAACTGTTACTTTCACCACGGATTTTCACACTACCCTCCTAGGGACAACCTACAACTCTCACGTTCTGCTATCACCATCTCTCACGGTGTCACAGAGCACTGGACGCCATTCCAATAATATTAATATCAATCATAAGATCGTAATAATAGCATCTAGATTCACAGACTATGTAGCAAGCACTGCTCTGAACAACTTCCAAGTATCTACTAATTTAATCTACACAACACACATATTGATAGAGAAAATTATTATCCCTCATTTTAAAGAATAAAAAACAGAAACATGAAAATGTCAAGTACCTTGCCCAAGTCACTCAGCCTGTGATTGGTAGAGTCAGAAATCGATGTCAGCAACCCAAATCTACAGCCCAAGCTTAATCACAATGTTACTCTCACAATGACTGTTGAAGCCTAGTAGCATTTAGACAAAGACGCTTCCTTCCGTAGTATTAGGATGGGGACAGAGATAGAGAAGGAAAAATATAAATATGCAGTTCATTTCATTCCCTGCCATCTCTATTTGCTGAAAAAATATTATTAAGATGACACCAACCCCTGCATATGTAATTTTGTGTAATTATACTTGTGTAACTACAGATAATTATCTTCCATCACCCAAGAAGGTAGAAAATCCTCTTAAAAATTTGAACATGAATCTTAATTCTGAAATGTTTTCACCATTACCCATAACCTCTTCCACCTTCACATTTTAGTCATTTTTCCCTCCAGGATGATCCTGAAATATGATGAAATTTTTTTGTAAAATATTTCATGTTAAAACACATTATATTGTTGAGAAACAATTTCTTTTTTTAAAAAAAAAAAGCTTATTTTCTCTGCAGTCAAGATAAAGGAAAGGAAAACAAAGCAGCTAGAAAAAAAAAAGCCTTGTCTGATTTTAATATCTGCTTTGATTCAGAAGGGATCAGAAAGATGAACTACAGACATCTCCTTTTTCATGCTTGTCCGGTAGACTGAACAAGGAAAAATTCACAAATAGAGAGACTACAAATTGGAAATAAACCAGAGACAAATTCTGAAAGGGCTCTAGCCAGGAACACAACACTTTGCAGAGTGTGAAAGCCATGGTGCACAGGTCTTGGCGGCTACAATCAAGAGGGACAACTTTGTATACAGCATTTCCCCTGTTCTCAAAATAAAGTCATCCTAGAGGTGAGAGTCTGCCTTCCATTACTCTCAGGAATCCATATGCCCTTCCTTAGAAGCTCCACTAAAAATAGCATTATCCCGGCAGGGCACGGTGGCTCACGCCTGTAATCCCAGCACTTTGGGAGGCCAAAGTGGGTGGTTCACCTGAGATCAGAAGTTCGAGAGCAGCCTGGCCAACATGGCGAAACCCTGTCTCTACTAAAAATACAAAAAATTAGCTGGGTGTGGTGGCGCACTCCTGTAGTCCCAGCTATTCAGGATGCTGAGGCAGGAGAATCCTTGAACCTGGGAGATGGAGGTTACAGTGAGCAAAGATTGCACCACTGCACTCCAGCCTGGGTGACAGAGCGAGACTCTGTCTCAAAAAAAAGAATAGCATTATCCCAGACAACTCTGTCTCTTCCCACCAGGGGACCTACAAAGGCCTGTCCATTTTGAAACCACAGAATCAATAACAAGAGATCTTAGAAGATGGCTGGTGTAGTGCCTCATGCTTGTAATCCCAGCACTTTGAGAGGCCGAGGTGGGTGGATCACCTGAGGTCAGGAGTTTGAGACCAGCCTGGCCAACATGGTGAAACCCGTCTCTACTAAAAATACAAACATTAGCTGGGTGTGGTGGTGGGCACCCGACAAGAGCAAAACTCTACCAAAAACAAACAAACAAACAAACAAAAAACGAGATCTCAGAAGATGAAGCAGCTTTTCTGTGTTATGACTAAACTTACAAGCCACTCAGCCACCTAGATTGTGACTTTAGAATTATTTTATCAGAAAAATTTGCTCCATTGGGATGTTGTGCTGAGAAGGAATGTGATGCCCATCTGCCTCCTCAAAGGTGTTGTGGTTTATTACCTTTTAATAAACTGTTCTTCTTGCCTTGTTGGCGCAATGGCCACTTTTACCTTGGAAAACTTAAAAGGCTGCAGATGATTTCTATGATGTGTTCTCTCCAAAAGGAAGAAAGGGAAGTAGCACTGGCTGAGTGCACCTTGGTTCCAGCTGCTGTGCTAGTCGCTGGTAGACGGTCCTGTGGGGCCCTCCCATAATCTCAAAACAGAAAAGATGCTGCCCAGTTTCACAGCTGAGAAAACCCATGCCCAAACAGGTTAAATGACTGAACCACTGGCCCATGGCTCAAAAGGAGGAAAGCTAAAATTAAATCTAGGCCCAGTGAACTCCAAAGCCTTGTCATGTAATGCTTGCTGGGCATTGCCTACTTGGGAGCAGAAACATGAGAAATAGCAGTCTTAATCTTATGAACTGAACTTTTCTTCAAAGTGATCCAAAAGATGATCCAAACCTCAAATTAATCCTTAAAGTTCAGTAAGGAGTTTAACAGGCAAGATGATTCCTCTTTGGGAAGTACAGAGAGAATTCTGCACGAGACTGCTTACAGCATCTAGAGATTTTGCAGCCAGACCCTGATATCATCAGCCAGCTTTCAGCGTTTTTGCAAGACCGTCTCTAGGTGGTGCAATGACCATGCGGTTCTGTTTACTGAGGCCTGTCTATTTCTGGCTGGCTGGGTATTCAAAAGTGAAAATATCTGCTTGTCAAAAGTTACTGGATCATTTCCAGCACTCAAAATCATTACTAAATAGTCGTTCCAACTTCTCAACTCTCTGATGCAAGACTGGCCTGGGAGAAGTTGCAGGGGAATAACTAAAATCAAAAACTAAAAAAGAACCATGGAAAAATAAAGAAAACCAACACTCTCTTATGATTATTCTCTGTTCAGAGTCTTTGCTTTTTCTAGGATGACTTTTCAAGTCCTCATAAGCGCTAAAGGCCTTAAAACCACCTCCAATTAACTTTCAGTTAAAAAAAAAAAACTATTATTCTGTACTCATGAAGCAGAACACTCCCCAGACAGGGAAAACTAAGACAGAGATACACCAAGACTAAACTGTACAAGGAATTAACAAGAATGTTAAGACAGATGGAGCTACATTGAGAAAATGTACTCTGATTTTGGAATACCCTGGTCATCTCACATAAGAACAGGGTCTGAAAATAAAAAGGAGATGCTTCATAGCACACACCCCCATTACAGATAGCTCTCACAGGGACCCAGATTCTATAGTAATCCTATCTCCTCCATGTGGTTGGCCCCCAACCTCTCTCTCTCCACAGTCCCTCCATACTGTGCATTCTGGGATCCAACTGCCCCCGAGGAAAATCACTACTGGGACAGAGACACATGCATCCCGGAGGCAGCACATGGAAAGAATTCAGGTTTTGGATTTTCTACATAGCTCAGAAGAAATCCAGGCACTGGCAGGAGGAGGACGATAAAATTGCAGTCACAGGAGCACCCTAGAACCAGGCTCTCCCTCAGAAGAGGAATCAATTAAGAGTATTTTCCAAATGTACATGCCCTGATTCTTCCTTGGTAATTTTGATATGACTTGAGGGTAAGAGAGATTGGGTGATTTCGCAAAGCCTCCCAAGTGACCTCGATATGTCTTGCTTACCACATAAAAGTAAAACTTGGAATTGAGGGTGAGGTAGAAAGTGAGTCCCATCCGCCTTCCCTGGACCATCGCTCTGGCAGAGGGGCTCTGCCAGCAAGGTCACTGCCACCCTGGAGCTTTGGTCATCGACACACAAGTACAGGAAACTCACCCGCTCCACCAGTCATGACATTTTTTGCTAAAATTTTAAAAAATTGATTCAACTAAAAGATAAAATGGAATGCCAAGGTCGAAACATAAAATATAATGATACAAAAATAATTTCAGAATACCTCTGTAAAGCAAGCTGCAAAGCTGAATATGCAGTAAGTATTCTTATTTAAAACGTCATATTAAAACTAACACTATAAAAACAATAACTGGACAGAGTGTTAGTTTTTTAGGTTTTTAGGTTTTTTTAGTTTAAGAAACACTACTGGAGAGAGTTAAAAAAAAAATGAACACTGCTGGTTAAAATGGACATGACTTTCTGTGTGTGGAAAGCAATTAGACAGTATCAAAAGCCTTGAAAACATATCTCATACAAAGTACAGTTCCACAAATTTATCCTAATAATGTGATCATGGGTGTGCATACATTCTGGGCTGTAAGATATTAATTATAGACTTATGGTAATTTCAAAGCATTGAATCATTTAGTAAAAGGGCTTGGTTAAATAAATTGTATTACATCTAAATAATGAAAAACAAATCAGTAATGAAACACAGTAATATGAAAACATTTTCAAAGAATATTCCCATGAAAGACAAGCCTTCTCAAATAACACATAAAGCATGATACCATTTGTCAAACTATGTATAAATATTATTATTAGTATATATACAGATATATACATTGTGTGTATATATATATATTTGGGTGTGTCTGTATATATGTATATGCATGAATATGTATATATATAAAATATATACACCTTATATATATACACACACAGACACACACATACAGATATATAGCTTATATATTTTTTTCCAAGGAAAGAGTATTTGGAACTATAAAATAATGCCTGGTGATTTCTAATCACCGAAGCCAAAATCTCAGTAATGCCATTTATGATGGGGATTAAAATTGAAATCCAATTTTACAACTGCAGAATTTGATATTAGCCGAAGGTCACTCAGAGACTTCATGGGGAGAAAATCGAGAATATAGTGCAAACAGAAATGAAAACAATGGATTATATTCAGGACAAGCTGTGTTCTGATTTGCAAACTAAAAAAAAAATCTAGGAGACAACCTATTAGCATTCATAGCAAGAGAGACCTTTTAAGAAAACATAAATTGTGTTAATGTCATCAGGATTAAATTTCAGGAGACTTTCAATTTGACTTTGATATAAAATTGATGTATGTAAGTAATCAACTCAATAACCCAATAATAAGATCCATCACTCATTTAAGGCAAACACAAATCTTAAGCATCTTGTGAAATAGATTTAATGAAGTCGAGATACATTCCGGGCTAACTACTCTCGGTTACACTTAATCAGAACTGAATAAACAAATGCAGTATTAGTCACACTTGTGCAAGTTATTCCATTTCACTGAAGCCAGAAGAGATTTTCATGTGATCCTGTTTAAACCAGCTAAACATCTGGAAATGTGGAAACTATTCCGTAAAGCGCAAGAGGACCACACGCTCGGAAGAGACATCAGTTATGTGGCTGAGGTCAGGCCCGGGGAGGCTGGAGGGAGAGCGCATACTGGAGATAGCTTACTTACAATGAACCCAAGCTTCTTATAATCTCGCGTGTACATGGACTTGCGTTTCTCCATGCTGCCACTGCTGTTGTTAGGTTCAGACTCAGCATCAAAAGCAATTCTTCGAAGTTCAAATATGATGTCCCTCTGAGCCTGAAGGAATCAGGGAGTAAAAAGAAAAGGGAGGGGAAAAAGCTGCTTTCATTGTGTGACATTACATATACTCCCTCTTTCCCTGGGGTCTAAATGAATCACTGCATTCAGGCAAAAGAAAAACAGATAAAAGAGAACCAATGTTCTAAGTTAGGGCTTTGCAGACCACTCTTCCCCCGTCAGTCTCCCTGCTGGTCAGGCCTGGCTGTATTCCACAGTGGTCCTCTTAGCCAAGTAGTTATCTGGAGCACGAATATTGATAGTCCAGTGCAGTCTTAACTGAGAGGCCCAGATATGATGGAAGGGTCGTGATTGGAGAAAGCTAAGCTAGAGAAACTGGGGATACTGTACAGTTGGGAACAAAGTAAGAAGCACCCAAAGTGCCTCACCCCACTAAGTTACTTCATGGAAACCAACACAGGACAAAAAAGAAAGAAAGGGTCAAAGGTGCAAACAACCCAAGTGTCCATCCAAGGGTAAATGGATGAACAAAATGTGGTGTGGACATACAATGGGATACTATCCAGGCTTTGAAAGAGGGCAATCCCAGTAGATGCTACAATCTGGATGAGCTTTGAAGATATTATGCTGAGTGAAATAAACCAGACACAGAAATATGCATATTGTCCAATTTCAATTATATGAGGTCCCTGGAGTAGTCAAATTCATAGACAGAAACTAGAATGGTGGTTACCAGGGACTAAGAGGACAGGGGAATGGGGAGTTAGTGTTTAATGGGTACAGAGTTTCAGTTCTGCAAGATAAAAAGAGTTCTGGAGATAGATGGTGGTGACAGTTTCCTAACAATGTGAATGTACTTAATGCCACTAGACTGTACACTTAAGAATGGTTAAAATAGTAAACTTTCTGTTATACATATCCCACCACAATAAAATACATAAATAAATTTTTAAAAGGGTTTCCAAGCAAAGAGCGTCATGTCATTCAATATTAAGAGGCATTGCTCTCTGCCACTAGAAGTGGTAAGATGACAGTCTCCTCTCCCTGGGATGACCACACCTTGCCAAAAACGTGGGGCACATTCACCGCCTCTCAAAGCCTCTCCATCATTCTTAACCGTATGGCCTTGCTCCATGAATGAAGTGCCACGGCAGCTACACACTTCACATATGCAGTTCACATCTGCAACAGATCAGGCCCTCACGTGCCAATAATGAGTGTTTTCCTTTCCAAAGCTGCAGCGCTGTTTAAGTTGAAAATGTGCTACGGCAGGGCTCCCAGCTGTTTCCTCTCACTCTACCCTCACACAGCAAAGGTCCCCAAAGCCTTCTGAATGGAGCTATAACCTTTCATGCACAACAAGAGACCCAGCAGAGAGTTACAGCCAACAGCCAACCGACAGAAATGCTGGCCCAGAAATCAGGTTTAATCTGGGACCCTGCTCTTGGCACTGATCCCTGGAGAACGAAAATTGCTAACTCAACCCCACAGAATCAATGCCACATAGAGTCACCAAGAGGCCCTAGTTGTCTGGGAACTTGACTCCAAAGCTACTACTATTAAATGTTACTTGGGGCCAGGAGCTAAAGTCTGTGGTCATGTGACATCAAACTTTCTTATTCAATAAATGCAGAAAGAACATGCATGTTTGGAGCCTAATGGAAGAATGCATTTGGTATATTTTCTGATCCTAGATTCACCTAATTTTGAAGCCATGCCCCTAAGTTCTGAGATGATAATAAAATGACATCATATCAAACTCTGAAACTCCCTAGTTTCAGGGTACCTCAAGAAAAGACTTTTAATGACACTTTCTGTCCTTCCTGTGCTTTGACTGCTGTCCAATGAGCACTCACCTGGTCCTGGGGGTCCATTTTGGTCATCATCCTGTCTTCCAGGAGGTTAAAGGTGAGCACTTGTAGAACATACAGCTGGTGCGCCATCTCATTGTTGATGGCCCGCTGGGCTCGGATGACATGCTAGGGAGATGGTTCACAAATGAAATTTTTTAAAAAAGAAAGAAAAGGAAACAACTAGAATTAACACTCAAGAAGGCTCTCACAGTCTTCACTGGGAGGTATAAGGAATGGAGAAGGAAGGTGAGGGCACAGGGAATTTCAGAGCTTTCCTTTGAATTTCAGAGCCCAGTAAGGTTCCTGATCTTCAGGTCACAGGCCATGAAAAAACCTACTGTGGGCAGGAGGGAGTGGAAGGGGAAAAGCGCTGGAAAGGGACTGATGATGGCAGCCATATAAGTCAAGAGAAGATGTGCTTGAAATGGGGGTGTCTCCAAGACAACTGTGGATTTCTACAATGGAAGCATCTGTCACACGCAGCAGAAAAACCAATGATGCATACCCATAGGAAGCAATTTTGCCATTATCTTACCCTGGGACTGTCTCTGACAGGTGAGCCCACTTCAAAATGGGGAAAAGTTTTAGAAGGAACACACAAAAGCAAAATACCCATCAAATCTTAATCCACTGTGGGAGCTACACAAGGATGTCTACCATCAAAAGCAGAGAGCAAATGCTCGTGAATTACTTTACTCACTGTTAACAATTAAATGAAAGATAAAATGACTTTTCCCCATAGAAACAGAACTGAAAAGAGAACATACAAGGAGTGGCAGGACAGGAAGACTGGATAGGTCCACCCCCAATCCCCTCACCCCTGCCCAGAAATGGGACAGCTGCCACCAACTCAACATTCAGCATTTGGGACTAACATACAGCCTTTTCAACAGAGATTCTGACTGTACATTAAAAATGCCAAACAATGGATCAATGTGGTGGAACAACCCATCAAATCAGTTATTTCAACTGTGCTAGCCCCACTCATGCCATGTTATCTGAAAGACCAATTCTCTTGGCAATCTGTAGTTGCTCCTGGGTAGACAGACTGCTGCAAACCAACTTCTAAGTGGCCGTTCAGTAAATGACAAAGCTCCCCATTGTAGAGAAAAATGATCTTCCTCCAGGATTGGAGGAAGTCTAGGTCCTTAGAGTGCTGCCTGGGTGACTCTCAACCTGACATCCACCTGCAATCCACACCATAGCTGTCAGTGCCATGCTGAAATAGCTAATTCAAGGAGGAGGGGTGGGAGAAGATTGAGGAATAGAAGAAAGAGGACAGGGAGGAATGAGAGAATACAGTCACCAAACCAAAATTATGGGAAGCAGGGAAGCTAGATAACGGATGGTTAGGAGCAAATCAAACCCCTTATCCTCCAATCCTCAGAAAAGCATGTTAACTCATGGCACACACTTAGTATCCAAAGCGTATGGGAATCTCTTTTCTTAGCAACTCGAAAGTACTGCACTCCAAGTTCTTGCAGGAGAGTACCAACCTCGAACTTCAGCCATCAACAACATCTCATACAAGAAGTCCCACTGAAGCAAACTGATTTTTGAGACAGGGTGAACACAGTCATTAATGCCACTCATATCTCAGGGCATTCTAACCCTGACTCCCACATCAAGGTAATATGAAGACACTGAGCTACCCATTGATGCTGCTGCTTCTACATTTACTGAGAGCCAATATAAAGAAGGACAGTAATTATGAATACTTCTGCACTTCCAAAACCACAATTGGACCTAGAATGTATTAAGATGCTCTCCCAAGATTCATTTCAGATTTCAGTTCCAGAGGGAAAAGGTTTATCTTTCCCGAAGAACTGGGGGACCTCTTTTTATCAAACAATGAAAGTTACACTCATACATTTCTTGTCATCTTTGACAGCCAGGAAGTTTAAAATTGAACTAACTTGGTCACAAATTGCTGGCATTACCACTGGCTTTGGGATCTAGAACATTTATTTTCAACATTAATTTTTGATGGCTTACTTGTATTGGTGGGAGAGGGAGGGGGGATAGTGTGTGTGTGTATTAGACATTTGTTTCTGCTGTTGGGACATCTGGGACCTTGTTGACCCTGAAGAGACTGCTCCTCCCAGGTCTAGCCAATTCCTAGAGATAATAAATGACTCCTTTCATATGCAAATGAATCAGTCCAGAGCCTTGGCACCCACCCCCCACTCCTCTACAAGCTCTGGCTCCTACTCTTAGGACCACTGTTCTCCTGCCCTAACCACCCAGGGCCAGGTACCAGACAACTGGAGACAGCCCATAAACTCCAAAGCCCACTGAAATTATTCAAACTAGCCAATCCTAAACCTGCTCAGCCAGCTTACCTGGCCTCACATATCCCTTCCCTCAAAAACCACAGTAAGGGCTCTCGCCCAGGTCTCCTTGGGCTTCCCCTGCCTCCTGACTCAGGAGCTTCCCCTGCCCCGACAATCCCCCAGTGGCACGGCATGCCCCCTCCTTTGGGGAACTATAATTAACAAACTTTTCAATGCCAGCCACCTCCTGATCTGTTGGCCTCACCATACTTGAATAATAATAAAACCTGCATTTGAGGACCAAGTGTTTTTAACTGTAAGCTTGCTGAACTGCTCTTTGGAATCACGCAAACAGAGATTTTTCTTTTTCTTTCTTTTCCTCTTTTCCTTTTTTTTTTTTTCTTTTTTGTAAGCAGGGCAATCAATCAACCTGCTTCTTTCAAGTAGCTGGTAAGTCAAATAGCGGGTAAGGCCTCAGGAAATCTTGTTATTTGGTTTATTTCTAAACATTTGCAAGGTGACACTTAGGGCTTTTTTTTTTTTCCACCAAGGTTTAAGGTCATCTTGCATCGCAGCGAATGAGTGGCTCCTATCTATATCTTTCCTTCCTCTCTCTTGCATGCGGGCCCCCAAAACTGATGTTCAACATCTCAGGACTTCTCTTGGTACCTGATATGTTTACAGCTAGCTTCCTCATTGAAAGAGCAAAACCTCATCAGGGTGAATCTTTTAAGCCCTGATCTCCCTAACCTGCCCCACTGAGAGAGCTATCCAACCCTTCCGGCCAGAATGCGTTCCCCCTTTCTCTCTCCAGAGCAGTTCCAGAAACCCCTCCCTCCAATCCAATGAGGCAATTCCTGTGGGAAAGCCTTTATTTATTCCAATTCCAAAAACTCACTTTTTCCTTCATTAGAGTTCCTACTGCTTCACCACAGAAGGAAGTCACAGAACAAACCACAGACTGAAGCCAAAAGAAGAGATTAACAAATGCACCAGGCCACTCCTCCCCCACAAAGAGGTCACAGCGCATAGGTACTCACTGTTAAAATGATGGAACGCAGTTGCTTCTGAGCCAAAATATTCGCCATCTCCTGTGGAAGAAAAACACACCCACACAAAGGCTTAGGTTAGAAAGCTACATTTCGACATGGCCAAAAATGACCTTATCCTGGGGTGTGCTTCGTAACTGTATATCAGCAGTATTTCTTATGAAATAATGAACTCAAACAGGCAGTAGTATTCAAATTATTTTTTTGACTGTTTTATTTAGAATGTAAAAGCAATGTCCAAAAGCAAAGGAAAGATATCTGGCACCTGCAAACTTCTTTTCTTTAGGAATTTCTTCCTTCCAGAAAAAGGTGGGTGCTAAATAAAAATCAGGCACTCCAAACAAAGCAATGGCTATTAGAAAGCCTCATCATCTTTTATTAGACTACGTACGTGCAGAAAGCTTTTATTAGGCAACACATGCCTGTAGCAAGGAGATTCCAGTATCTTCTAAAAGTCATTTCATCTTAATCTGTGCAAAACCAAAGAGTGAGTAATACATATACCAGGCTACATAAGTGATCTGAGTGGAGTTTAAGTGAAGGGCAAATATCTGGGTGATGCAAAGCTCTAGAGTCTACACTCACTGAGCTCTGCAAGGCCTGATTTCTGCAGGTTGTTTTGTGCCTTGGCATCTCCTGACTGGTATGGAGGATTCAAGGGTGATTTTATTAAAGGAAATGATGCACAGAGTCCCTTTATAAATATTGACAAGTGGAGACTAAGGGAAAATAGTATATCAAGCATAGTCTTGGAGCACTTGGAGCCTTTTAAAGTAAAAATACTGCTCATATTCAGGAAGACACTTGACCGTTGTTTTGTGGTAGGGGGTGTTTTTGGTGTTGCTACTCTTACTGAGTAGAGAAGAAACTAAGCCACGGTTTAAAAACTCAACCATGATTTCTACTAAGGTTAAAACAAATTTGCAGAAAGCAAAGAAAACCAAGAACATGGGGGGTGGGGGAGATTTCTGAGGAGGGCATACAAGCAGGGGTGGACAGGAGCAGCACAGGAGAGCAGGGCCCACTTTACGCTAACAAAGGGAACGTGGGTGACTTACAGTCAGAGGACAATCAAGGATGTCAACATTGCTCTCTACATCAACCTAACGGCGTCATCGCCACCACAGAAAGGAAAGCAAGCAGGAGAGAAGAAGGGATGGAAATTCAGAGGACTCTGTTAGAGGTTGACCACTGTATTTGAACGCCCCTGCTGACCCACTGCATTGAAAAGTGCTTAAATACTGTAAGGTGACTCAAAAAAGCTAGATGGCACTCAAGTCAACATCCAATACTAGGTCTTATACTCTTGAAAACAAGAAAGCAGGAGCAATGACGCATTGAGAAACAACTCAAATGGTAACCCAGAAGGAACCTTCCCTTCCACGAGGCATAGAAAGCAGGGCTTTCTTGCTGATCTTCATAGAAAGGCCCACTGGTGGTGGTTTTTTTGTTTCTCCTAGACCAGATGACAAATAAAAGCCTCAAAGGATCCTATAGCTGTTTTAATTTCTTTCCTTTAAAAAGATGAAATTATTGCTCATAAATAAAGACGGAAAAAAATATTTCTGTTCCTATGTTTGTCTATCAGTCTATAAAATTTAAAGTTAGAAGGGACAATGTATGTCCAACTTCTACTAAAGAAATCATTGTAATTGTCTGTTTACAATATTTATTGTCTGCATAAGACTGTGAGTCCCTCATGAGCAGAAACTGTCTTTTTCTTTTTTGTATTCCAAGCCCAAAGTACAATGTCTGACACCGAGAAGACAATAAATGTTTGATAAAATAACAAATAAATATTTTATACTACCCTCCTAAGGAACAGCAGCTTGGTCAAAGAGAAAATAGAAATATCCATGCCTCCATTTTTTGGTCTAATAGTAAGGAATTATTGGAGTAAATGTGAGAATCCATGGGGAATATTTTATAGCATTAAAATTATGTAAAAGTATAGATAGCTACAAATATGAATCCAGATATACTGACATGGAAAGATGTCCACAAAATATTGTTTAGTTTTAAAAGAAGTTTAGAAAAACTACAATGCATGTAGTATGCTCACATTTGGTGAAAAAAAATGATGTATTAGGAGAATATTTGCACAGAACAAACAGGGAAGTAGCACCATGAAAGTCACAAGAGTTGTAAATAATTGCCGTGGTTCTGCCTCTGGGAATATAATTACAGGAATCTTTCAAACTTCTTCCTTTTGAGTCAGTATTTTCTGATTTTTCTACCAAATCTTTTAACTAACAAGTTTTTTAAATAGTGCTTATCAAAAGTATAAGTATTTGTAGAGAAATTTGGAAGGGATCTCACCAACATATTTGCCATTGAAATAGTGAACTGAATAATGGTAAAAGTTGTAAGCAAAAGGATCCATTTGCCCGCCTAACAGCAACCTCCTCCCCGACAAAACTAGCCCAGCCCTTCCCTCCGTTTGTGCCAGGAAACTGAGAATCTCCTACATCCCAGAGGCATGGGAAAGCAAGGCCTCCACCCCTGGGGGAACCCTAGAAGGGAAGGGAGTTCCCAGAGGAGGAAGCTTTACCCTAGGCCCCAGCACAGGCCTCTCTCAGTAAGGCCTACCTCACAGATGCAAAGGAAAAAACAGCACAGGTCCTTCTGACCATGGTGGCATTTTTTTCAGTAACAGCAGAAATAAGGTATAAGTGTTTAAAAGCATTCCAAATTCAAAGAAACCCCAGATAATGGAGTCCTGTGAATGTGTCTGGCCCCAAGTCAAAAAAAGATGAAATTTTAAAAAAGTATTTGACTGAAGTGGAATCAGGCTACTCCAAACAAAGCAATGGTTCTAAGGCTTTAAACAGATACAACAAAAAACAAACAAAAAATAGTGTTCCTGCAAATCCAGTAAATACATGTTTAGATTATATTTCAATCTAATTGGAGTGAGAAAATGGGCTTGGTGCTATCCAGGCTTCGGGGAGTTGTTTACTTGGCAAATACAGGAGAATTCTATGAGTGACATCTCTGACAGGCGTTGGATGGGATGCTTTGCAGGTAAAAGCAGGGATAAGGTTGAGACTCGAACTCTGATTCTTACCCGCTCAGTAACCTGGTCAAGTTCTTTACTCCCTTTGAGGCTCAATTTCCTTACTTATAAAACAGAAATAATGTGGCTTTCTCTGAATATGAGAATAAAATGAAATAATGTAATATAAAACACTGAACACTGCTTGGCACATGCCAGACTCTCAATAATATTATCATTGATGGCTGACTTTGGTCAATTTTCCTATTTGCCAAAAATTCAGAACTTTTAATTTTTCAGAACATACGCCAATAACAATGCCAACGTCAAATTCAGACCAGCTGAAACTTTATTTTACTTAGAACATAGAGCCCAGACTAAGGCATACAAGCTCAGCTGTTAATATAAATCCACAGCAACCCACATGATGTCACCAGTTAGCTCAGTCTTCTGCTTTACAGGCCTCTACTGACCTTCAGAAAATAATATCCAACAAACTTTTCTTCATTATGAATCTGAAATCCCTTTTTAGAGCTATCTCGCTACTCACTGAAATTTTTTTAAATTTAAAAATCATGATACTCCCTTTATTTTGATGAACAACATTCTTAATTTCAAGAGTTTATAGTTTATGAAGTCCACATCACTTTTCCATGGGCAAGTAAATTAAATACCTTGTAGGTATTTTTTAGAGCTTGAATGAATGAGTCATATAATACTTCATAAATTTCTGCTGAATTATATACAGTCTTTCTTAGTTGGAATCTTTTCTTAAATGGTTTAAGGTTATTAGACTACTCTTTGTCATGGTTTATTACTCTTTGTGGTGGTTTATTAGAATAATATATAGCCAAACTGTCTCCTGTCAGTCTTATGTTGCATAGTTTTCAAAGAAAGACTTGATTCACAAAATCCAAACCTAATCTTATATCGACATTCCATTATATTACCATTATTATCAATGTCCTGAAGTTAGTACAGATTGACACCTGATTCCCTATTTGTCCATGGTCATGAGAGTCCAATTTAACAAATGAACAGTAGTGTTTGGTATAAAATAAGATGCAGTAAGCATTTTACTCATGTCTAGATTCAGAGATCCAAGTGAAATGGCCTTTAGAGTGGGCATGAACTTTCACCTCCTCTAATCCATCCTCTTCTTTCACAGATGGGGAAAGGAAACTTCCAAGAGTTGAGATCAGAATGCAACCTTCCTGACCCCACACGCTACACTCAGCTACCATGTGGCTGGGCCAGAAGTCCCCAGTCTGGCCAGCAGAAGGACCCCGTTGCTCCAATGCCCAAGTCAAGCTTGGGTATGTACACGGTGAGAGCTTCCAGACAACTTCCGGGCTGCTTGGGAGTTATGAGTTCGGTATTTAGACTAAAATATCACAGAAGCAGCCCTATCGATGATTTCACCTCAGATCTGCAAAGCCACTCCTAAAAATCCAGCCACGGTAAGACTGCCCCTAGCACAGGCTTGTGGAGGGCAGGCACCTCCACCTGGCTCCAGCGAACACCAAATCAAACGTCCAGGAAACTATAAAGTGACACCACTACTTGTGCAAACACAGCCCCCCAGGGATGAATAAGAAATTCTAAATGGAAAACAAACCAGAACCCCTCATGTTTAGTCACTGAGGTTTAAAATCCTTGGCAATGAAAAAGCAAAATAAAATCCAAAAATTCTTGTCATAGCATTCAGTAGCAGGTTCGCTTTCTAATTTCTTCTAAACGAACTCACTGGCAACTGCCATCAAGCTCCCCAGCATAGTTTCTAGGTGAGTGAAAGAGCTCATATTCCCACCCACTTTTTTAAGGAAGGAAATTGTGACCAGGGTAACATATTACATGACATGTTGATTGAAAAAAACATGAATGGATTTTGAGGTGTGACCTAAATTCCAAGACAAGGCAAAATTCCACTTCTTCACATCCCCTCTGTAATGCTCCTTTCCTTCGTGAAGAAAGAAATAAAGGATCTACAGACAAAGGACACCATCAGAGGAAAGGTTCCATGTATGTATATTAAGGGGTTCCTTCCTTTTTTTTTCTTTTTTTTAAGATAGTCTTGCTCTGTCGCCCAAGCTGGAGTACAGCAGTGTGATGTCAGCTCACTGCAACCTCTGCCTCCCGGCTTGGTTCAAGTGATTCTCCTGCCTCAGCCTCCTGAGTAGCTGGGATTACAGGCGTGCACTATCATGCCCAGCTAATTTTTGTATATTTAGTAGAGATGGGGCTTTGCCATATTGACAAGGCTAGTCTCAGCTTCCTGACCTCAAGTGATCTGCCTACCTTGGCTTCCCAAAGGGCTGGGACTACAGGTGTGAGCCACCGCACCCGGCTCTTTTTATACAGGAGAGGAAACAGATGGCTCCAATTTCCCAGCCACATCCACACACAGAAGTAAGTAATCTCACCAAGCAAGGAGCCCCTCTGACATACGAATGCAGTTATCTCCACAAGGAGCAGCCATCTGCATATTATCCCTCCTGTCCTCTTACCTTCCATCACCTCCTTCCTTGGGAAAAACATGGCACCCCTCAGGGTCTGTTTCCTGATACAGAAAATGAGAACAGCACTTCCCTCAACCTAGTGAGCATCCCATGAAATGACAGAAGGTCGCAGGGGCTCCTAACTCTGCTTCCACCACAGCAGCGTTTTCATCTTTTTACATCTGGGCTTCCAGGTTGCATTTCATTTCATGAAAAGGCTCTACTGCTGGAACACTCCTAGCATCCCTCATCAGTCAAGGGCTTATCCATCTCTACCCACTTGCCCCTGGATTTGGGAAGGACCCCAGCGGGCCAGCCGTGCAGCGGAACATAGCTGCTCTGGAGAGTCCATCTGTGGCCAGGATAGCAGAGAGGCCCAATGAGTCCCCGAATAGAAGGAGAGGGCGTTCTCTGCACACAAAGTTCCTAGCCTTGACATAGCCATAAGACTAAAGAAATGCAACTTACCTGCCTCCTCTCATCAGGAGCCTTCAGGAAAAGCGCATTAATCACTGCAATAGTATAGGTTTGGATTTCTTGATCTGACCTGTAAAGATAGAGAACAATTCAGAAAATCAGAACACGAAGTCAGAAGAGGCTAGCCCTGGGTCAAACCATGAAAAGGCTCAAAATCAGCCCCCTCCCCCCAAAAAAAGTGAGAGAGAAAGGCAGGGCCTAGAAAATGCATTTTGCACTGAGAATGCATTTCAAACATCACAAGGTGGTAAATATACAACTACTATTACTAGCTGACAGTACACTGGTCAGTGCAGAATGCCCAGAAATATAGGCAGCCTTCTCTCTTATTCAGATTAAAGGCATAAACCTAGGGGATGTTGTAATTGATGTACTACTAGTAATAGATGTATGTATGTCTGTATGTATGTATGTGTATGTGTATGTATGTGTAATTTTCTGTCTGATACATGAAATATATCAGGGAGTAGTTTCAGATGTCTCCACATTCTTGGGCTAATTGGATGGCTCTATTATATATTCTAAAAATCTATTTCCAAATATAAACATTTCAATAACAAAAAGAACAGGTGTTTGTTTATAAATCTGATTTTCACTGGAAAGGAACCAGAAATAATAAAATGAAACAAAGCTCTAATGTAAGGCAAGTGGTAAACAGTAAATAAGGAGGACTCAAGGCATAAACAAAGAGTGACTTATGAGCTACATTTAGGAATAACTTATCAGGCCAGTGAGAGAGAGGTGGAGCTTAGAACTAGGCCAGGATAGGGTGCAAAGCCCAGTTCATCACAGGCTGGCTGAGACCTTGGACAAGTTCATGAGTATCCCCCAAGGCACAGTTACCTCATCTACAACATGGGGTTAGACACACTTATTTCATGGGATTGCTGTGAAGATAAAATGAGATTATGCATGTAAAATCCTTAGCACAGTACTTGGAGAATAATAAACTCTCCACTTTGGTAACGTGCTTTGGGATGAAGATGTGTGCCTTTGAGATTCCCACAAAAGACACAGTATATAAATTAATACAGTTCACATTCAAAGGAAATGTGAAACTGGTCTTATTTCTAGAGAAGCTACCTTACATTATCATCATTTTGAAGAATTATGATTCTGAGGCCACAATCACGGAGGCCACCACAATCCTCAGCTTCTGTGACTTAAATTTTAAATGTTGGTAATCCTCCCACCTCCAAATGAAAATAATATCTAATATAATCTGCTTTGGTAGTTTATATTATCAACACAACAGTTAACATTTCAGAGAACCATTCCCACCCTGCACCACCAACCCAAATGGGCCAATTGGGTTTCCTCTTGAGAATTTGTAATTGTGACCTAATGGACCAGGGGCAACAGTTAGGGGGAGTTGGGTCACTGTAGTGCCAACCAAAATGCTAGAGAAAAGGCCATCTGCTGAGGACTCCGGGGAAGCTATGGTTTCTCTCCTTCTCAAGGCTTAGCTACTTATGTCATTTCTGGATTCTACAAAGTACCCCAGTATTGTTCCAATAACCTCCTTTCCTGTGTAAGCAAGCTCATAATGTTTATTATCACTGCAATCCAAAATACTTGAATTTCTAAGGTAGCACTGTACAATAGAGTCCTTCTCAGGTTGGTATTGTCAGAGACAACCTTCCTAGTTACCTCAGGGAGGAAAGAAGGGGAAAAATGCCTCAAAGACTGCAGGCTGCAGGGGCAGCTATCTTATGTCCATTTTATAGCTCAAGCCACTAGAAAAAATCCTACATTTTATTATAAAATACAAAAGAAGAAGCTCACTAGAATCACCTTGAGCATAACTAAGAAAGAAGCCTGCCTTTAAAAATTCCTAGTAAAAATGCATAACATTACATTTCTAATTAACTATGAAAATACTCATTATATCACAGAAAACATTAACTTACATGGTTTAAGAAAGAGAACTTAAGAGAACAAATCATCCTGTTTTATCTTCTTAAAAGTAAAACTCTGCCAATATCTACCAATATCCATTAAAACTGAGAGCTTACCAAGGGCCAGGCGTGGGGACAGGCAATGCCAAGAACCAGCTTGGAGTTCAGTGAGGGACAGAGGCCAAGGGAAAGTAACCATGCCATTCCAGTGTGACACGTGGTTTGGTTATATGCCAAATTGAGATTCTTTTTCTGTACATTTAACCAAACTATAACAACATAAAACGTTTCCCAGTGCATTACCGTGGCCATCTTCCTGAAGCATTTCTCCTCCCCAGAGCATCTTGGCATGCTTACCCTTGCAGGTGTGGAATGAGCTGGCCGATGGTGATCTCCTGCGCCACTTTCTGGTAGAGGTCATGGCTATTGAGCACCATCGACTCCAAAATGGCCAAGGACCGCTGCAGGATCGAGATGTCTATGGCTGACTTGTTCACAAAACTTGCTATCTGAAAATCCAAGTGGGACACAATTGACTGCTCGTGGTAAGTAGAGCAGAGACGTGGAGAAGGGAACAAATGAATCAAATCGGGAACTCATTTAAGAAACACCAGGCACTGAGGATGACCTGGAATTACAGCAAAATAGCAAGAAACCCATTGAACTAGGGATTGTTCATGATATCATTACAAAGCATGATTTATCTCATCTCTATAATTCACTGATAAGCAAATGTTTTAAAAAAGACACACCTCCAAGGATTATTCTTTCTGTATTTCCTAGGATTATTCTCCTGAGTTTCATCTTTTAGGGGCAGACAATTTCAACACATATATTGTAAGGATACCTGTGTTTCTCTGGGATGGTAATGTCAACATATGTTAATTGCCATTCCTCTTGCATTCCCAGGCTACTCCTTCATCCACACAATCCATGGCTTTTATATGCTTATTATGTTCTTGTTGCATTCTTAAGGGACTCGCACAAATCTCACTTGTCAACACAATTCAACTGGCAACTTCTCAGTCACCGGCCACTCTCTTAAACGAAAAACTCGTTACCCCTTTCTTCCAATTTCTGATGGTTAAAACAAGTTCTTTTCATCTCTCCCAAATTTAGCAAACAGGAAATCATTTAAGTGAGCAGTACTAAAAGTTAAAATACTACTTTAAGCTCCAAAATAGATTCTCTAAGGAATTAATCACTAAATCCCCAAACATAATAAATCACAATGTGAGCGGAAAATAAAATAGAGGTTAGAATAATGGATCGCAGTAATCCAAACACATGGGTACCATAAAGGTTTTATTTTAGAGGCCTCATTAAAAGTTATTACTGTCTGTTGACAGCTCACAATAAAAAGCCATTATTATATCAGCATAATGACTGTTCTTAAAAGCTAAATAACTTGGTTCCACGACAAGTAAACTCTTGCTGCTTCCCCCCTGTCAACACTAATTTCTCCCTTTTTTGCTGCCCCAGAGACCACTTGCCTCATCTCCTCTCCATCTTTGCACATGATAAATGCACAGCACACCATGGCAGTTCCCAGGTACCATCGGAATTGTCCCTAGTCCGCTGATTTCCAGGTGAAAGGAGGGGTGGGAGACGCAGATACCAACACTCTGCCTACCCCAGCTACATCTGGATCTCAGGGGTGGGAAATAATGTGAAGAAGTGCAGTGACATTATGATTTTACATTCCGAAAAGCTATTATTTTAAAATACAAACTTCAGGAAGAGTATGGAAATTTTCAGGTTCTCAAAAGACTGCTTCAGCTCTTCTCATGGCTAATAACCTTCTCCGACATGTTTACTATCCTTGGCAAGCCCTTGACTTATTCCTCGCAGTCTGCTCCAATCCACCAAATCTACCATGCTAAGGCCACCCTTCTTTCCCTAGGTCCATCTTTCTCTGACAAAAATCCAATTATTGTCACACTGTGTTCAGGGTTTAATACTTAACTTAGACATCTTCTAAACAGAGGATAAATTATCTGACTCCTCCCCCACCCCACCAAACCATTTTTCACGCTCTCGGCATAATTCTTGGCACTGGTATTAGGAAACTGAAGAACTCATAAAGAAATTCATTGACAATACTTCAGATTTTCTTGCAACTAATTTT
This sequence comes from Homo sapiens, assembly GCF_000001405.40. Lineage (NCBI taxonomy): Eukaryota > Metazoa > Chordata > Mammalia > Primates > Hominidae > Homo > Homo sapiens. The sequence continues at coordinate 37,226,650 of NC_000007.14, forward strand.
CTCCTCATTCCCGGCTCCCCTGCTTGTCTCTATTTATTAAATTTGGATGTGCCTTAAGGATGCATGGAGGCTTCTGCCTGAGAAGCTGTTGCTGATATTGTCAAGCACCCTCCGCCTCCATCTTTATCCACTCTTTTCATTCAGCCAATATTTACTCATCATTAAGTGATCCATTTCAGTAACATGCATTGCGTGTGTACTATGTAACAGGCTTGCCCTGTCCCACAGAGCTGGAAATACAAAGATGAAAATAACAAACTTCAAGGACCTTACAGTCTAGTATGGACAGATAAAAAGGCATTTACTATGAAGTACACTGCGGGCCTATTCTTGGCATCCAAAAGGATGCCACCATTTGGATATTCCAAAAAAGCCAAAAATTAAAAAGGGGGATTATCAATCTCATTGTCTTCCTACTCCTCTCTTCCCAATTATCACTCTTTTCTAAGAATCCATAATCACTGGTGATTCATATTTCCAGCTGCCTATTTTATATCCCTGTGATACATCTGACATGTCTCCGTTTTGATACAGAGTATATACAAATAACACTGGCCCAGTGGTCTAACTCATTGCTGGGTTACTGAAACATAATCTTCTGCAGTTTATTTTATGTTCAAGTTTTCCATCAAATGGAAATTTACCCCCTGAATTAGTTGCCTACTTCCATAAATATCCTTTTTACAATATTTCCTTTCTTGAAATATTCAATCAGAACTCTCAGTGTTTTCTTCTTTTTTATTTTTTATTTTTTGAGACGGAATCTTGCTCTGTTGCCCAGGCTGGAGTGCAATGGTATGATCTCAGTTCACTGCAACCTCCACCTCTCCAGTTCAAGCAATTCTCCTGCCTCAGCCTCTTAAGTAGCTGGGATTACAGGCATGCACCACCACGCCAAGCTAATTTTTCTATTTTTAGTAGAGATGGCATTTCACCAGATTGGCCAGGCTGATATCGAACTCCTGACCTCAAGTAATCCACCCGCCTCGGCCTCCCAAAGTGCTGGGATTACAGGCATGAGCCACGGTACCCAGCCTACACTCAGTGTTTTCTGATATGAAGTATACCTTCTCATAATGGGTTTTAAAGTTCTCTATAAATCATTAACTCTTCTCTGCTGCCAGTGGGCTTGCTCAATGGTGGTAAAAATAATTTGCTGTCTTTGCTTTAATTCAGGCATATTTATATCCCACATACATATTCCATTTCCATTCATTATTTTTCTCCTAAGAAATGAATCCCTTACTTTCATGAAAGTATTCTTTAAAATTCATGTTCCTAGTAATTCACCTCTTCCTTGACATAAATAAACTAATCATTTCAGCAATCCTAAAGCATGTTACATAATGAGCATTTTGTGTAACACACCTGGGGCACTCAATGCATTACAGTCCTATGTACAAGTCTGAAGTAGATGCTAATGGTTTTCTGAAACTTAACTTCTTTCTTTTGTTTTATTTGTCACTGGTTTTAGCCAGATATTCAAATGACCTAATACTTCCACTTAATGAGTATTAATAACCAACGCATCAGGGCTGATCCAAGTGAATGTAATAACTGTCGTCCTCCAGGGAGCTTGAGACCAACTCCTTATAACTGAATGTATAAATTAGTTAATGGACACATGTCTCTACGTCCAGTTTGAAAACTATAGATCTTCATATAGCTAGAGAAGGTTATTCATGCCTATTTAAATTTTCATTTCCTTTATCCCCCAAAAGAGTAATAATGATTCCCTCTGCCTTTCAATTTATCCCAGCTCCATTACTGTACTTTTGGGTGACACAAGTGAGCCAACCCAAGCCAGCCACAGTACAGCTTCTCGAAAGTAGGCCTGTAACATAAGGAAGAAGCAAGAGGAGTTAGCAGTAATTAATTATACACACTAGCTCCTTGTACTGCTCATTCATTTAAAAATCTTGGCTAAATAAGAGAAATACTTATGTAACTTTTAAGAAGCTAAGGGGCATTACAGTGCATGAATCAACGATCCAATAAATACTTCTTAGAATCACTTAGAATGAGATCTTAAAATTCTCCTATGTTATCAAAACCTAAAAGAATCATGGAGGGCCGGGCACAGTGGCTCACACCTGTAATCCCAGAACTTTGGGAGGCCGAGGCGGGTGGATCACGAGGTCAGGAGATCGGCTAACATGGTGAAACCCCCATCTCTACTAAAAATACAAAAAATTAGCCAGGCGTGGTGGTGGGCTCCTGTAGTCCCAGCTACTTGGGAGGCTGAAGCAGGAGAATCGCGTGAACCCAGGAGGCAGAGGTTGCAGTGAGCCAAGATCACACCACTGCACTCCAGCCTGGGTGACGGAGCGAGACTCTGTCTCAAAAACAAAACAAAACAAAAAACCAGCCATGGAGAACATGAAGCTCCACTCCTGTATTTAAAATTATCTAGGTAGATGCCTGTAAATCTCTCAAATTTTTAAGAGGCAAAAATTACCAGGTCTCTAAAGCAAAATGGTGGGATGTTTGTCCAGGCACTGAAAACATTTGCGGGGTAAGCCAGGTTCTCCTGCACAGCTAGGGTTTCAAGAGCATTTATATGAAACTTTCCTTCCAAAAGAAGGCACTGATGTTATACTTGGCTAGGGAAAAACCAACTCATAACACCTAAAGTTTTTTTTTCTTTTCTTTCTACTCCATATTTTCTTACTCTCTCCCTAAGTAGCCGAGTCTTTAAAATGCAACATTATATATTGGTATCAAGGAATTCCAAGTTTCAGAGCTGTTTATGAAATGATGCTATTTATTGCAGCCAAAATTTGTAAACCAGAATCTAGATTCACACATAACAAAACAGATAAAGTAATAGAGAAGGAGACAGAGGCTGGCAGGGAAAAAAAATATTTCTCCAAAGTGGTATGAATTTGGCATTAATAGGAAGCCAACTCTAGACCACAGAGATAGGCATCTTTTGTCAGCCCATTTCCTAGTCGATTTTTGTTGAGATAAAGCTCCATTTAAAAGACAGTTGCCTGCATACAATTCCTGGGTTGTCAAAGTGCTGAATTTGGTCCAGCTAATGAATAAAAAAGTTAACCTTACAGAAAAGTAAGTAATTTTCTGATGACTATTTTTTCAAATTCATGTAACAGATCTCTAAGTAGCAATGCAAAGAAAATGAGACTGGGAATGAGGACATGAAATAGATTAAATGTGCTGCTTTTTAAAAAATACTTAATTTTTTATTTAAACCACCAAGACTGTCAGTCTTTACTTTCTTACATTTAATATGATTTTTGAATTAATTTCAATGAATGAAAAACATTTTCTTAAGTTGTTAGAAAATTAAATGACTGTCATTCTCTTTGGCCATTGCTCACATCATTTAAAGAAACACAGCTTTCTAATTCCTTTCCACTCATCACCGAAATTTTACTTAAAATATATTTAAATACAGTACTTTTTTTTCCTTCTCTTCTTCAAATTCTGTGGGTATTTTTAATGCTTCCAAGCAAATTTTATTCATTCATTTCACAGAAATGTATTAAGACCTTACTCTGTGCCAGGCCCCGAGGATAAAGACATGAAGAAAGCCACGTTTCTGCCTTCCTGAGGTAATACTCTATTGGGAAATACTGTTAAATGAATAAAAAATTCACCGAAATGTGACAAGTGCTGGAACAGGGGCATTCAGGAGATCCCAGGGGAACAGAGAGCAGAAGAAATTGCTTAACTCTAAGCAGTAAGGTCAGGGAGGAATATGTAAGAGACAGGCTGGTTAAGCAAGGCTCCGGGAACTATGCCTTCCACCACTTGGAAAGCACAGGTGCATGATGAGGAGGAGAAGCACCCTGACCATGTGACCAAGGACGCCCACTCACTATGTGACCTCATTCAACCTCGGCAAGCCACTGCATCCCTGCCTCCTAACCAGAAATAACAAGACTATCTGTTCTGTTCTGGAAAGGATTGCTGTGGGGAATCAAAAGAGCTAATGTTGGTGAAAGTAGAACATAATTTCAAGGAATTCACATTCAGTACAACATTGTTGTTACATTCTATAGCAAAAGAGGCTCTCATAACAGACAAGCCGGGCACTCTGGAGGTAGAAAAGAAAGCCTGCTGTAAATTCAAAAAGTTAAAATGTTTGTTAAGTATTAAAAAATCAATGATACTCACTATCTTCAGATTTGGAATTGCTTCTCTGGAACTGATCTTAGAGAGGCAAAATAGTGCCATTTATTTTTTCCTCTCATAATCTAATGCTTACATTCCCTGCCACCACCAAAGGTGGCAGGAAAGTACTTTATAACACATCGGGATGTCTTTGGCTTCTTTAGCAATTAGGTTGGTGCAAACGTAATTGCGGTTTTTGCATTACTCTTAATGGCAATTCCAACAGTTTCTTTCCTTTATGGCAATTCATACCACTGATAAATACAGGCAAAAAGGGGCCTCTTCCTTTTCTGTGTGTTTTCTACAGGGTTCCTTTTGCTCATCCCCTTTGGCTTTATGGATTTACATAAGGAAAGAGAGTTGATTCTGAGATGTGTTGAGAAGGCCCTGGGTTTCCAATCAGCTCTTGTCTTAAATGAACATAAAACATAGTGCGGACATGACACCTGTGGGGCCTCTGATCCTACCCCCCTCATTCAACCGATTAGGGCCATCTCATGTCCTTCGATTCAAGGCAACATCTCCCCTAAGATAATGATTAATTTCAAAAAAAAAAAAAGCAGCACGTTTACAGTGGGGAGATCCTACAGATGCCACCTAATCATGTAATCCAGGGTAACATCACCAGTCAGAGGACAGTGACATCATATGCCCATGAAAGGATGCACTGAGGATGTGCCATAACTTCTGTAGCATTCTTGCCAAAAATGCATAACCTTCTTTAATTGAACCATGAGGGAAATATCAGACAAATCCAAATTGAGGAACATTATACAAAATAACTGACTGTTAACTTTCAAAAGTGTCAAAATCATAAATGACAAACAAAAAACCTGAGGGACTGTCACAGACTTGGGGACACTAAGGAGGCATGACAACCAAATTCAGTGTGGGATCCTGGATCAGATCCTTAACCAGAGAAAGGCATTCATAGAAAAACAGGTGAAATCAAATGCCGGCATTGCACCACAGCTTATTTATCAATTTTGATAACCGTACTGTCATTTTGCAAAATGTTAACTTTAGGGGAGGCTGGATGAAGGGCTTATAGGAACAGTCTGTACTAATTTTTTTTTACTTTTTTGAGACAGGGTCTCACTCCGTCACCCAGACTGGAGTGTAGTGGTGCAATGTCGGCTCACTGCAACCTCTGCCTCCCAGGCTCAAGTGATTCTCCTACCTCAACCTCCCAAGTAGGCGGGATTACAGGCTCCCACCACTGCGCCCGGCTAATTTTTGTAGTTTTCATAGAGACGAGGTTTCACCATGTTGGTCAAGCTGGTCTTGAACTCCTGACCTCAAATAATCCACCTGCGCTGGCCTCCCAAAGTCCAATTTGCTGCAACTTTTCTTTAAGTCTACCATTAGTTTAAAATAAAAGGCTTAAAAACTTCAAGTGACTCTTAATGGATTTTGCTCTGATTTTCTGGCTTGCACAGATTCACTGAAATTCTCTTTCCAGTAACCGATACTTATAAAATAAAGTTATGAATTCCAAACATCTCTTTATTCCTAATACAGTAGTAGGGAGGAGAAATGCCAATGAATTTATAAACCATTTCGCAAATACAAAGAAAGGAAAAAATAAATCAATAAATGATAATTGTCCATGATTTAATCTACATTTAAGAGTGACAAGATCAAGACTGTTTATTTTTAGTCAGAAGAATGGAAACAGAGTTGCAAATTTGTTACACTTCAATTGCAAGGAATGGTAGGGCTCTTCTGCCCCATCTTCCTGCACCAGGTCCATCTTCATTTGCTTCCTCCCAAATGAAGAACTGGTAGAACTGGGTGATGTCTGAGATATTCCTTGCACCCTGATTACAAGTAAGCAGGCTCACTCTGCTTAAGACACATGGACTCAGGCATCCCTCCTTTTCATATAACCCTGCTTCAAACCTAGGTGTGCAGGTCATCAGTATACTTTGCCTCTTTCCTTTTCCCTGGACACCAGGTTGGGGATTAAAGGCTCAAGAAGGATGACAGTAGGAACTCTGTTTAGGTCTTGAAACCAACAGAGTCACACATGGGGAATTAACACACTTGTGCAGTTATTAACAGTGTGACACACTTATCTGGTCTGAGCTATGGGTGCGCACATGCAATCCCTTATAATCTCTTACAATCATTTTTATACAGAATTTGGGTTTCCTGACCCCCACATACATAATATTATAAAAAATCATACCCATCTTTTAATATAAAGAACTAAAGGAAAGACAATTATGAAACATCCTCAAAGCAGAGAAAAATAGCTATGACAGAAGACAGTAAGGAAAGCCTAAAGAGGCAGAGTCCACCTTACCTTCTTAATGAACGCCACCGAAAATGTATCCCAGGACACTATGCCATGGTCCATCAGCTCAACGAAGGCCGTCAGGGTGAAGGACAGCATGTCTCCAAAGCTGAAAAAGACAGAGAGGCACAAGAGTCAAGAGCCCCAAAGCTGAGCAAAGACACAGAAGCAAGAAAGTTCTGGGAAAGTGAATACAAGCAGAATTTTAAAAGATCAAGAGACAAATAGCAGGACCACAGGTGACTTCTTCACTAACATGAGTGACATGAAGGGGCAGGACGGCCTTGATGAGGTTGGGCAGGACGGCCTTGATGAGGTCAACCAGGGCTTCAGCATCCAACAGACCCGGGCTCACACCAACTCTCGTTCTGGTGAGCTGTGTTGTTCTGGGCAATTCACTGACCCTGCCTGAGCCTCTATTTTTTCAGCTGAAAAACTAGATGGTGATATCTATCTAGCCACAGAGCTACTTACTTAATAAAGTATGTAGCATATAGACACTCAGTAAATGGTGGCTTAAAGAAAAGCTTCTTGGCTAATGAAATTTGGAGCTGCTTAGGCAGGGCAATGTGCTTCCTTTATTACCCATACACATCCAAAGAGAAAATTAAAAATACTTCTATTAAGAGAATTAGTACTTTTTTTAAGTGGTCTATACATCCCTCTGTGTGGACACACAGATACAAACATGTATGCAAGTAAACATACTCATTTTGATTTTGGCCAGCATTTCGTCTTTAGTTAGTAACTTTTCTGGCATATCGATGGAGATAATCACTCCACATAATGGGTTTGCTGACCAAAAGACTTGCTGAGATTCAGTAGGCTATAAGGTGGGTCTAATATGTGGTTTGAAAATCCAAACAGAGATTAGGCTTGGGCAAATGCAGTTCCACCTAGGACCCTTATTAGACAATATCCTGGTGTCTACAGCTTTCAAAACAACACTTTAGCAGAGACTTAGATACACAGAATCTTTCATAGATATTCACCTTTATTGTAAATTATCATCATTATAAGTATTAACACCTTTATGATAAATACTCTTTCTTTGAGTACATTGAATTATGCCAGTCAGGATCTGTACACTGTATTATGTAACAGCACTGATTCCTAGGTTCAATTTTTAAAAAAATAAAGTTGGTTATATAGATTTTTCATTTGTAGGCTCATGCATACCATTATTGATATCCTACAAAGTCTCCTAACATATTTAGATTGAACCTTCCAACTAGTTTTATTTCCAACTAGTAGAATAGAAAACAGGTAACATTTCTTTTAAAACAGCTTCTCAATTTCCCTTCTTCCTACTGTTCTACTCAGCCCAGCCTCAAAAATGACCTTTGAAATTCTGCATCACCACAGAAGATGTAATGCTAAATGGAACCTATAGAAGGGGAAGTGGTTCTCAGGGAAAGACAATGATCCAAAGCTGCCGGAGACCAGGGGCAACAGAGGGGATGCAACCAGCTAAACGAAAACGGCTAAGTAGGTAGTTTGTGGAGTCAGACAGCAGGGGTTCTCCCTTCAGCCCTAAGTGGGCAAGTTATGCACCATCCTATGCTTCTCTTTCCTCATTTATTAAAAATGGGGATGATGATGATGATGATGATGGTAGTGGTAGTCACAACTAGCTCAGAGATTTTTGGAGAAATGAAAACAAGCAAACATGCTTAAAGCCCTCCAAATGCTGTGCAGTGAATTGTAAGTAGCGTGTGAGTGTTACTACATTCTCACTATGCAAAAGTGAGATTTTTAAAACGTGAATGAAGGACAAGATTTTCAAATGTTTCACCTTGTGTTAAGGATTCTCTGTTCTTAGAACTAGAAAATGAAAACAAAAACAGCAATGCAAGGAAAGCCAAACCATTCAGACCAGATAGAAAAGCAGCTAATATCTCTGGCTTTTCAGAGCTGCAAAGGGCAACCTCGATCTTACAGGTGCCCCCTAGGTGGCATCAAAGGATCATGCCTCAAAAAGAAATTCCAAACCAGACAACACAAACTTATTTGAAGAAAAGAACAGAACATTAGAAAGACAGGTGGAATAATGGGTTGAAGAGAGTATTGAGTAAGGTTAAAGAAAAATTCCAGAATGACTCTTTCTACAGACAATGGATCACAAGAAAATCCAAATATCAGATTGCAAAATAAAAAAAAGAAGAAGAAAAGAAAGTAAAAAGACTGCCTCAGGAAAATAAGAGCCAGGAAATAAAAGCAATTAGTAAGATTTATTAATAGACTGGGTAGGCATTAGTATTACTGTGAAAACATCATTACATAATAACATACAGCATGAGCAGTAAGCAAAATTAGCTCATTTATTTTATTTACTTAAAAAGAGGAAAAACAAGAACCAAATGATAACTAATAGTGGATATTTGGTCATACCCAGCATATTAAAAGACCTCAAATGTCAAAAAAATTCCCATATACACGCCATGGGAGGACAGCATTCACAGCATCTGTACAAGGCAAAAAACCTGCCTCAGTAACATCAACAGCAGCACAGGCAATGGAACAGGCAGTGGCAGAGAAACACACACACTACTGAATCAAACTATTAGCCTAGTGCCGTGGTTCATGCCTGCAATCCCAGCACTCTGGGAGGCTGAGGCAGGCGCATCACCTGAGGTCAGGAGTTCGAGAGCAGCCTGGCCAACGTGGTGAAACCCCGTCTCTCCTAAAAATACAAAAATTAGCCAGTCATGGTGGCGGGCGCCTGTAGTTCCAGCTACTCTACTCAGAAGGCTGAACCCAGGAGGTGGAGGCTGCAGTGAGCCAAGATCGTGCCATTGCACTCCAGCCTGGGCGACAGAGTGACTCTGTCTCGAAGAAAGATAAAACAAATAAACCAATAAACAACAAAAAATACTCTTCTCTGCATTCCCATTAGCTAGACAGCACTCAGATAAGATCAGGAAACCAGATGACATTAGTCTTCAGTAGCTCCTTTAAAAGCAAAAGATAAAGTATATTTATGTTCTCTAATATATGAAAGCAATATGACTCTGCTCCCTAGCTACCTGCTCAATAGAGCCCTAATCCAAATGATCTTAGTAACATCTGGTACAGTCAATCGTCCCAAAACTACACTCCAGAGCTCTGTCTACAGACTCCTCAGACAGAACAGGCTGCAAGGACTTTGGGAAAAAAAAGCTGGAGAGAAGGAGAAAAAGTATCATTTGGTTTCCAAATCCCCATGCTTGTTTGGGAGTCAAGATTTCAATCTCTATGGCTGTTAAGGAGGTGCAGCACCATTTCTGAGACTGCAAATAGAGCTATATGTGCTTCTCAAGTATCCATTAGTGGGAATGATTGGTAAGTGAGAGTAAAGCTTTTTCACAGCATACACCAGTCAAGGTACTCAGAGGAAGGATAGCTCTCTTGATCTATCTAATGACATGACAGATAGGCAGAGACAGATAGGAATATATAATAGGACCTATTTTATATATTACTAGCATATAATATTTATGTAAAATACACATAGGTATATAATATATACATATTACATAATATTCTGTATTACACACATATTCTGTATATAACATATTCATTAGGACCGGTTGCTGGGTGACATAGTAAGTTCCCATATGGAAGAACTTTTTCCAAATTCAACTTCAAACTCTCAGTTGCAAAGAAAGGATGGCCATGCTAAAATTTTATTACATTCCAAATCAAGGGATTCAATCACCTCTTTCAAGTGAGATGGCTATAAAAGCTCTTACTGAACCTTGACATAGGTGTTTATTTCCACTCCTAGAGGAGTAATTCAGGCTCCAAACCGGGAAAGCAGAAGGCAAGTTCTACCTCTGAAATCAATGCTGGGTATAGAGAGTCAAGGCTAAAAGAATTACAAATATAAAGCAACCACATGGCACATCCAGGAACATTTTTATTTGTTTGGATTATTTGTATTTTGTAAACTGTTAGGCTAAAGATTGTGCAGTACTGACAGCCACAAATTAAGCCAACTGCAAACTTTACATGCTGGTGGAAAGCCACTGTCACAGCCAACACACCATGTGTGCTGGAATGATTCAAATAAATGTTTCTCATCAACTTAGTAGACACCATCTTCATTCCAACAAAATTCAGCCAATCTCAAAACAAGCATGTAAATTTATGCTACTAATTTTATAAAAGAATAGTGCTTCCAAATGTTTCCATGGAGTGGCAAGCCCGTTAATACAGAATTTTATTTATTTATTTATTTTTTTAGACAGAGTCTCACTCTTTTGCCCAGGCTGGAGTGCAGTAGCGCGATCTCAGCTCATTGCAACCTCCACCTCCCAGGTTGAAGCGATTCTCCTGCCTCAGCCTCCCAAGTAGCTGGGATTACAGGTGCACACCACCATGCCCAGCTAATTTTTGTATTTTTAGTAGAGAAGGGGTTTCGCCATGTTAGCCAGGCTGGCCTCAAACTCCTGACCTCAGGTGATCCGCCCGCCTCAGCCTCCCAAAGTGCTGGGATTACAGGCGTGAACCACCATGCCCGGCCCCAATACAGAATTTGAAAAAAGATGAAAATAAAGGCCACTTTTAAAGCTATGATAAATTGTACTCAATAGATCCTTAATTGTCAAGGTTAATGGCCACAGTTCTGCCCTGCCCTTTGAGTTTTTCCATCTGTTTTCCTCCTTGAGGAAGTAAAATGTATATACATTGAAAGGTATGGATTTATAAGTCATCCTATAGACACACCCCTTACCTTCAAAAAGCATGACTTATGTCAGCAAACATTCTTCTAGCTCCTTTGTTAAAAATTTCAGTGCAGGTTGATTCTGGACTCTATTCTACTACATTGATCTGTTTATCTACCCCCTTATACCAATATCAGACCATCTTGATAGCTAACCTTATAGGAAGTATTGAAATCAGTCAACGAAACTCTTCAACTTTATTGTTGATCATTTTGGCTATTCTAGGTCCCACACATTACCAGTGGTTTTAGGATTGATTTGTAATTCTTTTAAAAAATAACTGATATTGCACTGAACCTATAGTATAAAGATGATATGCTTTGGCTCTGTGTCCCTGCCAAAGGATGTCAGAAGAGAACTGCTATCTAATTAAAATTGTGTCCTCCACCACATGAAATGGTCTATCCCTCCACTTGTTTAGGTCTTTATTTCCCCTCATTTATTTATTTTTAGCAAATAAATAGATATTGCATGTCTATCGATGAATTTATCCCTAAAAATAAAGATTTATTTCTACAAATTATGATTTTGATACTTTATAAGTGGAAATTTTAAAATGTCATTTTCCAATGGTTGCTGTTAAAATATAAAAATTCATTTTTATTTTATTGACATTGTATCCTGAAACCTTGCTAAATTCAATTATATCTAGCAGTTTCTTTGTAGATTCCTAAGAATTTTCTAAATAGATAATCATGTTTTCTATGAATAGAGGTAGTTTTACATCTTCCTTTCTTATATTATGCTTTTAGTTTCTTTATTGACTTACTGCAATAGCTAAGAAATCCTATACAATGTTGAACAGAACTGCAGAAAGCAAACATATTTGCCTTATTCTCAGTCTGTAGGGTAGAAAACATTCAGTCTTTCAACATTAAGTATGATGGAGTTTTTGTAGATTACTTTATCAAGATGAGGAAGTTCCCTCTATTCCTAGCTTGCTGAGAATTTTTATTATTAATATACATTAGATTTTATGAAATGCTTTCTCTCCATTAAGATGATTTTTCTCTTTAGGTTTTCTCCTTTATTTCATAAAACACTGAGCTGCTTGATTGATTTTCAAATGTTAAACTATTTCTGAGATAAGCTCTTATTGATCACAAGGTATTATCCCTTTAACATATTGCTTGATTGTATTTATTAACATGCCTCTGTGGATTTTTGCATCTGGTCTATAATTTTTATTTCCTGTATTGTCTTTGCCAGGTTTTGGTATCAGAGTGATACTGGTATCATAAAATAATGAGAACTGGTCCCTCTCCTCTATTTTCCAAAAGCATGTGTTTAGATTTGGTATTTCTTCTATAATATATAATATAGAATTCACCAGTGTAACCTGTTATTGTTGTATGAAGGTTTTCGAGAAATGATTTCAATTTTTTTTTTTCTGAGATGGAGTCTCGCTCTGTCGCCCAGGCTGGAATGCAGTGGCACGACGTCGGCTCACTGAAACCTCCACCTCCTGGGTTCAAGCAATTCTCTGCCTCAGTCTCTCAAGTAGCTGGGATTACGGGTGCCTGTCACCATGCATGGATAATTTTTTTGTATTTTTAGTAGAGACAGGGTTTCACCATCTTGGCCAGGCTGGTCTTGAATTCCTGACCTCGTGATCCACCTGCCTTGGCCTCCCAAAGTGCTGGGATTACAGGCGTGAGCCACCGCGCCCAGCCAATTTCAATTTTTTTAATAACTATGGGCGTCCAAATTTTCTATTTCATCATGAGTCAGTTTTGATGTGTCAGTTTTAGTCCTCTGTGAAGCAGATGCTGAGACTAAGTTATGAGAACAGAGATTGAGTACGAGTTTGGGCAATGCCTGTGGAAGATAAAGCAGGCAGAAAGCAGGATTGAGTATGGAAAGCCTTGGGACCATGAAACAGATCTGATGCCTGCGAAGGGAAGGGGAAGAAGCAAATGCAGATCTGAAAATGTCTCAGCCAACTCAGTGGAACGCTGCAGAATAAACAGTGCCTCTTAGAGGAATCCCATAATGGGTAGAAATGACCAGGCTCTGGTATCCCCACCATGTTCAATAACTAAATGCTGCCTTTGGAGAGTACTGAAAGCTGCTATGAATCTGGAACATGTGATAACTGAAAACTATCAGGTAACTGCACTCTTCTTGGCTGACTAGCAAGTTCTTCCTGAAAGGAGATCAAAGCCATGCATTTCCATGACTAACACATTTGGTAAATCTGTTTTCCATGGCATTTGTCTATTTCATCCTTAATTTTCTTTCTTTTTTTTTTTCTTTTTTTTTTTTGAGACAGAGTCTCACTCTGTTGCCCAGGCTGAAGTGCAGTGGCATGATCTTGGCTCACTGCAACCTCCACCTCCCTAGCTCAAGCAATCCCCTAACTCAGCCTACCAAGTAGCTGGGACTACAGCCACAAGGCGTCACACCCAGCTAATTTTTGAATTTTGTTGTAGAGATAGGTTTTTGCCATGTTACCCAGGCTGGTCTTGAACTGCTGGGCTCAAGTGATCCACCTGCCTTGGCCTCCCCAAGTGCTAAAACATTAAATTTATTAATGTAAAATTATTTGCAATATTCTTTTATTTTATTTCTAATGTCAGTATGATTTGTAGTGATATTCCCTCTTTTATCCCTGGTGTTGATATTTGGATTTCTCTTTTCTTTTTTTTCCTAATAAATATTTGGCTTTAATTTTCTGTATTATTTGCCTGTTTCCTATTTCATTGGTTAGTATTCTTATTATTCTTTTTTTCTACTTAATTCACATTTTTTAAAGCTTCTTAAGTAAAAACTTAGACCATTTTTTTTTAAACCATCCTTCCTTTTCAACATAGATATTTAATGCTACAAATTTCCCCCTAAGCACAGCTTCAGCTGCATTCACAAATTTGGGTATGTTGTATTTTCATTACCATTCAGTTAAAATATTTCATAATTTCAACTGAGTTATTCCTTGACTCTTTGATAGTATGAAAGAGTGTTTTCTAATTTCCAAACATCCGAGGCTATTCGGCTATTTTATTGTTACCGACTTCTAATTTAATTTCCTTGTGATCAAAGAACATAATCTGTGTAATTTTAATCATTTGAAAATTCTTGAGCCTTACTATGGACTATTTTGATGAACATTCCATGTGCATTTGAAAATAATGTATATTTTGCTGTTATTGAGTCTGATGCTTTATAAATGACAATTAAGGCAAGACCTTTGATAGTGTTGATCAAATCATCTATATCCTTAACATTTTGCCTAGTTTTCATACCAGTTAGGAAAGACTGGTCTTAAAATCATCAACTATGCTGATGGGTTTGCCTCTTTTTCTCCTTAGTAGTCAGTGTTTGCTTCACGTATTTTAAAACTTTATTATACACATGTATAATAATTTTAAATGTGCATACACATTTAAAATTTTTAGGTGCATACACATTTAAAATAAAAAGGAGGATTAAATCTTCTTAATGAGGCGACCATTTTTATTACTAATTATCCCTCTTTAACTCTGATAACATATTGCTTTCAAGTCTTATCTTTCCTGATAATAAAACCATTCAGTTTTATTATTATTAGCATTTGCATGGTATATGTTTTTCCATCCTTTTATTTTCAACGTACATGTGCCCTTGTCTTTATAGTACATCTCTTATAAACAGCATAGAGCTGGGCCATGCTTTTTAAAAAATTTCATCTGACAATCTAAACCTTTTCATTGAGCTGCTTAGTCTATTTACATTTAATGTATTGATATGATTAGATTGAAGTCAACCAACTTGTTTTCTGTTTGTCTTAACTATATTTTATTCTACTTCTCTTTCCTTACCTTCTTTTGAATTAATCAAATTTTTTTAGTAGTCTGATTTAATCCCTCCTTTGTGTTTTGGCCTATGCTTCCTTGCACTGTTTTTAGTTGTGACTCTGTGTATTACAATGTGCACCATTAGTATATTAATGTCTACTTAAACGGAAGATTATACACTAGGAAGCTTGCTGTAGTGTAGTTGCTCTTATACCTCCATCCTTTGTGCTCTCATTGTCATACATATTGCATCAACATATGTCATAAACCCTACCAAACAGTATTATAATTTTTGCTTTATATAGTTACAGCCTTTTAAAGAAATTTAAAGGAAAGTAAAACTACATTTTGTCTTTTTATATTACCCACATATTTAGTTTCTGTTGTTCTTCATATTTTCCTACAGATCTGAGTATCTATCTACTATCATGTCTCTCCAGTGTGAAGAACTTGCTTCATATATCTCCATCATTATTTTCTTCTGTAATTATTTCCTCAAATATTTGCCTTCCCCATTCTTTTTCCTCTCCTTTTGGGACTCCAATTAAATGTATTTCAGATAACTTATTATCTCACAGGTCAAGTACTCATTATTCATTTTATCAACTTTTCAGATTAGGTAACTTACACTGATACATCTTCAAGGCTACTATCTCTTCTTCTGACATCTTCAACCTCATACAGTAAAATTTTCACTTTATTGTGCTTTTCAATTTTATAACTGACATCTGGTTATTTTTATGGTTTCAATTTCTCTATTAAGACTCCCCATCTGTGCATTCATTACACTCATACTTTTCTTTAGTTTTTAACATATTTATAAAAGTTTTTAAAAAACCTTCATCTGCTAATTCCAACATCTGGGTCATCTCAGGGCCAGTTTTTACTACCTACATTTTTTCTTAACTATAGGTCGTCTTTTCCTATTTCCTTACATACCTAGCACATTTTTATTATATACTGGATATTGTGAACAAAACACTGTCAATATTCAGATATCAGTTTTGTTCCTCTGAAGAGTGATAATTTTTGTTCTAGCAGGAAGTAAAAATCTAAATTCTGAAGTGAGTGACAGCTGACATCTTTGCTCAGATCTTTAAGTTGCTGTTTTTACCATTAAAGTGTGCATTTGCACTTCAGTGATCAGCAGTGGACTGCGACAGGGTTTACATGTGGATGTGGAGTCTCCTACTCTCTGAGCTTCTCGTCTTTCATAGATTCCCTCTAATTAGCTAGCTGCTCTGCAGTCCCAAACTACATCTTCTTAGTAACTTACTAAGACTGAGGCTCTCTGCCACCCCATGCTGCCTGGATGAGTAGGTGTTCTCAGAGAAAAAGCTTCAAACATACAAATCCCATCAAAGACCCATCTGGTCTCTCAAGGGTTAACTTCCCTCTACCTTCTGCCTGTTTTGGGTTGCTATCCAGTGCCTTCATATAGTTGGTTTAAGATGTTTTGTTTATAATATTTTGTCCGGATTTCATAATTGTTATCTGTGTTAGTCTGATTGTGCTACTGTGCCATTACCAGAACCAGGGCCTTGACTATTCATTTCTGTCTATGATTTATCAATAAAAATCATGAACTACACTACAAACTGTCCAGCATATCTACATACCAAAAGATTAAAACTACTGTCTAATAAATTTTAAATAAATTATTTTGGCTTCAGGGCCCCAAATTCCTCTATATTTGCAAATTCTGTTAAGTAGATGGGGAGAAAGTAAGTTTGAATCCCAGCTCCTCCATCTGATTTTAACTTCTGCACCAAGGAAATACCGAGCTTGTATGTTGAATGTAAGTGTGGATTTGGAGTAATGAGTGTAAACATTGAGACAATGCCCAGGATAAAGTCTCATAAAAAGTGGCTTCTACTGTCATTACCATTAAGTGCTTCTACTGTATTAAATACATCAAAATGAAATTTAAGAAGCTTTACCCTAGAAGCTCAATATTGCTTTCTACTTTATTAGAATTTAATAAACAGAAGAATTCCTGCAACTCATACTTTTCTGTGTGTGAATGATTTGAGACCAGCATAATACTATAGTACATTGAAGGTGATGAGGATTTTCTCTGAGAGCTTACAAAATAAGGTTCACACTTTGAGACGCTGGTCAGTGTTCCTTCTCAAACTGAAATTATCTGCTTAATGGCTTGGCACCATGAAAATCTGTTCGGCCTACTTCAAACAGTTTGTTAGAACCATATTTGGACTCACCCTGTTTAATGGTTAAGAAAGAAACTTAGAAGGGAAAACTCTAAGAAAGAAGGTTTCTATCTTCAGACACAATCATACAATTCACTTCATAGATAGGTGATCGAGCACTTTCTCAGACTCAAAGTAAATAATTTTCATTGCATCCTTCAATCCTGGATACTTTTAAAAATGTGAATCCGTTTTCTTTCTAAGCCACTGAAGAAAATCAAAGACTTTTGACTTTGAACATCACACAGGCCACATAAAAGTTAGTTTTGTTTAAAATAATACATAAAATTATGCTTAGCACTGCTCCAGAAGTAGGGTAGCAATCTTTCTGTGGTTACAGCATCACTTAGTGGTTACATACATAAAATATTCTTTCTACTCCAAAGCAAAAAAAGGGGGGAAAATACATTTTTGAAGAAGTTGTTTATAAAAGAACATCAAATAGAAAACAAAAATAACAAAAAATCACTTATTCAAAATACTAGATGCATAGTTATACAATCAGTCAGATGACAGGGCTCAATTATGCAGGAAAGTAGGAAGGGTTAAATCATCAATATCAATCGATCAAATATTCTTACCAAGGCTTCATGATCTTCTGCAATTTCTGGTATCGCCTGCAAAATTTAAAAACAACCATGTGAGGAGCATACTTAAAAGCAACAATTTTTACACAAAGAACATATCTTGAAGAAAACTCAGGATTAGATTTAGGACAGATTTAACTGCCATGAAGTAAAAGAATTTTATCCATTTCAAGACATCATTCAAAGTAATAAACTGGTGTTCTTTAATGATCAGAAACAAACAATCAAAAGATCAGCATTAAACTACTGTCATTAACCAGTTGCATTTGCTTATGAGTAAAGGCATCCAAAACCGTCCATTTAGATCAGAATGGGTCTGTGTTCAATGGAGCGGGGTGGGGTACCCATAGGGATAGGAATTGATACATTTTAAATGAAAAAACATTGAGACAAAAACCACTAGACTATAAAGAAATATTTTATTATCTTTCTTTGGTAGAATGTCCACTAATTTTACTTTCTCTTTTCTCTCTCAGGTGGCTTCTTCTGTGGGAAGATGCTGCAATCAATCTCTTTGCAATAAGACATTGCACTAGTGTTAAATCCCAAAACTGAACTCTGGGCTGGTGGCTTAGAATAGGCAAATCTGGCTATAATAAAGGATACTTATGCTTTTTTAAAAAAACTAGGCTCAAGAATATGAAGAAACAAGTGTTTCAAAACTGGCCAAACCATCTCTCATTCCTCAAGTCTGCCAAATCTCTCTGGCTTTAAGTATGATCTTCCCTCTTTATGAAACATCCATCCCCTCTTTGCCCAACTCGCTAAGTCCTACCCCCAAACTCATCTCATTCTAGGCTCATTCTGGGGTCCTCTAGGAAGTCTCTCTGACTTCTGATTTCTCTTCCTCAGACAGCATAGATGGTGCCTGCATCGCAGGCCACAGGCCCTGAGGACACATCAGCTATAAGCCTCAGGACATCTCACTGTCCTTCTAGCTGCTTGAGGGCTAGGACTCTGCACTGTGACAATAGCGTAATGTGAGGCACATCCAGAGTAGGGACTGAATACACGGTTGACAAACGATTTTGCTCTTCAGAAATTTTCACATTCTCAACCACATAAAATGTAACCATTTCAGAAATCCAAATCACCAGGCAAAGACTAAATTTAGTCTCTGGTAAAATTTGTGGGAGGGGGATTAAAAATGCATATAAAGAGATATTTTTATTCCTCTTCTGCTCCCCCTCCTTTACCTGCCTTTCTTTTAAAAAATATTTACTATTTCCCATCCTTCCTTCATCAAAAAGGCATTGGGCAGGGTGAAAGGGTGAGACGGGGAGGCAGGCCTGAGCATAAATTGGCAGCACGCAAGGGCCAGAGGCTACTCTCCACTAAAAGGAACCAGGGCTCCTTGGGGAAGTGGCTCGTATTAGGGGTGGGGCAAGGAGATCTAGATAGTTCTGGAACATCTTGTTGAGCCAGAAAGTAAAGAAATGCTCAAAACATAACGCAATACAGGTCAAAAGGACACAGAAGTCAGCTTGAAAGAGCTCCCACAGGCCACATCAGGGACACGCTGAGCATCAAAATCAATAATAATAGTGATAGATTAAACCCACTGAATAAAACAGGAATGAATTAGTCCACATTGTTATAGAGTGATGTGCTGATGTTGAAACACCAGATCTCTGGGGAAAAACACACGAATCTGCTTGATATTATTTTCCGATTTCCACAGTGTAACGACTCTCACTATGGCCAACTTAAAGAACCAACATGAGGTCAATGAACGCAGAGCAGAACAGAGTTGTACAAAAGTGGCTCTCAGGAGCTGGTATGAGCTCCCCACTGGAGATAAACATGTAGGTGAATAAATACGTAGGGAAAAAACAGAGCTCTTACTACCAAAGAAAACCAACTAATACATGTAGAAGAAATCATAGTATTAGAAAATTTTCCTTTGGAAATCATCAGAGCAATAATTAATTCAGATAAGAAATGTCAATGCCAAAACTGATGGGTGAAATTGGGGTAATGAGGCTTTACATAGTTTCACTGTGTCTCCCTACAAACTTTTCATGAATTAGCTGCTAAGGTAGGGAGAAAGTATTATAGTGGAGACATCTGGAAGATGCTATCTTAATGAAGTGGTCAAAGTTATAACCAGTAATAAAACAAAGAGATACCATGTGCCATCAACAGGACGAAATGGGGGAAAAAAAATCACAACCATCTGTTATATTCCAGCCAAAGACATACAATATGGGTCTTCATAAAGAGAAATTTTTGTTGTAATGTTTGTTGTGATGAGAGAACACTGGATAAATCTGTAAAAAACAAAATCTTGTGTTTCAGTAGAAAACTAAGCAGCGCCTACAACATATCCTTTTGGGCTATCAGATTCTAGTCCTGTTGGCTTTGAGTTATTTTACAACGCTTTGTTAAGATGTAGGTAACTGATGGAGAGACAGATAGATAGATAGATAAACAGACAGATAGATAGATAGATATCTATCTATATATATATCTGTATATATCTGTCTATATCTATCTATATATATCTCTATCTATCTATCTATCTATCTATCTATATCTCCTGTCTGGCAGTGATTTAATTGACTTCCTTTCCACTGGTGGAAAACTAGTTGTGTCTTCATTTGCAATTCATCTCAACATTCCTTTGCTTCATATAAATTTGTGCTCTTTTGACTTTTTCTTTAAAGTTATAACATCTGCCTAGTTTCATCATATCATATGAGTAAAATAAATTATTTTAACACATATTTGTATATCTGAAGTCAAAATGTAATATAGAGGGAAACCTCTAAATTAAACATTTTATTGGAGAATCATAGAATTGCAATTTGAAGCATACACATAGACTGGTAGACTTTGGTATGTCTGAGGAACAAAGGAAAGGTTGGGAGTTTTATTAGAAATAGGAATGTTACCTACGGTTTTGAAAGAAAGCTTATAGGCACTAGAATTTTTGAGAGCTGCTAAGCTCTGATTGGTGAGTGACAGTGGTAGGTAAAACCAGTCCTAAAGTCACAGCAGGTCATTTCAGCAGCTACTAGATTAAACTGGTCTTAGGGTTACACCAGGCCATCTTAGCAGCTGGACTTGCAGACAATTCGATTCTTGGAGCAGGTGCCATGTGCCCATGTGCTTTCTGCCTCAGCTCCTCAACTGTGACTTAGTTGAGTGTGACAAGAATTACCCAATTTGTATAATCAATTTTCACATCTGTATGAGAGTTATGATTTTACTTTTCCATGAAAATTACCTTTAACAAATTACCCTTTAACAAACCCAAATTACAGGGTATTCTATAAAATGGCTGACCTATAATTTAAAAACACCAAAGTCATGAAAGAAAAGGAGCGAGTGAAGAACAATTCCAGATCAGAGGGGACTAGGAGGAGACGGGCCACCTGGGTGCAAGGTGCCACCTGGAGCTAGATTCTTTCCATTAAAGGACAGAGCTGGGACAACAGGTGAAACTTAAATGGGGTCTCTGGGAAAAGAGCAAGAGGGGATTTTCTGCTCTGTTCTTGCAAGTTTTAAGTTTAAAATGGTTTTGAAATAAAATGTGTGTGTGTGTGTGTGTGTGTGTGTGTGTAATACATAAAGTAGTTGCTGTAAACTTTTAAAATAACTTTCTGGCCTGGGGCCTGAGCATGCTTATGGTTTTTATATGAGTTCCGCCTCCTCCAGCATCCCTGACCTTGGAGAGCTCTCCCTGACCAGAGCACAGACATAACTCAGTGCTGAGTCACAGTGCTTCTTACTCCTCAAATTTGCATCCTCACTTTGGCTTCAGATTATGCATAAGGAGAAGAGAAATTTTTGTTGCAACATCTGTCTATTGCCCTAAGTGGGATTTTATATGTGTGTGTGTGTGTGTGTGTGTCTCAATATACCTATTTTTTTAGAGAAACGTGACTAGAAGAGAAATTACTCTGGAAAGGTTGATGTTTCACAGTGGCCAGAAACCTCTCACCTCAGCCCAAGGAACGGCATTTTTTTTTTCGCCAACAGAAGATAATCTCTTCTTCAAATGGGCTGTGTGACCCTTTCTCATTTCCATTACCAGAGTGAAGGACAAAGACGCACAGAGAAAGCAAAAGGAGTGAGGAGGGGGCAGATCCTGTTTAGGGAATTTTCTGCCACACAATCTCTGACAAAGCCCAAGAAGGTTGGCCTCTTTGGCCTTTGTGATGCAAATTTCTGGGAGAGCCCTCAAGAGCTGTTCCAGCTGGAGCTCCCTGAGCAATGCAGAGTGCACTGCAGGCTCCAAGAAAACAGCAGAAAGCCTTGGGAAGATGTGGCAGCCATCACAGCTGGGGTTGACTGCAGAGACCACAGGAGCAGCTTCTTTCTGTCTGGGTCTGTGGCCTCTGAGGAGGTAAAGTGCAAAACGTGCATGGTGTCAGCTGGCCTTGGCTGCAAGGCAGCAAGTAGATGAATCGCTTTGGCCTGCACTGGACCTCCCAGAACAGCCAAGACTTCTAAGAGACACCAAGTTCTCAGAGGCAATAGCATAAGTTAGAGCTGATCATCTGTGTCCTTGGAGGTTAACAAAGTTTCAAAACAGAAATTCATCTTTTGTGTGAAGGCAAAATTCCGGAAAAGGTCACACATAATGGAAAACTGTCATATACATCTTTGTGTTATCCTCCATGCACCTCCTCTTACGTCTCACATGCCTAACCCAGTGTGAGGAGTATGGTTCAGCCCTCAGTAACGTACATTTCGCTGAATCAATAAAACATACAAATCCATCTCAAGTGTGGGTGCTAGGGAACATCAAAACAAAGTGTATAATTCAAGCTATACCTCAGTTTTCACAACATTCAGAAAATGAAAACACCTCTGGTTCAGGCAAGATGAAAAGAATTTGAATAACGAAAGGTTAATATGAGATGGAGGGAACCTGTTTCAAGACTGTTCTTGTATTAATGCAAAAATGATGACAATTTTTATATACATGTAATATACATACACACAGCACTAGACTTTTCCATCTGTGTCATATGTATGACAGAGTGGGGAGGAACTAATAATTTATACACTTAATGTTTCTTTTTAAGACAATTACCTAAGAACTTTACATATCACTAAAATAACTATGGGACTCCTTCCAATGTTCCTAATACAGCCAGATTTTGGAGAAATGACCTCAATGAAACAAATAAAACAGCACTTATAAATTCCCCAGATTAGTGAGAACTCCACAAATACCACTGCTATCTTTCTGAGGAAAACCAGAAAACCAGCCGAGTATTGACCAAGGTATTGGAAATAGACATACTCCTACAAGAATGGTAAAGTATAAATTAGAACATTTCTGCAAGCTATTGGGCTATTCTTATTTTAAAACAGCTTTAAAATGTATACATACTCTGAGTCAGGAATTTTATTCCAACAAAATAAATTAAATATCCACAAAAATTTTGCTAAAAGAAAAGCTGATTTAAAAATATTCAGAAAGCCAGGCCCGGTAGCTCACACCTATAATCCCAGCACTTTGGGAGGCCAAGGCAGGAGGATTACTTGAGACCAGGAGTTCAACACCAGCCTGGGAAACACAGAGAGACCTTCGTCTCTATAAAAAATATTTAAAAATTAGCCAGGTGTGGTGGCACCTGTAGTCCCTACCTACTCAGGAGGCTGAGGCAGGAGGACTGCTTAAGCCCTGGAGGTCAAGGCTGCAGTGAGCTATGATTGTGCCACTGCACTCCAGCCTAGGCAACAGAGCAAGACTCTGACTCAAAAAAAAGTAAGATAAAATAAAATAAAAGTTCAGAGAAAAACCCTAAAAACAATATAAATGTCCTACAATAGGGAAATAGTTCACTGTACTATGCACATTCTTCAAATTATTGTATATTAATTGTACATAATAAGCTATAAAGCTGCAAAAATGAAACAGTACGCATGCAACAAAAATGACAGGGGAGAATAATATTTAATCACATGGAAATATTGTTAGGTACAAAAAGCAGGTTATAAAAACATGAGTATTATAATTCTACTTTTATAAAGCCTGTGCATATGTGTGTATCTAAAAGAATATATAAAAAACGATATTCATCAAGATATTAAAAATAGTCGTCTGTGGAAAGGCACACTACAAATTATTCTTATTTTTTCCTTCTGCTTTTTTATATACTTTTCAAACGACAGATAATTTTTCATAAGAAAAGAAAGTTAATTTAAAAAAACTTTCCATCCAAGCACTTTGGGAGGCCGAGGCGGGTGGATCACGAGGTCAGGAGATCAAGACCATCCTGGCTAACATGGTGAAACCCTGTCTCTACTAAAAACACAAAAAATTAGCCGGGTGTGGTGGCAGGTGCCTGTAGTCCCAGCTACTCTGGAGGCTGAGGCAGGAGAATGGCATGAACCGGGGAGGCGGAGCTTGCAATGAGCCAAGATTGCGCCATTGCACTCCAGCCTGGGTGACAAAGCAAGACTCCGTCTCAAAAAAAAAAAAAAAAAAAACCAGAAACTTTCCAAGTTCATCATAAATACATGAATTTAACTTTTGTTCGCAGTTGACTTTCCTGCCCAGGGTGGTGTTACAGCTTACTCATATTCCAGCAGCGTAATTTTCCCATCACATTGCCAAGCGGGAAGGAAACTATAAGTACCCTGCCCTTTCATTCTTGGAAATGTTTCCCCTGTTTTTCTGCCCCTAGTGATGACTGACTAACAGTGGAAGGACACAGAAGTAGGCTTTCTCATTGTCTGTGTGCTTAGAGGCATGGACAAAGACTGTGGTGTTTTATTAAAACCCAAAGAAGAGCAGTATTTTTTATGACATTGGACTTAAGAGTTGTGGACACAATTTTCCTTCTTTCAAATAAAATAAAATATATCATTTCTGAGAAATGTTTTGATATCCATCTTTTTGATATTTGTTTCTGGAAACACTGTCCATTCCTCAATATTCCTTTTGTTGCTCAGGCTGGGGCAACATGTTTCCCCACAGCTGTATTTGCTTTCACTCCTATGTTTCAAGCAGAAATTAGGAATGAAATTTCAAAACTCCATTAAGGATAGAACAATTAAACTCAGGTTTTAAACACTGTGCTCATGCTCTGTCAAGATGACACTTCCTCACTGTTCCTCTGTTACTGACTTTGCTCCATGGCCCCACCCAGTACCAGCTGGAGAGAGACCTTTTAAAAGCCCAGCCTTGTTGTGACAAAATCTCTCACCATTTGCTTGCCTGCAAAGGATTTTATTTCTCCTTCACTTATGAAGATCTCAAAATAATAAGAGCTATTTATGACAAACCCACAGCCAATATCATACTGAATGAGCAAAAGCTGGAAGCATTCCCTTTGAAAACGGGCACAAGACAAGGATGCCCTCTCTCAGCACTCCTATTCAACATAGTATTGGAAGTTCAGGCCAGGGCAATCAGGCAAGAAAAAGAAATAAAGGGTATTCAAATAGGAAGACAGTAAGTCAAATTGTCTCTGTTTGCAGATGACATGATTGTATAATTAGAAAACCCCATCATCTCAGCCCAAAATCTCCCTAAGCTGATAAGCAACTTCAGCAAAGTCTCAGGATACAAAATCAATGTGCAAAAATCACAGGCATTCCTATACACCAATAATAGGCAAACAGAGAGCCAAATCATAAGTGAACTCCTATTCACAATTGCTACAAAGAGAATATAATACCTAGGAATAGAACTTAAAAGGGATGTGAAGGACCTCTTCAAGGAGAACTACAAACTACTGCTCAAGGAAATAAGAGAGGACACAAACAAATGAAAAAAC
The DNA here is from genome assembly GCF_000001405.40 of Homo sapiens. Lineage (NCBI taxonomy): Eukaryota > Metazoa > Chordata > Mammalia > Primates > Hominidae > Homo > Homo sapiens. The sequence goes on from NC_000007.14 coordinate 37,252,104, forward strand.
ATTCCATGCTCATGGATAGAAAGAATCAATATCATGAAAATGGCCATACTGCCCAAAGTAATTTATAGATTCTATTCTATCCCCATCAAGCTACCATTGACTTTCTTCACAGAATTAGAAAAAACTACTTCGAATTTCATATGGAACTAAAAAAGAGCCCATATAATCTAGACATTCCTAAGCAAAAAGAACAAAGCTGGAGGCATCACGCTACCTGACTTCAAACTATACTACAAGGCTACAGTAACCAGAACACCATAGTACTGGTACCAAAACAGATATATAGACCAATGGAACAGAACAAGACCTCAGAAATAATGCCACACATCTACAACCATCTGATCTTTGACAAACCTGATAAAAACAAGCAATGGGGAAAGGATTCCCTATTTAATAAATGGTGCTGGGAAAACTGGCTAGCCATATGCAGAAAACTAAAACTGTGCCACTTCCTTACACCTTATACACAAATTAACTCAAGATGGATTAAAGACTTAAACGTAAGACCTAAAACCATAAAAACCCTAGAAGAATACCTAGGAATACCATTCAGGACGCAGGTGTGGGCAAAGGCTTCATGACTAAAACCCCAAAAGCAACTGCAACAAAAGCCAAAATAGACAAATGGGGTCTAATTAAACTAAAGAGCTTCTGCACAGCAAAGGAAACTATCATCAGAGTGAACAGGCAACCTACAGAATGGGAGAAAAATTTTGCAATATAGCCATCTGACAAAGGGTTAATATCCAAAATCTACAAGGAACTTAAACAAATTTACAAGAAAAAAACAACCCTACCAAAAAGTGGGTGAAGCATATGAACAGACACTTCTCAAAAGAAGACATTTATGCGGCCAACAAACACATGAAAAAAAGCTCATCATCACTGGTCATTAGAGAAATGCAAATCAAAACCACAATGAGATACCATCTCATGCCAGTTAGAATGGTGATCATTAAAAAGTCAAGAAACAACAGATGCTGAAGAGGATGTGGAGAAATGGGAACGCTTTTACACTGTTGGTGAGAGTGTAAATTAATTCAACCATTGTGGAAGACAGTCTGGTGATTCCTCAAGGATCTAGAATCAGAAATAACATTTGACCCAGCAATCCCATTACTGGGTATATACACAAAGGATTATAAGTCATTCTACTGTAAAGACACATGCACACGTATGTTTATTGCAGCACTGTGCACAATAGCAAAGACTTGCAACCAACCCAAATGTCCATCAATGATAGACTGGATAAAGAAAATGTGGCACATATACACCATGGAATACTATGCAGCCATAAAAAAGGATGAGTTCATGTCCTTTGCAGGGACATGGATGAAGCTGGAAACCATCATTCTCAGCAAACTAACACAAGAGCGGAAAACCAAACACCGCATGTTCTCACTTGTAAGCGGGAGTTGAACAATGAGAACACATAGACACAGGGCGGGGAACATCACACACCAGGGCCTGTCAGAGGGTGAGAGGCTAGGGTAGGGATAACATTAGGAGAAATACCTAATGCAGATGACGGGTTTTGGGTTCAGCAAACCACCATGGCATGTGTATACCTATGTAGCAAACCTGCACGTTCTGCACATGTATCCAAGAACTTAAAGTAAAAAAAAAAAAAAAACAAAAAGCCCAGCCTTGGGTAATGAGGGGCGGGCAAGTCATCTCTGAATCTCATTATTCCTAAAAGTAAGGAGAAAAATTCCAGCAACATTTCTTCAATGTTTACGAAAATTTCCACAGGTCCTGCTTAGGAAACGACCACCTTCTCCAGCTGGAACATTGCCCAGGAGTCATGACTAAATGCCTTCCAAATTACAGGATCTATTTAATTTATGTGGTTTCTATCCCAAAGGTTTCCTGTTAATTAATTGAAGTCTTGCTCTAAGTTTAACAGAGAAGCCAGGATTTCTTATAGAAAAATGGCTTTCTCTTTCCTTTTTAATCTTAGCGAAAGATCTGAAAAATTTGCTGTTTATTAAATAAGCCACCTCTGAGCATGAGATGCAGGACCAGCAGAAGGAAGGCAGGAGGCCTTGCAACTCCAGTCCCTCCTTCCTCCATCCCCGAAAATAGCGTAACTTTGAATTTACATAAAACAGGAAGGGGGACACCAAAGATGACCCTGAGAGACATCATTCCTTCCCACGAACATAGTGTGATGGGAAAGTATAAGAGACAAATGCAAAAGAGAATTCACCCAACACCTGGCCTTAAGCTCTGTTTATCTGTCTGAAACCTGGCTGTATGTATCAAACTGGGACGGCTTACTGATTATTATAAATACAGTCATGTGTTGCTTAACAATGCGATACATGCTAAGAAATGCATCATTAGGTGATTCTGTTGTGTGAACATCGTAGAGTGTACTTACACAAACATACATGGTATAGCCTACAACACACCTAGGCTATGTGGCACAGCTTATTGCTTCTAGGCTACAAACCTGTACAGCATGTTACTAGGCTGAGTAGTGTACGCAATGGTAACACAATAGCAAATATTTGTGTATCTAAACAGAGAAGAGGTATAGTAAAACCATGGTATAAAATATAAAAAATGGCACAACTGTATAGGGCAGCTCCATCATAATCTCATGAGACCACCATTATATTTGTGGTCCATCACTGATCGAAATGTTCTTATGCAGTGCGTGACTGTAGTTAAGATATTAATGAGTGTGATACTCCTTTTTTTAAGAAAGGCATTCAGTTGCTTTAGCTCACATAAAGTACATTCAATATTGACATTCTCTCACATTGTATAATACGTGTGCAACATGGAGACAGAATTCAGACCTGCTGTCCCCCATCCTGGGTCTGAGGAATAGTGAATCTTTTGGACTGTTCTGCAGGTGGAGATGTGTCATAAAGTAAGGCCACAGCACTGAGAAAAAGTAAGAATGTTGACAAGGCACATACATAGCATCAGTTCTTACTCTTTTTCTTTTAAAGCAAAAATGATTGTGTCCCTTTTATAAGCATTACGGACTGAAGTGTGGCCCCTCATAATTCACATGTTTAAGCCCTAAACCCCAGTACCTCAGAATGGGACAGTATTTGGAGATAAGCCCTCTCAAGAGATGATTAATTTAAAATGAAGCCATTAGGTGTCCCTAATCCAATCTGACTCTTGTCCTTATAAGAAAAGGAGATTTGAAGACAAAAAGAAAAAACAGGGATGTGCACATGAGGACAGAGAGAGAAGGCAGCCATCCACTATCCAGAGCAACCTCAGCAGAAACCAACCCTGCCAACACCTTGATCATGGACTTGCAGCTTCCAGAACTCTGAGGAAAAATAAAGTTTCTGTTGTTTATGCCACTCAGTCTGTGGTATTTTGTTATGGCAGCCCTAGCAAAGTAAAGCAATGAGAAACTGAAAACAAAAGCTCCTAGCAGGCAGTTTCATTGTCGAAGTCTGTAACTGCCGGCCTCTGGAGGTGAGGGGCTCCACCACAGGCCCCTGTTCAGAATGCAGATCACATGCGCCCCTGCTTTGCTGTCTTTACCACGGTAAAGTAACCGTAATTACAATTGCAATTCTAATAATTTCAGAAGTATTTGCAAATATCATTCTGAATGTGCCAGAGCTCAAGCCCTGGATACCTAGGTACTTGTGGCAGAACCAACTCATATCAGCAGGTGACATTACAACTGGCTCTGATGCATTGTCCTTGACTTAGCTTAATCAATAAACAGGGGTAAACATTTTTACATTTTTATTTAACATGTTAGTGTTGCCGAGGCAGCCTCCCCCAGGCCCCACTCTCTCACCAGAAGCCGTGGGGGGTATGTAGTATAGGCTACCATGTCTGGCAGGTACATGAAGTAATCCAGTGATGAGTGAAGGTGTTTATAACAACTCGTCCTCCTCCTCTGCTCCCCAGAAACAGGCAATAGGATCCTGACACATTCCAGACCAGCTTCCAGCCTGGAGCTCCCCTCACAGACAGGACCCTCTGTATCCATTCCTTTGTCAAGCTCCTTGGATCCCTAAACTTTTTCAACTTCCCTCTCGCTGATTCAAGCTCCAGCTCCAGCTTACAGTAACCACACTGGATTCTGACAACATCCAGGGTTTACATTTCCCTGTACCACTCCACGTTGAGGTATGCCCAAACTTTCATAAGCAGAGGTTTCGTCATCCTTGAAAAAAATAAATGATACCTGTCTACAGTTGACCCTTTCCCGATCACCCAGGCCTGTTTGTCGGTCTTCTCTGACATGATGTTCTTCACATTCAGTTCTAGGGATTTTCTCTACTTGACTGCGAGTTAAGATCCCCAACTCCAAACTCTAAAGAATATCTTGTCTTTGAATGAGAAAAAAAATGTTTTCACTAGTACCAACTGCAGAGGCCAGATGATGCCAAGTGTAGGAGGGAGGGAGGATGGAGGGAGGAGAAGGAGGAAGGAAGGAAGGAAGGAAAGAAGGAAGAAAGGAAGGAAGGAAGGAAGGAAGGAAAGGAGGGAGGGAGGGAAAAGGGGAGGGAAAAGGGGAGGGGAGGGCAGAGGGGAAGGGAGGGGAGGGGAGAGGAGGACAAAGGGAAGGGAGGGAGAGAAGGGAGAAGGAGGGAAGGAAGAAAGGAAGGAAGAAAGGGAGAGGGGCAGGGGGAAGGGAAGGGAAGGGAAGGGAAGGGAAGGGAAGGGAGAAGGGAGGAGGAAGGGAAGGGAGAAGGGAGGGAGGGAAAGGAGAGGAAGGGGACAGAAGGGGAGGGGCCCAGAAAGATCTCTAACTTGCAGAGTTATCAATTCATTCTTTGTATTACTAGGTACCCTTTAAACAACCCAGTTTTAAACCTCCATTCTCAATGATACTTACTCTTTCATAATAAATGCCTATCCTGACACTGTACTTTATTAGCTTAGCATATTCATATGCAATTAATTGATTCAGCAATTTCACATGCTTTAAATTGTATGCTCTACTAGTCTCTGCCAATAGCACCTGACCACATGGCAGGGGCAGCCTCCTGCTCATCCTAGCAGGCATTCAGCATTCAGTGGTTAAAGGAGTTGTCTCTCCACCAACATAAGAGCTGGCCCCGCCTGGCTCCTGACGCTCCACAGTCACACCAGAGAGCAAGCTCCCCGGCAGGAAGGGACATTCCTTCCTCCCTCATGATGGAACTCCAACTCCCTCAAGGACAGTTCACACTCATCTCCTCTGTGAGGCTGAGATTTAATGGGTTCCAGCCAGGCATGGTGGCTCATGCCTGTAATCCCAGCACTTTGGGAGGCAGAGGCAGGTGGATCACTTGAGGTCAGGAGTTTGAGACTGGCCTGGCCAACGTGGTGAAACCCCGTCTCTACTAAAAATACAAAAATTAGGCCAGGCACGGTGGCTCACGCCTGTAATCCCAACACTTTGGGAAGCCGAAATGGGCAGATCACGAGGTCAAGAGATCGAGACCATCCTGGCTGACATGGTGAAACCCTGTCTCTACTAAAAATACAAAAATTAGCTGGGTGTGGTGTCACACGCCTGTAGTCCCAAGTCCCAGCACTTCTGGGAGGCAGAGGCAGGTGGACCACTTCAGGTCAGGAGTTCAAGACCAGCCTGGCCAACGTGGTGAAACCCCATCTCTACTAAAAATACAAAAATCAGGCTGGACACGGTGGCTCACACCTGTAATCCCAATATCTTGGGAGACCGAGGTGGGCGGATCACGAGGTCAAGAGATCGAGACCATCTGGCTGACATGGTGAAACCCTGTCTCTACTAAAAACACAAAAATTAGCTGCATGTGGTGTCACACGCCTGTAGTCCCAGCACTTTGGGAGGCAGAGGCAGGCAGATCATTTGAGGTTAGGAGTTCGAGACCAGCCTGGCCAACGTGGTAAAACCCCATCTCTACTAAAAATACAAAAATTAGGCCGGGCGTGGTGACTCACGCCTGTAATCCCAACACCTTGGGAGGCCAAGGCAGGCAGATCACGAGGTCAAGAGATCGAGACCATCCTGGCTGACATGGTGAAACCCCATCTCTACTAAAAATACAAAAATTAGCTAGGTGTGGTGGCATACGCTTGTAGTCCTAGCTACTCGGGAGCCTGAGGAAGGAGAATTGCTTGAACCCAGGAGGCAGAGCTTGCAGTGAACCGAGATCGTCCCACTACACTCCAGCCTGGCGACAGAGTGAGACTCCATCTACCAAAAACAAAAAACAAAAAAAAAACTAGCTGGGTGTGGTGGCACATGCCTGAAATCCCAGCTACTCAGGAGGCTGAGGTGGGAGGATCACTTGAACCCAGGAGGTGGAGGTTGCAGTGAACAGCGATTGCACCACTGCACTCCAGCCTAAGCAACAAAGACTCCATCTCAAATAAAAAAAAATAAGAGAGAGAGAGAGAGATAATGGGTCCGCCCTCTAGATTCCTGGCTCTCAGGAGGAATTACACGCAATAGAATTCTGCCCATATGATAGTCTCCATCAATTTCTGGAAGGCAAGCTCGTAAGAAAAAATTTTCCTTTGTTCAACTCTTTTGCATGCACTGAGTAGGTAGTTAATACATGTTGACTGCATTTAATTTCAAGTAATTAATGACAAGTATTTAATCATTCAAGTGTTAAGTTTTAAAATTACTTCAGGGATTATATCTTGACCTGGTTTTATACTTTGAAACATAACTTGAACTAGCTTGAGCTGTCAATGAAAAAAGAAACATAATTAGGTAATCTAATTTTTTAATGGATTAAGGGAGGGAAAATTTTTCTTAGGGATAGGCAACGAATATGAGGGACTATTGTTTTGTCGAGTTATACTTTCATTGTTGCCAAGGCCCTCTGAGATAATGGCATGATATTTTCCCACATAAACCTGAAATTTCTAGCACTTGATGGATTTCTATTTTGTCTCAGATACTAGATGGTGGTGGGCAAAGGATGGAGAACTCTTGAAATTACAAACCCACTGCCTCGCCACTATCTTAAAAACTATTTTTTTCCTGAGTCTAACCAAGGCTCTGGTCTTTAAAACAGAGTTTGCAAGTGTAAGGCATGTAACAATATTCAAAACGCGGAGACACGCAGGACAGCTGTGGAAGTTAGGAAAAAAGACGCTTACTCAGTGCCGCTCTCCACCATCTGCGTGAGGAGAGAGATACCGTCCAGGTTTATAAACTCCTGGGCAAACGTGACATCCCGGGAGAGGCTGGCCAAGTCCTTCAGGGCTTCCAGCTTGGCATCCATACTCGAGGACTGGATTCGTTCATGGAGCTGCTGGGCGTTCTGAGCCTTATGGGGCAAAAGCAAAGGGAAGAGTGTTGACAAACGAAACCACAACAGCAAAACAGATTTATGTTTCAATGAGGAACAGAGATACAAAAGCCAAAAGCGCAAGACTATCTGCATATTACAGAGTGGGCATCTCAACGACAGGCTTCAAGGCTTCCAACCCAAACACTCCACCTTCAGAGCGAGGTCTGCTCATGTCACAACAGGAAGCAGTTGCATTCTTCTCAAAGGAGTTGGATTTCCATTTCGAGGAAAAGCAAGAGCAAGAGTACAAGAATATTAAAGCCCTAGAAACTGAACAGGATGCGGCAGAAAGGAGGGAGGAAAGGGGAAGTATTTACCCTTTAAGTAAAATTATTATGTAAAAGCAACTGAAAGCTATTTGCTTAGTTAAGCAATTACACAAATTTATACAGCACGCTCACCCGTTCAGTCAATACTCTGAGTAATAACTGCCTACACATGTTCGGGAGCTTCATTAGCCACCCAAATGATCTTTCTAGGTTACTGCAAATCTTCCAGCACTCCACAACGATGCTTGTAAATTTCAATTTTCAACAACATGTTGTTTCACATGCATTGGCTACTTGTGTGAATGTAAAACTAAATAATTAGGAAACCAAATTAACAGCTATGCCTAGAATTACTTTTAAGGCATTTGCACTTGGCTTCTACATGCAGGACAGAGAGGAATCGAAATATATTAGAGAAGCTGAACTTCTGGGTAATAATTTGTAGTCCAGATGTTTTATTCATCAAGTCAAGGTTTTCATATCTACCTTTCACTTGAGGCAGGCAGTAAGAAAAACAAAGGAATAAAATGTTCTGCCTGTGTTTTTGCTTAATACAGATAACCAAGTTAACTCAAAATCACTGTGGTTGAAGCACTCTGCTATCATCATATTCTCCTTCTCGGGTACTTGCTTTCTCTTTTGAAACCGTGTTATATTTTAGAGAGGGAGAAGATAGGGTGTCGACCCCATTAATGAGGTATCTCTCCTCAACAGACAACTGGTTACAACTCTCTCAGGAACCCCCTGTGAACTATCACAGGGTTAAGGTTGCAGAGTGGAGGCAGGAGAACCACCTAGGTATCGAAGGCAAAACCAGTGCTGGCCACAGACTCTGCCTGGAATAGGGGAGGGAATCCATGCAGGTCCTAAGAGCAGAAAGACTCCACCCCAGCAGGTCCACAGCCACAGAGCCCTCCCTCCCTGCCCAGTTCTCCCTCCACTGTCACCTGGAAGCAGCCCTCAAGAAGAGAAAAGGATTCAACAGGGGAACTGATGCAATTCTTTAGGACCCGAGACAGGGATAGAACCCATGCCCCGATCACTTGGTCACAGATGTGGCAGGTCTCCCATTTAATTAAAACCAAAAACAGACACGTTGCATCAGAAATTAGAAAAGAAGGAAAAGAGCAGGGAGGAAAACGAGAGCCCTCCCTACTTATCTATTCACTGATCTACAGATAACCCACACATCACTCAAATATTAAAAGGGAGAGTGGAGAGCTGGGTGAGAATTATTTATCTCTTAAAATTGTTCAGGGATATAGTACTTTCCAAAATTTTCAAATGGATATACAGCATTCACATGAACATTTAATAGTTAACCCAAGCAAATCATTTCAAATTCCTTGAAAAGTGTATTTTTTCTCCAAGAAGGATGTTTGCATTTACTATATAGGTTATGACAATAATGAGTACCCAAAAATTATTTCATTGTCATTATTAATGCTAATAGTGTTTGATGCAGTTGATACCAATATAAAAAATAGCCAAGTTTCCTAGCACTTTTTATAAGCCACTATTCTAAATACCTCATAAAGTAATTCATTTAATCTCCACAATAGTCCCAACAGGTAGGTCCTATCATAGGCTTTATTTGACAAAGGAAATTGAAGTTCAGGGAAGTTAGGTAACTTGCCCAAGGTCACACAGCTTATCAGTGCTGAGGCTAAAATAGAAACTGGGCAGCTGGACTCCAGAAAACACATTGTAAACAGTGGATCTCAAATTGTTGCCTGTGTAAGAATCACCTGGATGACTTCTTAATACACAGACCAAGGGCCACCCCTAGAGTTTCTGGTTCTAAAGGTCTGGGGTGGGGTCCCAAAAGTTTTGTGTTTAACAAGCCCCTAAGTGTTGCTGCTGCTGGCCTGGGAATCACACGCTGAGGACCACCACTCTAAATCACTCAGGATGCTGCATCTCTCCGTGATGATAGAATGAGCAGCTCTGATTGTGTTTTTCTTTCTTTCTTTTTTTTTTAGGGAGTCTTGCTCTGTCACCCAGGCTGGAGTGCAGTGGCACAATCTCGACTCACTGCAACCTCCGCCTCCCAGATTCAAGCGATTCTCCTGTCTCAGCGTCCCAAGTAGCTGGAATTACAAGTTCTTGCACCATGCCTGGCTAATTTTTCAATTTTTAGTAGACACAGGGTTTCACCATGTTGGCCAGGCTGGTCTTGAATTCCTGACCTCAGGTGATCAGCCTGCCTCGGCCTCCCAAAGTGCTGGGATTACAGGCGTGAGCCACCACGCCCAGCTGATTGTGTTTTTCAACTACCACCTGATCTTCCCCAGCTGTAACACAAGGAGGCCCTCCTGGTTTACAGTACCTAAAGAAAATGTGCTTGCCCTTTTAAAAGCTGTGCACCTTTAAGGAAGAACCTTTGCTAAGAAAACAAAGAAAAAGTCAATAATGTGGAAGCTAAGTAGATGGAATTTATTATACCTACTCTTATTAATATATACTTTATTATATCTATTCTTCCTAATTCATTTACATGCCTTCATACTTACCTACTTAAAAGTAAATAAATAAATTTTAAAATAAAAGAAGTGAGGAGAGAAACAACAGAAACCTGAAAAGGACAAATGTCCCAAGCAGAGGAATCAAGACTGTGGAGTCCTCCCAAATCCCACAACTGCTCATGGGTTGCTGCTATAGAAATTGAAAATATTTTACCAAGATGGTCACATGTAAGAATAGCAAAGCAATATCCTAACTTGCTGGGATCTTAGCCAAGGAGTCACTCCCAGTAATAGCAGTAAAGCCTTCTCCAAATTGTCAAACTACAAAAAAGCTCATAGACTCAATGGCCTGGAAAGTTCCTACAGAACTATTCACCCCTCTCCTTCACTCACCCCAGCGCCTGAGAATGATGTGTTCTGTTGGCATGAGGCTGTTCTTAACTATCCCCACAGGCCTTGCTCCTTCCCTTGGTACCCGTATCTAAGGAGACAACTTTTCTTTAAAAAGTGCAGTTCCCACAGTGTTTGCTTTAGGGTAAATTTCCCTCTTCATCCTAGGACATAGGTGAACAACTGGAGGAGACACATCACTAAAGAGGAGGGGAGGACTGTGGCAAGCCAGGTGGCGAGGGGACCATGATGGAAACCTCCATGACCCAGGAGTCCAAGGCAGGGCTACTTACATCTCTGCCATTGGCTACCTCCAGGGCTGCAGTGAACTTCTCTCTTCACCTCTCTTGGCCTCATTTTCCCCATCAGTAGGTACACCAAGGAACTGTGATGAGATCATGTTTAAGGTTCCCTTCCACCCACAGTGTGACAGAGTGCATCTCAGCTGGGCAGTAACCCTCATCATGGAGTCCGCCAGGAAAAGGTGCTCCACAGAGGTGAGTCCCAGAAGTGACCTCCAATCAAAATATTATGTCAAACTGGTGGGACCCTTTTAATGCAATATTTTTCCAATTGGATCCAGAACAGGCAGGGATATACCTTCTTTTTATCTTCTCTAATTTCTAAATAATCTGGAAATACAACATTTATTATATAAAAAAAGTGGGAATCAAAGTTTTTATTCTGAAAAGATTGGAGTTTTGTAAGGAAATTTTGTTCTCAGATATCAGTTATTGCAGATCACTCTTTATATAATTTTATATATTTTATATATATAAATATATGTATTCTCAGACAAGTCTTTCCAGTTATCCAGTGGAAAGGAATGTTCCTTCAAAATCCTCAGCATCCTCATTCACTGATTCAACAAATACTTCTGAAAAGCTTGACATTTGTTCCGCACATTTGGGATACAGCAACAAATAAGACAGCTACGGTTCTCAACCTCCTGGGGCTCACCCACCTTGGTGTGGCAGGTGGACAACTTTTAAAATTAGCAATAAAAAATCAAATATTGATGTTTCATAGCAAAACCTAAAGTGGAGGGTTTGTGTTAGAGAGTGACTGATGGCTTCTTTAGATGGAGTGGTTTTCAGGGACAAGCAACCTAAGGAAGTGACATTCAAGGAGAGATCTGACTGACAAGAAGGACCCCACCACATTGGGGAGTGGAATATTCTGGGCAGCATCAATGGTTAGTGCCAAAGCCCTGATTCAGGTGGAACAAGCCTGGCCTGTCTGGAGGGAGAGAAAGGAGAGGACTGATGTGTCTGGGGTCTGCAGGCCAGGGGGTGTGGAGGGAAGTGAGGATGTGGAAGCAGTAGACAAGGTAGCCTAGGGTGTTCATGAGCATGCAGAGCTGAAGGAGTCCCTGGTGGTGATGTGCTTCCCTGAATGGATGCATGTAAATATCGGAGATGGATGTGTGGTACATTTGGAGCCCTTAAAACAGCATTCATAGCCAAACATTGAGCAACCATCGTGTTTACCAATAGGACAATGGTGAAATAGTCATGACATAGTCATAGGATGAAATATCATATAGAACTACATATGGAACTTTTAGAGAATGTAAAATAGTGTGAGAACATCCTCACGAGGCAATATTAAGAGAAACAGCCAAGACGCAAACATATTTTATTGTTTATGGGAGGTGGGAATATGCGCAGTGGAGTGTGTGTATCTGCCAGAATGTAATGTCACCCAGCACACAGAAGTGTGTCTGGCATTTACCATGAGTTCAAAACACATTTCACTAAATGAATGTACAAATGAATACACATATATATATGAATGCATAAATGAATATATATATGAACCTATAAATGAATATATATACATTCATGTATGCACACATATGTATTCACACATTTGCATACAAATGGTCAAAGAAGGCAAGTAGATGTGACCTGTGGTTATTTATGAATTGTAATATTCTAAACAATTTTCTTTGCAGGAAGCCTTATTTTTTGCATTTTCCATAATGAATTTGCACCATTTTTATATTTGGGAGGAAAGAGTCAACATTATTAAAAAAATAAGATAGCCTTGGTTCTGATTTTTCAAGCAACCAGCACACATGAAAAGAATCTAATAGTCATGTAGGTCTCTGTATCAGACAGCAAGTTATATTTTCTGGTATTGCTCTAAGGATAGAAAAAAGTTTTACTTTGGGCCATTGAAACAGCTTGATGTGGCTACCTCATGTCCCAGATAGGAAAGGGTTCTGGACCCAGACTCCAGACTCCAAGGGAGGAAACAGCTCATAAAGGATTAGCCGTGGGCACAGGAAAGGGTACTGGTAGTGTGTGTGTGTCAAGCATTTAACATTTCTCTCTCTTGAAGATACAAGTTAAAATCATCCCCAAGAAACTTCTAGCATAACTCTGGATCCATGATGCCAATTAAAAAGTAGTCTAAAAACATCCTTAGTTTCAACAGTTTAATAGATATCTTCAAATGTACGCTCAATGTTGCCCAGCAATCCAATATTTTCCTGGAATGTTTGCTGTGTCCCTTCAGAATGACTCCTCCATACCTTTTCTACTCTCCTTAAACCCCCTCTATGCCTTTCTGCTGCCTCCCCTCCACTGGTGATCATTTAATTGAGGAAATCAAAGCAATCAGCCAGGAGTTCCTTCATCTTCCTACTTCTAACAGCACCAGCTGCTGGCATCTCTACCCTCAAGCTCTGCTTCCTCCTGATAGATGCTGTGTGGCGGGGACCCTGTTTCCTATCAGAAGTCAGCTCTTCCCCTCAGCTCTGGATCTCCTCTCCCCTGGCCTTCTCAAGTATTTTACTTCAAATTTATCTCCCTTTCTTCTGTATCATCAATTCTCTCTCTGTAGTAGAACATTTCCAGCTGCAAAAATCTCTAATATCTCCCATCTTTAAAAAAAATAAACAGAAAGGTAAAAACATCCATTGACCCAGTTTCCCTACAGCTACTTCCTCATTTCTCTGCTTGCATTTTCAGCAAAAGTTTTGGAAGAGAGAGTAGCTCGAAAGTGTTGCCTCCGTTCTACCTCCTATTCTCCCCGCTCTCATGAGGCGTCCCTGTCCAGCCCTGCATGGAGAGTGTCTCCACCATGCTATTAATACCTCCAGGTGGCAGCCCAGGGACCACCCTCATCGCATCATCTTTATTACCTGGACAGCCTCCAACACACCTAAGTACTACTCCCTCCTCCTTGAAACACTTTGCTCACCTGGCTTCTTGCTAGGCTCCTCCTCTAAACCTTAAGAGTGTCCCCAGGGGTCTGTGCTGAGCCCTCTCCTCTACTTTCCCCATGGTGACCTCTTCCAGCCCACAGCTTTAAATGCCATTTCCATGGGGGTGGCTGGCACACCTGCATCTGTCCAGGCTTCCTAGTTAACAGCACGCAGTTAATTTTGCCAGAGCACCGGGAGGAACAGGACATCCTTCCTCAAAGAGCACCACATGCTGAAGTTCTGGGGCTTGCCCTCCACGACACTCCTTCCAACTCTCCAATTCCCTACAAGGCAGGTAGCCCAAGCCCCCTGCATCTCCTGAACCTGCAAGAAACTCTGACCCGGTGCCCTGGCCGCCCCTGCAATCTGTCCTTGGGCAGCAGCCTGGGGATCCTGTGTCGCCTCTGCCTGCCAGCCTCCACTGGCTTCTTCTCCCATAAGCTAGGCCGCTGAGAGTGATGCCAATAAATAGAATTTAAGGCATGTTACAACCCTTTATTAGTTTCTCAAACCAGGAGAGAAAAATTGAAAACCTGAATTGAAAAATGGAATTAAAAAAAAAAATTAATGGGCTTATTGTTAAGAATCTCCGATAACCTGAATCCACACAATGACTGAGATAATACTATTTTTCTTATTGCCAGAGGGAATAAGACCCAAAAATCATGATGACAGGCCCTCTGACCTAAATAATGCTGATACCGGCTCCCTAAACCAGAAAGAGTAGAAAGCAAGGATTATGCTTACAGCTGACAAAGCAACAGTAGGGACTTGATGAGCAGTTCTGCTTTCTATAATACATCCACACAGGCCAAAAGAAGGCATAATGGTCAATAATTCAGTTCGCTTATAATAGGGTTCACAAAAAAATCTCATAGTTTGCAATCTTGACATGTTTTTAGCATAGGGCATTATGATTCACCTCTTTTGTACTATAATGGCTTTGTAATATATATTTGTGTATTTCTTTAATTAAAAATAATACCAGCACATGAGATAGGTAGAAATACATGAGTACAGCCAGGCATGGTGGCTCACACCTGTAATCCCAGCACTTTGGGAGGTTGAGGCGAGCAGATAACTTGAGGTCAAGAATTCGAGACCAGCCTTGCCAACATGGGGAAACCCCATCTCTACTAAAAATACAAAAATTAGCCGGGCATGATGGCGTACGCCTGTAGTCCCAGCTACTCGGGAGGCTGAGGCAGGAGAATCACTTGAACCCAGGAGGCGGAGATTTTAGTGAGCTGAAATTGTGCCACTATACTCCAGCCTGGGCGACAGAGCAAGACTCCATCTAAAAAAAAAAAAAAAATATGTATATATACACACACACACACACACACACACACACACACACACACACACACACACACGAGTACTACTGGAAGTTACCAAATAAAAAAATAAAGTTAGCCCAAAGGTAACAGTTTCTTGTGGGTATCCCTTGAGAAACATTTTATCCTTTTATCTGAATATACATACACTTCCCTTCCACATACATAACAGGCATCCCTCTATACAGGATGTTCTGCAACCTGCTTTTGTGTTAATGGCATACTTTAGGGATACCTCCTCGGCAGCACGTATCACATTCTTACTAACAACTGCACAGTATTCTACAACATAAAAATTACCTACTGCACTTACCTAGTCCAACTGATAGATACATAACAGGTTCCTAGTTTTTGATCACTAAAAACAATGATGCATATAGCCATGCTTGGGCGCGCGCACGCGTGTGTGTGTGTGTTCATCCTGCAGTGCTTTTGTGAGTCTATTTATTATATAAATTCCCAGCAGCAGTACTGTTAAGACAAAGGTATATGTATTTTAAACTTAGGTGAATACCACTAGATTGCCCCCGAAGAGGGCATACAAATAGATTCTACTTCAAATTTTCAAAATCCTGACCCCACAGCATCTTTTCCTCACACTTAGATTATCTAGGACTGTAGATTTTCATCTCTAAGAGAGATTGAACTTCTTCTCAGATAGATACATACACACATACATGCACAGACATTATTTTGTTTATTTTTCCCTTGTTCATAGCTTTTGGCAGCCTGTCTTTTGGGACGGTTTCTTGATCCACTCATAAAAAATCTTGCAAATGAATGAACCGGACCTCCATTATGCAGCTGTCAATTATTTTTTCCAATGTTGTTTTTGACTTTGTTTCTGGAATTCTTTCCAAACACAAAGTTTTTGTGGGGTTGTTTTAATTTTTTGGTAGTCAAATTTATTGATCTTTTTCTTTATGGTTTCTGCATTTTGTGTTCTACTTAGAAGTTTCTCTCTACTTCAAGACTACAAATATAGTCACCATAAGCACTTCTTAAAACAAAAATTTCAGAAAAGTAACAATGGTCTGGCAAGCCAAGCTGTTTCTGATACGAACAATAGCCAAAGCTGATTTTAAAATATGCTGCATGCAACAGAGGACCTCAGACTCTATGCCCACAGCTATTATGATCATGGCAGGTAGGAGACACTACAAGACACTACTCAGCTCTGCATATAGAAGCTCCCCAAATCCTGACTGCTCCAAAGGTCACACACATTTGCACACATTCTCTGGGTGTGTTCCTGGCTATATTTTTTTGTGAGACAGGCTCTCGCTCTGTCGCCCAGGCTGGAGTGCAGTGGCATGATCTCAGCTCACTGTAACCTCCGCCTCCTGGGTTCAAGCAATTCTCTGCCTCAGCCTGCCGAGAAGCTGGGATTACAGGTGCCCACCACCATTCTCGGCTAATTTTTGTATTTTTAGTAGTGATGGGGTTTTTGTCATCTTGGCCAGGCTGGTCTTGAACTCCTGACCTCGTGATCTACCCGCCTTGGCCTCCCAAAGTGCTGGGTTTACAGGTGTGAGCCACCACACCCAGCCTATATTTTTTATGGTAGCAGGAGATAGATAAAGATACCACACTAGAAAGATACGCTTGTTTAACACGGCCACTAGAGAGACTGTCTAAAGATGTACCATGCAGTGGAGAAGCAGCAGCCATGTACAAGGCCTATTACAAATGAATTAAACAGTGCAGGTTGTTTGTTTAGATCTTCTAGTATTAGTGACCATTTCTCTAGGATCAATCCAGAAGGGACTGTTCTGTGATAAAGGGAGACAGAAAACAAATTCATCAATCAACAAAAAGACCACCTTTGACAGAGTGGAGGTAAAACTCAGCATAGCTACACGTTACATAAAAACAGCAGTGTGTGTGTGTGCACGCGCAGGCGTGTGTGTGCCCATGTGGATGTTGAGATGTCCTTATTTGGCTTCAGGGAGAGTTCAGCTGAGGCAGACGAAGGAACTTCGAAAGCTAGTATAACACCATCTGCTGGCTTCTTTATGGTACTCTAATAGGTGTTGTTGTTTTTAACATATTTTTATTGTGTATGTAAAAATGAACAAGCATATGCAAGTATATTTTTCAGCTACATGCAAAACTATAAAAAATAACCTATTTAAAGTTCACAGATCCCAAATTTCTGGCTTATAGAGTAACTTCTCAATTCTAGACCCTGTGGCTACAGCCAAACCACAAGGTGATTGCTTAAAATGCAGATTCCTGGGGCCTATTCCCAAATATTGTAATCCAGCCTCTCTATTAAGGCCCCAGACATCAGCATTTTCAAACTTCCACAGCTGATCCAGGTTTGGGGATCACTGCTTTTTGGAAAATGTAAGCCAGTCTTTTGTAGCTGGGCTCCTATCTTTTTTTTTTTTTTTTTTTTTTTGAGACAGAGACATAGTCTCACTCTGTTGCCCAGGCTGGAGTGCAGTGGCGTCATCTCTGCTCACTGTAAGCTCCACCTCCTGGGTTCACGCCATTCTCCTGCGTCAGCCTCCCGAGTAGCTGGGACTACAGGCGCCTGCCACCACGCCTGGCTAATTTTTTTTGTATTTTTAGTAGAGACGGGGTTTACACCGTGTTAGCCAGGATGGTCTTGATCTCCTGACCTGGTGATCCGCCTGCCTCGGCCTCCCAAAGTGCTGGGATTACAGGCGTGAGCCACTGCACCCGGCTGCTCCCATCTTTTAATAGTGCCTCTTACACTGGCTTTCACATCTTTCCATTCACTGAGCTGGGAATGTGAGGATCATTATCTCAAGAACACAAATTCCATTCTTCCTGATGACAAGTCACGCTAAGTTTCTTTTGGGATGCTGAAAAACTTCACTCTGCCTAACATCTAAGCCTTCTCTCAAGGAGTGACTTAGATTGCGGAATTTTTGTTCATAAATCCACAGCAGTAAAAAAATGAAACTAACTCCTTCTTTGGCTTAGAGAAGGCTTTGATTAAAAAGCTGTCTTTTAGACTCTAAAATGAAATAAAAGGCAAGGTCTACTTTTTCTGTCCAGCAAGCAGATGATGACTTTTAGCAGGATAATCAGAAACTACAAAAAACACATAAAACAATGGTGTAAAGGTCAAATTAACATTCATTCATGCTGACTTGAGTAAGAAGACCAATGCAAAGTCAGACGAAAACGCCTCAGCTCATCATGTAGCCACTGAAAAATGAGTAGATTATAATCTCCATTAAGTAGCAAAGCAGGCATCAAAGACAGTTCAGCCAACTGTAGCAACTCACTCCATTGAGCTCATCACTGTTTTTAGGTTCAGGATGTTATTGGGCAAAATGTTTAGGAGTTTCTAAGCCACACTAATGTAATTTTCAACAATAAGGATTTATGGTAGTTACAGTACCCACAGCTTAATTTTAGCCAGATGCTTTTCCCAATTTTTAAATTTATTTTTAGTCTACCACATGGCTTCAGTGGAAACTGAAAATGATAGTTAGACACAGTTTTCATCACATATGCAGAGTGAAAATAGTAACACTTGGTGTATTTGGGGCAGATAATTTTTTAGGAAAGCAATGAAATGCACTGTAAAATAATATAGTTAAATATGCTAATGTTACTACCTAAAGTATCTCCAAGCAAGTAGGAAAGACCAAGAAGAGAGACATCATCAGCTACAATAGTCTAAATATACTGTAGCGTCTTGTTTAGCAGCTTTAATTCAGAAGACTCTAAAGTTCTTATGTAGAATCAGCTGTCAATGGATCAGTGAAGTGGTCAATATTTCTAAATTATTTTTATGAATTGTCATAATAACCCATTAAAGCTACAAAATACTTAAACTCTCTCTCTCTCTCACACACACACACACACACACAGACACACACACACACACACACACTGACTTTTTCTTTTTTTTCTTTTTTTTTTTGAGATGGAGTCTCACTCTCTCACCCAGGCTGGAGTGCAGTGGCACTACCTCTGCTCACTGCAAGCTCCACCTATTAGGTTTCACGCCATTCTCCTGCCTTAGCCTCCCGAGTAGCTGGGACTACAGGCGTCCACCACCACGCCCGGCTAATTTTTTGTATTT
The DNA here is from genome assembly GCF_000001405.40 of Homo sapiens. NCBI lineage: Eukaryota > Metazoa > Chordata > Mammalia > Primates > Hominidae > Homo > Homo sapiens. Next base: position 37,271,119 of record NC_000007.14, read on the forward strand.
TTAGTAGAGACAGGGTTTCACTGTGTTAGCCAAGATGGTCTTGATCTCCTGACCTCCTGATCCACCTGCCTCGGCCTCCCAAAGTGCTGGGATTACAGGCATGAGCCACCGCGCCCAGCCACACTGACTTTAAAGGAAAGTAACCGACTTTAAAGGAAAGTAACTGACTTTGGTTTTGTTTGCTTTGTTTGTTGTCTGAATTTGCTCAGATGGCATTAGGTGGATGTGTGAGTAGGTGGGTAAAACCAATTGGTACAGGTGAGTGATCCCAGCTGTAACACAGAAGTTGTTAAGATGACCTCCAAACTCAAATCTTAAAGCAGAAGTGTCCAATCTTTTGGCTTCCCTGGGCCACAGGAAGAAGAAGAATGTCTTGGGCCACACATAAAATACGCTAACGATAGCTGATGAACTAAATAAAATACAGAACAACTCATAATGTTTTGAGAAAGTTTACGAATTTGTGAATTCAAAGCTATCCTGGGCCGCAGGTTAGACAAGCTTGCCCTTCGCCTGGAATAAGGTCTTCCTCCTCTGCAGTGGGAAATCTACGGAGGGGCATTCCTGCTAATCCAGAATCTGCATGTCAGGACATTCTGGAAGCCTTTTGCTTTGCACTAAAGTCAACCTCAAAAATTAATATCCCACAATCACATATAGCAGAAACGCAGAGCAAAGAGTTTGCTGGAAGTCAGAAGCTAAGATCAACTTACTGGAGATGTGGTTAATCGAAGGATAGTGCCATTTTTTATCTCATTGCGGTTCTGGAAAAGAAGAAAAAATCTTTGTAAATTTTCAAGTAGAAGCTTGGTAAAGAAGAGAACAAAGGCAAATATAATCTAGCAGATATAACAGGCATTCAGTTTATTCTCACTTGAATAATTTTTAATTATTTCTATAAAGGCTGTTAACTTTCTATCTGACAATATTCAGTACAAAGGAAGTGAATACAAACCCAAAGAAAAGGAATATGGGTCCCAAGTATAGCAAACAAAAAAAGTAATTTTAAAAGGTTATTAAGGGCATATGACCTGACTCCTACATTTCTACAATTCCTGACTCCTACGATTGCACTCCTACATATTTACTCAAGGGAAGTGAAAGCATATGTCCACACAAAAATTTGTGCACTAATGTTCACAGAAACATTATCTATAATAGCCAAAACGTAGAAACAATACATATGTCCATTACTTGATAAATGGATAAGCAAAATGTGGTCTATCCGTTCCACAGAAAATTAGTAAGTCATAAAAAAGGAATGAAGGGCCAGGCGTGGTGGCTCACACCTGTAATCCCAGCACTTTGGAAGGCCGAAGCAGGTGGATCACCTGAGGTCAGGAGTTTGAGACCAGCTTGGCCAGTATGGCGAAACCCCGTCTCTAATAAAAATACAAAAAGAAAAAATTAGCCAGGCATAGTGGCAGGCGCCTGTAATCCCAGCTACTCAGAAGGCTGAGACAGGAGAATTGCTTGAATCCAGGAGGCAGAGGTTGCAGTGAGCTGAGATAGCACCACTACATTCCAGCCTAGGCAACAAGAGTGAAACTCCGTCTTAAAGGAAAAAAAAAAAAAAAGGAATTAAGTACCAATACATGCTATAACATGGATGAACCTTGAAAACATTACACTAAGTGAAAGATGCCAGACACAAAGGCTTCATGTTATATGACTGCATTTGCATGAAATGTCCAGGATAGGCAAATAAATAGAATCAGCCATTAGGATAAATGGTTGCCTAAGGCTGGGGGAGGGAGGGAATGGGAATGACTGCTCCATGGGTCCAGTGTTTTCTTTTGGGGTGATGTAAATGTTTTGGAACTAGATTGGTGATGGCTGCACAACATTGTGAATGCACTAAATACCCCCAAATTGGACACCTTTAAAAGGTGAATCATTGTGACGTCTGTCTCAGTAAAGCTGTTTCTTTAAAAGGGTTATTAAGGAGTTTGGTTTCTTAACATTTGCTGATTCCTTTTGCATGTTGCCTTGAAGTTAAGCACAAACAGCATAAATAAGCAGCTCTCCAATCAGTCTGCCTCCATTTGGCAAGTATATTTGAAGTAAGTGTTATGAAGCTATCACTTAGCATCTGGTGTGGTTTGGCTTTGTGTCCCCACCAAACTCTCATCTTCAATTGTAATCCCCATGTGTTAACAGAGGGACCTTGGGGAAGGCAACTGGATAATAGGGGCAGTTTCCCCCATGCCATTCTCGTGAGAGTGAGTGAGTTCTCACGAGATCTGATGGTTTTATAAGGGGCTCTTTCCCCTTTGCTTCTTTCACACCCTCTCTCACCTGCTGCCATGTAAGACATGCCTGCTTACCTTTCTGCCATGATTGTTAAGTTTTTTGAGGCCTCTCCAGCCATGCGGAACTGTGAGTCAATTAAACCCTCTTTTCTTTATAAATTACCTAGTCTCAGGTAGTTGTTTATAGCAGTGTAAGAACAGACTAATACAGCATCTTTGACATTGAAGATAGAATTTCATTGGTGGTTTTATTTTCTTCCAGCAGAGTACACACCACACCCAATTTCCAGGAGGAGGCCTTCCAGGACTCACCGTGGTCGCATGCCCTACCTGGTATGCTGAAGTTGGGGGTTAATAAATCTGCCTTCAGGATCACTACCCTGCATAATTTAAGACGAGCCACAAGCTGGAGTTTGCTCAGGACTCAGCAGACACACTGAGGTGGTGGGAAATTTCTTGATGAAATGCCAAAGACATATAAGATTGCTTGCTTCCTCAGCCAATTCTGACGATTTTTTGGACAATGAATTTTCTAAAAGAACCACCCAAAAAGGGGCAGCCTTCAGGCCAGTATTTCTTCCCAAAGAAAAGCAGATCTGAACATTTCACACCAAGTGCAGGCAGGCCCGAAAACCCAACACCACCAGATCCAGGCCCTATGTGTGCAATTCAGCCCAGTGTAGAGCATCCCCTGATGCACTGGGTCACCTCCGGAGAGAGCTAGCTCATTGTTACTAGAAGCATGCAAACATGGTACTGAATGCCTCTTGGCAGGCAGGCTGAGATAGGAGCTGGGGAAATGAATTCAAGTCATTTTTAAAATCTCTTTTCAACTCTAAAATTCTATGACTCTGTGAGAAATGAAAGGAAGATGGCAAATACTAACAACAGAGTTCTAAGGAAGCCAAATACATAACATACCCTTTCTTTGCTCAAGCTCTAAACAACTTGAGAAAATAAGATGGAGAACTAAAAATCCTTTATATTAGTGATTATGGAGAACAACGCTCAGAGTGAGCCAGCAGACGTGCTGACTGAACCCTTGGGCCAGGCACACCTGTTCATGTAAGACTTAAGGCAGGTCCCTTCCCAAGAGGAAAGAGGTCTAGTTTATTCTTCCCAAATTTTCCAAACAGGAAGGGAAGAAGGCCCCAAGGGTATGAAGCGGCCAGGAGGGTTTAGAAACAATTTTTTTTTTCCCAGAAGGAGTCTCGTTCTGTCACCTAGGCTGGAGTGCAGTGGCACGATCTGGGCTCACTGTAACCTCCACCTCCCAGGTTCAAGCGATTCTCCTGCCTCAGCCTTCCGAGTAGCTGGGATTACAGGAGCCTGTCACCAAGCCCGGCTAATTTTTGTATTTTTAGTAGAGGCGAGGTTTCACCATATTGGCCAGGCTGGTCTCAAACTCCTGACCTTGTGATCTGCCCATCTCAGCCTCCCAAAGTGTTGGGATTATAGGCATAAGCCACCACACCTGGCCCAGAAATAATCTTTCTAATAATCATGGAAATTTGGAGCTGCAATGAGACATTCCTAACAAAAGCAATAAACTAACATTTATTGAAAGGAACTGGGCTCGGAGTTTTTGTTTCTCATGCTTATGTAACCAACATTATAACTCTATGCCCACGTTAAAGATAAGAAAGCAAAGCTGCTGAGAGGATAAGTTATTTGCCCAACATCATGGAGGAGGATGAGAGGACTCAAACCCAGGTAGTCTGACAACAAATGCTGTGCTCTGTCTGCCTGACAAAGGTAAGAGCCAGGCCTTGCATTTACCCTCAGAGGAAGAGTTCATCAGTCGCTCAACATACATGACAGCAAATAATCAAGACTGGATTCCTAACTGCTAAGGAATGCTCCTCGGAGTCCCAGGGCTTCCCTGCCACACCCAAGGTGATGTACTGGGTGCTGGGTGGGAGGAGGGCTGGAAAAGTTCCGCATTGGCCTCTAGGCTCCCTCAGGCACTCCTTCAAGGTTCACTCCTTCTTTTTTGGAACCCAAGCAAGATTGCTTTCAAGAAAGGGTCTTGATGATTGTTTGTTTCAAAGCAAAGCATGATTAAATTCTCTGATAAAGCTGGGCTCAATTCCTGCTCTGCTTCTCACCAGCTGAGTGGACTCAGTAAAAGCTACTTAATTCCTCAGACCTAAACTCTCTTCCCAAAAGTGGGAAGAACAATGCACTGTTAGAGGTGAATAAGAACAAGAGGAAACGGACGCAGGCACTGCATCTAGACTCCAACTGGCTCAAGAATGAGAGCAATTACTGCTGTCCCAGAGACAACAGCACCTTCTGCCTGTGCCTTCTCAATCAACAATTACATTTATCTTCTCTCCCTTCCTTCCCCCATGCTTTTAAATCAGTGTCTTGTACTTTAAATGAAAAGGAGATATGTAGAACTACTAAAATATGCATTAAAAATGTTAAGGTCCTGACAGAAAGGCAGAGCAAACTCAGAAACAAAGGCAATGGTAGACCACTGTTTCTGAGACTATATTCTATCCAGAAAGTCAACTGGATTACAGCTTTTTCACCATATGCTGATGACACCTTTGGCTCTGAAAGGCCTAACTTGGGATGTAAACTTCATTAAGAAAGAAAGAGGCTTGTCATTGTTCTGATTTCATAAATCCCACACAGGAGGCATAGTGCATAGCTTAAAAGTGATGGGGCCACCCAGACTGGACACACATTTCACTTCCGAGCGGGAAAACCTGGTGCAAGTGGCATGGCTGTCCTCATGTTCCCAGCTTTCTCATGTCCCCGGCTTCCTCCCATGGAAAATGAGGATACTGCCTATTTCCTAGGTTGTTCTGAGGACCAAGTGAGATAATCCATTTAAAGTCCTTAAAACAGCCTGGCAAATTGCAAATGCTAAAAAGAAATGAGATAGGAAGAGAGAGAAAGAGAGAGAGAGTTCGCTGTTTATTATTAAGCACAAAAATAACACGTAGGCCGGGCACGGTGGCTCAAGCCTGTAATCCCAGCACTTTGGGAGGCCCAGGCAGGCAGATCACGAGGTCAGGAGATCGAGACCATCCTGGCTAACACGGTGAAACCCCATCTCTACCAAAAATACAAAAAAAAATTAGCCGGGCGTGGTGGCAGGCGCCTGTAGTCCCAGCTACTCGGGAGGCTGAGGCAGGAGAATGGCGTGAACCCGGGAGGCGGAGCTTGCAGTGAGCCGAGATTACGCCACTGCACTCCAGCCTGGGTGACGGAGCGAGACTCCGTCTCAAAAAATAAAATAAAATAAAACACATAAAAAGCACACTGCTAGACCCTTATTTGTTTTTAGCTAGACCCTATACATAAATAATAAATAAAAATAATAGTACAATCTATGTTACACCAAGGACAGAAACGTCTACCCAGCAGGATAACAAATATTAGCAAATGCATACCTCTTCTGTAAGTTGACCGGCATGTCTAAGGAGGAATTCTGTCTCACAAGCATGCTTTGTATTGGAGGCAGGGAATCTCTCACCCACTTTTTTTATCCTATTCAGTCCTCAGTCTGTTTCAGAGGGAGCAGCCCTCGGAGCATCAATAAGTGCTGTCTATGTGCTTTTACTTATGCATCTTTTTTGTTCATTGGCTGTCTTCCTCACCCCTAGGATGTCACCTCCATGAGAGCAGATAGTTTATTATGTCTATATCACTCCCATCCAGAAGAGTGGACACCTATGACCTGGCACATGCCGGCACTCAAAAACTATCTGTTGAATAAATAGCTAAACTACTGTATGCCAGCCACAGATGAGGCACCAAGGCAGATACAAAGTTAAACAGGACTAATTCCTGTCCGCTGGGAATTGGTCAGTGACAGAAACTGACATATAATAACTGCATCTGTACCATGGCAGAGACCTGGGGGTGACCAGCACTGCATCAGCACATAGGTGTGATGCAGAGAGAGGGGAAGAACAGGGTGTGCAGCACAGGCTTTTAGAGGAGATGACATTCAAGATGGCCCTCTGGGCATAGGCAGGATTTCCCAGGGGAGAAGAGGAAACAGCACATCTCAAAGCTCTGAGGCATGAAAGGACAAGACATCTTCATGGAACAGAGAAAAGTCCTATGTGGTCGCTTAGAGCTGGAGATGCAGGAAGAAAAGGAAGACGGGACTCTTGAAAGGTAGACTGATCTTCCACCATTTAAGAAGAGGGAAGAGCAGGAGTAAGGGGTGGCACTCCAGCTCTGATTTGCTGTTAGCAAACATGTCATCTCTCTCTTGAGCCAGCTGGGCAATATGGCCGGCATATCTGTCCACAGATATTCTCCTAAGGAGAAATGCAAGGCTCAGGCTTTGGGAACAAGGGTCATGTGGCCCGCTTCATGAGAAAGGAATCCAGAGCCTCTGGGCTGAGAATAGAAACCATCTCCCTCACCCCCACACTCAGCTGGTTACTGAGAACGCACACCTTCCAATGTCTGCAATAACAGCACTTTGTATGCTTCCTCTGTCTTTACTGGCATAACTTTATTCTTCCAGAAGTCTCCTGCCTAGGCAGATGGCATGACTGCTCATTACAGGAACTTTCTGAAAGACCCAGAAACTCAAATGAAAAACATCAACTGTTTGTACCCTAAGGTTCTTTGAATCCCTTGCCTCAAAGCCTGCAGTTTCCACCAATCCAAACTGTTGTATCATGACCCATGCATGCTTTGAAAGACCCAACTAAACCAAACTTCCAATTCTCAATAAATTCTGACTTTACTTTCTGTGATAGCTTTTCCTTTTTTTTTTTTTTTTTTTTTTTGGCGGGGCTGGGGGTGGTGTGGTACTGGGTGGCCCTTTTTGATGTGTTAACTTCACTAGGCTACAGTTTCCAGTTATGCGAATACTAATCTAGATGTTGCTGTAAGGTATTTTGTATATGTGATGAAAGTCTATAATCACTTGACTTTAAGTAAGAGAGATTATCCTAGATAATCTCAATGGGCTTGTTTCAATAAATTGAAAGGCCTTAAAAACAGAGTTGTTTAGCTGGGCATAGTGGCTTATGCCTGTGGTCCCAGCTACTTGGGAGGCTGAGGTGGGATGATTGCTTGAGCCCAGAAAGTTAAGGCTGCAGTGATCTATGATCCCACTACTGCACTCCAGCCTAGGCAACAGAGCAAGACCCTGTCTCTTCAAAACAAAACAAAACACTAACAATAAAACAGAGCCGAGGGTACCTTGAAGGAACAAATTCTACCTGTGGACAGTAGATAGCAGATTCAGTCTGTGTCTCAGAGTTCCAGCCCACCCTGTGGATTTAGGGTTTTCCTAACCAGCTCCCATAATCCCATGAGGTAATTCCTTGCAGTCAGTTCCTATACATCTCCTACTGGTACTGCATCTCTAGTGGAGTCCTGATGAATTCACCTCTGCCTGAGACACTGACAAAGTGTTTCATGCTGATATTCTCCCTCAACAAGGTGAGCAACAAGGTCATCTCTGTCTTATCAGGGTCAATCCAACCAGCATTTAACTGAGGCAAGGTCACTTTTCTCAGGCCAGAGAAGAAACTGCATCAAATGACGTATGAGAGTGTGTGAGGGGCCAGGCGCGGTGGCTCACGCCTGTAATCCGAGCACTTTGGGAGGCCCAGGCCGGTGGGTCACGAGGTCAGGAGTTCGAGAGCAGCCTGGGCAACATGGTGAAACCCGGTCTCTAATAAAAACACAAAAAAATTAGCCAGGCGTGGTGGCGGGCGCCTGTAATCCCAGCTACTCAGGAGGCTGAGGCAGGAGAATCGCTTGAAACTGGAAGGTGGAGGTTGCAGTGAGCCGAGATCACGCCACTGCACTCCAGCCTGGGCAACAACAGCGAAACTCCGTTTCAAAAACAAACAAACAAACAAACAAACAAAAAGTGTGTGAGGGCTACTACCTCACCAGGGCATTTCAACTCAATGGGGAGACGTGGCTCTAAGGCTTTAAAATGGCAAATGGGAAGGGGATCATCATGGCGGACGGGAGGCAGGACTAGATTGCAGCTCCGGACAGAGTAGCGTGCGGAAGCTCGCTTTGTGGATTTTAGCTCCAGATAGACTGCAAGGACAAACCAGTAATCCCGAGAGGACCCACAGACCCTCTGAAGGAAGCAGACTGGCTCCTGCAATACCCGGGAGACACCCCAAATACTGTGAGTGCCCCAACTGTGGAAGTAGGAAAGGGAGACCCTCTTCTCCGAAAACACACCCCCACTAAAGAAGCTGAAGGTCTCTTTGCGGGAGAAGTTTCCGACCTTACCTGGAGCTGAGCCAATTTAGAGACGGGAGAGAAATACAGGGTAGAGGAAGCAGCAGAAAGGTCCTGGGAGCTCGCTGCGTCCCCTAGCAGGCCATTACCACCTGGCACCACAGGGATCCAACGGGAGGGTGGCCAGTGGAGCAGGGGGTATAACTCCACAGGGAGAAGGAAATCTGTAGCCGAACTTTGTATGGTGGGAGTGAGACTGGCCCTTCAGTTTGCATGGGAGCTGGGTGAAGCCTGTCACGGCCGGCCTTCCCCCACTTCCCTGACAACCTGCATGACTCAACAGAGGCAGCCATAATCCTGGAGGCATCACACTACCTGATTTCAAACTATACTATAAGGCCATAGTCACCAAAACAGCATGGTAGTGGTATAAAAACAGGCACATAGACCAATGGAACAGAATAGAGAACACAGAAATAAACCCAAATACTTATAACCAACTGATCTTCGACAAAGCAAACAAAAACATAAAGTGGGGAGAGAACACCCTTTTCAACAAATGATGCTAGGATAATTGGCAAGCCATATGTCGGAGAATGAAACTGGATCCTCATTTCTCACCTTTTACAAAAATCAACTCAAGATGGATTGAGGACTTAAACGTAAGACCTGAAACTATAAAAATTCTAGCAGATAACATCGGAAGAACCCTTCTAGACATTGGCTTAGACAAGGATTTCATGACCAAGAAGCCAAAAGCAAATGCAATGAAAACAAAGATAAATAGCTGGGACCTAATTAAACTAAAGAGCTTTTGCACAGCAAAGGGAACAGTCAGCAGAGTAAACAGACAACCCACAGAGTGGGAGAAAATCTTCACAATCTATACATATGAAAAAGGATTGATATCCAGAATCTACAACGAATTCAAACAAATCAGTAAGAAAAAAAAAATCCCATCAAAAAGTGGGCTAAGAACATGAATAGACAATTCTCAAAAAAGGATATAAAAATGGCCAAGAAACATATGAAAAAATGCTCAACATCCCTAATGATCAGGGAAATGCAAATCAAAACCACAATGCGATATCACTTTACTCTTGCAAGAATGGCCATAATCAAAAAAATAAAAAAAACAGTAGATATTGGCATGGATGTGGTAAACAGAGAACACTTCTACACTTCCGGTGGGAACGTAAACTACTATAGCCACTGTGGAAACAGTGTGGAGATTCCTTAAAGAACCAGAAGTAGAACTACCATTTGATCCAGCAGTCCCACTACTGGGTATCTAGCCAGAGGAAAAGAAGTCATTATTCAAAAAAAGATACTTGCACATGCACGTTTATAGCAGCACAATTCACAATAGCAAAATCATGGAACCAACCCAAATGCCCATCATCAACGAATGGATAAAGAAACTGTGGTATATATAAAAATATATATATAAATATATATATATACACACACATATGATGGAATACTACACAGCCATAAAAAGGAGTGAGTTAACAGCATTTTCAGCGACCAGATGAGATTGGAGACTATTATTCTAAGTAAATTAGGAATGCAAAAACAAACATCGTATGTCCTCACTGATATGTGGCAGCTAAGCTATGAGGACACAAAGGCATAAGAATGATACAATGGACTGTGGGGACTTGGGGGGAAGAGCGGGAGGGGGGTGAGGGATAAAAAAACTACAAATATGGTGCAGTGTATACTGCTTGGGTGATGTGTACACCAAAATCTCACAAATCACCACTAAAGAACTTACTCATGTAACCAAATACCACCTGTTACCCCAATAACTTATGGGAAATAAAGTGTGTGAGGAAGAAAAAAACAATGAGGCAATACCCCCCACAAACAGGGAAAGGGATTCCATGAAAGCAAAGAATGTATCTATCAACTCACAGTGCCAAGAAATTGCCACATGCCCTCTCTGGAAAATGAGTCTTTAATCTTTCATTTATCCTATGATCTTCAGCCCATCTGCTTTAGAATCACCATGGGTGAGTGTTAGAATGCAGATTTCTGGGGATTTCCCTCCATAGCTCGTGAATCAGGGGCCTGGTTTGCTGCATTTTTACTATGATCCCAAGTAATTCTGATGCAAAATGAAGTTCAGAATCGTCACAGTCTAAACTTTTCTAAGACTACACATGACATTTGGAATAAATATTCTGAATTTCAAGGTAATAAATAAAGTCTGAAGCAAACAAAACTCATGCCAGCTTCTCAAAAATGATGAGAAAAGCAGCAGAAAGAACATTTCTGCAGGGAAATGTCCTGACTGCACACAATGTACGAGGAGAATGACAAGTGGCCCAGTGAAAGCCAGCCAAAGCCCTGCTGTCATATTTACTCATAGCCAGCAGTTCCAGACTGTACCAGCCCCTGCCATTCACAGGCATCTCGATAGGATGTCTTTGTGTCTTTACTAGCTCATCGATTCAGCCTCCATGTGGATGGGTAATAAGATGGCACAGAAAAATGTCATTGTCATATGTTTCCCTCTGAAATCTGTTTTTCTCGTTATGCCAACTTTTCTACTTAGTCAGATAAATGAAGAATTATGCCTACTCAAAAATCCCAATTCTATTCTCCTTCCTGTTTTTTAGCAAGGACAACAGGAGGTCCACAGGGAGGAAGGCTTCCGATCCTCTGCGTTCAGGCCCTGTGGAGGGCAGGCAGCTCCAGCATCTTCCCTGGCTCTGTCTCTTCTCACTCCCTCTCCATCCTTGTCTGTGTCTGTCTCTTTCTCCAGATATGAGGACACCCTTACTTTGGATATGTTACTGTAAAATAATGCTGTTCTTCAGGTCCATTTCTTAATCATCACAGAAACTGTTTTTGCATGCAAGCCTGATCGCTTTTGTCCAACTGTGTGTCCATTTTTTTGATGTTCACATCTTCAGGCTAATGAAACAACTGAGGGCAATATATGATACGCTGGTTGCTAAGTTACACAGCAATGTCTCCAGACAGGACTACGGATCGACCGTTAAGGAAGCATATTAGAAATACCCTAAAATAAAATCCAGACACCACCCCCCAAAAAAAGAAACAGGGGAAAAAAGGCAGGTGGGAATGAGGAAGAAGGATAAGGAAGAAAAAGTGGTCAGCTGCTGTAAATGCCCATTCCCCATAACTGAGGCTCTAGCCTTGCAGGGGCTGCTCACCATCAGAAACAGCAGCCCCGCCACCCCATTAGAGTGGCAGCACTTCATTCCCACCCATTAATTTGAAGAATTTGTGGTTTGACTTCTTTTCTACTTTTTTCATGCTCCTAAGTGAGGATTCCATTTTCAGCTGTTGTCTTTTTCTCGCATCATTTCACTTTCCACAGGACCCAGATATCCTGTACCAAATTCCCAAAGCCAAAAAAAGAAAGAACAAGTATTAAGAGATATCTATTAACTACCTATTTGTGGTCTATAAACACAGAACATGAAGGTGAAGGGCCTGTTCTGCAATAAATGGTTTGCTCTCTCTGTATCTGTAATAAGATCTGGGTCAAAAGGAGCAGACAGAGATGGGTAGACAGTTCCCAGGAGCCCAGGGAATCTGCCAGGACATGGCAAGCCTGAGGGAAAGGACAGAAGGAGCCTGTCTGTCTCCTTCAGTGTTTTAATCAAGGACTTGTGGAAGATAGAGAGAAAGAACAACATGCTTTTCTGGAGACGACAAACTCGCCTTAAAGGGACATGCACAACCAGATGTCCACGACTGCTCAAAAAAAAGATTAAATTTAATTTAAAAAAAGCAGCCCCCTGTCCAAAGACACCAAGTTGCTTGCTTCCTTAGCCAATTTCACATGATAGGAGCCAGCACATACCTACTTTTTGCCTGGTGTCTAGGCTGGGGACTAAAAGCTCAGGGTAGAACCCAGTTCATGTCCACATCTCTAATACCCCAGGATAAGAATTACTGACTCTAATCTGTTAAACAGTAATGGAATGTAATTATGTAGATGTGAATCTTGGACTTGGCCTTGAAGTTAGGTGTAGGCAGTCCCCTTAAGCACAGCAGCTGAGGGGGGCCATCTTTGCATTTCAGACAGTGGGGCAGCCCCAGCAAGGGCATTCCCTTTGGGATCCACCATTATGATTCCATGGGGAAGGCCTCAAGCCTCCTGCGTCCGGCCTCTGCTCTCCCTACCAGGGACTGCTTCAAAGCAGCTCTGCCTATCCAAGCTTCTGGCAACAGAGACACGTCTATAGTGCTGCACAGCCAGCGGCCAGCTGCTTTCCTCTGACAAGTTTATGCACCATCCGTAGGTTGTGATGTCCCTGTGGTGGCCATGCCCTCTTTGAAGAACCCTGGGGGACAAGCAATGCCTGCTCTTGGTCTTTAGTTCCTCAACTGCCCACTCTTCCTCAAACTGGAGGCCACAGCTTCTTTTCTGCAACTGCTTCTTCTGGACCCATAAGAGTTCAGAGATAGTGTGAGCACTAGGGGAGTATGATACACATTAATAAAACCTCTCGTGGGACAGGTGCTGTGCTGGGAGGACAATGAGGAGTTAGGGAGATGGAGCAACAATGGTCTGGTATCTGGGAGAAGCAGAGGACTGGGAGGAAGGAAGCCCTGGTTGGCCCTGACCAACTTACTTCCCACGTGACCCTGGGCATGTCAATTTGCTTCAGACCCTCAACAACTGAATGGAGGCAACGGACCCAGGGCCATAGGTCAGTTCTCTCCCCTCCTCTTTCATTTGCATTGCCATAAACAAAGAGGAAACATTTACAGCTTTTGAGCAAGATTACTGATGTGATGAAGGGGATGTTTTAGGGAATGAATTTGTTGAAGCAGTGAATGAGATGGGAAGGGAATGCGTTCAGAAGACTGAGCGAGGTGAGGGAGGACTTCAGCAACACACTACTCCCTCCCTCCACGGCAGAGCTTGGCCCTTATTACATCAGACTGCAGGCTCCAACCTTGACATCGCTGGCTCTGAGCATCTCCCAGCCTCAGAGTTAACAACCCAGCAAACAAGGCCAAGATTCAAAAGGTTAAGGAGTAACAAGTTCTATAACAAGGCTATATGCCTTTGCTCCCATATACAACAACTAGGAGAGTCAATAGGATGGTTTTGTAACATATGACTAAGGCCTTTGAAATGTTCAAATTCTATGAATTTATCCTACCAACATATCAGAGATGCAATCAACATTTTATGAAAGATGTTTACTGCAAAACGGTTTAAAGAAAAAAAAAAGCTAAAAGCAAGCCCAAATATTCCAGTTATTCATTTATTGTCTCTCAACTCAAAACCATTCTTGGCCCTGCTTTCTGACAGGTTGCCAGCTGCGGCAATGTGACACTTCACCAATAGAGGGCACTGGAGTGATTCTGCCTGGGGAAAGGACATTCCCTTTGGGATCCACCATTACTATTCCATGGGGAAGGCCTCAGGCCTCCTGCACCCGGGCTCTGCTCTCCCTACCAGGGACTGCTTCAAAGCAGTTCTGCCTACCCAAGCTTCTGGCAACAGAGACACGTCTATAGTGCTGCACAGCCAGCTGGCCAGCTGCTTTCCTCTGACAAGTTTCTGCATCACCCGTGGGTGGTGATGTCCCTGTGGTGGCCATGCCCTCTCTGAAGAACTCTGGGGGACGAGCAATGCCCGCTCTTGGTCTTTAGTTCCTCAACTGCCCACTCTTCCTCAAACTGGAGGCCATAGCTTCTTTTCTGCAACAGCTTCTTCTGGACCCATAAGAGTTCTCTTTTACTCACAACTAACCAGCTTCTACTAGTTGTCAATCATTTACATTGGAATATACCCTGTTTAAATAACAGTATGGTTTCTGTATCCTGACTAGATGCTGGCTGATATACAAAGTCTTGCAAATGTCCCCTAACACAAAGGAAAACTGAAGCAAATTATGGTAAGGCAGGCCAAAGATACACCATGTAGCCATCGAAGTGCTGCTATGAAAGAATGTTCAGTAATATGGGACCCTGGGACACTGTATTGTGGTGACAAAAGCAGAATGCAAAATAGCAAAATTGCACCAAACATATAGAATATAATGTGTGTTCATGCACTAAGTACTGGTGACCAGTTTGAGAATCCCATGTACATTGCCATCACTTGCAACCTGCAAAAGAAGGGGAAAAAAGCAGGAAAAATGCCTAATATTATGGGTATTTGCCCAACCCAGCCAATGAGGAGTGCCTGTGTTTCCAGGGGAGAAGCAATCTCCCTGGTTTTGCACAGAAGGGACCTGTACGAGTTGAGCGAACCACGTTGAACAGCCTTATTTTTCCATCCACTTGAGATAAGAGACCTGATTGCCAGCCCTTCCCACTGCCAGCAGTTTTAACTTACCCCTCAATCAAACGACATGTGCAAATGCTTAAACATGGGGTGCAATGGGCAAGTTAGAGCCTGTGGTCTCAGAAAGCCACAAAGTGCTACAGAGACAAGAAAAAAGAGCTGCACTTATAGGAAAGAAACTCATGCTTGTAAAAAGAAAAAAAAAAACATTTTTAAAGGGCCATTCCAGTGGCATGAGCAGGGATCACTGAAGATGCTACTACAGCTGGGAAAATACTAACTCCATGGCCCATTCTAGGCAAAACAATGCAAATAGTGGTCTGTGGAGAGAGGATGAGATAAAAACATTTACAGCTCACAGCCAAGGAACAATGCGGCTGGAAACACTAGGGATGGAGGAGTGGCCAAGCTTGAGGCAGCAGGGTGTCACATGACATCCTGAACATAACCTGCTGTGGCATTAGCCACCCAGACACTAGTGTCAGATGGGCCTGATCCAAAACTTGGCTTCACCAGTAACAGCTTTGTCACCTGGGAATTTGGCACAGCCCCTGGCAAGCAATAGGTGCTCAGTGAATACAGGGTAAATGAATGATGGGCAAGACAACGTCTTGGGGCCTCCCTTTCTGCAGTGCCACATGAAGACAGTCAGACCCACACCACACAGTGTTATTATGGGCATTACACTGGACACTGCTAATAAAGCCTCTGCTTGGCTCATTCAGTAAATGTGTAGGATCCAATATATTATTCATAAAAAGGAGGCAGCTTCAGTACCACACTCCAAAAGAAATGGAAAATCTGCCAAAGAAGGAGGGAGAGAAGGGAGAGAATCTCAGGCAGAGGAAATAAATACAAGTCCGCCCATTTGGATCCCCAGCCTTAGATAATGAAATATAGGGATTCTTTTTCTTTCTCTTTTTTTCCTAGTCATGGATGTCTTAGAGAACTCTGGTGAAGTCTATGGATCTTCTTTTCAGAATGTTTTTAAATGCATAAAATAAAATAAATAAGCTTGCAAAGAAACCAAACAGTTATCCAAATATTTTAAAAATTGTATCATAGGCTGGGCACAGTGGCTCATGCCTCTAATCCCAGCACTTTGGGAGGTGGAGGCGGGCAGATCACGAGGTCAGGAGTTTGACAGCAGCCTGGCCAATACGGTGAAACCCTGTCTCTACTAAAAATACAAAAATTAGCCAGGCGTGGTGGCATATGCCTATAGTTCCAGCTATTTGAGAGGCTGAGACAGAAGGATCGCTTGAACCCGGGAGGTGGAGGTTGCAATGAGCCGAGATCACGCCACTGCACTCCAGTCTGGGCAACAGAGCAAGAGACTCCTTCTCAAAAAAAAAAAAAAAAATTGTATCATAGTAATATATATGCTGCTTTATCAATGCACGTGTCAGCAATCTTTTTCCAGCCAGACAGTAAGCATTTTAAGCACTGCAGGCTAGAATACCTCTGTTGCAACTGTGATATGTAAATAAATGGGTTTGGCTGTGTTCCAGTAAGTTTTATGTACAAAAACAGGTGGCAGCTTGGACATAGTCCACAGGCTATAGTTGCTGACCCCTGTATTAAAGCATTAAATAACAAGATCTGTTGTAAGGTCTAATAACTACCATAATTTCTAATTAGGCATAAGATGATAAATGATATTTAGAGATAACTGTGATAAACAGTAATAAATGGATGTACTTTAATTTCTGTTCATAATAAAGGCACAGATACTGCTTATCCTATCATGGCTTGTTGCTGACATTTGTGATTCAAGCAATGAAAAGTTTACGTTTTTATATGGCTGTAGTGTTCCTCCTACATAAGTTCATGAACCCCAGGATAAAATAGTAGCTTTTCATTGTACTTGGAAGGAGATCCAAATTCCCACTATAGTTTAGAAGACACTGTGATGCAGCCCTAGTCAACATCGACAATTTCTCTGGTACCTCCTCTCACTTCCAGCTCACTATCCTGTTCCCTTTTGTTCTCTAACACACCAAGCTCTTTCATGCTGCAGGACTTTTCTGCTGGCTGTTTCTTTTCCTACAATGCTAGGGTCTGGCTCCCTGTTATCCTCCAGTCTTGGCTCAAATGTCACCTTTTTTTTGTTTATTTGTTTGTTTGTTTGAGACAGAGTCTCACTCTGTTGCCCAGGCTGGAGTGCAGTGGTGCGATCTCAGCTCACTGAAACCTCTGCCTCCCAGGTCAAGCAATTCTTCTGCCTCAGTCTCCCAAGTAGTTTGGATTACAGGTGTGCACCACCACACCCAGCTAATTTTTGTATTTTTGGTAGAGACAGGGTTTCACCATGTTGGCCAGGTGGGTCTCAAACTCCTGACCTCAGGTGATCTGCCAGCCTTGGCCTCCCAAAGTGTCACTTTTTTTTTTTTGAGATGGAGTTTCACTCTTGTTCCCCAGGCTGGAGTGCAATGGCACGATCTCGGCTCACTGCAATCTCTGCCTCCTGGGTTCAAGCGATTCTCCTGCCTCAGCCTCCCAAGTAGCTGGAATTACAGGCATGCGCCACCATGCCCGGCTCATTTTTGTATTATTAGTAGAGATGGGGTTTCTCCATGTTGGTCAGGCTGGTCTTGAACTCTCCACCTCAGGTGATCCGCCCACCTCATCCTCCCAAAGTGCTGGGATTACAGGCATGAGGATTACATGCCCCACCTTGTGTCACCTCTTTAAAGAGACCTTCCCTGATACCTTAAAGCAATCTTGGCCAAGGCCTACAGATGGACAACCAGGGCCTTGCAGAGTGAGGCTGATTGCCCCAAGCTGGCACAACCACATTGCGAAGATGGAGAACCCAGACATTAACCTTGGTTAGCACAAATCTTGATGGCGGAATGACTGCCTTAGTGTATAAGTTTTGACACTCATATGGTTGGAGGATGAAAGGCCTTAAGCCCTCAATTCTGGAAACCATGTACACCCACATGTAGTCTTATTTTTTGAAATCTGGTTGTTTATAAACATGAACCTAGGCAAGTCATATTTCTGGGTCATACTTGAACCTATATTCTATGGCCAAGCACTTAGCAGGGTAAACCAAAGCAGCAACACCTACCACACTCTGCCCCCATGTCTTTTTTGGGGGCTGTCCTACTCCATTTTCCTCATAGCTCTTACCTCGATCTAAAATTAATTGCCTTGTTCGTTTTCTAAGTCTTTCCTGTCAGTTTCCACACCCAAAAGAACAGATGCCCAAGAAGAATGGGCATCTCCATGTTTAGTTCATCACCAGTGCCTTGAATGGTGCCTGGTATATCAAATGTGTTCATCAAATGCTTTTTGAGTGAATAGAATGAATATTATAATCATAACAGAGTCTGGAACAATAGTGAAAATATCTATAAACTAAAGCTCACTGGTAACAACCCCTTCCCCTCTCTCACAATCCAAATAAATTTCAAACCATCTTTCCTTTCTTTCCCTATGCTATAACCTTCAGTCAACGAGTGGATATTTATTTCATACCTACTATGGGCACACTTATTATTAAGCATTTTTTAAAAGAGAGAGTTGAGATATATTTGCTCAGGTTCCACTACCAATCCACATGTCTGCAACACATCCTGCACAGAAATGAACCATCTGTCATCAGCTGTTCACTAACGCCACAGCACCAGGCAGCCTCAACACTGAAGCAAAGTTACAAACAGCCCCAGGCATCTATAACTACTGTGCTCTGAGGCTCAAAAAGCTGTCCAGAACCATTCCCAGAAATGCACCTGCTCCAGCCCTAAGAGGAAGGGCCTAGTATGAGACGAAGAGAGGATGCCAGAAAGAAACCCCAGACAAATGGGATCTGGACTGACAGCTGGAAGCAAACAACCCAGCAGCACACACCAGAGAAAGAATGGGCTTTCACTTGCATTGCATTCGAGATTTTTTTCCCTCTATCTTCTCTATTTTCTCTTTTTTTTGCCAGGAGTGAAATTAAAATCTGAGGCTTTTCTGGAGGAGTTAGTAGGGATACTAGGTGTCAGAGGAGAGAGTTAAACAGTTCAACATTACAAGCATTAAAAACTTGTCTTCATCTTACCTTACCACATTAGCTTTTCTCCTTTGGCCCTGGACCACCCACACTATGCTCTAGGCCTTGCCTCCAGATCTGTTGGGAGGGACTAATGCAACATAGGCCTAAGCATAAGTAAGACAGTGAGCAATTGGGAAAGCCACGCTAATTCAATTAGGATGGGTGTTTTCCTTAAGAGCTGATCCAAAGATAATGACCAGAAAAAGCATTTATTTTATAGACTTACTCTCTGCCATGAATGTGGCTATCCAGATGAATTAATTAACTGATATTAAGAGACATATACTGGGTGAATTAAGTGCCTCTTTCACATACAGGCTCTATAATGAGATTTTAGTTTTTTAGTATTAAAAAAAATCCTGCTAAACAAGATAACATACGTCAGAGAAACATTAGCTGATGTAAAAGGAAAGGCTCTCAGAAAAAGGTAAAGATTTAGCTAAAACTAAGTTCAAATCCAGGGTGTACACTAGTCATATATAATCATATTAAAATTATGTAATCTCTGATACTTATTTTGTTAATCTTTAAAAGATGATAAATACATCTCAGTGTATTTGCAGAAATTAATTAAGCTCAACAGAATTTGCTATACACAGAAACTATTCAATAAGAGCTATATAAACAGCTATAAACAATGGAAGTGCTTAAAACACGTACAATTTATGATGGATACAAAATTCTGAGGTACCTAGGCATATATCTTACTAAATATACGTATAAAAACTTTAAGGGCAAAAATGGTTAAGCTTTATTGAAAATGTTAAAGAATATTCTAATAAATAGAACAATATATTGTTTTCATAGATGGGATAGGCAATATCTTAGAGAATGCAAATTTTTCCCAAAATTAGTCCATAAATTCAATTCAATTTTAATCAAAATTCTAATGGGATTTGACAAGCATATGCTAAAATTCATATGGAGGAGTAAAAGGCAGAAGCAGGGTGATTTTGATGATGATGATGATGATGACAGAGAAGAAGAGGAAGAACAGAGGAAGAGAAAAAGAAGAACAAGAAGATGATGACACTGAAGAAGAGAAGAGAAAGAGGAAGAAAAAGGCACAGACATTCACTCTACTAGAAATCTAGTCTTGTTAGTTGGAAGCTATCAAAGCTGTATGATAATGGTACAAAATAGAGAGCCACAGAAACCCCTATATTCACAAAACCTTGACATATGAAAGAAGTGACAATGCAAGTCATGGAAGTGGCAGATAGGTAATGAATAATGCAATAAACAGTGGTAAGACAACTGGCTGTCTCCATCAAAAGATAAAATTAGATCGCCATATAATACCCCCTACACACACTTTCAAAATAGATTGATGACCTATATGAAAATCAAAACTTTCTAACTTTTGAAATAAAACACAAGAGAATCTCTTTAAAATATATAGCTAGAGAAAGTGCTTTTAAATAAAATGCAAAAAGCCCAAGTAACAAAAGGGAAAAAAGGACAAATCTGATTGATTAAAATGGTCTTATAAACCTCTGTTTGACAAAAGACACAATAGAAAAAACAACTATGGACTGGGTAGAAATTTAGGAAAAAGAATTTGTGTCCACAACATATAAACAACTCCTGTAAATCCATGACAATGAAACACTCCAAACCCACTATTGGACAAAGAATGTATAGGCAGTTTATAGAAGGGAAAACTGACTAGATAATAAACACAGAAAAATATGCTCAGCCTCAGCAGTTGGAGAAATGCAAATTAAAGACACGTAGGCCAGGCGTGGTGGCCCATGCTTATAATCCCAGCACTGTGGAAGGCCGAGGTGGGTGGATCACCTGAGGTCAGGAGTTTGAGACCAGCCTGGCCAACATGGTGAAACTCCGTCTCTACTAAAAATACAAAAATTAGCCAGGTGTGGGGGTGGGTGCCTGTAGTCCCAGCTACTCAGGAGGCTGAGGCAGAAGAATAGCTTGAACCCGGGAAGTGGAGGTTGCAGTGAGCCGAGATCACACCACTGCACCGCAGCCTGGGCTACAAGAGTGAAACTCTGCTCCCTCTCCCTCCCCCTCCCCCTCCCTCTCCCTCTGCCCACGGTCTCCCTCTCCCTCTCTTTCCACGGTCTCCCTCTGATGCCGAGCCGAAGCTGGACGGTACTGCTGCCATCTCGGCTCACTGCAACCTCCCTGCCTGATTCTCCTGCCTCAGCTTGCCCAGTACCTGCGATTGCAGGCGCGCACCGCCACGCCTGACTGGTTTTCGTATTTTTTTGGTGGAGATGGGGATTCGCTGTGTTGGCCGGGCTGGTCTCCAGCTCCTAACCGCGAGTGATCCGCCAGCCTCGGCCTCCCGAGGTGCCGGGATTGCAGACGGAGTCTCGTTCACTCAGTGCTCAATGGTGCCCAGGCTGGAGTGCAGTGGCGTGATCTCGGCTCGCTACAACCTCCACCTCCCAGCCTCCTGCCTTGGCCTCCCAAAGTGCCGAGATTGCAGCCTCTGCCCGGCCGCCACCCCGTCTGGGAAGTGAGGAGCGTCTCCGCCTGGCCGCCCATCATCTGCGATGTGAGGAGCCCCTCTGCCTGGCTGCCCAGTCTGGAAAGTGAGGAGCGTCTCTGCCTGGCCGCCATCCCATCTAGGAAGTGAGGAGCGCCTCTTCCCGGCCGCCATCACATCTGGGAAGTGAGGAGCGTCTCTGCCCGGCCGCCCATCGTCTGAGATGTGGGGAGCACCTCTGCCCTGCTGCCCCGTCCGGGATGTGAGGAGCGTCTCTGCCTGGACGCCCCGTCTGAGAAGTGAGGAGCCCCTCCGCCCAGCAGCCACCCCGTCTGGGAAGTGAGGAGCGTCTCCGCCCGGCAGCCGCCCCGTCCGGGAGGGAGGTGGGGGGGTCAGCCCCCCGCCCGGCCAGCCACCCCGTCTGGGAGGGAGGGAGGTGGGGGGGTCAGCCCCCCGCCCGGCCAGCCGCCCTGTCCGGGAGGTGAGGGGCGCCTCTGCCCGGCCACCCCTACTGGGAAGTGAGGAGCCCCTCTGCCCGGCCAGCCGCCCCGTCCGGGAGGGAGGTGGCGGGGTCAGTCCCCCGCCTGGCCAGCCGCCCCGTCCGGGAAGTGAGGGGCGCCTCTGCCCGGCCGCCCCTACTGGGAAGTGAGGAGCCACTCTGCCCAGCCAGCCGCCCCGTCCGGGAGGGAGGTGGGGGGGTCAGCCCCCTGCCCGGCCAGCCGCCCCGTCCGGGAGGGAGGTGGGGGGGGGTCAGCCCCCCGTCCGGCCAGCCACCCCGTCTGGGAGGTGAGGGGCGCCTCTGCCTGGCCGCGCCTACTGGGAAGTGAGGAGCCCCTCTGCCCGGCCACCACCCCGTCTGGGAGGTGTACCCAACAGCTCATTGAGAATGGGCCATGATGACAATGGCGGTTTTGTAGAATAGAAAGGGGGGAAAGGTGGGGAAAAGATTGAGAAATCGGGTGGTTGCCGTGTCTGTGTAGAAAGAGGTAGACATGGGAGACTTTTCATTTTGTTCTGTACTAAGAAAAATTCTTCTGCCTTGGGATCCTGTTGATCGGTGACCTTACCCCCAACCCTGTGCTCTCTGACACATGTGCTGTATCCACTCAGG
The DNA here is from genome assembly GCF_000001405.40 of Homo sapiens. Taxonomy (NCBI): domain Eukaryota; kingdom Metazoa; phylum Chordata; class Mammalia; order Primates; family Hominidae; genus Homo; species Homo sapiens. The sequence goes on from NC_000007.14 coordinate 37,293,463, forward strand.
GTTGAATGGATTAAGGGCGGTGCAAGTTGTGCTTTGTTAAACAGATGCTTGAAGGCAGCATGCTCCTTAAGAGTCATCACCACTCCCTAATCTCAAGTACCCAGGGACACAAACACTGCGGAAGGCCGCAGGGTCCTCTGCCTAGGAAAACCAGAGACCTTTGTTCACTTGTTTATCTGCTGACCTTCCCTCCACTATTGTCCTGTGACCCTGCCAAATCCCCCTCTGTAAGAAACACCCAAGAATGATCAATAAAAAAAAAAATAATAATAATAATAAAAAAAAAGAGTGAAACTCTATATCCAAAAAAAAAAAAAAAAAAGGAACTGTTAAATTTAAAAACTTTTTTCTATCATAATCAATTTCATTCCTGGGTTTCACAATATAATTTTAAGTTTTCCACTAAGATTTTAATTAAATAACTTCTGTAGTCTATATCTTCTTTCATATATATAAAATTGAGATTTGCTTTTGGTGTCATTGAGTAAATTTTATACAGTTATTTGAACTAAGAGTTATCAGTTGTTACTGCCCTTTTGACACCATAAAACTTACACTCTTGAATTTGTTATCTGATGTTTTCTCTCATTCAGATGGCATATACTTTTTAAAATACAGGTAAAAGATTAATATATTTTCAGAATCAATACAAATCTGGAACTATGTTTACGTTGACTTCACACTGCAAGAAGATCTTGATCTGCCTGTTTAATTCTTTGCACATAACCCACTTTTCTACTCATAGGCTTGGGTATTCTCTCCTTTGCACCTATAATCCCAGCTACTTGGGAGGCTGAGACAGGAGAATCCCTTGAACCCGGGAGGCGGAGGTTGCAGTGAGCCGAGATCCTGCCACTGCACTCCAGCCTAGGTGACTGAGCGAGAAGCCATTTAAAAAAAAAAAAAAAAGGACAGGAGAAGTCCCATGGTGTCCTAGCCATGGCTAACATTAGCCAGGCTATGCAAACAAGCACTGGTCAGGGTGACGGGAATAGAAAAGCTGATAATTGCGGGTGGGACTGCAAGCTAGTAGAACCACTTTGAAAAGCAGTAAAGTTGAGAATGACCTTCCCTCTAATCCAAAAGCTTTCTACATTCTATTCTAGAGAAACTTTTAAACAGCCCCACACAAATACATGCATAGTACAGTATTCTTTGTGATACCAAAATTGAGGAAACAAGTGATTATTGGTTAAAAAAATGGATAAATCAACTGTGTTTTATTTATGTCATGGGATATCATAAATTCATCTCAGGCCAGGCGCGGGGGCTCACGCCTGTAATCCCAACACTTTGGGAGGCAGAGGCAGGTGGATCGCCTGAGGTCAGAAGTTCGAGACCAGCCTGGCCAACACAGTGAAACCCCTTCTCTACTACAAATACAAAAATTAGCTGGGTGTGGTGGCAGGCGCCTGTAACCCCAGCTACTTGGGAGGCTGAGGCAGGAGAATCACTTGAACCCAAGAGGCGGAGGTTGCAATGAGCCACAATCCGCCATCGCACTCCAGCCTGGGCAACAACAACAAAACTCCGCCTCAAAAAAAAAAAAAAATTCATCTCAAAAATATTACTGAGTGAAAAAATTAAATGCAAAAGTTACCTAGAGTAGGATATCAATGCTTTAAATTTTAACACATAAAACAATTCTTGATATTATTCATAAGCACATACCTATGTAGAAAACCTATAAAACATTCATGAGAATGATATACTTCAATTTCAGGCTACTACTTACCTCTGGGGAGAGAGGAATAGAAGGAGAGATAGAAAATTTGATAGAGTAAGGTTTTAGCTATGCTTGGAAGGTTTTTTAAAGGTGATGCAAAACAGTAGGCAAAATGTTAACATCTATCAACATCCAGACAGTGGGCTGTACAAGTGTCAGTTATATCATTTTTTGTAGTTTTTTGATATGTTTGAAATATTGTATGATTTAAAAGTTTTTAAATTACTACTTAAATGAATTCTGACTTTAAAAAACAGTATCACTAGCACAAAACTCATCTGTCTGAAACGATGGCTGGATTTCTTACATCTATGCTTTACTTTGTAATGAGAGAACAATTAAAGATAAACATACACTTTGAAACAATGTACTGACTATAAATTAGCCTTGCACAATCTTGCTTTTCCTTTCCCTGCCAACAGTTACATTCTTACAACAACCAAAATGCAGTCTTTTTAAAAAGCACCTATTAGTCAAGACAGTTGTTTTCAAATAATGGAAACTTTTTGTTCTAGAAGGAGGAAAAAAAGCTCAGATAATGCCTCAGAGCCCAAATAGAGAAAGAAGTATTGTATCAACATTAATATGTTTTTTGAGCTTAGGTTTGTCAATGTATATTTTATTAAGGTAATAGGCAGGAATAATAAGACTTTTATTAACATAAAAACTCAATCTCTGATATTATAGGTGATCATTATAATAATATAGCAAGCTTCCACATTCAATACGCTTTTGTGTGTTGTTGCCTTACTTAATGTGGAGGAAACGTGAATACATTCCCACCGTGTATTTACCAGTTTTCCATTGCTGTATAACAAATTACCAGAAATCTAAGAGTTTAAAACAGCACAGATATATTTATCTCCACAGTTTCTATGGATCAGGAGTCTAGCACCTTTTAGCTGTCTCCACAGTTTCTATGGATCAGGAGTCTAGCACCTTTTAGCTGGGTGTCTGTGAGGGGTGAAATCAAGGTGTCAGTCAGCTGGGTCCTCATTTGAAATTCAGAGCCCTCTTCCACATTCACTCAGGTTGTTGTAGAATTCATTTCTTGTGATTACACAACCAAGATCCCTCTTCCCTCTATTTCCCACTGGCTGTTGGCCAGGGACCCCTCTCAGCTCTGAGAGGTTGATCTTAGGGCCTTTCTCTGTAGCCCTCTCCACAACATGGCAGTTCGCTATTTCTCGGGGCCAACAGGAAGACATCTCGTTAATGCTTCACCTTCTTTTAAAAGTCTATCTGATTAGGTCAGGCCTACCAAGATATTCTCCCTTTTGATTACTCCCAAATCGACTGATTGAAGACCTTAATGACACCTACAAAATCCTCGTTGCCATACGCTGTGACACAATCACAGAAGTGATAGCCCCTCTTATTCACAGACCCAGATCACATTCAAGAGACAGGGATTAGATGGGTGTGTAACACTAGGGGTGTGGGAATCTTGGGGCCATCTCAGAATTCCACTTACCATATCATACACAAGGCATTATCTGTCAACACAGAGCATTAGCTGGAAATTGCTTTTAAAAGTTTACCTTGAAATCTCAGGAATCTTTCCAGATACTTGGATATTTATTTCATCATGTAAATTTGTATAAATAACATCTAATCTCAACTCCTTTCTTATAATAAATACTGGAAATCGGGGAAAAGTACTCAAAACTTACAGAAAAGAGGAAAATTAGGTTTTCTCTTTCATTAGACACCTGACATGCTCTCAAGCCAATACGCCTGAACTATCCCTGACCTTCCATGAGCCAAGGACACAGGTGCAGCAGCAGCGAACTTGCTGAGATGATTTTTCTTGAGTGGGTGGATTCATGCCTGATTTAAGATAAAAGCAATCTTCCCAGTCAATGACATATTTTATAAGAAGTGTAAATATATGCATGGGGGAGGAGGAAATGAAATGCTTTATATTGAGGCTCTCTCAAAATCAACTTAGCCTGGCATCTTAATAATAATAATAAAGCTTGCCTTCACTGTGCTCCTATCCATTATCAGAGTTTACGCTGATTGTTTTATTCATGTTTAAATCATTCAAAACAATATTTTTAAAGGTTGTATAAGTCAACTCCTTCTGCAATTCCTGAAGCACCTGTGAAAAGTTGCTGAAATGGAACTTTCTTCACAATAATATAAAAGATCTTATTTCAGTTCCAATTCCGGCATTCAGAAGCTATGTGACCTAAAACTCCCAAATGTCTAAGACTACTGTGAATCCTAAAAGCTTAAATGAAATAACTCATGAAAGTGCCTGGCACCTAGGGGGTCCTCCATAAATGATGGCCACATATACCTAGATGACACAATTTCTTTGACTCATCATTCAACTTTTATCAATAGTTTATAATGAAATAGTTAAGGAACTACATAAAGACTTACTTTGAAGAATGGCCCCTTTAGCACTGCTTGAAAAAAAAAAAAGACAGAGAGAGGAAGATAAACAATTTAAAAGTCCAAATACAAAGAACTGACTTCAAGAATTGAGTTGAATTCTTTTCAGCCATTAGGAAAGTTTGACAAATAAATAGGAAATATGACTCACTGAGGAATGACTATGGGCCAAGTGCCTTGCAAACTGTGTTGTTGGCATTACCTTGTTTAATCCTCATTATATAATAAAGTAGGCTGAGTATACTAACTACTGTGTTATGATGGCTGCTATATATTAAGTCTAGAGCTGTGAAACAATGTGTATATTTTACACACTTGTAAAACACAAATATACTTCTAGACTTAAATATGTTTGAAGTAGATACAGTAGAATGCCATTGGTTTTCTCTAAGTAATAGGATTTTGATCTTTTTTTAATTTACTTTTTTCTAATATGTCTCAATATGCCTAATCTGTGTAAATGTTTTTTGAAGATACTTGAGATTTTGTATCTGCTTGCTTCAGAGCAGCAGACACTGAAAAAAGAATGCTTTATACTAGTTGTATTAAATCAGTAAAGTGGTACCTCATTTTTTAGCATCTAAAAATCTAAACCTAACTACAGTGCTGACAAGTCTAGAGCTACAAGAGAGGGGGGACCTGAACATCAAAAAGGTAGAATAAAAGTAGGTGGACAAGACTAGGAAGTTTTTTTTGTTTTTTTTTTTTAAGAGTTTTTTTTTTTATTATACTTTAAGTTTTAGGGTACATGTGCACATTGTGCAGGTTAGTTACATATGTATACATGTGCCATGCTGGTGTGCTGCACCCACTAACTCGTCATCTAGCATTAGGTATATCTCCCAATGCTATCCCTCCTCCCTCCCCCGACCCCACCACAGTCCCCAGAGTGTGATATTCCCCTTCCTGTGTCCATGTGTTCTCATTGTTCAATTCCCACCTATGAGTGAGAATATGCGGTGTTTGGTTTTTTGTTCTTGCGATAGTTTACAGAGAATGATGATTTCCAATTTCATCCATGTCCCTACAAAGGACATGAACTCATCATTTTTTATGGCTGCATAGTATTCCATGGTGTATATGTGCCACATTTTCTTAATCCAGTCTATCATTGTTGGACATTTGGGTTGCTTCCAAGTCTTTGCTATTGTGAATAATGCCGCAATAAACATACGTGTACATGTGTCTTTATAGCAGCATGATTTATAGTCATTTGGGTATATACCCAGTAATGGGATGGCTGGGTCAAATGGTATTTCTAGTTCTAGATCCCTGAGGAATCGCCACACTCACTTCCACAATGGTTGAACTAGTTTACAGTCCCACCAACAGTGTAAAAGTGTTCCTATTTCTCCACATCCTCTCCAGCACCTGTTGTTTCCTGACTTTTTAATGATTGCCATTCTAACTGGTGTGAGATGGTATCTCATTGTGGTTTTGATTTGCATTTCTCTGATGGCCAGTGATGATGAACATTTTTTCATGTGTTTTTTGGCTGCATAAATGTCTTCTTTTGAGAAGTGTCTGTTCATGTCCTTCGCCCACTTTTTGATGGGGTTGTTTGTTTTTTTCTTGTAAATTTGTTTGAGTTCATTGTAGATTCTGGGTATTAGCCCTTTGTCAGATGAGTAGGTTGTGAAAATTTTCTCCCATTTTTGTAGGTTGCCTGTTCACTCTGATGGTAGTTTCTTTTGCTGTGCAGAAGCTCTTTAGTTGCCATTGCTTTTGGTGTTTTGGACATGAAGTCCTTGCCCATGCCTATGTCCTGAATGGTAATGCCTAGGTTTTCTTCTAGGGTTTTTATGGTTTTAGGTCTAACGTTTAAGTCTTTAATCCATCTTGAATTGATTTTTGTATAAGGTGTAAGGAAGGGATCCAGTTTCAGCTTTCTACATATGGCTAGCCAGTTTTCCCAGCACCATTTATTAAATAGGGAATCCTTTCCCCCATTTCTTTTCTCAGGTTTGTCAAAGATCAGACAGTTGTAGGTATGCGGCGTTATTTCTGAGGGCTCTGTTCTGTTCCATTGATCTATATCTCTGTTTTGGTACCAGTACCATGCTGTTTTGGTTACTGTAGCCTTGTAGTAAAGTTTGAAGTCAGGTAGTGTGATGCCTCCAGCTTTGTTCTTTTGGCTTAGGATTGACTTGGCGATGCGGCCTCTTTTTTGGTTCCATATGAACTTTAAAGTAGTTTTTTCCAATTCTGTGAAGAAAGTCACTGGTAGCTTGATGGGGATGGCATTGAATCTGTAAATTACCTTGGGCAGTATGGCCATTTTCACAATATTGATTCTTCCTACCCATGAGCATGGAATGTTCTTCCATTTGTTTGTATCCTCTTTTATTTCCTTGAGCAGTGGTTTGTAGTTCTCCTTGAAGAGGTCCTTCACATCCCTTGTAAGTTGGATTCCTAGGTATTTTATTCTCTTTGAAGCAATTGTGAATGGGAGTTCACTCATGATTTGGCTCTCTGTTTGTCTGTTGTTGGTGTATAAGAATGCTTGTGATTTTTGTACATTGATTTTGTATCCTGAGACTTTGCTGAAGTTGCTTATCAGCTTAAGGAGATTTTGGGCTGAGACAATGGGGTTTTCTAGATATACAATCATGTCATCTGCAAACAGGGACAATTTGACTTCCTCTTTTCCTAATTGAATACCCTTTATTTCCTTCTCCTGCCTAATTGCCCTGGCCAGAACTTCCAACACTATGTTGAATAGGAGTGGTGAGAGAGGGCATCCCTGTCTTGTGCCAGTTTTCAAAGGGAATGCTTCCAGTTTTTGCCCATTCAGTATGATATTGGCTGTGGGTTTGTCATAGATAGCTCTTATTATTTTGAAATACGTCCCATCAATACCTAATTTATTGAGAGTTTTTAGCATGAAGGGTTGTTGAATTTTGTCAAAGGCTTTTTCTGCATCTATTGAGATAATCATGTGGTTTTTGTCTTTGGCTCTGTTTATATGCTGGATTATGTTTATTGATTTGTGTATATTGAACCAGCCTTGCATCCCAGGGATGAAGCCCACTTGATCATGGTGGATAAGCTTTTTGATGTGCTGCTGGATTCGGTTTGCCAGTATTTTATTGAGGATTTTTGCATCAATGTTCATCAAGGATATTGGTCTAAAATTCTCTTTTTTGGTTGTGTCTCTGCCCGGCTTTGGTATCAGAATGATGCTGGCCTCATAAATGAGTTAGGGAGGATTCCCTCTTTTTCTATTGATTGGAATAGTTTCAGAAGGAATGGTACCAGTTCCTCCTTGTACCTCTGGTAGAATTCAGCTGTGAAGCCATCTGGTCCTGGACTCTTTTTGGTTGGTAAGCTATTGATTATTGCCACAATTTCAGCTCCTGTTATTGGTCTATTAAGAGATTCAACTTCTTCCTGGTTTAGTCTTGGGAGAGTGTATGTGTCGAGGAATTTATCCATTTCTTCTAGATTTTCTAGTTTATTTGCGTAGAGGTGTTTGTAGTATTCTCTGATGGTAGTTTGTATTTCTGTGGGATCGGTGGTGATATCCCCTTTATCATTTTTTGTTGTAAGACTAGGAAGTTTTTAAAAAGATGGCTAATAACTCAATAAAGGAGATGGTAGTGAGGAAGAGATGGAGCAAAATAAGAATGAAGTCATGGAGAGAAGGAAAGGAAGGAAAAACAATCAGAAGGAAAAGGGCCAGAGGAGAAAGAAAAATAAGCATTAGGGAGCAGAGAAAAAATGAGAAATGAGAATATATCAGAAAAAAAAAAAACTATTGGAAGAGGAAGTTATTCTCTCCTCTTTATCTCCTAATGAAATGAAAAATCTCAGATAAGATCACAATGAATCACTTTTAAAGTTTGTGTTTTGTAGTATTTCTCCCCCATAGGAGTTCAAAAGCAAATGAAGCTTGTGCTTGATGACCAAGGTTGCCTTGACTTACGCCATTCCCAGAGACAGTAAAGAGCTGCAGTTCACCCACCCACCCACCCCTCTCCAGCCCTTTCTCTCAGTCAAAGCACCAAGAACAAGGCTGCCTTGGAAAAATAAAGAATCGTTACTGCTTTACAAGTGCAGTTGATGGCAACAAAGCAGTCACTTTTATTTTTTGACTTTAATCTTCAGACATGGTAAAGGCGGTGAATCCCAATTTCTCCCAAAATTGTGCTCAAAAGAAGGTGTAAATATCAAAGTGCCAAATAAACTCCCTCTAAATTTCTTGGTTTACACGATTATTGTTCCCCCACCCCACGTTTAAAAGAAGCAATAGATCTCTATCATTTATCAATGGAGAAAATTACCTCACTGTTGCTGCTCTATGTTTGTATGATGCACACTTTCTTCTATTTTTCTTACTTTATCTCTTTGTCCTTCCTCTTGGTTTAAAAAGTTAAATAATTGCAAAAGTAAAAGACACAGTTTAACCTTCGGATAACTTCTGGAAAATAGTATACCTATCTGACAACTTTTCCCTGAAAGAGAAATGTAAAGAAATGATGGGTGGTTTAATTAAAAAGCCCCCAGATTCTTTGCCACTCCTTCCATGGGGAGGAGGAGTCTATGTCCCACCTCCATTCCCCTTTTTTTAAAGACAAGAGTCTAGCAATATTGCCCAGGCTGAAGTGCAGTGGCTATTCACAGGTACAATCACAGTTCAACACAGCCTGCAGACACCTCAGTCCCCATAGCTGGGACAACAGGTGTGTGCCATGCACCAGGCTATGTCTCATCCCCTCTAATCAGGGCAGGCTTGTGACTACTTGGAGAGATAAAGTACAGCAGAAATGATCCTGTAAACCTCTAAGGCTAGGTCATAACGAGCCATGCAGCTTCTGCTTGGTTCTCTTCAAACACTCCCTCTCTGGAAGTGCCCTCTTGTTGGAACTCCTTCTCAGAACATTGCCACCATGCTGTGGGGAAGCCCAAGCCACATGGAAAGGACATATGTAGGGCACTCAAGTTTACCATCCCAACTGAGCCCAGTCTTTGAGGCATCCAAGCCCAGAAGCCAGACATGAGTGAAGAAGAGGCTTCCAAATGATTCTAGCCCCCAGCTATTCATGTCTTCCCAGTTGTGACTCCAGACATCAAGAAGAGACAAGCCATCATGGATGGGAAGATGTCATGTCCAAATCCTGGCCTGGAGAAACAGTGAGTATAAGTAATCATCTCTACTGATAATGAATTTTTGCTTTAGGTTACTAAATTTGGGGTGTTTTTTAATGCCCCAATAGATAACCAGAACAATGGGGATCAGAAAGAAACAATCAGACAATAAATTATTGTAACTTGATTCTGATCACAGTGGAAAGAATGGGCAACCTAGGGCCCTAATGTTACTGAGTGTCACCTCCAGAAAAGAGTTGCAGGCACACTACCTTTCCTGGGTAGAGATAAGTTCATCTTCCTCTTATCTCTCCCCAGACTTTCCGCCTAACTTTCTACCTTTCTTCTATTTCTCCTTTTCTTTTTGGTCTTTTTCATGCCTGCCCCCTATGCCTGCCCTTGGGTCACCAGTTTATGCTCATAGTAGATGTTCGTTATTCCATTAAACAAATGTTTATAGAGCACTGTGCTAGACACTGGGATAACCGAAGTAAAGGAATCTAGCTTTGTTTCTGACCTTGTAGAGCAAAGAGTGTAATGAAATGTTTTTCCATCTGTGGAGCACAACCATCAGTAGTCATAAAATCATCCTGATGGGTTCTAACAAATATTTTAAAAATAGAAAACAGACTAAAAACAACAAAAAGGCATTCCAAGTAGTAAAGTCACTATTTTTTCATCGATATTTCATTTACCCATGACACACAAACACACAAAAATATACACAGTGTATATTTCAAAACTTTGCCCAACATAATCTGATTGCTGTTCAACAATAAATCTCATTTTAGAAGTATAAAAACATGAACAGGAGTATGCTTAGAAGATCTGCAATTAAGTTTCTGGCCTTGAAACAAATTATAAGAATCACAGAGCCATTCTTAGAAGTAATCTTCTTTACTAATAATGGTTTTTGCTTTTCACTGTAGTTAGTTTTGTTTGGAAAAAGTGTTCTGGTGTTTTTAGGGTCATTTTTGGTAAAGAAGTGCCTGTTTGGAGGAAACCCACGTGTCACTCATTCTGTATCTGAGCATTACACAGTTAAATGTTTCAGTACTTCAGTCAATCTATTCATTAGTTTCATAGCTGAACTGGAGAACATGGAATGATCATGACCTCTGGCATTTGTCCTTGCCTGCAATTCTAGAGGCAGTTGCATCTTACCAAGCATAAGCTAGGGAGCCTAAGCTACAAAGTTAGCTGCCTGTGTAATCATCTTGTTATAGCCTCTATCCAACCGTCAGTGTAAACATTAAATAACATGTCATAAAACCCACCGACATCTGAGTAATGCTGGTGGCGGTCGCTGCCCTGCTCTTCCGAGCTCCCTCTCATTTAGGTGACTCAACTTAGGCTGTTTTTTTTTCTTCATCCTGAAATAAGTATATATGCTTCCAAGTCCTCTCTAGAGGAAACATAGCAAATGATTTAAAATGATAGCTCCCATCCAGTTCCCAAACTCTAATTAGAAAAGTCTAAAACCACCCAAAAATGTTTTTAGAGACAGCTTCAGAAAGTCTACTGCCAATTTAGTTTGAGTCACTATGAGCAAAGACACCAGGGCAAAAGAGGGGTGACGATGATGGAAAGAGGAATGGCTGGCTGAAGCCCAATGCCAGGGCTGGATAGCTCCTAGGGGAAGTCAGGACAATCTGAGGAGGGTGTGTGAGGGTGTGTGTGTGTGCGTGTGTGTGTGTACATATGCACTTCAATTTTCACAAGTTGTGCTTGATGGATTGAGAAAGGGCAGAGGCGTCTGGGCACGGCGGCTCACGCCTGTAATCCCAGCACTTTGGGAGGCTGAGGCAGGTGGATAACCTGAGGTCAGGAGTTCAAGACCAGCCTGACCAACATGGTGAAACTCTGTCTCTACTAAAAATACAAAAATTAGCTGGGTGTGGTGGCGTGCGCCTGTAATCCCAGCTACTCAGGAAGCTGAGGCAGGAGAATCGCTTGAACCCGGGAGGTGGAGGTTGCAGTGAGCCGAGATTGCGCCACTGCGCTTCAGCCTGGGCGACAGAGCGAGACTCTGTCTCCAAAAAAATAGAAAGAAAAGAAAGTAAAACACTCTTGGTTCACGATTTCTGTGTTGCAAGCAAACTAGATGGCATATTTCAGAGTTTTTCCTGTTTTCCAAAATTGCTGCTCCAAGTTTTGTTTTAAGTGGCTTGTTTTCACATACGTACAGAGAATTCTAACTGCAAATAGTTGCATTCAGTTGTTCCTCGGTTATTGGAAAATGTGTCACCACAGTGGAGTGTGACTGTGCAAAGTTTTTCCTTTATTTAATGAAAAAGCGTGTGGGGGGTAGGGGAGAAAATATCGGCAAGGTTTCTAAGTCAGTGCCCATGTTTTCCTTCACAGAAGCTCTAAAGTTTTGTATGTATGTAAGCCAACAATTCTCTCTACTCTTCTGTGATGCTGCTCCCACAGAGCCAACTGCCTGAAATAAAGAACTGAAGATGGTGAGTCATGTGATTATTAATGGATCTTAGCCTAGGGTGAAATAAAGTAAAACTCACTTTCTCAAAATTGAGCAGTAACATAATTTTGAGTACATTATCTCTCACAAACACCATTTGGTTCTTAGAGGACGTTATTTGCTATAATGAGAACAAAAGTGATAATACTTTGAAACTGTATTACTGTTTGATGATCTGCATCGTGATGGTTATTTGTATATTATAAGGGACCAGACGGTCTCTGTTCCTTATTTCCCTTGTATCTTTTAAGAATTTTTGGTCAATATCCAGCACAGTACAGATAGTGTGTGTGTGTGTGTGTGTGTGTATGTGCATATTTCTTTTCAAAAGGTAATTAATCAGTTGTTGCAGACTGAAAGCCAAACTAAACTTTTTAACACCATTTTAAGACTCTAAGAGGAACATTAAGATTCATTTATTCACTCTACAATTTCTCCACTGTGAATAATCTTAATGTGTATGTGCGTCTTCTGGTAATTGAATTAACCAACATCATACATAATTTATTAAGCAACTAATTGTATTCTTATCTTACAAAGAAAACTATGTAACATAAAACCCACAATCTTCCAACACCTACATATTATATTCACAGAACCACGTGAGACACAGAGCTGGAATATACAGTTTTTGATTGTAAAGTACTTGGAACCTTGCTGAGAGGAAAACATAAATCAGCACAGAAATAGTTAAACAACAGTTCAAGACAACGATAAAGCGATGTAGGTCCTGATCAGCTAACAGATACCTGAGAGAAAAAGAACTAGTAGACAATAATACCTGTAGCAGCAGAGAGGAGGGGTAGAGATTTATAAGAGGACTGAATTAAGAGACGAATCTCCAAAAGTGGGGCTACAGTTATGTTAGGCAAGAAGCCAGGGTTTCTTCCAGCTCAAACAATTTAGGATTGGTAAGAAGAGGATGAACTGTTGTCCTGAAATGGCAGTCATTTAAATGATATTGCTCCTAGGTGTGTGTTTGTTTCTAAGATTCAGCTTTCGAAGCAAGGAGTATGTCATTTCATCTCTTTATCCTTAGCACCTAATCTAGTACCTGAAATAATAGGAGGGAGATAAAGAGAACTGAATTCCAGGTTAGTAAAGCTACACCAAGGAGACAAATCAACATATATTTAGAGAACACTACAGCAGTTTGGCTAAAATTGAAGGAATAAGAGAAAGAATAAAATTGAAAATGTTGACTTGTGATGCACCTTGAACACTGGCTTAAGAAAGGAGGTTGGACTTCATTCTCTGTTGGCAACAGTGGAAACCAATCAGAATGACACCCTCAGCTCAGGGAGTGCATGGGGAGTCCATGCCTACAAGCCAGTATGAATTCAAAATATGGTTTTTCATCTCATGCAGGAATAGTGGAAAGATCCAAAGGCTGCTCACTGTTCCACTGGAAAGTGTTTGAGCTTGGTACTAGGACCAGCTGTACTTGTTAAAGATGCCTGAACCTTAGCCTTGAACTACAGAATCCAAATCTCTAAATTTGGAGCCAAAATCTACATTTAAGGCTAAGAGCTTTGGAAGATGAAAATACTGGAGGTGGAAATATCACAGCTTTGCTATCAAAAAAATAAAGCACTGCAGAACTCTATGAATATAATAAAAACCATTGCATTGTACACTTTACATGGGCAAATTCTAGGGTGTATAAATCTTACCTCAATTATGATGTTAAAAAAAAAGAAGAGTTCATATCCTAGTCAAAAGGTTTTTTAAGGTACACAGAATCATATGGTCAAATTATAAACCTAGTGACTCAAAAATCATATTCCTAATAATCTCTTCACACAGGACCCCTTCTAATTACCCCAATGACTGGAATTGTTATCAACCCAATCTTCCTCTAGATTGAAAACTCTATGGAGACAAGGACTGTACCTTAATTATCTTTCTCATTGCAGCACATTAACTGTCAAATCTGGGCAAATCCATTTCTCCTTCTTAAAGTCCTATGCTAGGAGTGTCTGAATCCTAAAATTAGGTATGTCCAAAGGGGAAGTTAAAATTTGATATAAATTAGTCAGGTGACATGTTTTGGCTGTGTCTCCACCCAAATCTCATCTTGAACTGTAGTTCCCATAATTCCCACGTGCCGATGGGAGGTAACTGAATCATGGGGGTGGTTACCTCCATTCTGTTCTCACAGACCTGATGGCTTTATAAGGGGCTTTATAAGGGGCTCTCCCCACTTCACTCTGCACTTCTCCTTGCTGCCTCCATGTGAAGAAGGACATGTTTGCTTTCCCTTCCACCGTGATTGTCAGTTTCCTGAGGCCTACCCAGCCCTGCGGAACTGTGAGTCAATTAAACCTCTTTCCTTTATAAATTACCCAGTCTCAGGTATGTCCTTATAGCAGCATGAGAAAGGACAGGAATGAATACATCAGGTAACCGAATATTAACATTTTATCAGGCTGTGTAAACAGGCAAATTTATCAAGAAGATATCACTTTGGAAATAAATAAAATGAGCTGTTTTATTCAACTGCAGTGTATCATTACTACCCTCAGCCAAGCTGTCAAGGAGATAATAGATAGTAAGCTCTTCGAAGGCAGACATTTAAGACTATCATCTCGTTCTATGTTTTCCTTGGACTCAAAGTGCTACCCAGCATTTGTTGTCAATCTCTATGCGAATTTTAAAACAACCATGCAGCTGGGTGTGGTGGCTCACGTCTGTAATCCCAGCACTGTGGGAGGCCGAGGCGGGCAGATTACCTGAGGTCAGGAATTAAAAGACCAGCCTGGCCAACATGGTGAAACCCCATCTCTACTAAAAATACAAAAATTAGCCGCGCATGGTGGCACATGCCTGTAATCCCAGCTACTTGGCAGGATGAGGCAGGAGAATTGCTTGAGCCTGGGAGATGGAGGTTGCAGTGAGCCAAGATTGCGCCACTGCACTCCAGCCTGCCCGACAGAGCAAGACTCTGTCTCAAATAAATAAATAATTAATTAATTAAAAAATAAAACACCCATGCATTCTTTTCCTCTCCATTCAACAGTTTTCTCACTGTTTCTGCCATAGGCTGACAATTCTTCCAACAGAGTGTATTCAGAGTAATCACAAGGAAGTCTGCAATCCAATCGTTTGTCATCAAGTCCAGCTTAAAACCATCTCAAGGCTTCCCTATGATCTTAGGATGAAGTTCAAGATCTTTAAGATGACCTTAAAAAGCCTTGACAATCAGGGCATATGCAAAACTTTCCAGCCACATCTGGATGGTCCTACGCTGGCTTTATCACTATTTCTCTGCACACCATCAATCTAGCCCACTTTAAGAGGTTCCCATCTATCCTCCCTCCTTTCTTTCTAGATCTCTGCCTAAATGTCACTTCCTCAAGGCTTAATTAGGCCCAGACACTCACATTTCTCCTTTGTGGCACTCATTGTCACTGTAACTGGTTAATTTCAGGTAAAGATTTATTTTGTCTGTGATTATCAGGAAGGTTAGAGATATCCCCAGGGTTTAGCACAGTACCTGGCACACACTGGGGAGTCACTTCTAGTCTCCTCTATTGGATGTGTTCACATGTGGCTTTTTTCCTCCCAGCATGTCCATTTCTCTCTGGCTGCCCAGATGATGAGTGGCAGAGCCCAGATAAGCAGCCTGTCTAGGAGAGTCCAGTGCTTGCCAAAGGCTGGGGACAGGAATACAAGCAGCCTTTGGGCATCCACGCAACATCCATAGCAGAAATCAGGTTTGGTCATCAGGCAAAAAGGAAATAATTGGGTAGCAAGACATGGGTTTAACAGAGGAGACCCATGTTAGGCATGTTAGGCATGTTAGGCAGCAGGGTCTCAGAACAGGAAGAAGAGGCAGCACAGGAGAAATGCTTGGAGTCAGGAAACCCTGAAGAGATAAAGGGACAGGCCAAAGGGAAAAGCAGTGTATTAGTCCGTTCTCATGCTGCTAATAAAGACATACCTGAGACTGGGTAATTTATAAAGAAAAAGAGGTTTAATGGACTCACAGTTCCATGTGGCTGGGGAGGCCTCACAATCATGGTGGAAGGCGAAAGGCACATCTTACATGGCAGCAGACAAGAGAGGGAATGAAAATCAAGAGAAAGGGGTTTCCCCTTATAGAACCATCAGCTCTCAAGAGACTTATTCACTACCACGAGAACAGTACGGAGGAAACCTCCCCCTTGATTCAATTATCTCCCACCAGGTCCCAACCACAACACGTGGGAATTATGAGAGCTACAATTCAAGATGAGATTTGGGTGGGGACACAGCCAAACCATATCAGGCAGGAACATTTTTCTCCACCCATTATTGCCTGTGGACTGGCCCAACAGGAGCTAGCCCAGGGCTGCTGGTGTGTCTTGCTGAGGCAGCCACAGTGACTTCAGTTGATCAAATCCAGAGTCCTTCACCAAAGGCAGCACGAAAGGGAATGTTGTATAGGGTATTTGGCTGGTTTAGGAAATTTACAGCTTTCCTGGGCGTGAGTTTGCTCACATTAAAATGCCTGCCCTAGAGAAAGCTCTTTGATTGAGGGTAACAAAGACAAGCATAAAGTGATTTAAGCAAAGGGGCGGGGACTGAAAAGTCACAGCAGGTCTCTCACAAGGATGCAAAGACAGGAAGCACAGAAACCAGAGCTGGAAAATAGGACTGCAGGCTTCTCTCTGTCCATCTCCTTTGATTCCCTCCCAGGCCTTCATCCTTGCTTACCTCTAAGCTTCAATCCTTTCTGGAGACTGGGATTACCCTGCTTACTTACAGCTGGATCTACCAAAGCATGATAGTTGAACTGAATTCTGCAAAATAGTGGAATCATCTCCTGACCAGAATGAAATGTACAAATCCAAGGGAGTGCACAATTCTGGCTGCCAGGGATTCTGGGAGGTTCAGGGGCTGTCTGAGAACCCAGGGCACTTAGGAAGTGGGAAAGACAAAAAAGGGGGTGCCCCCCAAACAACCCTACTTCCTTACCAAAGGTGCCTGGGGCCAGCTTTGCAGAGAGGGCCTGAATGAGGCTTAGCGTATTTCTGTGATTACAAGATATGGAATTTATCTAAATAAGACATTAGCGATACATCACTATACTTCATACATGCTAGAGTAGGTCTCAGTATGGAGGAAGTGAGTATCATCCTGCAATCATAATAAAATCTCAATTATCCACAAGCACACAACCTAACCTCCTCATGGCTTTCCTCTACTGTGCCCTGTGTTTTCTGGGGACTCATCTCCATACATGCTTAGGATTAGGGATGACAAGGCAATTTTCCTGTTTGTCTAAAAAGAATGGTATTCGTGCAATCATACTGCCTTAGGCAGTTATACGATCCATACCAAAGGCAAATATAAATGCACTTTGTGAAGCTCTAGTAAGTGGAAGGTTACCTGTTACAACTTCCTCCAAGTTACCCTCAGAAGGAATAAGGAAGCCACAGACTGAAGCTGGTAACCAGTGTTCATAGTCTGTAACTTCCTGTATTTATTGTTTTTGAGGCAGTTACCATTAGGATCACTGGCTTGATGACAGTGATGCCCAAAGAAAGGGCATCATAAACAAATTGGGGCTGAGGCAATGGTACAGAGGGTTTCTCAGAGATGGCATAGAGAGCTCTGGGTTCAGACCCACCTGGGTCCAAGTCTCAGCTTGTCCACTTCTGACCTGTACAACCCCCACAAGTTGTTGAGTAACCTCTCTCAGTCTCACTTTTCTCGTAAAATGAAGACACCAATACCTGCATCATTGGACTGTGATGAGGGTCATAAACTAACAATGCTTAGTGCTGTCTCAGTAGAATTCTTATTCAAAAGACAAATTCCACCTAAACATACCCTTCACTTATCATTTTTTATTCTCTCCCTCTCTCTCTCTCCTGGACATCACCCTGAAATAGTTAAGTTTCTAGAGCAGAATTTGAACTTGTGAATCATTGAATCTTAACTTTCTCTGAGGCATTTCCAAGCAATGCTTCTGCTGAATGCTACTTAACATGACATTTTCCCCCACTGCACCAAAAAAAAACCTCAGTTAATGGCCTAATAAGCAAAGGAAGACTATTTCAAAAAATGGGCTTGGAGAACATTAGAAAAGCAGGGAAAGTGCCTTCCGGAGGATCTTAGAAGAGAATCACAAGCATCCATCAACCACTATTTCTATTGGATTGTTTGGCCAGCTAGAGAATTTTTTTTTTTTCTGAAAAAAATTTTCTGAAGGTGATATTCATCTTCAGCGAAAAGACAGAGACAGTCTCATATATAAGGGAAAATCAGTAACTAACAGCATGCACAAGTTTCAAAAATGAGTCACTGGTTACCATGGTGATGAAAATATAACCTAACAAATCACTGGGCTGTAAGTAACCAAGATGATGCTAAGTACATTATTTTTAAAATGGGAAAAAATGTCTGTATTTTTAGGAATACTTGCAAGGAACTAGATGGACAAAGCAGCAAACTGAAGGCAGCCCAGGATCGACCCTGTGGAGCCAGGAGTCACCGTCATCTCCTGCTCTGTGCGTGCTGAGCTCCGTGACACATGCACACCCACAGCTGTGCCCAGTGACAGCTGCATGAGGAAGAGCAATGACACCGTATTTACAAACAAAGAACTACGATAGGGAAGATGAGTCTTCTCACTCCTTAAACTCTTCATAAAAGAATAATCTCTGCTACAGCCCACTGAAGATGAAAAACTCCATGACAGACTTTGTGGCCAGTCCTTTATAAACTCAACTTCAAGAATGTCCTCAGGCAAAACAAGATTCCCAGAAAATAACTAAGATACACCATAAAATAATAATTTCCTCCATTCTCAATAGTTTGAATGTTCTGAGTATATATGAATTTTAATCAGGAAAAAAGCATAACCATTATATGATGTTAATAATTTTCAAATTATGCCAAGAAATGGCAGCACACAAACACATTCCTACATACTTTGTTTTTTGTTGTTGTTTTTGTTTTTGAGATGGAGGCTTGCTCTGTCACTTAGGCTGGAGTGCAGTGGTACAGTCTTGGCTCACTGCAACCTCCACATCCCAGGTTCAAGTGATACTCCTGCCTCAGCCTCCTGAGTGGGACTACAGGCATGTGCCACCACACCCAACTAATTTTTGTATTTTTAGTAGAGACGTGGTTTTGCCATGTTGGCCAGGCTGGTCTCGAACTCCTGACCTCAGGTGACCCACCCGCCTTGGCCTCCCAAAGTGCTGGGATTACAGATGTGAACCACGTGCCCAGCCCACATTCCTAAATTGAACTTTGTGCACAACTTCTGGACAGAAGGCATAATGTCCTGTACACATGGGTTCCAACTCTTTAGAAAATAGGCCCCAGGGCTGTTTCTCCCAGTGGTTCCAGGTATCCAGCATGAGACTGCCCAGAGGGTGCCTTAAAAATGAAAACTCCTAGGCTATATCCAAGTCCCACTCACTCTGAGTCTCTGGGGTTGGGATCTAAAGCCCTACATATTTTTTTAAGGGTTCACTGTACCATGCTTATGTTCTCTATGAAGTCTGAGAACCCCATCTTTAGTAATCTTCACTACACTGAGGTCTCCAGACAATGGTGACAGAAGACAGGACACCACCAGGGGCCATCTACTAGCACAGATTATTCACAGCCAGAACTATTCACGACTCAACAGCTTTTTTACCACAACCCAGGGTAAATCACCAGTGTAATCTACATGTATTATACATGTGGGTAGGTGGAACAAATATTTCACAAGCAACACAGGAGATATACTCTGACCTAATCTACTCTACTATGTTCCAGTGTTTAATGCTCTGACAACTAACTGAATTGATTTCACTACTCACTAACTGGTATGAATGAAATGATGGCAATACCTTTAACTGCTATCATTTAACTTGGATTTCTATATAACCTCTTTAATCTCACAAAGAATAGCATGCAAATTATATAGATGCAGTATAAAATAAATGAAAAACATTAAGAAACTGAAGCAAAGGGAAAATAGAGACAGGAAACTAAACGTTTAAGTCAAAGGAATCAAAGGTAAACTTAATATACAAGGCATGCCAGGAAATCAAGTTCACTTGTTAACTCCCAGCTTTGTTTTTTCTTTTTCTCTCGAGATGGAGTCTCGCTCTGTCGCTCAGGCTGGAGTGCAGTGGCACGATCTCTGCTCACTGCAACCTCCGCCTCCCAGGTCCAAGTGATCCTCCCACCTCAGCTTCCCGAACAGCTTGGATTACAGGCGCCCATCACCATACCCAGCTAATTTATGTATTTTTAGTAGAGACGGGGTTTCACCATGTTGGCCAGGCTGATCTCGAACTCCTGACCTCAAGTGATCTGCCGCCCTTGGCCTCCCAAAGTGCTGGAATTACAGACGTGAGCCACCGCACCTGGCCCAGTTCCCAGCTTTGTAACAATCAATGTTACAAAGAAACATTTGACGTGAAGAAGAAAACAGCATCAGTTACAAAATTCCCAGTGTTCATCTGGGAAGAACGAAGCAATTTCTGAGAAGCATTCAGGCCTTTGAGGCCTCTCTCCTGCTGAACTGAATGCCCTCCCTCCTTCTTTGGGGTAGAGCAAGGGAGTCCTAAGGGGAAGTAGAACCCTTGTTACTGCCTCCACCTTCTACCACCACCTGATTCATGGATAAAATTACAGTCACTCTAGGGACTACTGACTGGGACAAAGCCTGCAAGACACTGAAGCCTGAGGCCACCCGATTCTCCCTCCTTCAAGAGTACTTTGTACTCACTTCTGTTTCAGCACTGGCCACCTTGTTATAATGACAGCTGTTACCAGGGCTGTTCCTTCCCTCCCTGCTGGCCCCCAAGATTATCAGTTTAGAAGACAAAACTGGCTCATATGCATTTCAGTGAGCTCAACCTAAAGTTGTGTCGGATGCGAAACTATTGTGGAAATTCCAAAAGACAAAAATCAAAGAAGCACAAAAGTCTAAACTTGCTTCTTGTAGAATCAAGTATGAAGCATTAGTCTAACCATTTGTCCTCAATGACTCAGTGTCGTACCTGTTAACCAAAGCCAGTATTTTTATAGCCCAGGTTAGTCTTAAGGAAGAAATCCTAAACAGATGTAATGTGCATGGCTCAGTTCCTGGCATGCAGTATGCACTCAATAAATTCCAGTGTGCCCTTCCTCTATCAGGGATCTTGTACATATTAATTTTACTTGCTCCCAGGGCCATTGCTGTCTTCACAAATCCCTCCTTCTCCTTTAATCTTGCTAAAAAAGATTTAAAATCACCCAAGGAGAGAGCTGGGTTCCCAAGATTCATAGAACACTCTTAGTGCCTACATACATAATTCCACATTTGAAAAGGTTTCTTGTCATTATTTCACGTACTTTAAGCAAGGGTTAGAGGCTACTTTGAAAAAAACAAAATCTGAGAAAGGAAAACCCAACTAAGTCATTAAGTATCAAATAAATTCTTTAACCAAGCAGTAAGAGAGACATATTCACTGTTAGAAGGCAACTGCAGTTGCTAAACAAGACACGAAACATATTTGGTCTTTACTCTTGAGCTGGCAAATATCATCTTGTGGATTCTAAAGTAGCAGTTGTTTGCTTTACAGACTCTATTTTCGTGGATAGTAGAGACCTAAAATTTAGACCTGCATGTCTAGGCCCGAACAAAGAAAACATCATCATGATTTACTTTCCTTCAATATGTATCCCATATTAAATAATGTAGTTGACCTACCTTTTCTGTGATATAGAAGTTTGAACTATCGGCATGCTGGAGTGCAAAATATTCATGGTTGGCAAGAGACCACCTTAAAAATACAAGCGTATACTGATTAGAAAAATGAAAGTGGCCATTTTCATTTTTACAATTTTTTAGTGTTGGATGAACTAAGCACCCTGTGATTGGAATTGGACCAATCCCAACATATACCACAATGCAGTTCCTAAAGCAAAATGACTTTAGCCTACCTTCCATTACCCTGAGACCAATCATTTCATGTGTAGACTGTCTAGACCTGATGCTAGGCCTACTGCTCACCTTTAAGCAGTTCATCCTCAAGGCTTGGTGTGGGAGATTTAAATACAAATCTTTACAATTCTACTTATTTTAAGGGATTGAAGCAAAGAAAGAAAAACAAAGAAAATAAATGCAATTTAAGTTTTTGAAAGTTGGCACATTTTAATTGTCTCTGTATTCTACAATCCCCTATCAGTATAGTTGATGCAGATTGAAACACTCCAATTAAGTACTCTAGACCTTATATAAATTTCAGTTAACACAACTATTTTCACAGTTCTGGTTTAAAAAAAAACAAAGTCATGCAGCTACCATATATACATTTCCTTTGTATTCTTTAGAGCAGCCACAAAGAAGTAGGAAAGTCATATCAGTGTGAGATCCCACGGAGCAGCACAATTACCCACTGCCTTGTCTGTTCAATTCTTTCATCCTCTATGGGGACCTGAGTGGTCCTCTCAGTTTATACCAGATCAAGTGTATACTGTGTCCTCAAAAACCTTTAGAGTACTCCCTGCTAGGTAGGACAAAAGGAACACAACTTCCTAAAATAAATAAAGCCAACCCCACTGTGCACATAACAGCCATTTCACACTTTCTGCTCTTTGAGGACTAATGGTGAATTCTGTTGGAAAAGGGTGTGATATTCCTACACAGTAATTCTTATTGACTTTGAGCAAGTCAGTGGGTGACTTATGAATAATATTTTACTATCCTACTGGAAATATATTATTTGCTTGTCAATTTATCAACTAGAATGCCTTAGATAAATCCTGAGTAACACTTACCCATCACAGACTTCCTTTATTATTGCAGACAGTGGTTTTTTCTGCAAAATAACAAAAAAGGAAATACTTGTTAGTTTCGTTTCATCATTTTAAATTAAAAAAAAGAAGAAGCTTCATAAAAAGATTATCTAAGCAAAGAGAATTTACATTTGCTATTCTTAGTTGTTGTCAATGAGTCTCTTATTTTTCTCAAGGTAACAATCTACCAGCTGTCACCACCAAATTTATTAATGATTTATTACCCCTGTGGTCCTTTTTTCTATACTTAGCATATTAGTTGAACAAAATATGCATCATATTTAATTTAGCCACACTGAAATTAGGGTGAAAATATAACTTTGTTCAAAGATCTCACAGAAAATGGAAGCCCATGAGGCCAAGTCAAAACCAGAATCCCTCAGGAGTAGTACATGAATCAGGCAAGCTGCAGTTTGGCTTCATGCAAAAAGCCTGGATTCATGATATTTTTATAAGAACATGTGGCAAATGGAAAATGAGGTGTTACGAAATGGTTCTTACAAAGTACATAGAATTCTTCCCCTGATGATGGCCCCAATAAATGCCAATCATGCAGCAGCTTGAGCCAGACACACTCCAGTAATGCGACCATGACACCATGTGCCCTGGTGTCAACTGGCGGGTGACTACAGCTGTTCTGTTGTGCCTAACAGCCACACTTGTGCTCCGCCTGCCCCCAAGATAGAAGGAATGCAGCAGAGAGACACACCAGCTCTCCCAGAGATGTGGAAACTCTTCCTGTTTTGGATGCAAACAAGACCCTGTCTGTCTCTAGGATGGGGAGTATCATGTCAACCCAAAGAACAAATCACAGACAAGAAATGAATGAGGAAGAGAAGATGAGAAATCAGAGATGGACAATACATGGTCCTGGATTTTCAGATACAAAACCATAAAAAAGCTGTCTACATATAAGCAGGTTTTACTCCTGTCTATATGAAGGGCAATGTGGTATCTGCGAAGAGATTCTGAATCCAATAGATCAGTTCAAATCCAGCTCTATCAGCTTGTTTGCAGCGTAAGTAACCGCAATTTTCTTCATTTGCTGAACCCCAGTTAGTTTATCTGTAAAATGGCAATAGGTTCTACCTACCCCTCAGGCTGTTATAAAAATTAAATTATATTAATTATATTAAATTAATACAAAGGGCAAAAGACTTCAAAAAAGGATTAGGACTCCTGAAAGGGCTCCATTTCCTCCTTGCATCCTCACCCTTGGACGTGATGCTATCTACGCCTGCTCCATTGGTGAATTCTGAACACCGTTTGTATAGTCCTCTCCAAGGGCCTCCCTAACCCCTGCTAAAGGCCCAGTTCAGTGTACGGTGTCCCTCCAGTGAACTCTCTCCCACTGGAGCTCAATCCTCTATGAGCACATTCACTACCACGTGTGCAGAAGAATGTCTGTCTTCGCCTACAACTATAAACACACTTGGAGGTGTTTGTTGCAGCACTATTCACAATATCCAAGATTTGAAAGCAATCTAAGAGTCCATCAACAGATGAATGGATAAAGAAAATGTGGAACATATACACAATGAAGTATTCAGCCATAAAAAGAATGAGATCCTGTCATTTGCAATAACATGGATGGAACTGGAAGCCATTATGTTAAGTGAAATAAGCCAGGCACAGAAAGACAAACATCACATGTTCTCATTTATTTGTGGGATCGAAAAATCAAAACAATTGAACTCATGGAGATAGAGAGTAGAAGAATGGTTACCAGAAGCTGTGAAGGGTAGTGGCAGGGTTTGTGGGAGAGGTGGGGATGGTTAATGAGTTCCAAAAAAAAATAAAGAATGATAAGACCTAGTATTTGGTAGCACAACAGGGTGACTATAGTCAATAATTTAATTGCACATTTTAAAATAACTAAAACGGTATAACTGGATTGTTTGTAACACAAAGGATAAATGCTTGACGGGATAGATACATCATTTTCCACAATAAAATTATTATATATTCCATGCCTGTGTCAAAACATTTCATGTAACCCACAAATACATATACCTACTAAGTACGCACAAAAGTTAAAAAAATAAATGAATGCGGTTGGAGAGAAAAGGAAACCTAGAATTACTGAGGAGCAGAAAGATGGTGGGGGTATTCCTTATATCCTGAATCTGTCCTCTAGAATAAGATGACAATGGCAATTGGGTTCTACTGTAGTTACATGTTACATAAGTCCTAGGCCTTTGCAAGAAGCTGTCCACTGTTTATGGCTCTTGCTGTGAGCTGAGGAACAAATGTGTTCGCTCAACCAAATGACAAAGGAACTTCAGAAACAAAACTTATTTCCATAAGACAAGAATTTTGCCCTTCCAGCTGCCAGAGATCCCTGTAGGCCATCGATCTGTGATTACTTATCAGAGAATCTCCCCAAATTTCACTTCATGCACCCTCAAAAATGAAACATAAATAACGGAGCCAGGTTTTAGTCTTAAATTACATTGAAACAAAAAGTCAGGCCAAGAAGGTATTGTTGAGGTAGGAGAAGGCATCAAAAGCAACTGCTCCCAGATTTAGACTTAGAGACTGAAGTCTCAGAGGAATTACTTGGATTTTAATTCAGGTCTGATTCATAGATAGAGAATCAAGTTTTAAAAGACAGAGGTCTCTAGGGTACTATTATACCTAGAACATAATGAAGTTGGATATATGAAAGGAATAAAGACCACAGATGCACAAAGCTTAGAGACTTAACAGACAAAGATGAAAGAAAAACTAAACCACAGAGGAAAAAGAATTATAGTTGAGTGAACACCCATAGGTTAGCCTAGCCAATCAAAATGAGTGTTACATAATGGTGGGCCCCTCCATTCTTCCATCTACCCCAATCAAACATTAGCCCTCACCACCCAAAAACTAATTCCAATAACCTTTTCACCGGTCTTACTTTCCTTTTCCTGTCTGCCTTATTTGACACTGTTACTACTTCCTTCTTTTTGAAACCCCCTTTCCAGAGCTTCTATGATATAGCGCAATATTTTCTTCATTCTCCTACACATATAACTAATCCTTCAATGAAGTCCAACAAATCCTTCATAGTTGCTCTTTTACCTGTAGCTCTCTAATTCCAGATTTCTTTTCTCCTCTTTTCTGCTTTTATTTAATCAGTCAGTTCCTCATGGATCTCATTCTCTTCAACTGTCCTAAGTCTACAGCTGTAGCCCCACTCTCTTGCAAATCTCTAACAGTCTGTTAGACAGAACATTTTAACTCTCCTGCAGGTATCTTATTAAAAGTGGAAACAAAAATCATCACTTTCACATTCCCTACCCCTCAATCTACCCAACGGTAGCACACATCCCTCAGATCCCACACCTGATTCTGCCACGACTTCTCTGCCCTCATTATGGCACCACTACTGCCCAGGAGTCTCGTTAACCTTTATGTCTTCACTCTTCAGATATAAGGTGCTAACAGGTTATGTAGCTGTTTCCTCTGTGATGTCCACAGCATTGCTTCTCACCGCCTAACTCTTCTTCTGAACTCCTGACTCTCCTCATTCCAACTCCTGCCATCAAATAGATCTTTGAGCGTACACCCCAATCTCATCACCCTTAATTCTGCTTCCTCTGACCCAGCACCCTTTCCTGAGTACCAGCCCATCATTAATAACTATTTGCCATGAATTTCCAATCAACTGCTTCCCTAGCGAATCAACCCAAAATCGTACCTTCCATCAGTTCCTACACTCAACTTGCCTACTTTCAGCAGATCTTTGAGGCACATTTCTAGCGAACTTGTCCTTGTCTTCTCTTTCTTCCTTAATACATTCTGTGACATACACATTTACAAGACACTAAGTCTCATCACTACTTCTTCCACAACCTCTCTCCCTTTTTATCTTTCCAGACCTTTCCTACCACCTTTGTTCTAAAGATCCCATCACCAGGTCCCTGCAGATAAGTCTCCACATCTCCAATTTTTTTTTCTCCAATCCCCATGTCAACTATAAATACACAAAATTAGACTTTCCCCACAAACTTTGCTCATATTACTCGTTTGCTCCAATAAAAGTGTAAGTCCCAGCTGAGCATGGTGGCTCACGCCTGTAATCCCAGCACTTTGGGAGGCGGAGGTGGGCGGATCATGAGGTCAGGAGATTGAGACCATTCTGGCCAGAAATGGTGAAACCCTGTCTCTACTAAAATACAAAAAAAATAAATAAATAAATAAAACAATTAGCTGGGCGTGGTGGCCCATGCCTGTAGTTCCAGCTACTCGGGAGCCTGAGGCAGGAGAATTACTTGAATCCAGGAGGTGGAGGTTGCAGTGAGCTGAGATCAAGCGCCACTGCAGTCCAGCCTGGCGACAGAGCAAGACTCTGTCTCAAAAGAAAAAAAAAAAAAAGTGTCAGTCACTTAGCTTGTCAGCCAAAGCCATCCACAATCTGGTCTCTGTAATTCTACTATTCTGTACACGTTCCCCATGCTTCTGGATCTTTATGGTGAGTCACCAAAAACAAACAAACAAAAAAAAATCCCATCTCCACACTTTCGCTCATGCCATTTGCTTTGTTGAAATGGCCCTCTCCTTCTTTCTGTTCCAACTCTAACAAGGGACTCTTACTTACCATTTAATATCCATGTCAAAGCCACCTCCTCTAATCAGATGCCCCCTTATCTCCCTAAATAGATGTAATTACTCCCTCTGTGTACTTAGCACATTAAATTAATAACTTCTGAGGACTCTACATATCTATCTTATCTCTCTGTCCCTTGAGAACAAGGCATCTTAGTTCATTTCTGTAGCCTTCCCCACCCCTCAGTACTAGTTACCACAGTATGTAGGTGTGAATAGGATCTAATAGGAGACTCAATACACCTCTGCTAAATGAAAAAAATCTATACATTCACGAACTTTCCTTTAAAAAACAACAACAACAAAAAAAGCCAACTATTTTTAATGATAGCCTGGATTAACCAGCACGTTTCCCATTTCCTACCACTGCTGGGTGACTGTGAGCAGCCGCTGGCCATAAGCTGTTAGACACTGAAAGCTGTCACTACTCCCTATGCAGAATGATTCATGTAGGAATTAGGCAATTCATGGCTTGGAAGAGCACTGAACACCAGCTGGTAAAGAATGTAATTCAACAGATGATAAATCAGATACCAATCAAACAAGTATCACCATCAGTAAGCATGACCAAAGAGGTGAGCCTTCTACTCTCATAAGCAGACAAGACTGACCAAGATACCCCAATTATCTTGAAAACACTAGCCTGGTATCCTTGTTTGTTCTCATTTCCTATAGAAAGCCCTCTGTCTGACATGAGCTCATTGCCTGACCAGTAAATTCCAAGCCAAACGCCAGCTCTGCCTTATGGACTTTTTAGTTAACATTTGCCCAAAAGGTTACGTAAGGTACGTCTATCTGTCCAATTCTCCAAGACCTGAGAGTAGAGTGATATGAATAATATATTAATACCTTTCTGTAGACCCGCTGAATAATTTGCTTTTCATTTCATTGAAAGAAAAGCCCTAGGAGGCCGGGCGCGGTGGTTCACGCTTGTAATCCCAGCACTTTGGGAGGCCAAGGCAGGCAGATCATGAGGTCAGGAGATCGAGAGCATCCTGGCTAACACGTTGAAACCCCGTCTCTACTAAAAATACAAAAAATTAGCCGGGCGTGGTGGCGGGCGCCTGTAGTCCCAGCTACTCGGGAGGCTGAGGCAGGAGAATGGCGTGAACTCGGGAGGCGGAGCTTGCAGTGAGCCGAGATCGCGCCACTGCACTCTAGCCTGGGCAACAGAGCGAGACTCCGTCTCAAAAAAAAAAAAAAAAAAAAAACACAGAAAAGAAAAAAGAAAAGCCCCAGGAGAAAAATTAATTTAGTTCAAAATGATGAAACTGCTTGATTCTTCTCCCTATAACTCCATAAACCCAAAAGGAACTAAAAAGTAACTCCCTTTTTTTTTTTTTTTTTGTAAACGGAGTCTCCCGTTGTCGCCCAGGTTGGTGTACAGTGGCATGATCTCAGCTCACTGCAACCTCCCCACCTCCCGAGTTCAAGTGATTCTCCTGCCTCAGCCTCCCCAGTAGCTGGGACTACAGGCACGCACCACCACAGTCGGCTAATTTTTGTATTTTTAGTAGAGACGGGGTTTCACTATGTTGGCCAGACTGGTCTCGAACTCCTGACCTCATGATCCGCCCGCCTTGGCCTTCCAAAGTGCTGAGATTACAGGCATGAGCCACCACACCTGGCCCTAAGAATTAACTTCTGTACTCTATTGGAAAATATTTGGGCTGGACGTGGTGGCCCATGCCTGTTATCCCAGCACTTTGGGAGGCCAAGGCAGGTGGATAGTTTGAGCTCAGAAGTTTGAGACCAGCCTAGGCAACATGGCAAAACCTCATCTCTACAAAAAATATAAAAATTAAAGGCTGGATGTGGTGGCTCACGCCTGTAATCCCAGCACATTGGGAGGCCAAGGCAGATGGATCACCTGAGGTCAGGAGTTCGAGACCAGCCTGGCCAACATGGTGAAACCCCATCTCTATTAAAAATACAAAAAATTAGCCAGGCATGGTGGTGGGGACCTATACTCCTATTGACTTGGGAAGCTGAGGCAGGCAGAAAAATCGCTTGAATCTGGGAGGCAGAGGTTGCAGTGAGCTGAGACCGCGCTACTGCACTCCAGCCTGGGCGACAACAGTAAAACTCTCTCTCCAAAAAAAAAAAAAAATACAAAAATACAAAAATTAGCCAGGCACGGTGGCGTGTGCCTATAGTAACAGCTACTTGGGAGGCTGAGGTGGGAGGACTGCTTGAGCCCAGGAAGCAGAGGTCGCAGTGAGCCGAGATAGTACCACCGTGCCAAGATAGTACCACTACACTCCAGCCTGGGTGACAGAGCCAGGCTCTGTCTCGAAAAAAAATTGGTATTGAGACCAAATTATTTTAACTGCTTCAGTATGTTTCCATAATTTATACAAATCATCACTAAATATCTTAAGCTTTTTGTTTGGATGATCAAAACTGCCTTCTCAGACTCAACAGTGAGCTGAAAAACAAAAGCAGGAATTTTTTCAGAATAACTTAGAGGATTAGGCAGTTACCACATTTCTATGTGCGGGGATCAAGGCCCATAAGCACGGAGGCCATGACCCCACATTCTTTTCCCCATTCCCCTTCCCAACAATGAGGTCATCTTGCAGCATATCAAAGTCTTTCTTCACTTTATAGTATATTCCGGGGAAATTTTAACATTTGCAAAAATATCGTTATTTGTTAAATGAAGTATGCCTTTCCATATGAATCTGACTGGCAAAGTACCAGGTGTCAATAGCTACATTCAAGGAGTAGCTTTTCTTATTAAGGATGTATTCCTCTTTTTATCTTAACTCTTTTTCTCTAAAAGAGTTCCTTTGTTACTTTACTAAAGACAGTAAGTCCACAAAGTAAATTTCCTACACAAGAAGATTTATTGCCAATTTTTGTAACGTAAGTTAGATTTAAGGATGGACGCGATGGCTCATGCCTGTAATCCTAGCACTTTAGGAGGCCAAGCCAGGTGGATCACTTGAGGTCAAGAGTTTTGAGACCAGGCTGAGCAACATGGTGAAACTCTGTCTCTACTAAATTACAAAAATTAGCTGGGTGTGGCAGGCGCCTGTAATCCCAGCTACTAGGGAGGCTGAGGCAGGAGAATTGCTTGGAGCCAGGAGGCAGAGGAAAAAAACAAAAGCTAGATTATTGAAAATGGCCAAATTCTCTACCAGCTGATTTTCAATCTATCTCTCTCTCTATTCCTTAAAGTGAGTATTGGTCTTTTGCTTTCCTTTCTATATTCTTTTTCCTTTGCCCATAATACAATGCTGGTACCACTAATTTCTAAATCCATGTCTCCCCTCTGAGCCGTCTTCTAGGTTTAGTCCTGCATAACCCATTATGCGGATCCATGGATCACAAGGATGCCCTGCCACCCTTTTAAATTTAACACTTCTTTCTTTCTTACTAAACAATTCTCTTTTGCCTCTTCTTGATCTCTTAAAAAAAATATGATCACTCTCTCACTCAGAGTATATGTTCCTTTAAGGCACTGGAGACCCAGCCACCAGGGGAGTCCTTGGCTGTTTATTTAGGAGATGGCCAGTCCAGCCTTCCTGGAAGCACCTTCCCAGGAGACCCCCCAGCTGTCAGCCCTCATCAGAGCCCCTCCCTGCCCCGCCTCTGATGAGCACTGGCAGGCCCTGGCTGCGCAGCCACCTGTTCCTGTCTGTTGGCCAAGGCACCTGGCTTGGGGACTTTACTAAGCCCAAATGCTCACCTTGGAGAGCTCAAGTCTGTTGCTGCCCACATTTCTGCCTTGACACTGGCCTGCTGAGACTGGCAGCGCCCCCAGCCAATGTGCCCACACACCTGTTTTAGCCACTATGGAGCATGGGCTGCCGTTCTCAGCTCTGACATCCACTTCTCCGGCCTCTGCCTGCCTCAAAATGGGCATCACCCAGAAAAAAAAGGCTGCTTCCATCAAGTTTATTCATTTCAAATGTTTCTAATGACATGGGGAAAATGTTCATGAGGTGGTATCAAGTGAACAGACACGAGAAAAGGTTTTAGAATGATGAATTTTTATTGACTACGTGTTTTTCTCTATCTTCCCCCCAACTATGAGCTCTTGGATGACTCTATTATTTATTTATTTGAGACAGGGTCTCACTCCGTCACAAAGGCTGGAGTGCAGTGTTATGATCTTGACTCACTGCAGCCTCAACCTCCTGGGTTTAAGGGATTCTCCTGTCTTAGCCTCCTGAGTAGCTGAGACTAGAGGTGTGTACCACCACACCTGGCTGGTTTACTTTTTGTAGAGACAGGGTCTTGCTATAGTACCCAGGCTGTTCTTGAACTCCTAGCCTCAAGCAATTCTCCCACATTGGCCTTCCAAAGTGCTGGGATTACAGGCGTAAGCACCGCACCTGGCCATCAATGACTTTAGAGGACTTCCAGGGACGGCTTCTGCAGTCCCTGGCTTTGGAACCTGGGCTTCTTACTTCTCTCAGTGCTTCTGTTTTCTCTTCCCGTTATGAAGATTAATTGAGATAATGGTGTAAAATCCTTGAAACAGCACCTGGTACATAGTAGGGCATTACATAACGTTATCTACAGATAGCTTCTTTTATTAACTTACATCCCTTGGACACTTCACACACTTTAAAAAAAAATGCTGGTTAAAGAAATTGAGTGAATAAATGAATGAAAATCCAATTCCTCCTTCTTCCTTAAAGTGACTCCAGCCCCCGATGCTGCCTTTGGCACTTGCCGCATCCTGCTGTTTATTCTTAAATTCATCTTCTTGTGTTTTGCCACCTGTATGGCACTTACTTTGGTGGCAGAGACTGCCTGTGGGACACTGTCCCCTCCCAGGCGCGTGGCTGCTGGGCCTGGAAAGGCATGCAGTTAATGAACATTGATTAAAAACCTATCTTCTGTTTCCAGACTTTTAGATTCTCTTTTTTTTCTGGTCTCTTCCTGACTGCCATGGAGGCTCAGGGGAGCAGCTAAAGACGGATCACAGCAAGCAGAGGACAGAAGCGGTCCCCGGTCCTCACTGCTCCTCCACCCTTCTGTCCAGCGATAGCCTCATGGCCCTCTAACTGCAAAATGCTTTTCCACAAAGACTTAAAGTTTTTGGTCCTAGACTATTAAAAAGCATTTCTCCAGTGCTTAAAAAAAAACCTACCTGACAGATGCTTTATTCTAACACTTTGAGGTGGTACAGCACAGCACTTGGGATTTTACTTTGGAATTTTACTTTGCTTTTATAGATAGAAATTCATTGAACATATTCTGCTCTGCAGTTATTAGTAACGTTGGCCCAGGAAGAAAAGAAATCTAGCTTTCAAATGTCAGGACACCACTGAGAGAGGATAGCATGTTGACTACAACGTGTACAATGTGACTTGAAGGAACTTTAATGTACAATAAGCCATCTAGCTCCCAGAGGCGCCTCGTGACATTGTGTCAATGACACCAATCACTTTATAACAGTTCTACTCTTCTTCCAATGATCCTACCACCACTCTCCATGCTTCTGAGCCATCTACTTTTGTATGGAGGAATCAGATGTGTTCTGAAAAGGCTGTGTCTATACCCTATCTTCCTAATAACAGCCTGATGAATCTGAAAGGTAACGACAAAGCCCCACTTTCCTGAGGCAAATTCAGCTGGTTCTTGGAAAGCAAGTATTCTGACAACAGTTGCTGTGTGAATAACAGACCCAAGATTCAAGCAATTATCAAAAATGACAAAGGGGGCTTACAGCAACCTCTCCACAGTAGTAAAACCATGGATCACATTAATTTTAAAAACTGAAAGATGGGCCAGGCACGGTGGCTCACACCTGTAATCCCAGCACTTTGGAAGGCCAAGGCAGGCAGATCACCTGAGGTCAGGAGTTCGAGACCAGCCTGGCCCACACGGTGAAACTCCGTCTTTACTAAAAATACAAAAATTAGCCGGGCGTGGTGGGGTGCGCCTGTAATCCCAGCTACCCAGAGGGCTGAGGCAGGAGAATCACTGGAACCTGGGAGGCAGAGGCTGCAGTGAGCCGAGATCGCACCACTGCATTCCAGCCTGGGCAACAGAGCAAGACTCCATCTCAAAAAAAAAAAAAAAAAAATGAAAGATGATACTCTGCCACCTTTTTCTTGACAAATGATGATTCATTTCAAAAAAACAGTTAAATGGTTTACCAAAAGTGTCTTGTTTCAAGCTTCATGAAACAAATTAGGTATTAGATTTTACCAGGATAAAGTACAGTCTTTCTGTCATAAAAATCACTAAACTATGAAGATAAGCAAAGATAGAAATAATTATGTTGAATGTATTAACGGGTTAAAGACAAGCAGACCTACCTTCTCCTTTAGATATTCTAACATGCTTCTGCTCAGCAGACATTGTATTTCCCTTCAATTGGAAGGGAAACTGCAACTTTAGATAATGACAGAACTATAGAGATGAACAATGCAAAAATAAAGGACTACTTAGATCAATTATAATCTTTTGTGATTCTCCTAGTTCCTGATTATTTTAGTGAATATTGTTACATATCAATGTTGCTATGGATATCAAGAACAACGTTTTTCCCCAATTTCCTTATATCTGACAGCAACAACAACCACTTTCCTAATTCCCATATTGTCTTCAAACTTCCTTGATATCAGTCTTTTCCAAGTACTTCCAGATGACTCTAGACGCACAGAAGGCCACTGCACTCCACCATGCCTTTGTAATCAAGTGTTTCCTTTCATGTGGAAATGAATGATTCACAGGGAGAATCAATTCAGGCCTTATGGTCTGCTTACCTTCACCCATGTGAAATAATTCATTTATGTGTGTCAAGTTCACCTTTGTAAAATTAACTGTATTTATGTGCATAGCTTAAAAATAAAAATTCAGACAGATTCAATAGGATAAACAGAAATGACTGTCAGCTCCAATGGATAGGATGTTATCAGGCTAGGAGAGTAGATATGAGAAAGCCAATAAGCCCTGAAGGCAAAGTAGGGTTCAGGCTCAATTTCCACACAGGACTATGAAGGTTTATCAATGGCAAGGAACCTGAGATTGAAAGTAAGACAGCAGTCAAAAGAACACTGAAAGGAACAAGTGACCAAAAAAGTATGAAATTAGTTCATGTTTCTCATTTAGTTTTTTTATTTTTTTCTTGTACTTCTTGTCTCTCTTTGCTACTAGTTGGTCTGCGTGCTTTTGAGTGGATGTACTAATGGCAATTCATCCTCCTTTCTTGAGTGGCAATGGACATGATGAGACATCTGCCAGCAGGTAGTGGAGGGACGTGGCTTCTGAGTCTCAAAAAATGTCCCATTAAGTTAATGGTGGCAACCTCAGGCAGAACCTACAGCCCTGAAGAATAGTAACACAGGATTTTCAGGAAGGGTCTAAACTATGCAAACAATAATGACAATCTCACATTCTTCACCCCTACCTTCAATATATCATCAACCCAGACTTTACTGTCTTCTTTTACTGTCATCACTTGGCCAGCCTTTCTAATTATGATACAGTGTAGCAACAGCTACTGTTTTTTGAGTGACTACCATATACTCCCTACCAGATGATATTACTAAGTGTATTTCACTAATGAGCAAACCATATGAGGGATTCTTAAAACGTTACGTAATTTGGCCAGGCACAGTGGCTCATGCCTGTAATCCCAACACTTTGGGAGGCCTAGGTGCGCAGATCACTTGAGCTCAAGAGTTCGAGACCAGCCTGGCCACATGGCAAAACCTCATCACTACAAAAAATACAAAAAGTTAGCCGAGTATAGTGGTGCATGCCTGTGGTCCCAGCTACTTGGGAGGCTGAAGTGAGAGGATCACTTGAACCCAGAAGGTCAAGGCTGTAGTGAGCCAGGATCATGCCACTGCACTCCAGCTCTGGGCAACATAGGGAGACCCTGCCACAAAAAAAAAAAAAAAAAAAAAAAAAGATGCTGTGTAACTTGCTCAAAGCCTCACAGCACATGGAAGAGAGTCAGAATTTGAACACAGACCTGTACAATTCCACAATCCTTACCCTTTAACTCCATCTCAAATCTACCAAGTCCTCAAAACCATGAACGACAAGCCCAGGTGCTCAGCGCTAACACCTGTGGAGTGGGTTCTGGAGCTGGGTGCCTTGGTTCCTGGCACATAGGAAGTTCAGGAGAAATCTTATTTGAAGTGCAATGTTTTAGCATCACCATATGAATAGTAGATGATCCTTCCTCATGCATAAATTATAAAATCCTAAATTAACACTGGAACGTTTGATACCAACCAGGAGAGCCTCTCTGCTCAAGCTCACTCTGGATGCCCAAATCACCATCTCCAACCCCAACTTCTCTGTAGTCCTTTCTGTCTCAGACCATTTCAACCTGAATGCATATCCTTTCATAACCTCAAACTCAAATCTTACCCCAAAACTCTCTTTCCCAGTTTTCAACTTTTATTCATCTTCTTCTAGTTTGTCAGAATATAAACTTGGAATCAACACTACATCTTCCCTCTCTCCTTCATATTGTTGTTTGTTTCCTGTCCTGCCAATGCAGTCCGGAGTGACTCTCAAAGCTGTCCTCTTTATTCTGCCTGTGGGTACAGGGGAGCAAGCACAAGTCAGTGCTATCTGGATTTCCGAAGGCATTTTGGGTTGAAGATACAGCAAATGCAAAGGCAGAGCAAAATGGATGACCCTCTTTGCATATGGAGGAGCTGATAATGTCACACAAATGAAAGATGAGACAGTGGCTCAAAAGGCAAGATAGAGGAAAAAATGCCTAATTCCTATAGACAACTCTTTTAGTTTTATTTTAGTTATAATTGACAAACAATAACTGCATATTTATGGGGTATAAAGTGATATTTTGATACATGTGTACATTGTGGAATGATCAAATCAGAGTAATTAGCATACCCATCATCTCAAATATTTATCATTTCTTTGTGGTGAGAATATTTACAATTCTCTCTTTTAGTGAGTCTGAACTATGACAACTCTTAAAGGTTTGGACCCATGTGGGTTTTTAGACAGGGGAGCAGCATAATCAGGTGTGCAATCTCAAATGACAGGGGATTGCACTGGGGTTGAGAGAAGTTAAATGGGAAAACTGGCCAGTGTATCAAAACCCGAAGGAAATATGAAAGGAGATATGCTGACACCTGAACAATTGCCTGTACCCCTCTGTAAGGTGTCCATGAGGAATGCAAGTCCACCTAAACAGTCCTCTACAGATGTTTTCTATCTTGGCAGGTGTCACCAAGATCCTTCCAGTTGTTCATACCAGAAATCTCAGAACTACCCTTAGCACTTTACTCTGCCTTACCCCACACACATAATCAATCATCAATTTTCTGTCAAATTAGTCTTCCCATATGTCACAACGGGGACACATACCTAACTTCTTTGTGTCTCCCTATCACTGTCCCAGTTCATGGCATAGTTGTTTCTTGATTGGGCTACTGCAAGAGCAATCTAGCCTCTCATTTTCCATTTTGCCCTCAAAAAACAATTCTCCAATTGGCACCTTCTAAAAGTACAACTAACCACGTCACTCCCCTGCTTAGAAATCTTCCATTTTCTACTCCCTTGGACACGGTATTAAAGTCCACATGGCTTCTGATGGGAGAGCCTCACAGATCCAAGTGGCCAAATCCAGAGCCCCTGTTCTTTCTCACTGTCAGATTTCCCTTTAATTCCAGAGAAGCATGACATTAGCCAGAAGCTCTTTACATATTTTGTCTCCAACATTCATTTCCTTATTAGTGGAACTGCCAATTAGACATAGATTATAGCTTCTTAATTTATCCTTTTCAACACAGCTTAGCATTTGTATTAATATTTTTCATTCCCTTCTCTTTTGAGCCATGTTCTGAATGAATTCCTTGTTTTCAACCTTCAATTAACCAATTCTCTCTTTAGCCAAATCCACTCTAGAGTTACTCTGTGTTTTATTGTTTTATCTTTCTGCTGTTGGTTTTTGTTTTGTTTCTTTTTTTTCATTTTATTAACATATACAGTAGTCCCTCCTTTATTTGAGGGGCATATGTTCCAAGACCTCCAGTGGATGTCTGAAACCTCAGATAGTACTGAACCTGACTGCCATCAATCAGAATATGTTTCTCTTCATATCTTCCACCCCCAAATTTTATGCCTCTTTGGTCTTAACTAAGCATTTCTCATACACTGTGGCCCTAACTTTTGCACTTTGAGGTTTGAGAGCAAAACGAGCATGAATTATTTTTCTTCCTCACAATTTCACAGAAAGAAGATTCATTCTTACCATAGATCTTAGCAACTATTTTTTTTCCTTCCCTAGTAAATCTAGACCCTTCACCTTTTCACTTAAAGGAAGCTTCTCTTGGGTATATCTGAAATGCCAGCATCACTAGTCTTACATTTTGAAGCCATTATTAAGTAAAATAAGGGCCATATGGACACAAGTGCTGCCATACCATGATAGTTGATCTGATAACGGAAATGGCTACTAAGTGACTAACAAATGGGAAGTGTCTATAGCGTGCATATGCTGGACAAAGGGGTGCTGCAAGTCCTGGAGGGACAAAGCAGGATAATGCAAGATTTTATCACAGTACACTGAACAGTGCACAATTTAAAACTTATGAGTGTTTACTTCTGGAATTTTCCATTTAACATTTTCAGACTGTAGTTGGTTGGGGAAAGCAAACCCACAGATAAGGGAAAAACTACTGCATTTTTCTTTTTTTTTTTGGAGACACAGTCTCGCTCTGTCGCCCAAGTTGGAGTGCAGTGGTGCAATCTCGGCTCACTGCAAGCTCTGCCTCCCGGGTTCACACCATTCTCCTGCCTCAGCCTCCCGAGTAGCTGGGACTACAGGCGCCAGCCGCCACGCCTGGCTTTTTTTTTTTTTTTTTTTTTTGGAATTTTAGTAGAGACAGGGTTTCACTGTGTTAGCCAGGATGGTCTCGATCTCCTGACCTCATGATCCGCCCGCCTCAGCCTCCCAAAGGGCTGAAATTACAGGTGTGAGCCACCACGCCCAGTGACTACTGCATTTTTCACTTATAAGATGTCTAATTGGCTCTTTCTCACATACACCTGTTCACAATTTATACCCATTTGCTTTGTCCTCATAATCTCCTGTTTGTGTAGATATTATGCTCTCTCTTTTGAAGTGCTTTGAGGATACTCAACACACACCGATGTTTAAGCTCTCTCCTGCTCTGTGTACTCCTCCACACTGACCAGAAGGAAGAGGTCCAGAGAGGGTGGCAGCAGCAGATGTGACCGAGACCAGATGCAGACAGTTTTCTGTGATGACTGATTGGATAAAAAGATGAGGGAGAAAAAAAGAGTCTAAAAGACACAACATGGTGTCAGCTTGAGCAAACTGGGTGTAGTTCACATCTGTCACCAAGAAAAGGAAAACGTGAAGAAAAGCAAAACTGTATGGGTTTGAGGTGGGAGGAACAACAAGGACCGTTTGAATATGCTGAGTTTGAGGTACAAGAGCCATGTAGATAAGCAAGGCAGACAGGCAGATGGATGGTTGTTTATACAGGTCAGGGTGGTCAACGAAGAAATGACAGCCGGAAATTATGAGCATCTCATGATGATGAGGCTGATCAATCCAAACAGATCGCCACGAGTTTGTCCCAGAGTAAGGATTCATCCATCATCATTTTGAGCTGGTTTGTCTCAAAGTCACTGATTGTCTTTTAACTACAGATGGCTTTGATGGAAAGACACACAAAGATTTTCCTAAAGCCAATTTATAAAATGTAATAATGTATTTAGAATACATGGTGCAAACAAGGCAAAGAATGCCTTCACCATAGTCATTCCTGTTCATGTATTATTGTCTGTATCAATAGACAGAAAAAGTATAAATATCACTTATTTCCTTTACTCAACACTCCTTATGAGTTTACCACGTGCAGGCCCTATGCTGGCGCTGGGGACATACTTGGCCCATGCAGAGCATCACGTAGTGATTACAATGCTGACAAGTGGAGCCCTGTGGGATGTTACAAGTTCTACACAGCAAGCACCCTCATCCGGTCTGAAGAGTCAGAAAAGGCCTTAGAGAAAGGTCTAAGGAACTTACACTTCATCTGGGATGGAAGAATAAACAGGTGTTAGACATGCAGAGAACTGAGGAGGATAATTTCTAGTTAAGAGAAAATCACATTTTTAAAGACTTGGAAGTAGGAAGAAATTTGTGTTTGTGAAAGGAGAAAATGTTTGCATATGATGAGAACTCAGATGGTGGCGTTGGGGAACTCCAGAGTGGCACTAAGCAAGGCAGTGCACTGGCAAGAGCTGGGGGCAGGGGGCCCTGCCAACACAGCAAGGACGTCTGGATTCTATTCTAGTGCAATGGAAGCCAGTGCAGAATGTTAGGCCTAGGGGAATGGATTGGAGGGGAAGGAAGAAGCGTGGCCTGGCAGCCAGCTGTTATGCTACTGAAGCCACCTAGGGGAAATAAGCTACAGCAGTGGCGGCTAGGACGGAAAAAGGGTGGATGGACTCAAGCCCACTTAGGAGGCTGATTTTACAGGACTTGCTATTTGAGGGGCTATGGAGATTGTGGGGATGGGGGTTAAGCATGATGGTGATGCCATTGACCCATGAATGCATTTGATGGAAAGCTAGGAACAAGAAACTAGAAAAGCACATATTTTATTTGCTAGAGGCTGCTCTCATTTCCTTGGAGTTCTGGACACACTGCACATTGGTCTATATACTCCTAAAGTACAAGCTGTTTGTTCCTGGGTACCCAGAGTTCCTTCTCAACACTGAAATCCACATATTTAGATATCCTGCCACAATTAACCTGTTGACCTAACAGGAAAATAAGCACAAAGTGTAACATTCACAAAAGGTTCTAGAAATGTCAGAGGTCTTAGTCATCAAGTCTTAAGAAAACATAGTTAATACAAGAGTGTCCTGAGTTGCCCGAACTTCTCAGAGTGGCAGTGTTGTGGAAGGAAGTAGAACAGAAGAGAATCCCACCAGCACCCACCTACAGAGCAAACTAAAAATCTGCATTTCATTTGCTGAAGGAAAAGGAGAATGCCAGAGTTCATTCTCGCTCAATTAAACTCAGCTCAGTTAAAGGGAGAGATATGTTTGCTGTGTTTTTCTTCAAAAACTTGGCAAATTTTTAAGATTTTATGAGGTTATATAGACTCTCTCACACAAGAAAAGAGAGCTAAAACCAGAAAAGTAAGTACCCCAGTCACTTCATTTTAAAGGAAGTTTAAGAAATATCTGTTACATTACCAAATCTAAAAGTTGCAAAAATCAGATGAAGGATGTCTATTCCTCTACCAATGTCATTTCACCTATTATGACGGTATGAAAGCAATGGTGCAGTATCACAGTCTTTATTACAGCTTTCTTAATTGGAGCAAAATGAGCTCTTAAAACTATGTTTGTACTCTCTGTAAAGGAGAGGCTAAGAATTTTTAGGACCATTTCCCTCATGGATAAATTGAGGCACTATCTTTAAAGGACTCACTAAAAGTTACCGTGGGAGCCAAAGGTAGCTCCTGCAGGGAGAGTGATAAATTTCAAGGGCTTCACAACAATGTTTTCAAATGTAGGTCCAACAGCATGAGCATCACCAGGGGAGCTTCATAAAAACAAGGATCCCTGAACCTTGAATCACTACACAATGATCCTCTGTGTATTTTCAACATGTTTCATGAGTGATTCTGATACAGAAGCAAGCTCAGGAGCCCCTGACCTAGTCCATTCTCAACAGGAGGAGACTCTGTCCACCGCCCAAGAGACATTTGGCAATGTCTAAGCCTGGCCAACATGATGAAACCCTGTCTCTACTAAAAATACAAAAATTAGCCAGGCATGGTGGCGGGCACCTGTAATCCCAGCTACTCGGGAAGCTGAGGCAGGAGAATCGCTTGAACCTGGGAGACGGAGGTTGCAGTGAGCCAGGATTGCACCATCGCACTCCAGCCGGGGCAACAAGAGCAAAACTCCATCTCAACAACAAGAAAAAAACCAAAAAACTGCCTGGGTTTTGGTGTTATACAGTGCTGGATTCAAATCAGTACCTTCCTAGCTGAGTAATCTTGGGCAAGTTAATGAACCTTTGAATAACTATGAAGTAGGGAGCCTAAGCCGATCTTGAAGGCTGTAGTAAGGTGATGAAATCCCACGTGCAAGGCCTTCTATTGCCTGCCACATAGTGTGTGGTGCTTGCTGTTATTATTACTGCTACTAACGAGCAAAATTCCATGTCAAGTACAAAAACTCAAATGGGTTTTACTCAATGAGCTTTTCAAAGGTCTTGTGTAAATCAAATTTATGCATATGGAATTATATCTTAAATATGCTATAGAAATATGGTAGTTGAAAAACTGCAGGCAATCACACTTACCTAAAACACATGCATCTGTGTTTCTTTTAGGGAATTAAACCCTTCCCAATATACTGGGGTAGGCGTGCTATTATAATTTTTCTGTTTGGAGAATGAAGACCACCAGTGTTTTATTCTTATCTTCACT
Organism: Homo sapiens; assembly: GCF_000001405.40. Taxonomy (NCBI): domain Eukaryota; kingdom Metazoa; phylum Chordata; class Mammalia; order Primates; family Hominidae; genus Homo; species Homo sapiens. Next base: position 37,334,969 of record NC_000007.14, read on the forward strand.
GTTCAGAATTGAAACCTATTGTACACACACAGTAACGGAGATCAATGTGATGAACCAAAGGATACAAATGTATGTAAGCCACTGGCTGACCTCCAAGAGCTTATAATCTATTTCAAGAGAAGTGAGCATGAAAAAAGAAAAATGTAAATTACGTTACGTGTGAAATATATTAACTGCAAATAAAAGCTACAGGCAAAGAAAATGATATAAGAAATTAGAAAACTGGAGAAAAGACTGCATTATAATGCGATCAGAAAAGGTTTGAGTACAAAGGAGGCTCTCTGCAGTGCTTAGCAAAGCCAGGATTTAAAGCAGTAGAGAGCTGGGAGAAGGCAGGGGGCATTCAAGGTGGCATACTTTTAGAAGGAAACGGCAAGAGATGAAAAAAGACCATGAATGTGCGGGAACAAGCGTCTAAAGGAGCAGCTTCTATAAAACAGAGGGGTACCTGGGAATCACATACAGTGCCTGCAGACACTACCTTGGCCCAGGGACAATGCTTATGAAAAATATGGAAGGATGCAAAGCCACCCTAAAGAATCTGACTGAAGTCTCAGGAATACCAGAAAGCTCAAGAATCATCCATGTCTATTTTTTTAAACTGATAAACTTTTTTCAAACAAAATCTTTCCCCAAATCATACGCAAATGAAAATGGGACAATACAAAGGTGCTGCAGCAGGAGTGAGCGAGGGGTGCCCGGAAGCCCTCGGCAGCCACCCCTCTGCCCCAAGCCATTTGAGAAGCAGAACTAAGGTTGAAAACTATGTATCTCTTCCCATTGCCCTTTTTGGGCCTGAATATGCTCAGAACATCTTCTCCAAGCATTTGTCTGATGCACACTTGGTAGAGATGATGGATCCCCTCGCCTGATGAGATGGCCCGTGCTGGCTTTTCTTGGGTGAAGGTGAAATGTGTCTCCTAGCACAAATAGGATGGAGTTCCTACACTTGGGCCATAAAGAACGCATCTAGGCAGGGCACTGTGGTGGTTCATGGACTGTAATCCCAGCACTTTGGGAGGCTGAGGTGGGAGGATCGCTTAAGTCCAGGAGTTTGAGACCAGCCTGGGCAACATGGCAAAACCCCATCACTACTAAAAATACAAAGACTAGCTGGTCATGGTGGTGCACACCTGTAATCTCAGCTACTCGAGAGGCTGAGGCAGGAGGATATCTTGAGCCCAGAATTAGAGGTTGCAGTGAGCTTTGATTGAGCCTTTGTACTCCAGCCTGGGTGACACAGTGAGACCCTGCGTCAAGGAAAAAAAAAAAGAACATATCTAATGGTCCCCCCTCTACATGATATAACCTCAAAAAGTTGGTAATACCTGTGAGACTCCTTTCTTCAGGTTAACATATGGGCAGTTTCACTAACCATTTGTCTCGTCTGTAGACAACTGAAGTTAGAGAGGGGAACCATATATCCACCCAACAGAGAAATGAAACTAGTGGTTAGCTGGCAGGCTATGCCGGTGATGGGAACTGTTGTTATGTATGTAGGCAGAGGTGAAACTTTAACGTCATGAGCGAACATGGACTCTAAGACAAAGAGTGTCGACAGTGAACACACAGACCAGAGGGCTTAGCACTGAGGTTGGAACTGATCTAGAAAGAAGAGGAACCAGGAAGGAAACAATCCCAGATGAATCAAACAGGGAGGAAGAATCTCAGGCACTGAAGCTAGAGGAAGGAAGGGAGAGTTTCAAGAAGATGAGAATGGGCAGCTTTGCCGAGCGTAACCGAGAGGGTGAGGACAACCAAGGCAGAGGTGCCACCAAAAAGGGGAGCCCTGTAGAGAGGTAAATTGTTGTTCATGCAAATATTAAAATAAGCATGGAACAACATAGATGGCATATACTGGTAACATTTAAATAAGCCTGGAATGGAAAAACAGAATAAAATACTACCAAAAGAGAGTTACTAGGTCAAGGGGAGGATTTTCCAAGGTGAAAACAGAAGAGTTCACTGTTGAAGACAGAGAAGAAGAAAAGAATAAGAGAAGAGAACATGGCTGGGACAAAGCCCCAGGTAGGGTAGAAAGGATGGGCTAATATCATTTGACCCCGCAATCTCATTACTGGGTATATACCCAGAGGATTATAAATCATGCTGCTTTAAAGACACATGCACACGTATGTTTATTGCGGCACTATTCACAATAGCAAAGACTTGGAACCAAGCCAAATGTCCAACAATGATAGACTGGATTAAGAAAATGTGGCACATATACACCATGGAATACTATGCAGCCATAAAAAATGATGAGTTCATGTCCTTTGGATCCATTCTCAGCAAACTATCGCAGGGACAGAAAACCAAACACTGCATGTTCTCACTCATAGGTGGGAATTGAACAATGAGAACACATGGACACAGGAAGGGGAACATCACACACCGGGGCCTCTTGTGGGGTAAGGGAAGGGGGGAGGGATAGCATTAGGCGATATACCTAATGTTAAATGACGAGTTAATGGGTGCAGCACACTAACAAGGCACATGTATACATATGTAACTAACCCGCACGTTGTGCACATGTACCCTAAAACTTAAAGTATAAAAAAAAAAAAAAAAAAACACCTATGTGGAGCATTGGGGGTTGGGATAAGCTGAAAGCACTGGAAACAAATTGGGACCACCTCTTCCCTTCTCTGCTAGCAGTAGAAAAAGCAAAACAAAACAGGAAGGCAGGAGATAAAGGCATCAGGTAGTCTGTGATGCCATGCAAATATGTAGGCCGAGAAGTTCTAGGCAAAGACAGAAGTGGTAGCTTTCTGGTCTGTGTCTTCCTTGAAAAGCAAGGCCTGAGGGGGCAGGGCAGAGACAAGAAATACTGGAGGCTTGAAGAGTTTATGCAGGGAACAGAAAAGCTGCTGCTCAGAAATGGTGAGTGGCCAAGATGGAAAAAAAAAATCACAGAGTACTAGGGAGCCAGTGAATATTCCATAGCACAAATTGGCTATGTGTCCAATTAGGACACCTCTTTATTACCAGAGGATGCCTCCCACTTGTCTTTTAATTTTTTCTCCTTCCTAAACATTGAAAAAGTTAGGCAGAGAAAGAATGAGAACAGAGGGCAAATGTTCACAATGGAAGTGCAGGTGAAAAGGAAAACCAGAGTACCTAATTTTCTAATCTAGCTAATAATGGCTGCTTTTATTGAGGAATCACTCTAAGCTATGCAACATGCTACACTCTTTTCACATGATTTCTTTAATCTTCACAAGGACCATCAAAGTAGCAAATTATTATCCCAAAGAAACTGAGGCTCAAGGCTAACTGAGCCTTTCACAGAAAGCAGGGCTCCAGGACTGCTATGGTCTGAATGTTTGTGTCTCCCCAAAATTCATCTGTTTGAAACCTGGCCCCCATGGTGGTGGTATAAAAACATGCTTGACAGAGCCTGTTTGCCCCTTTTGCCTGTGGGGAAACATACAAGGCACCATTTATGAGGAACAAGCCCTCATCACACACCACATCCACTGGTGCCTTGATCTTGGACTTCCCAGCCTCCAGAACTGTGAACAATAAATTTCTGTTGTTCATAAATTTCCCAGTTTAAGGTACTTTGTTATAGCAGCTGAAGGAACTAAAACAAGTGCTCACATCCAGGTTTAAATGTCCTTGGAGCCCACTGCCTCTTACTAGATGCTGCTTATTGAAGTGTTTGGGATTCCAGACTCTTGACCGAGAAACAAATACATTATTCAGGACATAATAGGTTAACAAGAACAGTGCATGCAGGAGCCTTGATATATCCAGACAACAAGCATCCTCATCCTCAAGCGGCTCCCCGGGCTTGAAACTCAACAATACATTGTGAAGGCGAGAGCAGGAGTCAGGAACCAGTGAGTTGATAATTCTTTTGAGACCTTCCTGTGATACAGCAAAGTCCATGTCTAAGAAGCTCCTGGGGATTTTTCCTGCTGAGTGGAAACACAGAATTTTCTCCTAAATATTTAGAAAGAAGATAAACAAGTCCATCATGGGCAGACGTCCCTCTGAAAACTCCAGGCACTGATGGAGGGTGGCTGAGCAGAATTGAGCACCTGATAAGATAATCACTACTCAGGAAGCACCGCCTCCCAGTTATTCATTCATGAAATATCTTTTCATTTTAAGGACTGTTCACCAGGCAAGGAGAAACAACACTCAAAGACAGGCAGTTCCCAGTCTAATGACTGCTTCTCAAACTGTGGAAGCCCTTGGATTAGATTCATCTGGTGCTTATCACAGATGCAGATGAAAAGCCCTGCCCCTGGCCAGCAGAATCACAATCTCTGCAGCTGGGGCTGCATTTTGCACAAGCTGGTATATGCATTTTGTACAAGCTCCCTGGATGCTTCTTGTACACAGTCAAGGTTGAGGACCACTGGGTTCAGTTGATAGACAAGGACAATACAATGTGATAAGTGGAGGGGCACCCAAAATTTTGGGAGACAATAGAGCAGCAGTGCTTAACCCAACTTTTGGAAACGGCTTTTAGTGAAATAGCAGCTATCCAGGCTAAAAAGAAGCAAAGAGCTTTCTAAATGAAGCTAACATGCTATGGGAGAGAGGCAGGTTATGTGATCTTTACTGAACAAGGTAGAAGATTAGGAGAAAACCCAAGTAATAATCATTTCTTCTACTCTTCATTGCATGTGAAAACATACTTCTAATTCTTGTGCCAACTTCTGATTCAATCAAGAAACAACATCTGACAGCAACACTTCCATAAGTCTCATTGTAATTCCAGCAACTGCAGGGCAATTAGGAACTGGGTTCCTAATTGCCCGTCTAGGTTTCCATATGTGATTAATAGGAGGCCTATAATTTAACCAACTGTTTACACTTGTCATCTGTAAAACCAGAATAATTATCAAGAATTAGGCAATGCAACACCATGTACCTCTTGATATGATGAGCCAAAAAGGACACATCATTTCTCTACATTTCTGCCAAAAATACAAAACTCGAATCTGATCAGCAGGATATGTGAGAGAACCCCAAACTGAAGACTTTTCCTAAAATAGCTGTCCTGTACTCTACAAAAATGTCAAGGTCACAAAAGATAAAGACTGAGAAATTTCTAAAGATCAATGGAGATCAAAGAGACCTGACAATAAACATAGTACATGATCCTGGACAGGATATTACACCAGAGAGAAAATAGCTATAGAGGATCTTATTGGGACAACTGATGGAATTTGAATATGGATTACGAACTGTGAATTTGACGATAGCATTATACCAGTATTCAATTTATTTCTGGTTTTATAAATGTACTGTGATTATTATGTAAGAGAATGGCTACAATCTTAGGGACATACACACTGAGTGTTCAGGGGTGAAGGGGGATGGTGCTTCCAGGGCTCCATCAAATGGTTCAGAAAAAGTAGGTACAGAGTTCTTTGTACTATCCTGGCAATTTTTGTGTGTTTAAAATTGTATCAACATAAAATTACTTGTCAAAGCTATCAGGCCATGAAAAACAAGGAAAGACTGAGAAATTGTCCAAAACGGAAGGAGACTGAGGAAACGTGACAATTCGTATCCCTGGATTGGATCCTCGAACAGAATAAGGACATTAGTGGAAAATCCGGTGAAATCCAAATAAAGTTGGTAGTTATGTTAATGTGATGTACCAATGTCAATTTCTTAGTTTTGACTAATGTACCAAGATTAAGATATTAACATAAGGGGAAACTGGAAATAGGGTATAAATGTAAGCATATACAATCTTTGTAATTTTCTGTAAATCTAAAATTATTCCAAAATAAGCAGATAATTTAAAAATATATATATTAAAACACACACATAGCAAAGGCCATCTCCAAAGGCAGAGAACACTACACTAACCTCACAGGTAAGGAGGAGGACTGTCTATCAAGAGCTGCTGTCTTAAAGCAGAGGTTCCCAAACTGCACTGACCATGGCAGAATCAAAATTAAATAGTTTACCAGAACCACTAAATTAGAGTCTCTTGGGATGGGACCACTGAAAATAGTTATTTCGAATAAGTGCCTGGGTAATTCTGATTAGTACTCGGGCTTGGGCACCAGGTATCCAGCTCAGCACGTCTCAGATTGAACTACACACAGGGATACCCTGGAGATCTTGTTAAAATGCAGACTTGGGTCAGGAGGTCTGGAATAAGACCAGAGATTCTGCATTTCTAATGTGCTTTCGGGTGATGCCCAAGCATGTGGTCCAAAGCTCCACAGATTGAGAAGGGCAATGCAACAAGACAGAGGGCCCCAGTGCATGCCACTGCGGGGCATTCAGGACCTCTCTACACGTGTGTGAGACCAACTTCCATCTCACTGAAGCCACTGGTCTCTTAGGCTGTGGCCAAACCTAATCCAAACTACATTTAGTCTGCACCGAGTATCTCCAAACATTTTCTTAAGGTAAATTTTAACTAGCATCTCAAACCACATATGAAAGCAGATAAGCATCTGTTGCCTGACTCAAATATATCCGAAACTATTAGGCATCTCTACTTTTCTCTGTTTGTATAGGTTCCTTCTTGAGTCAGTAGAAAACTACCTCAGAGAGCAGTTAAAATGACAATGATGTGTGGTCTGATAACAGCTTTTTTGACAAAAATCCCAAAAATTTACCCTTTCTTACATTTGAGTTTAAGTTCAATTAATTCTGAGCTGACCCGTATAATTCATTTTAATGATTCCTTTGGATTCGCACAATTCCATATAACTCTCGCATTGATCTGCCACCAGATAATAAAATCTGACCAGGAAAAAAAATTGTAAATCATAATTGTAAAATAGTATGGAGAACATAAAGATTGGAGTTGCCATGGTTATTGTAATTTTGAAAATGTAGAAAGCCATCTAGAACCCTATACTATATACATTATGAAACCTGTAAGTATATAATAGGTCTCAACCTTTTATTCCTTAAATCATTTGCTCTAGAGTGACTACAGTAAAGTGAGGACAAAAGTAACCATTCTGAGATAACCTATAATCAAATAGTGCATGAGAATCACACCATACAATTCTCAAGATTCAAGTTAAAGGATGCCTTTATGGGTCAAGCCACTTTTATAAGTCTTCTTGATATTTTTTAATTCAATAAACATTTGTTGAGTATTTACTACATGGCAGACAATATGCTAGACACATTGTGAATTTTACACTAAAAATAAAAATTACAATTGGCTGAAATCCAAGACTGAACCCCTCTATACTAATTTCATTACAAAGCTATTAATATAACAAAGTACCAATGCATTTGGCTGCTTCTGCAAAAAATGAAAAAAAAGGGATTTTAAAAATTAAGTTTTGTCTTGCCTGTGTTCCAACAATCTGCACATATCCATGTGTCATGGCAAGGCAGGGATGGGGCAGCCTCCACTGTGTCAACTGCCCAGGGCCCGATCCACTTGTCCCTCCCACCTCCTTCCTAGCTTCAGACACAAATCCTGTATTGACACAATCCAAGTGGATGCTGGAAGAGTATAAAAACCCCATCCATCACTGTATGTGCTACAGAAATCAAGCACATTGCAACTATTATTGCACAGATTTTTCAACACAGCTAGAGAGAGAAAGGGAGAAGAGTGAGCTATCCAAAGTCTATGAAAATTCCAGTATAGAAAGGAAACTGAAAATAGACACCCAATGCTGTCACGTTACTAACCTGATCAATTTCCATGAGTTTGGGGTAGGCGCCCGGCCATTCTATGGCCACCTTGACGATGTCCGCGGGTGGCGGCATTGTAAGTCCCCAAAATGTTCAAAGCCAGTGGGAATGAGGATCCTACAGCGTAAACGGCCACACGTGTCTATACCTAATGAGGAATGACAGAAAAAGAAAGAGAAGTCACTCAGTGCAGATGCAGGGTGAATTTTGCTTCATCACTTCCTGTTTTCACTGGTGGTTTGGTATGAAAAACGGCTCCCCTTGGTGCCTGGGTGCTGAAGGTGCAGGGGCACAGCCAACGGTACAATGGGCTCCTGAGGAAAGAAGAAAGATGGGGGTGCCCGTGCCAACGCCCTTGAGTCAAAGCCGCCAGGAGACGCTGCCCTGTGGGGCACGGCTTGCGCGAATCTTCAGTGGAAAGAAAGCTGTTCCTTACCACTGAGTTCTGCTCTGAATGGTGCCCAGGGTCTGAATGAGCCAGGCTCACTCTCTGTCCAGACATGCATATAAACGTCTGGCACTCAACAGTCTGAGGAAGGACAGATTGCCCAGGAAGTCATGGTCAGGAAGCAGTGTTTCTTTAAAGTGTTTTCTGTGTGTCACAAACAGATCTCCACACTATAGCAACCAGGATATCATGAAGAAGGAGAAACACCCTGAGAGCTCACACACATGCACACCCATACTCCCTCCCCAAGGTCGGTTCACACAATGCACCTTCGGTGGGGGGTGGGGGTGGGGCAGAAAATGTACAGATGTGGACTGAATGGCATTCAGAACAGACTTTGAATTCTCACTTGAATGAATCGTGCTTCTTACACAAAGGAGGTAACCATTATCCTCTGCTGCCTCTTCCCAGGCTAGCCCATTTCTTTTTTTTTTTTTTTTTTTTTTTTGAGGCAGAGCCTGGTTCTGTTGCCCAGTGGCGCAATTTTGGCTCACTGCAACCTCCACCTCTTGAGTCCAAGCAATTCTCCTGCCTCAGCCTCCCAAGTAGCCAGGATAACAGGGGCCCACCACCACGCCTGGCTAATTTTTATATGTTTAGTAGAGACAAGGTTTCGCCATGTTGGCCAGGCTGGTCTTGAACTCTGGGTAATCTGCCCACCTCAGCCTCCCAAAGTGCTGCGATTACAGGCGTGAGCCACCTGGCCCAGCCCCATTTCTTTTTAAAATTAATTTTTTGTTAACAATCATGTGATACAAACTTGTGTGTGTATGTGTGTTTGTGTGTACAAAGACGGACAGTGTAGAGTCTCTTCTCCCAGTGTCACCCACCTGCCCAATATCTGCGTTCACTTCTTATACTTCCAGTTATCCAAAGTCATTAGGTATCCCTCCAAACTTTCTTCAAGTATAGAAGGCAAATACAAAAATACATTATTACATTTGCCACTTTCTTTATATAAAAGGCAGCATTTTTTTTTTTTTTTTGAGACAGAGTCTCCCTCTGTTGCCCAGGCTGGAGTGCAGGGGCATGATCTCAGCTCAAGGCAACCTCCACCTCCCGGGTTCAAGCGATTCTCCCGTCTCAGCTTCCCGAGTAGCTGGGATTACAGACGCACACCACCACATCCGGCTAACTTTTGTATTTTTAGTAGAGACAGGGTTTCGCCATGTTGGCCAGGCTGGTCTTGAACTCCTGACCTCAGGTGATCTGCCCTCCCCGGCCTCCTGAAGTGCTGGGATTGCAGGCGTGAGCCACCGTGACTGGCCAAAAGGGAGCATTCTTTTTGTTTCTTTTAGTATATTTTCTAAATCCTTCTATGTTAGTACAAAGAGAGCATCTTGATTCTTTTCACAGCTACATAGTAGTTCATTGTGTGGATGTGTCCTATTTGATGAACCAGTCCCCTGCTGTGGGCCATTTGGGTGATTTCTTAAGTTTAGCTATCATAAACCAAACTGTGATCCATAAACTTATATATAACTGATTTTGCACATATGCAAGTACATCCTTACAATAGATTCACAGAACTGAAACTGCTGGGTCAAAACATAGGTGCAGTTAATATTGATAGCCATTTCCAAATTTCTCTCCATTGGACTTGTATGAGGTTGTCTATTTACACCCAGCCTCACCAACAGAATGAATTTTTGCAAACCTGACAGGTTGAAAAATAAAATCTTAATGTATTTTAAAATTATATTTCTCTTATTGTGAGTGAGGCTGAACATAAAGAGGAAAAGACACACGCTCCCTTTTTGTGAACAGTCCAAACATTTGTCCCTTTTCTATTGGGTTCTCTTGTCTTTTTTGAGAAATTGATATCTGTAACGAAGATCTTAAACATGTGCATTTGGTCCTTTACCAGACCAGAGTAGGCCTTGTGAGTTACTATCCCAGATCTCAGCAGTAGCTGGACATTACTGAGACAATAGAGATAGCAGAGTTAATAATGGAAGCCTCAACAACACCAGCAGTTATATAAATAACTAACTTCAGCGCAGCTGACAAGTAAAGGAAATGAACCAAAACAAAACCGCTACTCCTTTGGCCAAAGATGATTAGGGAAGCCTGCTGAGAAGCTAATCAGTGGTAACTAGCAAGAGCAAATCTACAAAGCAGTGGTTTAGTCACTCATTCAACAAATAATTATTGAGCCTCTGCTCAGTGCCAGGTCTATTCCCCATGCTGAGGATATACAGCAGCAAATCTGGGATATAGCAACAAAGGATATGAAGAAAAATCAAGCAGCGAAGGAAACTGAAGCCTGTGCCTCTACCAGTGTGGGAGGGGCAGGAATACAATTTTAAACAGGAAACTCAGAGAAAGGTTCACCGAGAAGGCAGCACCTGAGTAAAGACATCTGAGGCCAGGTGCGGTGGCTCACGCCTGTAATCCCAACACTTTGAGACTGAGGCGGGTGGATCACTTGAGGCCAGGAGTTCAAGACCAGCCTGGCCAACATGGTGAAACCTCATCTCTACTAAAAAATACAAAAATTAGCCTGGCGTGGTGGTGCTTGTAATCGCAGCTACTCGGGAGGCTGTGACAAGAGAATCATTTGAACCCGGGAGGTGGAGGTTGCAGGGGACCAAGATCGCACCACTGCACACCAGCGTGGGCAACAGAGCGAGACTCTGTCTCAAGCCGGGTGTGGTGGCTCACACCTGTAATCCCAGCACTTTGGGAGGCCGAGGCAGGCAGATCACAAGGTCAGGAGATCGAGACCATCCTGGCTAACGCCGTGAAACCCCATCTCTACTAAAAATACAAAAAATTAGCCGGGCGTGGTGGTGGGTGCCTGTAGTCCCAGCTACTCGGGAGGCTGAGACAGGAAAATGGCGTGAACCCAGGAGGCAGAGCTTGCAGTGAGCCGAGATCATGCCACTGCACTCCAGCCTGGGCAACAGAGCAAGACTCCATCTAAAAAAAAAAAAAAAAAAAGACATCTGAGAGGTGAGGATGGGGCCCCTGTGGACGTCTGGAGAAATCAGGTTCTAGGCCAAAAAATCAGCAAGTGCGAAGGCCCCAAGGCAGGAGCATGCCTGTTATGTTCCTGAAACAGGTGACTTGCTGAAGCCAAGTAAGTGCAAGAACAGTAAGTGAATGTGTTCAGAGAACTCCTGACCCCCTGGACACTTCCACCACACCTCTTGGTTTGTGACTTCTAAAGAAGGAAGCTGTGTGTCCCTGCACACCTATTCAGAGTGTAAATCAGCACAGCTTTCCAGAGGGCCTTTGGCAAACTATACGAAAAGCCTTAAAATTTCGCATCCTCTTTGAGTAATTTTAATTTTCTAGGATGTTATCCTCAAGAAATAATTATTAACCATAGCAATGCCAATTTGTTTATAATTCTCAAAACTTGAAAACAATTGAATATCCAACAATAGGGACTTGTTAAGTAATTATAGTGTCTTCTTTGTGCAAATGCAAGCAAACAATCTGTACTTCGGACTTCCTCTCCATAGTCTGTATGCTCTTTGAATACTTGAGAGCTCTAAGAACAATGCGTTTTATCTGTGCTACATTACTTCAGTTCGACATCCAAGTTCAATTACATATCCTAGCATAAGAATTAAGAAAGCAGGCTCTAATGTGCAAACAGATTGTGTGAATTTTAGGTAACACTATTCAAAAGAAAGCATACACAATCGTGGGGGTTAAGACAGTAAATAATAAAAATTAAAATGCATTTTAAGTACCTTGCCCCCACCTCTACATAAAATTGTCTAGAATTACAGCAAAAAAGGTCATCTAACCTTCTAGGAATCAAAGGCCAAGCTTGTTTTTCTACCCCTTTAACTGGTATTTATTTCTCAGACCGTTCAGGGAAAACCTGTTGAACAGGTGAGAATACAATAACGTGGCTCCAGTGGAGAGTCAGAGGGGAGCTGTACACAAAGCAGCCATTGAGAGAGCAAAGGAGCAAGGAGGCTTCCCCTTGGGAATTCACTTAACCAAGCCCAATTAGACCTCATCAGTTTTCCCCAACATTAACAAACCACGAGAGAAAGGGAGGGGGGCATAGCAAGGCTCCTCTGGGATACAGCCAGGTGCACAATTGCAGAATGGATAATCTAGTTCATGTTTTATCCTCAGAAGTCCAGACTTTATCCTCTTAAATTTATGTTTTCACAAGAAAACAGCACTTAAGGCTTCTATATATAATCACTGTTACTTCTGATGAAATTTAGGGAAGAAAGGTTCTAGCCTGGGCTTTCTCATTCCTGGCACAATTAGCAGCTGGGGCCATACTTCTTTGCTGTAGGAGCTGCCCCGAGCATTGCAGGATGACTGGCAGCATACCTGGCCTCCACCCTCTAGAGGTCAACAGTCCCTTCCCCTCAGTCTCGACAAATTTTCACATGTTGTAGAAGGGACCCGGTGGGAGATAACTGAATTACAGGGGAAGTTTTCCCCCATACTATTCTTACGGTACTATTCTTATGGTATTCTTATTCTTATTCTTATTCTTATAATGAATAAGCCTCAAGAGATCTGATGGCTTTATAAGGGGAACACCCTCTCACTTGGTTCTCATTCTCTCCTGTCTGCCGCCATGTAAGAGCCTTCTGCCATGATGGTGAGGCCTCCCATCCACATGAAACTGAGTCCATGTAAACCCTTTTTTTCCTTTATAAATTACCCAATCTCCCGTATGTCTTTATTAGCAGCATGCAAACGGACTAATACAGGCGGTAAGCTAGCAAATCCTCTAGGCAGATTACCGATGATCAGGGCAACCTATCCCATCCTTGAACTGGACACAAGGCACATGGTCTCATCAGGCTCTCCAGGAAAGATCAGCACACAAGCCCAACTCCTCTTGGTGAGGCATAACTGAGAAGGAAATACATTCTAAAATCTTCAGCCAACAAAGTCAGCATCCTGGTGTCCTATGCTTCCCCCAGCATAACTCTGGGGTTACTAGACTCCCTTTGTCAACTTCTCCCCACTACATCTGGAGTACTCTAAGGGCAAGGTCCACATCGCATTCACAGTTACAGACTCAGGGCCGCGGCAGGCAGGCATTTTAATACATAGCTGTTGTATGAATGCATCCCCTCCTCAATGAACATCTCATTAGAGCTACCAGCAGTACTGAGCCTAGTGTTATCAAAATTACCAAAGTAGATAACCTAGTATTACTTAAATTGCCCAGTAAAATACCAGCTACAAGAAGTTGTGTAGACAGCCGGGTACAATAATTCTTATACAAACTAAAATTTAAGAACCATTAAAGGGAGAAACAAAAGGGAAGTCTAGGCAGGTGGCTAGACATTCTAATCATCATGCCTTCCAAAGTCACTATCAAATCCCAGGTGGTGGGTAAAGAATGGGCAGAGAATGCTATACCGTTCCTGCTTGCCTGCTGGCTTGACTTTATTCCATTCCAAAAATATGGGAATTGTTCCATGTTTAATATTAAGATTCTATCACCTCGATATGCATGTTAAGTGGTGTGTTTATAGTTGAGTGGATTAAATAAAGAGGAATCACTTCTTCTAGAGTTAGGTACTGAAGTCTGTATAGCAGTAACATCTGACTCTATAACCCGTGAACAAGCCCACTCTTCCACTAAATGTCTCCGTAGGTTGGGTGGCATTTTGAAGACGACAGACAGAAATCGCTTTGACTCCCACCTAGAAACTCATCTCTCTACACATTGTTCTATGCCCCAAGTTCAACATGCCTCTTGCTGTAGTCTCTTAAAGATCTGTTACATCTCTACAGGTTTTTCCATACAGCTTAATTAATTCTTTCGGTTCCACAAAGGTCCCAAATACCTGATCACTTTTTGTTGTTTTTTCTGAATTTCCCATATAGTTTTTTAGTTTTGGGTGACTGCAATGGCTTTGAACCTTTTAATGCTCTTTGTAGTCTTTCTGTTGCACAGTAAACCCTACTGAGAAAAAAATTAAGCCTGTATGGCCATTCCTGTAGAAGCTGTGTGTTGGGGAAACGAACACACTTGCCCTGGTGAACCGTGTGTCCCCTCCCCTACTGCACTCACAAGCCCAACAGATGGGCCAGTGGAGGCCAGGGCAGATCAATGGGAGAGAAACACCAAACAGCTGGAGAAACGATCTGCTTCCACTCCTCAGCCCCTTCCTTCCTCACCAGAAAAGCTGTCCTCTGTCCCGCTAAGTCATTATCTACTGATGATGGATAATGGGTTTATAATGATGATGGGGATAGTGGAAAGGGAGCTGTTCATCTCATATTTTTAATGTTGAGTTGTCTCTGATAGAAAAAGACATAGACCACATTTTCCCCTTGCATTAGGTTAGGCAGAAAGGGAAAGGGCTTCAGGAGGATCACCCACTGAAAGCAGCCCTTCCCTCTTGGCACTGCTGTCTTCCTGGAGCCCTCTAGTCTTCACTTTTTTTTTCTTTTTCTTTTTTTGAGATGAAGTCTCACTCTGTCACCCAGGCTGGAGTGCAGTGGCACAATCTCAGCTCACTGTAACCTCCGCCCCCCGGGTTCAAGTGATTCTCCTGCCTCAGCCTCCCGAGTAGTTGGGATTACAAGCAGGCACCACCTTGCGTGGCTAATTTTTGTATTTTTAGTAGAGATGGGGTTTCACCATGTTGGCCAGGCTGGTCTCGAACTCCTGACCTCAGGTGATCTGCCCACCTCGGCCTCCCCAAGTGCTGGGATTATAGGCGTGAGCCACCACACCTGGCCTAGTCTTCACTTTTGAGAACACCGCCCTGCATGGTACACTGAACCTCAGAAGGGGCCACCGAAATAGGCTTTGGGTAAAAGTTTTGCTCTTCTCTTCTTTGTGCTACCATCCTTCTTATGCCAAACAGACTGAAATTGTCTCAATACCTTTAGTGTCTAGGTCAAGGAATACATGAAGTCGGTGGTGTGGTCAGCTGACATTATTCAGGATGTATGAGTGTCCAGGTTTGCTGAAGCCAGTCTTTGTTTCCCATGGGAGCAGCAGTGGTGGGCACATGTCCCCCCACCTGCCCTACACTGGAGGGTCTGGATGGATGGGTATATGGTGGGGGTGTCATTTCAGGTTCCCGTATCAGGGACCTGATGGCCATTCTGAAGACAGCCCGGGGCCTAAGAGGAAGTTTGTGGCTTCAGAAATGAGGGAACACGGTGTGTTCAGAACAGAACATGCAAGCACTCAGCAGAAAGAGAATAAACAGAGAATGGAATCCAGTGTGGAGGCTCAGTATTTCATTTTCTGTACACGCTAGCCATGTATGCTAATCTCAGCAACAATTCAGCCCATTTACTTGACAGGTGGGGAAATGTGCTATTAGCTACGGTTGGCTTGCAATATAATGGAAACTTGCAGAGAAAAGTCTTTGCTTTCCCAGTGTCTGGCATTGACATCATGAAGGCTAGGGGACAGCTGCCAGAAGGAGTGGCAGACAGGCGCCTAGAGCAGGCATGGGGCTGGGCACCGTGGACACGCACTTTACTCACTCTTCTTCACAGCCCTGAGTGACAGGTGTTATTATTTGCAGTAAATTAATGAAGATACTAAATCTTAACTAGTTTAAATGACTTCCTTCAAATCCTTAAATCCTCTCAGGTTGATAGAGGCCTCTTTAGTATGAGAACTGTTACAGGTGAATTGTGTCCCCCTCAAAATTTGTATGTTCAAATCCTAACCCCCAGTAGCTCAGAATGTAGCTGTATTTGGAGACAGGACCTCGAAAGAAGTAAGTTAAAATTAGGTCTTCAGGCCGGGCCCTAATACAGCATGTTTGTCTATTATCCTTTTAAGAGGAGGAAATCTGAACACAGAAGGTACAGAGGGGAGACCACCTAAGAACACAGGGAGAAGACAGCCATCTGTAAGCCAAGGAGAAAGCCCTCAGAAGGAACCAACACTGATAACACCTTGATCTCTGACTTCTAGCCTCCGTAACAGTGAGAAAACCCATTTCTGTTAGTTAAGCACCCCAGTCTGTGGTACTTTTTTATGGCAGCCCTAGCAAACTAATAAAACACAAAAGGCAGAAAGCGTCAAAGAAGAGCCTGATGATTTGATACAAGCAAGCTTAAAAACTTCTGAATTCCAAAAACCTTTATAAAAATTTAGAGACAGTGCTCGCTTCAGCAGCATATATACTAAAACTGGAACAATACAGAGAAGATTAGCATGACCCATGTGTAATTTTTATATATTAAAGTATTTAAAAAATTTAAACACGAATAACAATCTGAAAAAAAATTTGCAATAAATGTGATCCAACCTAGTATAAATATCCTTAATAAGGATCTCATAAATTTGTCAGCTGGGCGCAGTGGCTTGCGCCTGTAATCCTAGCACTTTGCAGGGACCAGGCAGGTAGATCACCAGGAGTTCTTGCCTTCTGCTGGGGATGAAGCTGAAGCTGAAGCTGTCTGCAGCCATGCTCCCTCCATGGGGAAAGGTCATCCACAATAGGAAAGAATGAGGCAAGGAGAAGCAAAGACAAGTCAAGAGGAAAACATTCAAAAGGGAACAAGGACAGAAGGCCTAGCTATGTTCAGTTTCTGTTGAGTTTCCTAACACTTTTCCTTCAGTTCTCTGTACTACCCTAACATCCTTCCTAGATAGACAAACTAATAAATTCCTCATTACGCTAAATCAGCTTGAGTTGTTTCTGTCCCTTACAATTGAAAAACTCCTAATATATCAACCTAACCATATCTGTTTACTGCCCTGAGTTCCAAACTTGTCATTAAATGACTGGAAGGCAAAACAGACTGAAGTTACACACTCTAACCTTGCAGTCAAGAGGAAATGGTCTTTTGCTCCCCAATTCTAGAGCTTCATATAGCTGCAAGTCCACATCTGTGACGTAGCGCTCAGCACCTAGGGCCTGCCTTTCCTCTGTGGGACTGCTATCAGAAGTCACGCATGGATTGCAAGAGTTAGTCTCACTCCAGCATTTCCCACACAGCACCGCTTCTCTGAGTTATTTATAAATGCAATGCAAAAATAAAGAGTCAGGATTCTTGGAAAAAACTGAATAGAATAATATCCACTAATAACTTACTAGTTCACTTACTATATACTTTTAGAGACAATTTTATGAATAAGGTACCATTACTAGCCTATTTTATAAACAAGGAAACCAAGATGTAAAGACATTAAATATCTTGCCCAAAGTCTCACATCCACATACGGAACCCAGCCAGAATGAAATCTACATGTCTGATTTGATAGCTCATGTTCGTAACCACTATGCCATTTTTTTGTTTAATAGAGATGAGGTCTCATTATGTTACCTGGTCTCGAACTCCTGAGCTCAAAGGATACTTCTTGCTGCAGCCTCCCAAAGTACTGGGATTGCAGGCATGAGCCACTGTGCTGGGCTCTACGCCGTTCTTTTCAAAGTTTCCTTTACTGCAGGACTTCTCAGGGACTTTAACGTAACACGTGTTCTGTGAAATGTCCATATGCAATCTATAATATTTCCCAAATGTATCTGTCCAGAAAACTTTTTTTTTAACGAAACATCTTGCGGCACACGTTTCTCATAGGACATACTTTGAGACTATTTGCCTCCTCGGTTTCTCAGAAAGAATCGCTAAATAGTCTTGGCCAGAAATGCAATGGAAAGTGGCAGAGAAAACTTTCCGTTAGTCCCATATTGAATTATCACCACCTGCATCTATGGGCTTGTCTCCAGGAAAGTAGCCCAATTCTTTTGAGTAACTCTTTCCAATTCAGAGAACAGTAAAACTTCTATTAACTGCAACTTCTACTGTGCAAAGCAACGGAAGATAAAACAGTAAAAGAAACAGAATACTTGTATTTGTGATCATTTGAACATCTCACTTCCTGCTTTAAATCTGTGGTGACTTGGGACCTCTAGGATATAAACTTTTCACAGCCTGCATCCAGGTACCACCGGTGCATCCTCCCCCACCCAACGAGTCCCTGCTCCCCAAACCCCAGGCACATCCAATGGCTCTGTAAGTCTGACATGGAAAACTGGTTCTACCTTAAGACTGCCAATGGTCCATTTGCGGCACCTGCTGGTGGCAATGCGTAAAGGAACCCCCCAGACTAAATCAGGATCATCCCCCAGCCAGCTATGGTCTGGGTAAAGAACTAGAGAACTTGAGACCAACGTTTGCTATCTCTTCCCTCTTCATAAATGGCTTGCCATTTCCTGAGCCTGCTAAGGTCCTTTTGTGTCCAGAATTGGTGCGTTCTCGGTCTCACTGCCTTTAAGAATGAAGCAGCGAACTGTCGCGGTGTTTCAGTTCTTAAAGATGGTGTGTCCAGAGTTTGTTCCTTCAGATGTTCAGATGCGTCCGGAGTTTCTTCTGGGGGGTTCGTGGTCTCCCTGACTTCAGGAGTGATACCGCAGACTTTCACCGTTAGTGTTACAGCTCTTAAAGGTGGCGCGTCCGGAGTTGTTTCTTCCTCCCGGTGGGTTCGTGGTCTCGCTGGCTTCAAGAGTGAATAGCGAAGCTGCAAACCTTCGCGGTGAGTGCTACAGCTCATAAAGGTAACACGGACCCAAATAATAAGCAGCAGCAAGATTTATTGCGAGCAGTGAAAAAAAAACAAAGATTCCACAGCGTGGAAGGGGACCCAGGTTGCTGCTACTGGCTCAGGTGACCTGCGTTTATTCCCTTATCTGGCCCCACCCACACATCCTGCTGATTGGTTCATTTTACAGAGAGCTGATTGGGCCGTTTTACAGAGCGTTCATTTGTCTGTTTTGACATTGTGCTGACTGGCGTGTTTACAAACCTTTAGCTAGACACAGAGTGCTGATTGGTGTATTTACAATCCTTTAGCGAGACACAAAAGTTCTCCAAGTCCCCACCCAACCCAGAAGCCCAGTCGGCTCCACCTCTCGCTTTCACCCTGTCTTTGTTCAGAATGTTCTCTCTACCTCCAATGTCCTTTCCTTCCCTTGGGTCTGCTTCAAAAATTCCCATCTAGATTTCAGTGCCAATCTCATGCACCAGTTTCTCTTAAAGATCTCCCTGACCTCACGGCCTCCCGTGCTAGAAGTAACTGCCCTGAATCTGTCTTCTTAGGCGCTTACAGTGACCTACCAGAGCACTTTTCCACACCTTATCCTATTTGTTTATATGAGTTCTCTGAGGGTAGGACTCATATCTTACTCATCTCTGTTGTTCCAGACCTGATCAGACAGCATGGTAAAGAGCAACTCAATATTTTCCAGACAAGTGAATGAATAAATGAACCACTCTTTCCTTAAAACCAAATTCAAAGATTAAAATTACAAATGTGAAGGATTACTCAAGCCAGTGATGCATTTTTAAAATCCAGAATTCCTTGCACAGAAAACCTTCCGGCATTTCTTCAAGCAGCAGCTATTCATTTGTTCCCACTGGACAGAAATAGAAAGGGAGCTGCTGAGAGGTGAGAGGAGGGCCTATTCCAGATTCCTTTTCCTCCTGGAAAAATTCTTTCAAAAACAAGATGAGACCTGAGCTGAGCCACTCACTCTCTTCCCTTCACTCCAAGCTCTCTTGCGCTTTGGGAATCAGCATTTCAACTGGAAAGTTCATCATTTTGCAAACTAATGCACACACTTCCTCCCTTGTTCTGGTTTTCTGGATATTTGCTTTTCAAATTCCTTTTCAGCTGTTGTAATGCCAGTGGCTGCTCCCTTCCTCCCAGCAAGCCTGTCACTCGGTGATGTGTGCAGACAGTCCCCAGTGGAGGAGGCAAGGCTCGAGCCCAGTTCCCTATCGCAGAAACCAGACTCGAAGCCACAGGAAGTGCTGGAGCATTTCCACCATCCTGTGAGCCAAACATTCAAAGTTTCCAAACCTGCTGATCAAAAAACAATATGTGAAACTTCTTTCTTGGGCCTCTCTCCAGCAACAGCAGAGCTCTAACTACCACCCCTAGAACATTTGATTGCATCAGATTACCAGCGAAGGCCCCTGCAGAACTCTGGGCTGTGCCTCCACTGGGTTTCACCTGACAACCCTCGTACACAGAATTAGTCATTCTGATGCATAATGCAATGCCGCATAGCCGCCTCTCACGGAATACCATTAGGCTCTTTCTCCCGGCCTGACGTCCTTATTCCCAGAGGAGCACAGACTTTTATGAGGGCTCTGGGGTCAGTTGTTGGCCTGGGTGTTAATCCTGGTTCACCCACATTGAAAACGCTGTGACTCTGGACAAATTACACAACATGTGACCCTCAGTATCCTCATCTGTGAAACTGGAATGACAGAGGTACCTTTCTCATGGGATTATTATGAAGATAAAATATCTATAAAGCAATTAGAGTAGTGCCTGACCTGGGATTATCATTTGCCAGACATGGGGTAGCTGGATAAATGAAACTGAGGAAACACATCTGTAGTCCAGTCTCATGAAACACACAGAAGCCACACTGCATGAGAATTCCTTTTGCTGTAAGCATCATAACCGAATTGGACAAAGAGCTATGGCACTAGAAAGGAAATAATAACTTTGCTTTAAGTTCAGGGAGTTTTTAGATTTGAAGTTTTGAGGGCATAGAAAAGATTCTAGGTGAACGATTGTGTTGACAGAAATCGGAGGGGGGAAAGTTAGGGTAAGATTCTGGAAGGATTGACCTACATTTGCAAAGGCAGGAAGTCACAGAGAATTGCCTGAGCAGATGCCCTGATGGAAAATAAGAGAACCATTTTCCCTCCTGACCACAGGTCTAGTCCTCCAGGAAAGTTCTCTGAGAACACAAAGGTGACCAGGACTCAACTTGTTCTAAATCCTTTCTCCGCAAGGAGAAATGGATGTCATCTTGAGTTATGAGGTGGCTGAGTGCTTTAAGAAGGCTCACAGGGGAGCTTCTGCACAGAGGGGGATCTGCCCCACTATTACTGCACATCTTCACCAACTGTATGTTCTTCCAGCCTTGCAGAGTGACATCTGTCCTTTTCTGTCTGATCCTCCCAGCAACTAGACAGAGGGTAGTGTTAGGGCTTAGAAAACAATCAATACCCCAAAGTATGGAGCTTTGGCATGCTGAGTACTCTGAACTAAAGAAGACTGGAAGGTCTCAGAACCAAGGTCTCTCTGACCTCTACTGCTCTCCTTTCTCCCATCTCTCTTTCCCCACTGAAGCAACTCATAAAAAACAAAATTCCATGGTGTCTATGTGCCACATTTTCTTTATCTAGTCTATCATTGATGGGCATTTGGGTTGGTACCAAGTCTTTGTTATTGTGAACAGTGCTACAATAAACATACACGTGCATGTGTCTTTATAGTAGATTGATTTATAGTCCTTTGGGTATATACTCAGTAATGGGATCGCTGGGTCAAATGATATTTCTGGCTCCAGATCCTTGACGAATCACCATACTGTCTTCCACAGTGGTTGAACTAATTTACACTCCCACCAACAGTGTAAAAGCATTCCTATTTCTCCAAAGAATGAGTTCATGTCCTTTACAGGGACATGGATGAAGCTGGAAACCATTATTCTCAGCAAACTAACACAGGAACAGAAAACCAAACACCCCATGTTCTCACTCATAAGTGGGAGTTGAACAATGAGAACACATGGACACAGGGAGGGGAACATCACACACCGGGGCCCGTGTGATAGGGGAGGGATGGAATTACGAGAAATACCTAATATAGATGACAGGTTGATGGGAGCAGCAAACCACCATGGCATGTGTATACCTGTGTAACAAACCTGCACATTCTGCACATGTATCCCAGAACTTAAAGTATAATTAAAAAAAAAAAAGAAAAGAAAAATGATCAATGGATAGGAAGACAAATTCACAAAATCCTTTAAGCATTTCTTAATAAAAGCATAATAAATAAATAAAAAAATCCTCTTCCACAAAGTGGGTCATAGAAACTAGAACCTATCTCCACCAAAGTAAACCATGAAACCTAGGAAGGTCACTCTCTTCCTTCTTCCTTCTCCCCAAAGACCCTCTTTCCAGAGGAGTCCTGCCCTATATCCAGGAGGAAGACATGCTACACAGACAGACCAATAAGAATCTGAACCAACAGCCCTTGCTGAGGTTCCTCCTCAGTCATACTGCCATTAGGTCACACCCTTTGTCCAATCATAGTTCTATATGGCTGTCCATTCTTTATCAAGCCTAAACATAAGAATAGTTATGGGGCTTTGGGTCTTTGTTTCTGGGGCTTTGGGTCTTCATTTCTGGGGCTTTTGGTCTTCGTTTCTAAAGGCTCCCATGTTATATAAAACTTATATTAAATAAATGTGTTATGCTTTTCGCTTGCTAACCTGTCTTTGGTTTCAGGAGTGTCAACAGTGGCCCATATGATGGTTGAACACAGGTATCACACCCTTCCCTGCTATAGTAGGCATAATCCACCTGGGGCCTAATGAGCTTTGCTGGCGAGACCTCAGCCCAGCTGCCCCCCAGAAGCTGTGGTTTTAGTGGAGACTAAGACATAATGATTACTCAGCTTCATTCCTAGGGTTGTCTTATCATGGCTCTAAACAGCAGAACCTCAGAATGTTTCTCAGGAAAGATGCAGTTAAAAAACAAATTTCCCCCATTTTCAGTGCTGTAGATATTTTATCTCTCTAGTTATTAGCCACAAACCTACCCTCACTAGTAAGACAAACAAACCTATAGATTTTTTCCTTCTCATCTCTTTCACTTTAGGAGGCTCTGCCAAAACTCCCTGGATTTTATGATAAAATCTCTTCCTTCTAGTTTTTATCTGAGCTGCCTCACATGTTTGCTGCAGTTTGGTTTAAGATAAAACACAGTCAGGGTACATGCTATCAGCATGGCCATACGGCCATACTGTGAGAGCTTTTCACACAAACATCAAGATGACAGTGGAGCCAGTGGGCCATGCTTAAGAACAAAAAGACTTGTTCCTGCTCAAATGCATAGATAAATAAGATCTGAGGTGCTGAATGGCAGTCTGTGGTGCATATTTGGGGGGAAAGTGGTCTGTGGTTCTATTCTGAAAGCCAATATTATTGATTACATCCTAGGGTTGCTGATCTGCTCACTGGTATCCCAGGGCATTCTGAATGAATTGTTTTTTTAATGCTCATTTTCCCCTCAAGTTAGCATGGGCAGAGAGCTTCCCCACAGCCTGTCTGTACTCCCTGGGAAATTACCAGATTAAAAGCTGGTAAGAGGAAAATAGAGAAACTTCCAACCCTGTGTTGGCAGTTTGCTAATTTCATACTTCTGAAAATTTACTTTGATTTCTCCTCTAGCCTCCATTAACAGTATACTGATAATTTCAAATGCTTTGTATCTGCATTCAGTTCTAGCAAACTTGAAACTCAACCTGCTAATAATATCCACTTTGACAAGGACTCTATTGTGCCAAAACCAAACTAATGACAATAAAAACAAGTACACAAATACAGACACACAAATCCCTAGCTAGACTGATGAAGGCAATTGTGAAAAAAATTAGAGAAGGCCATCTTGCATCTTATTGCCCAGAAAAATACCAGATATTATAAACCCATCTGGAACACTTGAGTTCTGCTGACAGGTCTGGTAATGGGTACAGATTCTGGGGCCTAGTTATCTGAGGTGTGAATTTGATGAGAAAGGTCAAAGAAAACCAGATTCCACTGGACACCTAAAAAATCTTACTTTTCTCAGCCTTTCAAATCTTACTTTTCTCGGCCTTGATTTGAAACTCCTACAAACTTTATAGAGGAAATATGGGGAAAAAAAAGAGAACAGGCTTTGGAGGCAGACAGACCTGGACTGGAATGTAAAAGCAGGTAATGTGTTAAGCCCGGGCACAAGCTGACCAGATTTGCATTTTACCTTTGCCTACATGAAGAACAGACTGGCATGGGGCAAGGATGACGGGGTAGGTTGGTAAGAAAGTGACTGATGGCAGTGACTTGGGCTGGAGTGGTCGTGGAGACAGAAAAGGTGATGGATTTATAAGCTATTTAAAAAATCAAAACAATTGATAATAGACAAACAGGGAGAAGCTGGAGTCATTGACGAACCAGGATTATGGCTTCTATAACAGAATAGGTGGTGATGTCATTTACTGAGATAGGACTACTCCAAATAGAAGATGGACTCTCTGCCAATTTGTTGACCTGTATCAAGGCAATGGGTGTAGAGACTCATCTGGAGGAACCAGTGGTAAAGTCCAAGCCGTCAGTGCCAAATACAGCCTTCCTACTCCTTCCTTGCAGGACTATCTGCTTTACTGCAGATTACATCTAAAAATGCACAGCCATTTTCTCCTAATAAGCAGGAAGGCAGCAGAATACAGCAGTTAACAACCACTGATTGGACTCTGACTGTCTGTATTCTAATCCTAGTTTCACTACCTCCTAGCCTTGTGGCTTTGGGAAAATTCCTCTCTGTGCCTCAGTTTACTCATCTGTAAAATGGAGCAAACCACAGTACCTATGTCAACAATTTCTTAGGATGAGTACTAAAATGACAGTAATAGCCAACACACCTATATAACTTACCCTGTGCCAGGTACCCTATTAAAGAGTGTACATAGATTAACACATTCAGTCCTCACAACAGCCCCGTGACAAAGGCGCTATCATAATCCCCACCCTAAACATGGGTAGATGGAGTCACTGAGGAAACTGGTCACTTATTTGGCTAGTCAGCAATCTAGCCCATCCGAAGGCAGTGTTCTGAACCATTACCCTAAACTTCCTTGGACCTTAATATGCACAAGGCTTAGAACAGTGCCCGGCACCGAGTAAGAGCGTGGCACATTATCCCTGACTCTGAAAGCCAAATCCAGGCTGGTTCACAGGGAAGAAAAAGGCTTTATGCACTTTTCCATTATTGATCACGGTCACACCTTTTCACTTTGTACTTGTGTAATACTGACTGCGACACGGTGAACTTGCTTCTGACTTTGAGTCTGTGGACAGGAATCAGTTATGGCCTGAGATTTTCAAGCTCCACAGAGACTCCATTTTTGATGCTGTGATAGAAGCTGCAACTTGATACTACCTCTGAGAGTCAGCTCTGCGGAAAAATACCCCTGGCTCGGATCATAATTTCCGTTCTGGTAAAACGGGGATCTTTTCATGACCTCTAAGCTTTTACCTTTTCACTTCATGAATGGATAAACTTTGTGTGAGTTGAATATACTCTCCCTCCCCTTAGAGAAAGAACAGAGAGATTCTTTTATAAGCAGATAAGGTGATTTTATTTCCACTAACAAGGAATAATCTTAATTGACATCTTGCTCTGTCAGAGTACAGCCTCAGAACAAGTACTCAAAACTGAAAGAATCACTTTTTGGTAACAGGCCCCAGCATTTAATGAGCTTATTATGGCAAAGAACCTAAATAGCAAATCAATTCACTTAGGTGCAAGAGAGTTCACTGGGAAGTAACACGGCTTAAAATGAAAGTTTATGAAACTTAACTGAAATTTTAAAAAAAAAAAAAAACACCAAGGTCGACATTTCAAACATCTACATAAAGTTTTTCCAGGTAAAAATTAGCTCAGCCACACACTTAAAAGACAAAACTCTAGGGGTCCAACAGATGCATAACTTTTTAGAGAAAAATCCAGAATCTGCCTGTGGGTAGTCCTCGGTATACCCAGGAAGAGCTAAAGTGGCTGCCTATTCAGAGGTGAGATTAAATTAGGCTTCTCACATTTCAAAGATTTCAACCCAATACTCAGCCCAACTGAGTAGTAAGGCCTGTGTGGTTTTCAGTAACTGCAAAGTGTAAAGAGAAATTGCGCTCTGCCCCCTTATCAGTAAGTCTAACACTGAATTAACTGCCATCTACAAAGGTGGTGTCTACATTGTTCTCAGGAAAATTTTATAAAAACCTTAAGATTAAAGAATAGAAAATAGTTTAATAATATATGGCAAAACTATGAGAATAAGAGTCATGTAAAAAATTCACATTAAAATATGAGTGACACTGGACAATATTCACAACATTTTCAATGATTCATTTACATCCATTGACATTTGAATATTAATAAGTATTTACTTCAGTACACACTCATTATGATGATAAAAACTTAGAACAACTAGAATTCTCACACATTGCTGATAAATAGTAAGACTTTGAAAAACAGTTTGGTACATTTTTAAAAATATTAAGTACATATTTATCATATGACACAGCAATTCTACTCTTAGGGATTTACCTAAGAGAAATGAAAACAAAGATAGGTGTATGAATGTTCATAACAACTTTATTCATAAAAGCCAAAAGCTCAAAACAACTCAAATGTCCATCAATCGATGAATAAACAAAACGTCATCCATACAATGGAAGACTACTCAGC
Source organism: Homo sapiens (assembly GCF_000001405.40). Lineage (NCBI taxonomy): Eukaryota > Metazoa > Chordata > Mammalia > Primates > Hominidae > Homo > Homo sapiens. Next base: position 37,361,301 of record NC_000007.14, read on the forward strand.
AATAAAAAAGAATAAACTGCTGATACATGTAACAATAGAAGTAAATCCGGAGTGAATTATGCTGCATCAGATATTGGCACACTCTAGCTTATGGGCCAAATCCGGCCCTCTCCCTATTTTTGTAGTCAAAGTTTTATTGGAACAAAGCTACACCCATTCAGTACACATTTCATACTACCAACAGCAGAGCTGAGTAGGTAGATCCTACAAAGACCATCCCGCCTGTAAGCCTAAAATATTTACCATCTGAGTCTTTACAGAAAATGTATACCAATCTCTACGCTAAATAAAAGAAGTCAGTTATAAAAGACAACATACTATATGATTCCATTTCTAGAAAATTCTAGAAAAGGCAAAATTACATTGATAGCATGTCATCCGGGCACAGTGGCTCAAGCCCGTAATCCCAGCACTTTGGGAGGCCAAGGCCGGCGGATGGCTTGAGCTCAGGAGTTCGAGACCAGCCTGGGCAACACAGGGAAACCCTGTTTCTATAAAAAAGACAAAAAAATTAACCAGGCGTGGTAGCACGCACCTGTAAGTCCCACCTACTTGGGAGGCTGAGGTGGAAGGATCTCTTGAGCCCAGGAGGTGGAGGTTGCAGTGAGCAGAGGTTGCACCACCACACTCCAGCCTGGGAGACAGAGACCCAGTCACACACACAAAAAGAAAGCCTATCAGGGGTTACCAGGGGTGAGGTGGAAGCAGAGTCTGCAAGGGGGCACAAGGGAACTTTTCAGGGTGATGAAACTGGTCTATTTCTCTTATACGAGGTAGCATGAAGAAAATAAAAAATAAAATAAAGCTGTAAAATGGTCTGTTTCTTGACTGTGTTGTGATGGTTACATGACTACATACATTGGTCAGTATCACTAAATGAAAATTGATTTTATTGTACCTCAATAGAAATGTATATGATATATATATATATATAATTTCTCCGTTACATCCTTGTGCCAGGTATTACCAGGTACTACCTCCCACCAGGTATGCTTCTAGGTATTGAGCACAAGACATTGAACACAAAACACAAAGTTTCTGCTCAGATGGTACAGTTATAATATGACAGGGCCACCCACTGTCCCCCAGTGGACATCTGGCATGGGTAAGCCTGTGATAAGCCACTAGCACTTTTAAGATTGCTTGGACCCACGACAGAGTTTAGCCTAGACTAACTAATACAGGGCTCATTTCTGAGTCCTTGTCTTTCTCCAGGCATCGCCTCTAGGTAGTCTCATCCAATCCCATAGATACATTTTAAATGTATATCCTGAACCCAAGCCAACCAACCTTCCTTCATTCCTTCCTTCCTTCTTCCCTCCCTCCCTCAAATAGCCAACTGCCTACTTGACATAGCTACTTAGGTATCTCACAAGCATCTCAAATTTAACATATCAAAAACTGAACTCTTTCCTCCAGAAGCTATTTTTCCTTCAGATTCCTCACATTAGAAAATGGCTTTGTGGTACACCTTTACACCAGATTTCCTGCTTCCCCTCTTCTGAGCACTCTAGGGGACTGCACTTCTAGCCCCCTTGCAGGATAAGGCCACAGCCATACATATGACTCTTGTGGCTAAAGACATGTGAGTGGAAGTGACAGAGGCACTGGAGAGCCAGGTTCTCTCTTCCCTTGCCACAGTGAATTTGGTAGAACGTGTACTGATATGGAAGGCAGACTAAACCATTGAGTTTGAGGACAGCTGCCCTGGAGGGTCACTTGGACTTAGAGCAGATTTTGCAAGACAGCAAACTCTGTTGCAGTAACCTGAAATGTTGAAGATGCTGTTGTCAGAGCATGAACTAGCCTCCTCTGATGACTTCGGGGCCCTCTGACAACTTCAGGGCCCTCTGATGACTTCAGGTGCTTGTGCCAGACCAAGGAGTCCTTCACAGTCCTTCTCCCTCCCCTCCATGTCCAGGCCACCACCAATCCAACTCAACCCTCACAAACATTCCCTAGGCCAAACCAACATTTCCCACCTGGGCTCTTGCAAGAGCCCTTAGATCTATTCTCTACATAGCCACCAAAGTCGAAACCACAAAGACTTTCAAACACCTCCTCTGTTTAAATCCCTTCAATGGCTCCCCACTGCTCTCAAGCTCAAATCCAAAGTCTTTAACATGGCCCGCAAAGGCCTGTGTGATCTAACCAGGGCCCAACTGTCCAGACCTCATCCCGCGCATCCATCCATCTCTCTCTCCCTCACCTCATTCCTCTCTCCTATCCCCATCCCACATCAGTGGCTCCAGCCCTCTCTCAGTTGCCCAAACATGCCAAGCTCCTACGATGAAATGTAGTCTCTCTTCCTCTCCATTTTCCCTTTCTACGCCCAGCTACTTGAAATCACTCTAAAGCACACCTACCTCCTTTCACTTCTCCCCTTTCATTTTTTGCTAGAAGGGGAAAAATAAATCTTGAATGTGCTTGCCTTTGAGTCAGAAGACAAGAGGATAAGCTATGAAGTTAAATTCTCAGAAATCACGTGACCATAAGATCTAAACATTGGTAGAAGTTGAAAGAGAAGGAAGACACCTCCAGGGCTTAGGAATCAGGGTAGAAAAATTAAACCAAGTGACTAGAAAACCAAAGAAGCCAGGGAAGAGTTCAGTAGAAAATCACACCCTAGGCCTAGAAGGACTCTAACCCCCCACAGGCAACACCACCCACTCTCACCCATGCTTCTTCATTTGACTAATGCAAATCCCTCAGGAATCCCTCTCTCAATTCATTTCTGACTAACACTCTGCCAGGGCCTTAGGCCTCTCTGACATAAAGGAGTCCTCTCCCCACAGAAGTCAGACAATACCCCCAACACCATACCCCATACCTGGGCCAATATACAGGCAAAGGCTGACCATGCTGTCAGCAGGCCAAACTTCAATCCTCAATCAGTGTTTACCTCAGAACCAAAGACTCTAAGCAGTTTTCATCTATGCCTTTATTAATATAAAATGAGACTCCAGAGAGACACAGGGGACCCTCCCATGGTTGAGTGTATTCTGCCAAATATGTATTCTGCCAAATATGATGTTAAATCTATGACTAAAATTGTTCCCAGTTTCAGACAACAAGCAAGAATATTGAAACATATTTATTCTTAAACTAGAGATCTCCTGAAGAGTTTTATTCACACTTGATCATTTTTGCTTTCACCTAAATACCTAAATGTTCATCCAATGGGAGAAAGAGACTTCTTCACTTGTTTTCAAAACCTTTAACACATAGGAAAATAACTTGTAGGTTCTAGAAGGCATGCTTTAATGCTTTAATGCTGGCTTAATTTTTTTTTTTTTCAGAATACTTACCTTCTGTAATTAAGATAGGGAAAATTCAACTCAAAACCAAATTTCTTCTTCTTCTCATTTCACCATTTTAAAATTTGGCAAGTTTTGCTTGAGGAAGGAGAGCAAACTCAAGTGCTTTTGTGGATATATCCTGTTTTTCAGGTACCAGACAACTAAGGATATCGGCTTTTCTATTACCATTGATAGAAAGATAACACAAAAAGTGAATCCTATTGAAGGTGGGTCAGAAGTGTCTTCTTAACAAAGCTCAGAATGTTTTTGTAAACTCTTTGTGCCAAGGCACTTGGAACCTGTTAACGATTCCTGGATGATGTCTAAAATGCCATTATATTTGACAGTCGTGAATGACTGTCATAACTTGAAAGGTTAGAAATGCGAGTGGGCTTTTTAGCTTTTATCAAACAGAAAGCTCCTCACCCCCACACGTTTCCATCTGAGCCTGCGGAGAATGGAAATGCAACAGCAGTTTTCCTGTCCATTCCCACCGAATGGAAAATACAGCCATTCCGCCTTACGGAAATAACTTCTAACACCAGGCCACATTTCCACTTTGTGTTTTAAATTCTATGATGTGGTCCTAAATTCTTGCAGCAATCAAAGGCTGTGAAACTTCACAGAGAGAAGGGTCTTTCAAAAGGACACTGGAAAATAAAAGAGGTTGTTTTGCTGAGCACCGATCAATTCCCAGGCTGGCTGCAGGGGATCCTACTGAAGTATGGGCAAGATAAGAGTGGACCCAGGAGCTTCCGAGCTCCACAGAGTCAACCCTGTACCCAAGCTCCCTCTAGTTGGTGTGGGCCAACACCAAAGTCACTGCAGAACAGAACGGGTAGCAGGACACCTGCTCAACAGTGGACCTGAAGAAGCTCTCCCGCTGGAAAAAGCAGAAGAGAAGCCTTCTTCTACCCATCATGGGCAAAGCACCAGCTCTCAAACACCAACTACTCATCTCAGTCATTCTTTCTTATGACCAAAACTTGATTTCAGCCATCATAGAAGTTCAAACCCAGGGTGAAGACAACACAGGAAAAAATGTGGCTTCTGAGGTAAAGTGGGGAGTTGAAGAACTAACCAATGCATTAATCAACGCAGACAATCTGAAAAGTCTTCTTTCCTGAATAGTAGGTTCCTTTCTTTCAGTCACTTAAACAATTATTCCAACTCACTATTTACTTTTTCGAGGCAGAGACATAGTAAAGTATTATCATAAGCGCCATTCTCCCTCTTGTACTGTCGTAGTATCAAATGTGTGCAGTGTTTTTAAGTTTCACAAGTAAGAAAATGTAAAATGGCTAATATGTATTGTAGAACCTACTAAAGAGTACAGCCACTACATTAATAAGAAAATATCTGATAGATGAATGCCCAAGATAAGATTTCACTTCCATTCACCACTTACAGGGACCTCTCCACCAAGGAGGTTCCCAAGTTTATTAAAATGACCTAGAAGTTGTTTCTAAATTCTAAGTTGTTTCTAAAATCACACCATATTCAAAGGGGCTAAAAGATGAGAAAGAAAATTCAGAAAGAATGCTCTGATTTTTGCTCCTCGATTTCTATAGCATGTATTCTTCTACAAGACAAAGGAAGAAACTATCGCCATATCCTTTCGGTGGTCTCAAAAGAATATCCAGCATTTTTTTCTTCAGAGTTAAATTACATTACATAAAGTAAAAATAAAAATTATTATTAATAATCGTTTTATATCAGACTTTAGCATTAACTATTTCTCATATATTAAGAAAACAAACCACCCTTTCAACATGTAAATCACTTCATCACACGTAGGGTCTCTGTGAGGAAGGTCAGCAAATATTGCTGTATAATCTCATTTTATCAACAGGGGATTGAAGCAAAGAAGTTAAGATCCAGTTCAAAATGAGATCCATTCCAATCTCCCAACACCTAGAGTTTAGAACAGGAGCACAAGCAAGACAAAGTTATGGAGTCACACATGAATCATTTACACTTGGTTAAGTTAGATGTTTCTACCTGGAGAAGGAAGTCAGACTGAGAATCTCCCGTCCTCACACAATGAGCCTCTACCACAAAGGAAACTCAATGCTGGCTTATTCCTCTGTAATCTCCCCCCTGTAGCATCACCTCCCAACATGGTGCAGTGAGCCAGGCCAACTTCAGCAATAGCATTCTCCGAACTCCTCTAACGGAGAAAGAGAGATTCTTTATTCATTTCAAAAATATTAACAAGAAGCTTCTTCCCATCAATCACTGAGTTTGGAGATTCTGAGACAAGAGCGAAGCCCAGGATGCGTTCTTATTCCCAGAAATCAGATAACAGACTGATGAATTCTTTGAGAAAGTAAACAAAGATATTATGTGCTACTAAAATATACTTACATAGTTTCATCACATCAATAAAAGCAAAATCTCTCTAATGAGAATGTTGCAAGCCCAGCATTTCCTGGCCTCTGTCTCTTTCTCTGTCCCCTACCAGTTTCTCCTGTCTTGCTCTCTGGTGACCACACCTGACTTCTTCAAGTTCCCCAGACACACCACACTGTCATTCATCTGCTGTTCCTGAACTTCCCGCAGCTGACTTTCTCACTGTATTTGGGACTCAGACCAAAGGTCATCTCCTCAGGGAAGCCTTTCCTAGGTAACCTAATGCCAGTAAAATTGGCACACACACATTCCCAGTAATCCCTCCCTCTCTTTCTCTCTCCCACTCACTCCTTTACTCACCGCATCACTACCTTGCAATGTTACACACCGGTCTATGTGTTTATTGTCCTAATTCCACTCTGGAGTGTAAACTCTATGAGGGCAGGGATGTTTTCTTCACCATTTTACCTGTGGTCACATAGTATGCTATCAATGAATATCTGGCAAGTGAATAAGTGAATGAAGGAAGAAAAGGATCAGAATGGAAGGGCACCATTGATTTCTTAGTTACTTTAAGAAAATTCTTCAGGAGTACAGTGAAAAATAACAGGCTACAGGTACAATTCACTAAGTGTGTGACATGGAAGACTAGAGAAGACTAAGGAAGAAAGAATAGGTTAATTAAGCATAGTGCAAATTGAATATCACCCGTGTGTGGTAGGAAAAACTGGTGGGCATAAGACCAGCCACAGTTATGGAATCAGAATCCTCTAAGTCCCTACCAGAAACAAACAAACAAACAAACAAACAAAAGACACTGGAAACAATAACCCAAATGAGGTAATTTGCATGAAATTATTTTATAGCATATAAAGCAATCAGAAAATAAGTATATAATAAGCATATATTACCTCCTCCTATCTTTCCCTCCCCACTAATATCCATGGCAGACATCGAAAACAATCACGGATAATAAATGTAACTCCTTTCTGCTATCGCCAAACAGGACCAATACACAAGTCAATCATAATTTTTTAAAGCATCTTAGGAACGTAGGCAAATTAGGAATGGCAGAAAGCTTCCTTCCTAAAGGATATCTACAGAAAGTCTATAGCAATCATCATGCTCAACTGTGAGCCATCAAACTTTTCCTTTAAAATCAAAAACAAGGCAAGGAAGTCAAATATCACTGCCTCTATTCAATATTGTACTGGAAATCTCATTCTAAACATTTTAAGAAGGGGGGTGGCAAATTTTTCATTATTCAGATGATATTATTGTCTATCAGAAACTATTAGGATTAATAAGGCTTTATCAAGGTTTCTGAGTATAAATCAATATATTAAAGTGATTAGCATTTCTATACACCAGGAACAAAGCATCAGAAAGAACTATGTCTTAAATATACATTTCATGATAATAATAAAACAAGAAGATAGTGTTGGAGTGCAGAAAATGATTCATCACAATACGGAGCTTTGGCATGCTAAGTGCTTTGAAAAGTGAAAAGCCTCAGAAATAAGCCTCAGAACCAAGGTTTCTCTCTGACCTGCTTCCACCTCCCTGTCTCTGATCTTCTTTCCCAAAGAACCGGGAGGGACTCTCTTTGGAATTTCTTAAGACCCCACTCCCTAGGAATCTCATCAAATAGCCCAAAAAGATCAACCACCCAGGAAAAGAAGATCACCACATCTGGACAGGCTTTTCATCTATTCTCCTAAGGGCAACTCTCATAGATTACCTGGGAGGCTTTATCTGCATAAGATGACCTTTGCTCACAGTGAAGTTCCATCCCTCACCTTCCTGACACCTCCCTCAGAGCTCAGGGGAACTTTGTTACTTATTTGCACATTCTCTGTCTCCTCTCTCCCACATATAGAAGGGTATATAAGCATCTGGACTACATTGGGCTATTGGTAAATCATTCTCATGTGATTCCCTGCATTGTGCACATTAAATACATTGTATGCCTTTCTCTCCTTTTCATTGGCCTTTTGTCAGTATATTTTCAGCAAACCTTCAGGAGATGAAGGGAGAAGCTTTCCCTCTCGGCATTTTACAAGATATTTCTGTATAAAGCAATAAAAGTTATTGAAAAACATTAAAGAACACCAAAATAAACGGATAAACATATAAAGTTTAAGATTAAGAGAGCCCAATATTATAAAGATGTCAACAAGGTTATGTAACATTTATAGTCTGGAGGACTTTCACTCATATGGAAGCTTGATATGTGCCAAAAGTGACAGTGCAGACCAGTGGCTGGGGGAGATGGAAGGGATGAAAATCCCTCATCTGAAATACTTGGGACCAGAAGTGTTTCAGATTTCAGATTCTTTCAGGTTTTGTAGTATTTGCATTATACCTACTGGCTGAGCATCCCTAATCCAAAAATCTGAAATCTGAAATGCTTCCATGAGCGTTTCCTTTGAGTGTCATGTCGGCACTCAAAAAGCTTTGCATCTTGAAGCATTTCAAATTTTGGATTTTCAGATTAGGGATACTCAACCTGTATTTAATAAGTGGCATGGGGACAATGTAGGGGGCAAAATGAAATCAGCCTCTACTTTACAATCCACATTAAACAAAACAATTCCAGAGATTAACTATTTGAATGAAAAAGAAAAACAGACATCTCAGAAAATCTTAGGATACAAGAATATCCTAATAACCAACGGGTAAGAAGGATTTCTTAAGCAAGCTATATATAGCCCAAAATGTAAAAAAAAAAAAAAAGAGACTGACCAATCCATCTACAATATAATTAAGAATTTCTGCTTATCCAAAGGTTTGATAAGAAAAAATATAACAAAAAAATTTTAATAAAAAAATAGAAACCACATATTGAGAGAAGATATCTTCAATGGTGGGGCTCAGAAAACGCCCTGAAATATGGTGCTTTGACATGCTGAACTAATGAAGCAGCCTCAAGGTCTCCCTCTGACGTCTCCCTACTCCTTCTGATCCTCCTTACTATTCGAAGCACCAGGACTGGCTCTCTCTTTAAGTTCCCTTATCTGATTGAGAAAACTTCTAAAAGAAATGCAATTGCCTCAAAACTCCTTCCCTAGGAATCTCATTAAATAACCAGGAAACATTAACCACCAGAGAAGAGACTAGAAGTCTCTATGCTCAGGACACCACGCCCAGTCAGCCTCCGCCTCTGCTCTCCTGAGGGCAATTCCAAGTGAAGACCTGGAAGACTGTTATCTGCATAATAAGACCTTTGTTCACAATGCGGCTCTGCCCTTACCTTCCTGTAACTTGTCTGCAGCTACTATTTATCCTTAGGTCCCATTCAGAGTCCAAAGAGAATCATTTACAAACCACTGGTGTGTTTTTTGGGGCCCATTCATTTACGGCTCTCCACCTCCTTCTCCCCAGTATATTTAAGCATCAACCATCTGGTTCCTTCTTGAGTTTTCATATGTTTTGTATGGCTCCCGTGTTTAAGTACATTAATGAACTTGTTACGTTTTTCTCTTGTTGATCTATATTTTGTTATAAAGGTGTGGGCTATGACTCTTATGATGGGGAGAAAAGGGATCACCCCATTTCTGCCTCTACAGTGACATCGATAATGAACAAAGATTTAGTACACAAAATATATAAAGAACTCCAATGAATCAATATGAAAAGGACAAGCAACCCAAAAGGCATATCCAGGCATTTCATGAAAAAACAAGAAGGTCAATAAACCTATAAAAAGAAGGTCAACCTCATTAGTAATCAGAGGAATGCAGAGACCCCCCGCCAAGCTGACACCATTTTACACCCAAAAGGCTAGAAAATGTATATAATCTGACAGCCCCCAAGTTTTGGCAAGTATGTGGAGCAACAGGAACTTTCATGTACTCCTGGTGAGAATTAAAGTTGGCACAACTACTTTGGAAACAAGTTGGCATTGCCCAGTAAAATTTTAGGTGTGTGTAGCCTTCAACACAGCATCTCCTCTCCTGGGGTATATATCCTGGAAAAACTCTTGCTCATCTACACTAAGAGAGATGGACAAAAATATTTACAACATCCTCCTAATAGCAAGAAAATGGAAACAAACAAATGTCTATCTCTCCTGAGAAAAAATTAACTGTCCCATATTCATAAAATGGAATATACTCTGAAGAATAAAAATGAACTACATCTACATGGGTGAACTACATTCTCATAGTTGAATCTCAGAAACAATGTTAATACTGAACAAGCCACTGAAAAACTTAGAATCATTCCGTTTTTATAAAGTTGCAAAAAAAAATCATTTGTATTTGTGTAACCCTAAAATAAAACAAAGAGATTACTAATAAAATATTCAGAGCAATCTTTACTTGAGTTAGGGAAGAGAATGGGATCCACGCTTGAAAAGTATTGCTAGCATTCTATTTCTTAGGCTGCATGATGGGTACATGGATCTTCATCTTATAATTCTTCACTAAACAATGCATAGATGTTCTAAAGCATCATTTGCTTGTATCATATACTTAATAAAGGTTTAACATTTCATTATAATCTATTTTGAACTATTTAGTTTTAGCTTTCATTTACTCGGAAAACTTATGTGAAACACCAAACTTAAGCACAGTAACAAAATGGGGGGGTTCCTTCAGTAATAAATATGAAAGTACATATATATATATTTCAATTGGCTATGTCTTAGGAATCTCCAAGCAATCTAGAGGAATCTAGGATCTGCTAACGAACGTTTCTTTTCTTTCCTAAAGAAGTCAGGCGCACATTTTCTACTAAGGTAGAGTTTAGTAACTTCCAGATTGAATAGCACAAGATAACAGCAGACTCTCCTGGTTCTCCTAATTAGTGGCCTGCTTCTTAATCGTTGCCTGAATTCCCTCTTCTCACTCATCCCCTGCATTTAGTCATCACTCCCCTGATGAGTTGCGAAGAGCAGCCGATTTCCGTTGCTTGAGGTGTGATTATTTGGCAGCTCCAGGGAGAGATGGGTTGGGGGAGGTTGGTTCAGAGAGAAATCAGGAAGCAACTGAGATGTAGACCAAGAAATACCTTCTCTCAGTGTCCCTGTTACTAAAACTAATAACTAATAACTGTCAAAGGTAAAATCCTGAAATGACTTAAATTGCTACAAATACTGCCGGTAATTACCATTTAGTCATTCTCTTGACCTTTTGCAGTGAGTATGTGATGAACATTGCCTCTGCTCAGTTTCAGTTAAAAAAAAAAAGATAGCACAGTTCCAAAACTCTAATTTATTATAAAGAATCTAGTCTTGCCCCCACATTTTAAAAATAAGGAAACTACCCCAAAAAAGTTAAGTGACTGAGGCATTTAAAATATGAAGAATGAAGACCATAACCTCTGAGGTCAGAAGGCCAGGGCTAGAACCCTGGATCTAGCACTAACTAGCCAGGTGATTCTGGGTAAATCGGTTAACCTTGACAGGCCTCAGTTTCCCCATTTGTAAAATGGGAATAATACTGCTATAACTCATAGGGTTGCTGTGATGATTAAATGATTACAATGAGTCCCTGGTATATACTACATGCTCAATAAATGATCATTATTATTTTCTAAGTTCACAAAGTCAAGCAGGTCAAAATAAAATTTTCCAGGCATTTATCTTTTTATCCCTCCTAACTTACGTATCTCATTTTTAAAGTTATAGCAATTTAATAATGAGTGCTTTTTATAACTTTGAATTACACTAATAAAATTTTCTCTCTTCCCCAGGGCTAACAGAAACATATGCAAGTGTATTTCAAACTAATAAAAATGCAATAATTTCATAAACAACTGTCACCCTACTTTCTGCCAGTCCCTTCAGTCTAGTTTACATATTTAAAGGAAATTTTCCACTATATTTCTAGATTAATACCTCACTCATTAGGGGATCTGGCAATTGGTGCTTCTCAACATACTTTTTCACCATTATCTATTTTTCCAACCTGGCAATGAGCAGAAGGGAACAATTATCATGAGATAACATCTCTTCCAGTCAGACAGGCTCTTAATGATGGTAAATGAAGCCAGAACCAGCCCTGTATCCTGAGGCTACTAAAGGGAAGAGCCAGACTTCCACAGCTGGTACGGAAGTGGCACCCGTGCTGTGTCACCTACAGGGAAACATCACACAGGCAGGTAAATGGTTCTGTCTGAAATCCTGTCCCATTGTCTGCCTTGAGAGTCAGCATTTCATGGTGCAGCAGGAGACGGAATCAGGTGTAACACTGAAGACGGCGCTAGCAGAGGTCGGTTCTGGGAAAGGCACACTTAACCTAAAGTGAAAAGCAAATCATTTCACCAATCCAATATGCAAAAGCGGTAGTTTAATCAATTTACACTTCTGTAGTAAATCCCTCTCTGTTGAGTATTTTGCTTTATTTTTCCATTAAAAGAATTACAAGGTGGCCAGGCATGGTGGCTCACACCGGTAATCCCAGCACTTTGGGAGCTTGAGGCGGGCAGATCACCTGAGGTCGGGAGTTTGAGACCAGCCTGGCCAATATGTTGAAACCCAGTCTCTATTAAAAATTAAAAAAAATTAGCTGGGTGTGGTGGCACATGCCTGTAATCCCAGCTACTCAGGAGGCTGAGGCAGGAGAAAAGGTTGAACCCAGGAGGTGGGGGTTGTGGTGAGCCGAGATCATCCCACTGCACTCCAGCCTGGATGATAGAGCAAGACTCCATCTCAAAAAAAAAAAAAATCCAAGCCTTATTTGTTTATGGTGCTATTTTAATTTTTTAATTTTAGCAGTGCTTTTATTTTAAACAACTCAATACATTATCATAAACGCTTAATGGCTGTGCAAACAATTTGCACTCACTTTAAACCAATACAACTACCAATGGAAGCTCAAAATATAAACAGAACAAATCCTTAATTCTCAGTTCTCTCCTTTGCCTGCTGCCTCAGGGAGGCCTACTCTGAGCTCAACAAAGGCTCATGTTTAAGGCACCAGCAAAGCAGGAGCACCCAATCAATGAGAAAATAAAACATAATTTGTTACTTAATATTTCTAAAGATATATTGAAGTCATCATTATGGGGAAAATGTACAGTGTTGGATTTCGTTACTTATTTTATTGTTGTTTCTCATTTTAACTAGAGGTAGGGTGTGGGCACCATGCATGAAGTTCCCAGAGAGCTAACGTGGCTGTGGCCCAGCTTTGGTCTGCTTTTCCCAAGAGCTCTAGTTTATTACACCCTGAGAGCATATTTAAAATATTTAACAACAATACAGGGTGCACAATGATCCATCGGAATGAATGCTGGCCCTAACACCAGTATGCCAGTGAGTCCTAGCTGAACATCAGCTCAGGGTCACCCAAGTACCCACAGGGAGAGAAGGAGAGGGGAGGCTGAGGTTTTGCTGTTGTTATGCAACCATCGTGTCTAACTATATTAGCATCCAGCTCTCATTTCTCCATGTTGTCCGAGAATTAATAATTTTTTTGAAATCTTGCTAAAACCTATATATGCTATAACCAATGCATCATTACTGGTTGCCAGATAAAAAAGAACATTAGTTAGTCGTTTAAAAAAATCCCTTGGCACCGGGAGTGGCGGCTCATGCCTGTAATCCCAGCACTTTGGGAGGCCGAGGCGGGTGGATCACAAGGTCAGGAGATCAAGACCATCCTGGCTACTATGGCGAAATTCCATCTGTACTAAAAATACAAAAAATTAGCCAGGTGTGGTGGCACGCACCTGTAGTCCCAGCTACTTGGGAGGCTGAGGCAGGAGAATCACTTGAACCCAGGAGCCGGAGGTTGCAGTGAGCCAAGATTGCATCACTGCACTCCAGCCTGGGCAACAGAGCGAGACTCCATCTCAAAATAAATAAATAAATAAATAAATATCTTGGCTGGGCGCAGTGGCTCACGCCTGTAATCTCAGCACTTTGGGAGGCTGAGGTGGGTGGATCATGAGGTCAGGAATTCAAGACAGTGCAGCCAAGATGGTGAAACTACGTCTCTACTAAAAATACAAAAATTAGCCGGGCGTGGTGATGCATGCCTGTAATCCCAGCTACTTGGGAGGCTGAGGCAGAGAATTGCTTGAACCCAGGAGGTGGAGGTTGCGGTGGGCTGAGATCACACCACTGCACTCCAGCCTGGGTGACAGAGCAAGAGTCTGTCAAAAAAAAGAAGAAAAGAAAGAAAAAATCTCTTAACTCCACAAAGTAATTTTTTGCTCTTTGTTCCCATCTTCCTGATTCCTCTAGTATTTCCTCTCCCTAGAAGCAACACAGTGTTCAAGAGAAGGCATAATCATATTGTAGCAGATTACATTTCCCTTGCTAAACACTTGGTAACTGAAAAAAGAAAAAGAAAATATTTCTGTTTTTGTAATCTAGTAAACAAATATTAAATGGTTCCTAACCAAAAACCTGATTCTGGCAACATGACTCCTGAGCAGTAAGCAAGCTAAGGAACAACAGCTGGTTATCACTTACCTATGCAGGTCTTAGCAGAATTCAGGCCCCTCCCATAGATAGCCTTGTTTATGCCCAGGAATAGCAAGGGCAGTCAGCCCGTGAGGTTCGAAGCAAGATGGAGTCAGGTATGATTCAAGCCCCGGCCCCGGACCCCAGAGCCACCAAGATGTTGATGCCTAAGAAGAACCAGATTGCCATTTATAAACTCCTTTTTAAGGAGGGAGTCATGGTGGCCAAGAAGGATGTCCCCCATGCCTAAGCACCAGGAGCTGGCAGACAAGAATGTGCCCAACCTTCAGGTCATGAAGGCCATGCAGTCTCTCAAGTCCCGAGGCTGTGTGAAGGAACAGTTTGCCTGGAGACACTTCTACTGGTACCTTACCAATGAGGGTATCCAGTATCTCAGTGATTACCTTCATCTGACCCTGGAGACTGTGCCTGCCACTGTACACTGCAGCCGTCCAGAGACTGGCAGGCCTCGGCCTAAAGGTCTGGAGACTGAGCAACCTGCAAGACTCACAAGAGGGGAAGCCAACAGAGATACGTGCAGACATAGTGCTGCTGTGCCTCCTGGTGCCAACAAGAAAGTAGAGGCTGGGGCTGGGTCAGCAACTGAATTCCAGTTTAGAGGAGGATTTGGTTGTGAACATGGTCAGCCACCTCAGTAAAACTGGAGAGGATTATTTCACATTGAATAAACTTACAGCCAAAAAAACTTTAAAAAAATGAACAAACAAACAAACAAAAAAAACACTGATTCTTACAGCTCTTGAAGGAAGTGATGAACCAATTCAGTTAGCAAGGTATAGAATTATACCTTTGATCACAGACCTGACCTAGTGCCCACTGTTTTTAAACATTTTTCTAAATTGTCTTTGCAAAAAACTATGACAGTGAAAGAAATCTGACATACCTGACTCCATCTTGCTTCGAACAGCCCTTCCTCATTCCTGGGCATAGACAAAGCTAACTATGGGAGGGGCCTGAGTACCTGCATAGGTAAGTGATAACCAGCTATTGTTCCCTAGCTTGCTTACTGCTCAGAAGTCATGTTGCCAGAAGTTAAAAGATTTATAACTTCGCTAATTGTTTTCATAGATAACATCACGATTGTAAAACCTAAGATTGGTCTTTGAGATACGTTTCAGATTTTTTGCATTCTGGTGAACCGACTACCACCTCAGGGACCTGACTCATCTCAAGGAACTGACTCAATTAGTACTGTAACCCCCACCCAGAAACTGACTCAGCGCATGAAGACAGTTTTCGACACTCCTGTGAGTTCATCTACAACCAATCAGCAGCACTCATTCCCTAGCCTCTTGACCACCAAATTGTCCTTTAAAAACGCTAGCCTCCAAGCTCTCAGAGAGGCAGATTTGAGAAATATCTCCTGTCCTCCTGCTCGGCTGCCTTGTGATAACTAAACTCATTCCCTATTTCAACACCACCGTCTCAGCGTTTTGGCTTTATCTGTGTAGCAGGCAAGAAGAACCCACTGGAGTGTAACATTTTCATTTATCAGAGATTAAAAAGTTGCAAGAAATCTGTGAACTGGTAACTCACAGCATCCCTTAATAATCCATTACCAATGCTCCTGGACTTTCAATGGAGTTATATCCTGTTAAGTTGAAAAGATCATAAGTGAAATATGCATGTAATATACCTAACCTACAGGACATTCATTATAGCTTAGCCTAGTCTACTTTAAAGGAGCTCAGAACACTTACATTAGCCTACAGGTGGGCAAAATCATGTGATCTCATGGCTGACTGCAAGTTTTGGAGAGTATTACGCCACATATTGCTAGCTTAGAAAAATATCAAAATTCAAAATTTGAAGTACAGTTTCTACCGAATGCTTATTGCTTTTGCACCACTGAACCCCCAAAAATCTTAAGTTGAATTCAGGGACCATCTGTAGTTAAAAATCTCTATAACCATAGGATGTGGTATGTCTCACAAGTTTCAGGAAAGTGAAGGTGCCAGGCCATGTGTCTCGGGGTAGCCAAAGTGAAAAGTCACTTGAGGCAGATCTTCTGGGTTCAGGGATGAGTCAACACAGTGGCCTCACACAGTTACGTAAATGGAATGCGCCAGTACCACCAACAAGGGTAGAATGGGGAATACCACCTTTCTGTGAACAGAGGACGGTCACCCCTCTCAACGCTCTCTGGTAGACAGAGCAGGTCACTGGGGAGAAGGTAGATATACTTGCATGTGGATAGGAGACACCTCCAGGAGCCCTTTTCTCCTGGCATTCAATTTAGACTCTCTGATGGGCCAGGATTCTTCAGAGAGGAAAGCAAATTTAGGGTCTGAAGGGATTAACAGCCCACCAAAGTAGTATTCTGAATTTAAGCAGAACCTCTGAGAAATTCAGCCACCATTGAACCCCCTCCTCCAAGGCTGTTTGCTATGTGGGAGAAGCCAGCGCCTTGGCACCAGGAAGTACAAAATCAGTTGCCATAAGCATCAAAAAGCACAACAGGGCCTGCTATACTTCCCCACTGAAGCTCTGCACTACTCTTATTTGTTAAATTGGTATATAAATTTACCTGTCTGTGTAGCACTCATCAAAGAGTACTTCAGCATATGGAAATCGACCTTGTCTTTTCTCCTTTTAGTCTGTCTATTGACAGTTAATGCACAGCCCCCATCCCTCAGACCATGCAACCCTAAGAAGAAAAGTTTTCTTCCCAAGGCAATTCCCAAAGATGGGAGGAGAAGTCAGAAGTACAACCCAAGTTCAGAAACAAAATCCGGAGGTCCCTATGGATGGGTTGGTCCAGCTGATGGCATGGCTGCCACTGAAGCTTCTATGGTCCCAGCCATGCTGGGATGGGGACTCTGCCCTGGGACAGCAGCTGAGCTTGGGAGTGAACTGAAGAGCTGTAGCCTCAGAAGGCCAGTGCTGGGGTACTGTGTGGCCTGTACAAGAATCTAGACCAGATAAAGCTCCCCGTTCTCTCTCTTCCTGGCATCCTGAAGCAGATCTGAAACCTGCACCAGGAAAACCACAGAAGTTTGTGGAGAGAGGTAGAACTGAGGAGATGAGTATTAACTCACTGTCCACCTAATGCATGCAAAAGAATGTCCAGAAAACTGATACGAAAATAGAAAGAGGGGTTACCAAATCTGGACTCTGATAAACACGAATCTACAAATCTCCCTCTAGAAAAAGAGGGAGATAAAAGGAACAAATGTCATTTTAAAAATTCCTACTGCCGTGGTATAAACGAAAAAAAAAACTAATATTTACAGATGGTCTTCTATGTAAATGAACTTTAATTTGCTATATTCTTGACTCTGTGCCCCAAGATCTACTTCTCCTTCAACATTTCCCCTTTCAGAAAATGGTACCTCTGTTCAAACAATTTGAAAATCATTCCTGATCTTTTTTTTTTATCTTAAACATTCATATTCAAAACTAACAGATCCGACCTTGTGAGTATCTCTTCCAAACCTATCTTCTCCTTTCACCGCTACTGCCACCATCACTTTTGCTTGGACTCCTGCAGTAGCCTCGTAACTGGTCCTTTGCATTCACTTGCTCTTCCTTCCACTTCCAATTCCATACACTCCAGAGAACTGTAAAATATCTTATTACTTCCCTGCTCAGAATCCTTCAGTGGATCCCCATTGCTCCTAGAATTCTTAACAGGACTTTATCTTGCATCACATTCTTCTTCTTTTTTTTTTTTAGACGGAGTCTAGCTCTGTCGCCCAGGCTGGAGTGCAGTGGCGTGACCTCAGCTCACTGCAAGCTCCGCCTCCCGGGTTCATGCCATTCTCTTGCCTCCGCCTCCCAAGTAGCTGGGACTACAGGCGCCTACCACCACTCCTGGCTAATTTTTTTGTATTTTCAGTAGAGACGGGGTTTCACCATGTTAGCCAGGATGGTCTCGATCTCCTGACCTCGTGATCCACCCACCTCGGCCTCCCAAAGTGCTGGGATTAACAGGTGTGAGCCACCGCGCCCGGCCTCATCACATTCTTCTTCTTCATTACTTTTCAGCCACTAAGATCTTCCTTGAAGGGGTCAGGCTCTAGACTACCTCATTCTCCACCTGGGAAGCTCTTCTCCTGGTAAAATGAAGCTCATCTACTGATCTTGCTTTAAATTTCATCTTCTCAAAGAGGCCTCCCATGCCTCACCATTCCACCTTCCCAATTCTATACTTCTTCTTGTCAATAAAAGCTTATTGTTTTTCTTCATAGAACTGGTCATAATTTATAACTTGTGATCTGAGAGATCAAAACAGATACCCCTTTATCAATTAAGATGGACTCTAAGGTTAAGAAAAGAAAGATTTTTATGTATTGAGGTGTCAGGACCCAGCTGGCATGGCAAACTTCCAAATTCCTGTGGCTCTAAACTTCTAAACAATAGGAGATATCAGACTTCTCCTAAATCTGATTTACAACCCAGGCCACCGCAACTCTGATTGGACAGAGGACGGGCCTCACAAACATTCTTTTTGGATAAGGTACTGCAGACCTTAGGCCAGTTTCAGCAGCTTATAGAGGATGCACACAAACTGTCTTTGTGTCCTATAGTTCACCTTTGGATGTAAAGAGCCTTTTCCACCTCGTTTTAATTCTAAAACTATGCCCCAAAGTGAATGTGGGATGTATGTTGCATATATGTTTACCCATTGTGCATGCACTTGGATCCTCTCATGAATATGCACAGGATTTCCCCCAAACCTGCTGAATATGCGTGACTCTTGTGTAGTATGAATTCTGTGAGGCATAAAATCCAAGCTGTCCTTCCCCTCTTCCAAGATAGAGTACCTTCAGTCCATGTACAGACTTCCTCTTCCTGGCTTGCAAACCCATATTACTAATAAAGCTCTCCTTTCTACTATTTAGCCATCCTGGTGGCTTTTTGAATGACAGACAATATGATAATTTGTATGCTTATTCATTTTGTGTCTTCCTATTCCAATACACTATACACACCATGCAGAAAGAGCACATGTTGGTTTTGTTTATCACTGACACCCATTTCCCAGTATAGTACCTGGCTACATAGGGGATGGACAATTATTTGCTGAATGCTACTGAAAGGAGGTATTTTAATATCCATTTTACCTGGGATAGGATGACCATATGACCCAGTTTGCTTGACATAGCCTTTGTTTACATGTGTTGCCCTGGCATAATGACTGATAATGTCTCAATGTTACTTTCCGAAGCTGATAGTCAGAAAGACTGAATACAATGCATTCTCACTATCAGAAGTAGTTGTGTTCTATAAAGTCACCACAAACACTGAATTTGCCAACACTAAATGATCGCTCCTGAAGGAAAATACAGAGTTAGGTCCCTCTGAGAGTAATGTCACAACATCGTTGTCAACATATCAATGTGCAACTTTATTTTATGTGTGTTTCTATTTAAAGACACTTTCTTTGATACATTTTATTGAGTTATTAACTTTGAACCCATGGACAACAGCACTGTAACTCATGCCTGAACGAAGCTCATCTAACACTCATATTTCCTCCATAAGGCACATACAGCCTTCTTGTGCTTAGGAACATTAGATAGCACGCCAGTACCACTCTTAGGGCCATTTTAAAAAGCTAAATCACCAACAGAAAGCACAAAAATGTGAAAAACGTGGCATTAAATAGACCACAAAAAGAGTACTTGTTTACAGTATGAGACATGAAACAAGAAGACAGGGCTAGAAACATGCCCGTCAGGCAACTCAAATTTTTCATTGCTCTGCTCATCCACAAATGACCACAAAAGTGCCTTAAGCACTGATTTGGGGGTTACAAATAGATACTAGCAAGTAACTGGATTCTCAAATACAGAATCTGCCAATAGCACAGATAGCTTGTCTAAGATTACCCAGCTGCTGTAGAGTGAGAACTGATCCCAGATAATGTCCAACTTCACAGTCCGTGTCATTCATAAGACAACTATTACTAAGAAAAGAACCAACCTTTCTCAGAGTACCATTTCTCTAATCTGGGTGACCATAATTATTTAAACCCCCTAGATTACTGGTTTACTAAAGTTCCAGTACCAAAGGCAGAGTTTGAGAAGCAGAACTTCATGAAGTGGACTTAATTCTGTACGAAAGTAGTCAGTAATATACAACCCTGCACTAATGAAGAGTGAAACCACTGGGAACTGGCTACTACCTCTTAAGTGACAATTCACAAGGCAATCCCAGAGTACTTACAATAACAATGGGTGGTTTCATGATGGAATGTAGACCATAAGATTAACATAAATGTAAACTTATGGAAAAATAAAAATTTTCAGAGTTAAAGCTTGAACCATCCACAAACCAATGTCGAGGGAAATTTATCTCTAGAACATGAGAAATCCAGTGTCCACACCTCTTCCCAGTCCATAGGGATGGAGAGAGTCTTCAACAGGGTTCCAGGATTGACCACTCCCACCATTCCAAAAATCCTTTCTATGGTGAATTTCTCACTTCTTAGTAAAATTTCATTTCCTCTTCTAAAACACATTCAATAACAAAGGTTAGGATCCCTCTGCAAGTTTATGAACAATGGGAATAAAATATTTTAAATTATATACTTTCAAGTTGACTCCTAAGGAGCCAAAAAGAAAAAGAAAAAAAATTATATAGTAGTTTTCTTTAAGAATTCAGCAATCTATACATTAGAAAAATACTTCCTACTGGTCCATTTCATTCTAACTCACTCTTCTGGTATGTCAAGACTCTCTGGATAAAAGATAATTTTGAAATATTTTAGCTATTTTATATACATTTAAGGCAATCTCAGAAACACTTGCCTTACCTTTAAAAAAGAAAAGTTTCCTTCCTACTACTTAGAAACCACTAGGATAGAGGGTGTTCTGCAATTTTGGAGAAAATAAAATGTTTTCTCCTAAGCCCAGTTTAGAGTCAATCATTCAAAATAATTTCAGACATACATAAATATTCCAAGATGAATGTAAAGTATACCCTTCACCCGTATTTCCCAAATAGTAACATTTTATCACAGTAACTTTATCTCGCTTTTTCTTGTATTATTTTTTTCTGAACTGTGAAGGGGTTCAGAGTATGCCATTCAAAAATACGCCACTTTGGCGTAAGAATTATTTTGAGCTGAAGGTAATTTTTTTAAAAGCAGAAACAGGACATGCTCTTGGCCCTCTCACTATCTGCCTGAAAGCAGAAGAT
The DNA here is from genome assembly GCF_000001405.40 of Homo sapiens. Taxonomy (NCBI): domain Eukaryota; kingdom Metazoa; phylum Chordata; class Mammalia; order Primates; family Hominidae; genus Homo; species Homo sapiens. The sequence continues at coordinate 37,382,532 of NC_000007.14, forward strand.
AAATTCTTGTAAAGGTGTCCCCACCATCCCATACCAGGAAGGGGATAACAACCTTATCACCTGAGATGAGACTGCATCAGGATGGACCTGCACAAACAAACCTTACTAAATTAACCCTTATCTGCCATTAGTATTCCCCACGTATTTACTTTCCCACAGTCTGCCACCCTGGGAAGCCTAAAACCCTTTTCCTTTGTCTTATCACTTCTCTGCAAATTTATTTTTCTTTGTTAAGATACTAGATAAGCCCAAGTTCTAACCACTCCACAGAGATACTCATCACTGAGTTTCTCCCAGGTGTATGCATGCTGCATGTACTAATAAACTTCTGTTTGCTATCTCTTGTTAATCTGTCTTTTGTCAATCTAATTTGCAGGGCCCCAGGCCCAGAACCTAGGAGGGTAGAGACAACAGAATAGTTCTCCTTCCCCTTCAACTGTATTATGAGTAAGTTGCAGATGTGATGCCACTTTTCCCCTCCATACTTCAATGTATATTTCTAAAGAACAAGAACATTCTTTTAGATAATCACAGCACAATAATCAAAATCAGGAAATTAACATTGATACACACTATTATATAATCTACAGGCCCTCTTTAAATTTCACTAATTATCCCAATAATGTCCTTTATTATAAAAGAAAAATGAATTTGCTTCCCTGGACTAAAAGCCAATCCAAGATTGCTTAGGGCATTGAGTTTTTCTGTGTCTTTAATCTCCTTTAGTTTGGGATAGTTCTTCATTCTTTCTTTGCCTTTCATGACGCTGACATTTTTTAAGAGTACAGAAAAAATCACAAAAGTTTATCTAACATCTCGCCTCACAGTGAGAGTCAGGTTATGCATTTTTGGCAGACCTATCACGGGAGTGATGCTATATCAGAGGGCATATATAGTTGGTTTGTCCCATTAACAGAGACGTTAACTTTGACCACTTGGTTAAAATTGTTATCTTCCTGGTGAGTTAATGAAATTTTACTTGTCATTTATGTTACACGGCATTTGAGACAAAAATTTCAAAACATTTCATAAATGAGCACACTTATATAAGTGTCTACTGCTTACATATTTTGTTACATTTTTGGAAATTTTATTTGGGGATTCATCTTTAAGTTCTGCCCATTTAATTATTCCTTCTATTATTGGGTATAATATTTCTAGCACATTTCCTTTTAATGTCGTAACTATGTTACGGGAAAAGAGTCTAATCATAGATTATTTTAGGCAACATTTAAAAGGATACACGTTTTAGGTAAAGTTTGAAATATACAGGGCTTTTTGTTGTTGTTGTTGTTGTTGTTTGAGATGGAGTTTGGCTCTGTTGCCCAGGCTGGAGTGCAGTGGCGCGATCTCGGCTCACTGCAAGCTCCGCATCCCCGGTTCATGCCATTCTCCTGCCTCAGCCTCCTGAGTAGCTGGGACTACAAGCGCCCGCCACCGCGCCCGGCTAATTTTTTGTATTTTTAGTAGAGACGGGGTTTCACCGTGTTAGCCAGGATGGTCTCGATCTCCTGACCTCGTGATCCACCCACCTCGGCCTCCCAGAATGCTGGGATTACAGGCGTGAGCCACTGTGCCCGGCCGAAACATACAGGTTTTGATGGCTTCTATATTTTACTTATGGTATAGAATATGTTGCTTAGAGAGTCTATTGAATTCTATTTTAGTCATACCTATTTTGATAATACAGATTATTACCTCTTTTAGTAACACAGACTGAAAACAAATGACACGATTAAGATGATACTATGCACATGTAATTACCTGGACTCAAACAAGATTAATGAGGTGTTATAGATGCAATAAAAAGTGCAAACCATTAGAAAAGGCACAACATTTATAAACAGGAATGAGCAAAATAATTAGATTGAAGAAAAATTAGAAGTTTCCAGTTTGTTTATTTGTCAGGCCAGGCGCAGTGGCTCACGCCTGTAATCCCAGCACTTTGGGAGGCCGAGGTGGGCGGATCACGAGGTCAGGAGATCAAGACCATCCTGGCTAACAAGGTGAAACCCCGTCTCTACTAAAAATACAAAAAATTAGCCGGGCGCGGTGGTGGGCGCCTGTAGTCCCAGCCACTCGGGAGACTGAGGCAGGAGAGTGGCGTGAACCCGGGAGGCGGAGCTTGCAGTGAGCCGAGATAGAGCCACTGCAGTCCGGCCTGGGCGAAAGAGCAAGACTCCGTCTCAAAAAAAAAAAAAAGAACTTTCCAGTTTGTTTATTTGTCAAGAAAACAGTAAGTTCTAGATCTACTTGAGAGGTTGCCTCAGAAATCTGACCTCAACAAATTACTTCTTTCACTCTAATCTGCAATAAAACTAGCAACGGTTGTACACACAAAAAAAGACATGAGTAAAAATGCACACGAATTCGTTTGAGCTTGTGACCATGTTCAGGTAACACTGTAAATATCACATTTGAAAAGATGCAGAATTATTTGACAATATGCAAAAAGTATATATTCCATACTTTGCTTTGAAGTTCTAAGAATCGTAAACACTGTCTAGGAATTACTTTAAAGCCTCGCTGTAATATTTTACCTGCCACATATGCATAAACCTCTCCTAGCTGCTCCCTGGACAGTGCCGAAAAGTCCACCTCTAGCTGATCTCTCTGACTCTACTCTTGCCCACAGTAGTTGATGCTCTAGAATGATCCATTTGAGACCTAAGTCAGGTCATGTGGCTGCCCTACTCAAAACCTTCGAAGGCACCCTATCACGTTTAGAAAAGCATTCGAAGCCCCAGCTATGGTCCATCTGCCTCTATGGTCTGGCCTCTGGCCCCTTTTCTGTTCCTCATTCCATCTCCCCCTCCCCTCCAGCCACACTGGCCCTGCTATTCCCCAGCAGGCCAAGCACAGGGCTGTTCAGCTGCCCACAACATTTCCCGAACTGCCCTGTGGCTCACTCCCTTTCTTCACTCCGGTTTCCATTCAAATGTCACCTCCTTAGAGAAGAGTGATTTGGCTCCTATCTAAAATGGTGCTCTCTGTCCTTCCCACTCCACTCCCCTGTTTTATTTTCTTGATGGCACTTCTCAGGGTCTGAAATCATCTCAGACATTTGTTTACTTGTTTATTTTCTGGATCCCTGAATAGAAAAGAAGCTTCATGCAAGCATGAGTATTTGGTTTCCCACTGTATCCCGTGTCTAGGAGAGGGTCTGGTAGATATTGACACCTAATAAGCATTTGTTGAGTGAACAGCTGAGCGAGCGCTAGCTTCCCACATGGCAAAATGCATGCACACACACAAAATACGAAGGGGCGGCCAATCTGCCTTCACAGAGGCAGAACCGCCCCTAGAGCTTTTGAGGAACCACCTGGAGAACATGGGAAACTACCAGTGCCAGGCCCAGCTTCCGGAGATGCCAATTCCCCAGGAAGTCCTAGTGTTACGTGCTCCACAGCTGACTGTGATCCAGGCAGGAGCCAGAAATTTTACCAAGATCTAGGCCCCTCCTCAACCGGAGAGCTCCAGGGCTGTCTTTCAGATGCTGTGTTAGTTGCCTGCCTTTTACCCAGAATGACTTCACCTTTAAGGAAGTGCCTGCAACCCACAGTGGTGCAAGCCACAGTGATTTCATGCCCAGCCCTGGAGCTGGTTCCTTGAGGAATTAGCATACTTCCTCAACAAATGTGTTTTCTTTGTGAAGAAACGGTGTGCAGCCAGAAAGTCGCCTTGGATTTGGAAGCCTATCGGATGTTGCAATTGTTTTGAGCAGGTAGCTGGGGAGGGAGGGCTGGAGGGAGGAATCAAGGACTAGGTTTGGAAAATGGGCAGAAGGTGACAGAGATAGATGATTCCTGCCTAGGGAGACCACAGAGAAAAGGGGGCAGGGGCTGGAGGGGGGAGCCCAGGTCTCCAGTCTGTCTCCCCATAGTCCTTACAGCCCTGGACTCACTGCCCTTGTACAGAGCCTCCCACAGACCCTCACGACAGCCTTCCTAGGGAGTCGTTATTGTCCCTAAGTGTTAAATCAGGACGCCACAGGAGAGAGCAGCTAAACTACCTGCACCTGGTCCTGGTAAGGTAAGTAGAGATCCAGGGTCCACACTCAGGTCAGGTTTAGTAGAGATCCAGGGTCCACACTCAGTTCAGGTAAGTAAAGATTCAGGGTCCACACTCGTGTCAGGTAAGTAGAGATCCAGGGTCCACAGTCAGGTCGGGTAAGTAGAGATCCAGGGTCCAAACTCATGTCAGTCAGGCGTGCAGCCCGAGAGTTCTCGGTTTCAACAAAGATCCTCCCATCCCCTGCCGAATTTTGGTTGGAGCCTCCTCCCCAAGCCCTTCCCTGCACACGGCCTGGTGTCTGCTTCCTTCAGTGGTTATTAGCCTTGCATGCACATTGTAATTGACTCAGAGTTTTTAATAAAATATTTGATCTTCACTCCCAGAGAGTCTCAATTAATTGGCCTGGAGCAAGGCCCAGGCAGTAGTTTTGTTTTGTTTTGTTCCTGCTCCCCAGATGACTCTAATATATAGCAAGAGTAAGAAACCTCTGTTCCAGGTCAATGGGAAGTAAGGGCAGGCCCCAGTGAAAACATCACAAATAGCATAAAGAATAAACCCACAGAAAAGAAAGAACCAGAGATGCACTTGAGTATGCAGCTTCTAGCACAAAGGATATGGCCCTGGCCTATCCTGAAAAGAAGTCTGAGGTACTAAACTCAACCCAAGAGTGCCAATGGATTAGTTCCGAGTGCTGCCTTAACAAAGCATCACTAACTGTCTCACAGTCGTGGAGGCTAGAAGTTACAAGGCCAAGATGTCAACAGAGCCCTGCTCCCTCTGAAAGCACTAGGGAAGCGTCTGTTTCAGGCCTCCCTCCTAGCTTCTGGTAGTTCCTTGGCTTATAGCAGCAACACTCCAATCTTCATGCTGTGTTCTTCTTGTGTGTGCTTCTATCTCTAAATGTCCCCTTTTTATAAGGACCAGTCATATTGGATTAGGGGCCGACCCTACTCCAGTATGATCTCATCTTAGCTAATTGCATCTAAAACCATCCTATTTCCAAACAAGGAAACATTCTAAGGGCCTGGGGGGTTAGTACTCGAATATACCATTTTTGTAGGGGACACAATTCACTCCAGACAGGCATATAGAGCCAAACTTTGAGGCAGTGTTTCCCTAGCAGGCACTTAGGAACTTACTCCTGTGGGAAACCAGATGTCTGTTCCACTCGCTGTCCTGAAAAGTCATGATGTACTTTTGTATAGAAAAGGCTCAGAAAAATCCTTCAGGAAATCAATCTGTTTGCTTTATTTATCCTAGTGTCTCTCAAATTTATTCAACCATGGGACCCTTTATTTTACTTTGAGACAGGCCCTTACTCTGTTACCCAGGCTGAAGTGCAGTGGCACAATCACAGCACACTGCAGCCTTGACCCCCTGGGCTCAATAGTTCCTCCCGCCTCAGCCTCCCAAGTAGCTGGGACTACAGGTACATGCCACCACGCCTGGCCAATTTTTACATTTTTTTTGTAGAGATGGGATCTCCCTATGTTGCCTGCCCAAGCTGGTCTCTAACTCCTGGCCCCAAGCAATCCTCCAGCCTCAGCCTCCCAAAGTGCAAGGAACCCTTTAAACATCACCATCTAGTAACAATCTGTGGAATACACTTTGAGAAACAATGCCTTAAAAGTCAGAGTGTGAAATTAGCCATTATTATCCAGACAGATGAATGAAAGCCTCCTATGAGTGTGAAAGTGCCCACCACCAGAGGAGCAGACAACTCGATACAGAGACAACAGGTCTCCCCTTGAGTTAACATACACAAATACTAAGAACAAAACAAGACTTACCAAGACCAAAATACTGCATTTTTTTGTACAGTGTTGTAATAAGTAATCCTGACATTTATTACACAATTTATGTAACTAATTTTTTTTTTTGGTAATATTATAATCATGTACCACCACATTTCAAAGAATGACATTTCAGCTTTCTGGGAAGTTGTAATTGGGAAAAAGGAGTATTATAATTTGGAGCAGGGCACACTGGCTGGGAAAACCAAATGTCTTTCTGGATCCCCATACCATCTTGGAGAAAGATGCTGCAGTCACTCCATGATGCCAGGGCACATCATGTGCAAAAAAAAAAAAAACACACAAAAGACTGCCACCAGCTGGGCATGGCTCATGCCTATACTCCCAGTGCTTTGGGAGGCTGAGGTAGGAGGAGATCTCTTGAGCCCAGGAGATAGAGGTTACAGTGAACTATGATTGTGCCATTTCCCTCCAGCCTGGGCAATAGAGAGAGACCCTGTCTCTAAAAAAGTTTTTAAAATAAAAATACCGCCGTCACCTGACCCACACAAAAGACGTTCTGCATGTCAACAAGAGCTTTGGGAGGGATAGCTTTAAGTAGCACACAAAATAATCCAATACACATTTTAGAAGTGAGGCTTCTAAAAATAAAACCACATAATTTCCATGTTTTTGAAGCAGAACTTCCTCAGACAATTCCCTGAACATGGGAACCATGGGCTATTTCAATACTGAAGTGCTTACATTTTTCCGGTTTCCTCCTTTGAGCAAACTAGGCTTTCTTTTTTAAACTTTAATTCAAGGAAAGAAATAACAATGCAACACCAAAGCACTACTTTCCACAGCAGCAAATTAGAGAGGGCTAATTTGTGGGCATGGCTGTGCCCTGTTATCTGTACCTTGTCACTTTAATTCAGCACAACCCAAACCCGGCAATTCCTTTCATTTTGACTTTTCCACAGAGCAGAATTTTAGCCTTCACGCTGGGTTTCAAAGAGTCCAAAATAAAACCAGCCCACATTAAGCAAAACAGCCACATAAAACCTTTCCTTTATGTATGGAAGAAAGGACTTTCCAAGTTCAAAAGGATTTTTTGTTAAGCAGTCTTGGTAATGTTTTTAAAAGTCTATTTTAAAAAGTTGAGTGTTTTTCCCTCCATTGTGTTGATGCACATGTAGACCAGTATGTCTATTTCCTCTAGCGGAAGCAATGAAGTTGTCACCTGAAATGTGTACACTTCAGTCCACTGCTAAAACACCTCAGGCAAGCGAGAGTCTCGAATCGTCCAGGTAGAAGACAAACCTTCCATCCTGCCACACTGTGGAGCATGAAGAGGCAGGAATAATAGCTTGGTCACAGGTAGTAGGGAGACACAGGACTCTCCAGACCCTGATATTCAGCTTTTGCTGGGAAATCCAGTTCTCCTTTAACCATAGGAAATAGGCTGTCAGGAGTGTAGGGGAACCAAATACTTCCACCTCTACCTAGGGGTATGCGTAAAGAATGAAGCACGGGCATCCCCCGAGATTCTTACTAATTCTCCAGCATGTGCAACCCTCATTAGGGAGAGCTGCTCTTTGAAACAAAAATTAATCACCGTAAGCAGAAAGGCACGCTTCCCACAGTCTCTCCCATGTTGCCCAACTTCCAAAATCTCATAGCCTTCCCTATCCCACCTCTTGAAATTCAGATTCTCTAGCGCTTTCATCCCCTGAGAAGTCACCCATGCTCTGGTTCCAGAAATCATTTGGTTAAAAATCAAAAGAACAAGAAATGTCTGTGTATAGGCTATCACAGCAGCAAGTTGTAAAACTGCACCATGGACGTAAAAATGCAGACTTTTTAAAAACACAAACGGTAACTGGAATTTAGACCTGGTGCCTCCACCCTAAATCTGTATTTTGCAGCTGTCGCTATGAGCATAAAGTCAGCCCCTTAACTGAGCAGGAACCCAAGAAGCATTTCTTCACAGCTGTCAGGCTTGCGCCACTTGCATGGAGTATGAACGGTTTCACATGAAGCCCGCACTCACTGTGCAAGGGAAGGTCTCGCAGAGTGGAGGGTGGCAGAACTCCTCCCATCAAGTAGGAAATCTGACTGACAAAGACACAGGTCAGTAGGGTGCCCCAAGGAGCACATTTCTTATTACACTCTGCCTTTTTTTTTTCTTCTGACTCCCAGACGCACAGAGGCCCAGGGACAGAAAAAAAGCAAAAGCTACAGGTTCCTAAGCAGACTCAGGCCCTACCTGTTTTGAATAGCATGTGTTTCCAGTAATTCTATTTCTAATCCTTTTCATGGTCCCCTAGGTTAGGACTCATCACAGTCCCTGACCCAGTAAAAAAATCAAACAGATATCAAAGACTAATGTCAGAGTTCATATAGGGCTTATGGGTTTGTTTGCAAATGGAAACCAAGGCTCCGCTCTTTGAGACTTATAGGTGCTTACCACCCCCCAGCCCCCATGCTATTGCTTCTATCCACCAGGTGTTGAGGGCCATGAGCTTATCAGGAGTTTGCACTTTTAGATGAGAGGACAATCTGGTTATAGACAACTGCCAGGGCACACAGGTGGCTGGGGCAGGACACCAAATTGACCTGGTGACCCTGTAGACACTGTTTCCCATCCCCAACTGAATATGTGATAGAGGGAAGTGGTTCAATGTTCACATCAAGCCCAAATCAGGTATATTCTGGGAAAGTAGTCCCTTCCTTCCTTCCTTCCTTCCTTCCTTCCTTCCTTCCTTCCTTCCTTCCTTCCTCCCTCCCTCCCTCTCTCCCTCCCTCTTTCCCCCCACCGCTCTTTCTTTACTTCTTTCTTTCTTTTGTATTTTTGAGACAGAGTCTTGCTCTATTGTCCAGGCTGGAGCGTGGTGGCTCGATCTCAGCTCACTGCAACCTCCACCTCCCGGGCTCAAATGATTCTCCTGCCTCAGCCTCCTGAGTAGCTGGAATTACAGGTGCCCACCAACATGTCCGGCTAATTTTTGTATTTTTAGTAGAGATGGGGTTTCACCATGTTGCCCAGGCTGGTCTCGAACTCCTGACCTCAAGTGATCTGCCACCCCGGCCCCCCGAAGTGCTGGCATTACAGGCATGAGCCACCGCACCCAGCCCAGAAGTAGTTATTTATAAAGGCATTTGTGTGCAAGGCCTTATAATATTATGACAAAATATAAAATATAAAATTACACTAAGTTGAGGACTCTTATGTTCGACCAGTGTAAGCCAGTCTATATATGTACTTCCTCTCTAAAAATTCTTTGAAGAAAACAGAGTTTATACCAGGAGGTGCACACGGCCTTCGTTACTCATGGAAGGACCCACACCTTCATGGTGGGTCTCTAGCCACTGAGCCATCCAGAGACCCCAGTTGGGGGCCGACTTGCATGCCACATTCCTGATTTCAGGAACCTCTTCAGAAACAGCCTCTGCTACTCAAGAGCTTCAAGATTTGGGCAAGCCCCCATGTAACACTCACCAGGGAAGAGCTGGCTTTTATACAAGGAACGATTTGGGACCACAGGTTCCAGGGCTAAGTACCCAGAAGGCCTACAGGAGAAGTGGCCATCTGTGCAAGAAAGAGCAGCAAAGCCTGTAGGGAAGTGTGTGTACCCCCCTAAGAAAGCATTCAGTTGTAGAAAGAGAACTGTAATCTCCACACACATGCAATGGCCCTGCGTGGACTTTGCACCCAGAAATTGAAGAACTTGAGTTTCCAGCAGGGAGACACACTGTTCTCAAATGAGAAATATAGATATTCTGGCTAAATTTCGAAAGGAAGTCTGCAACCCGGGGAAGTTAAAGAACTCTAGAGATAATAAAATATTCCAGGATGGTAAACTTTTTTTTTTAAAGTCTTTCCTTCCTCTGATGTGGCTCCAGACTTCGAAACAAAACAAAACAGAAAGAGGGAAGTTGCTACTCTAGAGGTCAGCATATCTCTAACTCAAGTTCCCACATGGCCAGTGGTCTCTGAGGCAGTACAGGGTAGCAAGGAGAAGCTCTAAGGAACCTGAATAAAGTGGCATATGCCTCTGACAGTTAACGTATAAAACCAACCCAGAAAGAAGGAACACAAGATCCCAGATCTGCAAAGCCATTCGAGAGTCCATGGGGCTTTGCAGTTGGCAGAACTTGGTGACAACCTAGCTGAGGCCATTCGCATATCTAAAGCATGAGCACGTCAGTCAGAAGCAGAGGTGGCCAACCATGAAATCTGAGCAAATTGGCGCTGCTAGGCTACCCCAGCTCTATACAAGGGAGGGCAGCCCCACTCTAGCCTCTCTCTTCCACATCTGCTGCCAGGTGTGAGGCCTCCCTATAGAATGGAGAGATGGGGCTGTCCTGACTCTGGAGGCCTCTGGACTTTCTGATCACACTGGCTAGCTCTTCTCACTGTGATTCTATGTTTACCAAATGCTCTCCTGATTACAACTCCTTCCCTTGACGTCTGCCTACAGGGAGGAAATCTGCTAGTCTGAGTACCAGTGGTCTTGATGATATTTCCTACAGTAAATCATCAAATTGGCCTCTGGCTCCCCAGTCACTAAAAACCTGCTAATTGCATCTGCCCTGGGAGGTAACTGTGCTCCCCTGGAGCCTGCTGTCTTCTGAGCCTGTTTGCACTTAAGGCCACCTCCTGAGGGTTGCTGAGAAAGGATGCAGGTTTTCTCTTGGTTGTGCCCCTTGGCTTCACCACCTCCCCACCCCCAACTCATTCCAAGGTCTACCAAGACCACTTCTGCACACATTTCCATCAGGACATAATACAAAACATCTCTCCTGGGCAACTTGTCCATGAGGAAAAGTCTAAGCTTGTTCATTAATTTTTATTCTTTCTTAAAAATTTTTATTTTGAAGCAATCTCCAATTCACAAGAAATTGCAGATATAATATAAATAAATTTCATTCTTCCTGAACAACTTGAGAGTAACTTGCCAACCCAGTGGCTCACCACCCACTAATACCTTAGTGAAGATTGCCAACAAACAATGGCATTCTCCTATATAACCACCACACAAGCATTCAAATCAGAAAATTAACATTTAATACACATTCTATTTGCCCTTGTGACCTCGTTCAAATTTCACCAAATGTCCCGATAATGTACTTTATAGTAAATTATTTCACCAAATGTCCCAATAATAGTACTTTATAGTACATTATTTAAAAAAAATCCAATTCAGAATCACACATTGCTTTAAGCTGTTGTGTCTCTTCAGTCTCTTCATTCTAAAGTGCTTCCCTCAGTTTTCCTCTGCCCTTGACCCTTTTGAAGACTATAGACTGGTTATTTTGTTCCTCAATTTGGGTTTGTCTGGTGCTGCTGCTACTGATTAGATTCAGGTTATGCATTTTTGGTGGAAATATCACAGAAAAGTGAAGCTGCAGCCTTTCCCTTGCCTGCTATCAAGCGGTGCCTGGTTTTGGTTTATCCAAAAACCAAAATCACTGTTCATTTGTTCCTCAGCTTGCTTTTTTATGCTCAGATCCCCACAAGCCCATAAAGATTGGCCTACCTACTCCAAGGAGAGGCTGAACTAGAAGGGCCTTGGGCATATCTTGATCTGTATCTTCTCTGCCTTGTATGGTATAAGTGCTCCCTGCTCTGCCCCCTAGATGGGATAAATAGGTGGAAAGGAGAGATGATATGGTTTGTGGACAAATAGCAGAATACTTTAAGTCCTACTCACACAATTTTTCCATAGCTAAGTAGAGGTAAGCTGCCTTAACTTTTTGATGCAAGAAATAACCCCCTTTTTACTCATTCATTCATTCATTCATGCCACTTATATTTATGGGGAGCCTCTCCCTGTTAGGCCCAGGGACACTAATATAATGTTGGACAATACCCTGCCCCAAAGGAGAGAATGGTCTCTCACAGAATACTCTTACTAGAAAGCTACAGGACAGCAGTGAGAAGGAGATGCTTGACCAGGTGGAGGGGGAAGCAGTCCAGCACCAAGGAGCAGCTCAACATAGTCTGGCATGTTCAGAAACCTGAAAGAAGCTGTAAATAAGACCTCAGTCAGACTGTGAGCTAAGTTGAGTGACAGGTGGGAGGAGACTAGAGAACGAGGAGACAGGAGCTGGATCAGACAGGCCTCAGACGGTCAGCAAGAGCCTACACCTGGGCTGATAAGAAACAGGAATCTCTGAAGGGTTGGAAGCCAAGTGCCAAGATCATGAAGACATTCTTACAACAACCTAAGGAACCCATCTGCAGAAGGAGAATAATTGGGGAACAGAAGGGAAGCAAGGGGCATAAGCATATACATGAGGAGACAATGGAAGTGTCTTCCAGAGCAGAGAGGCTGATGAGGGTTCATCTAGGGCAGGAACAGTGTGGAGGAAACAGAGACCAGATTCCACAGAAACACCAGATCTGCAGAATTTTGCATCAATGTGAGAAGTGAAGGGCTGAGAGTTATCAGGAGGGCCTGGGGGGCTTCTGGGTTAAGTGCATGGCAGTGGGGGTGGCTTTGATCAGGATGTAGATGAGAAGAGCAGGTGTTGGTAACTCAGCACCTCCAGACACGAGAACAATTTCCCAATATCTTAAACTTGAGACCCCAGCAAATTTTCATTTATCCTGATTACCGGAATGTTTCAAGGTCAAAGTTTGCAGTCATGGATGAATATCATGGAAGGCTGAGTATTTTAATTACATTTTAGTTCCCAGTGTTACCTCCTGCAGTAATTATCATAAGCATAGCTGGGAGTAGTTTTGCAGTACTAGAAAGAGAGAGAGAGAGCTGTGTTTTAAGAGTTGCTCATCCCAGGCTGGGTGCGGTGGCTCATGCCTGTAATCCCAGCACTATGGGAGGCCGAGGCAGGCAGATCACCTGAGGTCGGGAGTTTGAGACCAGCCTGACCAACATGGAGAAACCCCGTCTCTACTAAAATAATACAAAATTAGCTGGGCGTAGTAGTGCATGCCTGTAATCCCGGCTACTCAGGAGGGTGAGGCAGGAGAATTGCTTGAACCCGGGAGGCGGAGGTTGCAATGAGCCGAGAACACACCATTGCACTACAGCCTGGGCAACAAGAGTGAAACTCCATCTCAAAAAAAAAAAAAAAAAAAAAAGAGTTGTTCATCCTGCCTCTCTCAATGCCACCTACCATGTATGTATGCTTCCCTAATCATTTCCAGTAATTCTAGAATTGGGGCAGCCCATCATTGACTTAATTTCATGGGACACACTTGATATATTTACTTTTAAGGAAAGTAAGTTATAACCAATTTTGTTTTCAGAACTTGATGAGATCCTTGAGAAAAAGTGAAAACACCCTGCAGTAATAAAAAGCTGAACTTAGGAACTGTACATTTACATGATGGAAGATGAAAACCCAGGGTTTGGTTAGAGTCTAGAAGCAATTATGGCTCTTCTTCTCTCTCAACATCTTGTTTGTTTTGCTTTGTTAATGTAAAGCAAGCACCTCTGTTACTTCTTATTTTAAACCACTTCTCTATATACTCACTGTAAGCAAACATTCAGGGCTGAGGTAGGAGATAGGGACTTTCCAAGTAAAACTGTGTAGTGCTACAAGGAATAAAAACAAGTGCACAGACATTTTGTACACTTTATTTTTGATTAACAGTGAGAAAAAATGCAATAGTGTCATAGTTTTTTGTAGGCAGTCTCAGCTTTTTCGCCTTTACTTATTTCTTCCTTTTATTAATCTACATTCTTTTGTGCACCTTATTGAGTCATCCTCAGCTGCACTTCATCATTGCACTCCTTGGTGAGAATAATGTGGGTTTTCATGGTAACATCACAAAGTGTAATCAACAGTGGACCTTGATTCAGATAAACCTTTGCTCTCTTGGTGGTTCTAAATTACTAGCCATCCATCTTGTATCAGGCCACTTGAACACCTTTGAGCCTCCTTTCTTCCTAAGCACAGTAGACATAATGATAAGCTCACCTAAGAGGATTTATATGAAGATTAAATTGCATAAAGCAGCCTGGCACAGTGGCTGACACCTGTAATCCCACTACTCTGGGAGGCCAAGATGGGAGGATTGCTTGAGTCCAGGAGTTCAAGACCCCTGGGCAACATAGCGAGACTCCGTCTCTACAAAACAAAACAAAAAAGGCAAAAAAAATGTATAATGCATGTCAGAGCCATTAATATAGTCCCTGAAAGAAAAGAATGATAAAATAAGATTGCTGAAGTAGATAAAAAACCTAGGTAATGCTTTATAGGGCATTAAAATGGCAATTTGGGGGCTATCTTTTCTAATGGACAAGAATCATTCACACTGCTATCACACAGGAATCCTTTGCATCACTGTCCATTTTCTATAGGTATTCATTTACCCTTATAGATTGTAAAATATCCCAACCAACAGCAAACAGTAAATTAAAGAATAGCAGAGAAAGGCACCTACCCCTAGAGAATTGGATAATCTTGAGTGGGGACAATAATTCACTATGACATTGAAGGGACATGCAGTTATACTTTTGCCTATTTGCCTATTTCCAAGTGTTAGATGCATATATTTTTCCTTTACACTGCATCACAGGAGTTCAATAAGTGTTAGCCAGAAATTAGTGATTCTGAAATTACTATACATGAAATTCCATAGGACATTGGCAAAGGAGTAATAAGAGGACAATTGGTAGCATCAAGTGCTTGCACTAAGAAAAAGAACATTAAATATGACTATATTATGTTATAAAGGACTACCTGTCTACCTGATAGCTGAACCCAAAGAGAGACTGAGGTAGACTGAAGATAGGAATTTTTCTCAGAAAGAAATAAACTGGCTGGAATATAGACAGCCACAGTCGTAAACTGTAATGAACAGGTTAGAATGTCTGCAAAATATATAGTCAACTGAACCTTATTTAATTTACTTATATATCAAAGCAAGGAACAACATAAGACCCACAAAAAACTTAAAAATACTTTTTTCATGACCTCTCAAATTAGACTTTGTTAATTTTATTTGTCATTTCCCTTTCTTCTCTTTTGAATAACAACACTTAAAATATCTCATGCTCAAAAGAGAAATATTTAGTTCTCAAAGGTTTGACAGAAAATTGATAGAAGGCTCAAGCCCATCTTTGGACCAACTCTATGAGGAATACATAGGGTAAAGGTATGGGTCATAAAAGGCATCTGTAAGACAGCCCCATTGGGCAGCATCCATGCACAAAAGGCGTTATGGACAGCATGCCTGTGAAGATGCAGCTGGACCCCTCAGATCTATTTGTCTGTGATTTCCCTTTGGGCAGCATCACCTCTGTGCACCTCAGTTTCCTCATCAAGATGGACAATACGATTCCTCAAAGATCTAGAACCAGAAATACCATTTGACCCAGCAACCCCATTACTGGGTATATACCCAAAGGAATATAAATCATTCTATTACAAAAATACATGCATGCATATGTTCACTGCAGCACTCTTCACAATAGCAAAGACATGGAACCAACCCAAATGCCCATCAACGATCGACTGGATAAAGAAAATGTAGTACATATACACCATGGAATACTATGCAGCCGTAAGAAGGAATGAGATTATGTCCTTTGCAGGAACATGGATGGAGCTGGAAGCCATTATCCTCAGCAAACTAACACAGGAACAGAAAACCAAATACTGCATATTCTCACTTATAAGTGGGAGCTGAACAATGAGAACACATGGACACAGGGAGAAGAAAAACACACACAACAACATACCTGTCAGCAGGTGGGATATGGGGAAGGAGAGCATTAGGAAAAATAGCTACTGCATGCTGGGCTCAATACCTAGGTGATGGGTTGATAGGTGCAGCAAACCACCATGGCACACGTTTACCTATATAACAAACGTGCACACCTGCACATGTATCCCAGAATTTAACATTTAAATTTAAATTTTAAAAAGGATGGCCAATAATACACATTTCATTATGACTGTTGTGAGAATTAAAAGAGCTCACAGAGCTCTAGCACAGAGCCTCCCTGACACATAACATGCTAGTAAAGATGTACTAACTTTTATTTTCCCTTCCTATCTTCAAAAACATCAAAGTTTCCTTCAAACAAAAACCCAATCTATATATTCATGGAAATGTAAACATTCAATTAATCACTGCATTGTCTTTCTTTTGAAGCCCTCTTCACTGCTCCATTCAAGAAAAAAGACAAGGCAACTCAGGGAGGAACCAGAAAGCGATGGATTCACTAACCTTGTTTATCTTTCTGCTTTGTTTCCAGGATTGTATTTACTTCCTGATGTTAGATTCCTGGACACTTGAAACAAAAGTCAACCTTTCTATGCAAGGAAACTAACGGGCTGAAGTTTCCTTCCCTAGGGAAATCACAAGAAAGAATGCGGGATGGGAGGACACCCCCTGCTCACGTGTACTGCTGCTATCGTCTCATCCTAAGTTTTCTGCTGCACCAACACCCATTAATTCCTCTCGGAAAATGGAGAGAAGGATAACTTCAGCTGGGGCAGCACTTTGACCCTTCTGCTAGACTCAGTCCCCTGCTGGACTCATGAGCCAGGTCTGCATCTACAATGTGGGGCCCTCCTTCGCCCCCAAGAAGCACAGGAAGGCTTCTTTCAAGGCACCCTGTTCCTGCAGGCCAAACCCAGCTCCATGAGCATTATTACAGCTTAGTGCGGCATGGAGCAGTATCCCATATGTACTTTTATGTACCTGTACCAGCCCAACGAGCCAATGCCTTCCTGGCACCTGTCACTGAGCCCTCTGGTCAGATTCCACATCCTGCCTCTTGGGTGAACGGCGATCCTCACTCTCCTGCTGAGTCTCTGCCTTCCCATCCAGGAGCCACCTGGATCCAGAGGTACAGGGGTTCCAGGTTCTGGCTCCTCCTTGATCTGCCCCCTGCTGTGATGTCATAGCCTGCCCAGGCTCTGCCAGGAAATGCCCATGAGGGCTGGGACCACGTCCTTCATTCAACAAACTCGTGCAGAAGGGAGACAGAGATGGGAGCAAATCTCTCCCGGGACTGGAGTGGAGGCAGTGGGTTCCTGGGCAATTTTGTTGCAGATCAATTTAAGTTTTAGGTTTTGTGTAAGGATTTTCTGCCAGTGAGTTCTTGCTGAAGGGACCACCAATTTTGCATTCTACCAGGGCCAGGGCATAAACCCACTCTCAGGAAGCCCTGGGCATAGCCACCTTGCACCAGGCACATGTTATTCCTCTACCTCAGCCCAACACGAGCCCAGCACACGCAGGGTGGGGAAGCCAAGCACTTGCCCACTAGCTGCTGTCAAGTACATGGAGAAGGAGGCAAATCAGAACCTTTCATCTTATTCTTCGGGTAGAACATTCAACATGCAACATGCTTTTGGATAATGCATGACATCGGCCTCCAGTATTCAGAATACGCTGAGTGACTCTGTTTTGGTAAAGAGGCCAGAAGTTCCACCACCTAAAGTCATCTGCAGCATCATTACTGCTATATCTTTAGGGGAGATTACATGATCTTCAAGGGACCATTTCCTGTATAATTTCAATCCTCAATTTCCCGTGACTTGAAGTGGGAGTAATACTATAGCTCCCGCTCCACACACGGCATAAACCTCCTTCTCCCAGGATTGTTGTGAGGATTAAACAACTTGAAATGTGCAAATTATCTGGCACAAAAATGCATTCCAAAATTTACTAGTTCCTTTCCCCCTGCATTTTTGTGAAGAATGCCAGTTAATTTTAGTGAGGCAGAGCTACTGATTTAGTGACAAATGTACAAGCTTCTGGGAGACTTTAGCTCCAGCTCTGACACTTCCTAGCTATTTAATATGGTACAAGTTTGATGTGTCACTGTCTTCACAGCAAAATGGGATAACACTTATTTTGGAGGGAGTTATACATTGTAAATGAGATGACACATGTAAATATAGAACATCAGATAGCATATGCTCAGTTAGTACAGAGGCCCTTTGTCTCGCACACAGCAGGGCTCATTTATTTAAATACTGCACCAACAAGCCTGGAAAGCCAGTGTGCCTTCCAGGATCAGGCAGGCAGAATCCGCATCGGTACACTGTCCATAGATCACAATGTGCTGTGTGGACCATGAAGCCACTGGAGTTATTTCAAAATTTAAAAAAAAAGTCAGCTTCACCCAACAGCAAATTCAGCACAGACCTAGTTTCTGTTTTTGTTTTCATGTATTTTTCTATTCCATAAAATTACTTCAGGGCATATATGCAAATTACAAAGCATTTTAACTAAGATATACTTTAAAAGCCCAGAACATTTTCCAACCCAAATTAATACTATATCGTATATTAAATGCCCATCTGAAAAGTCCACAAATTTCACATAAACATGTGAGAGCTTTAGGAAACGGTGGAAGAGAATACAGATCACCCCTTTCAGTTACTCCAGAATATTTGATAAATTCCATTTAGAGATACCAGGAAAGATCAAAACTTCTACTTTTTAGGAATAACACTTAGACTGATGGCCATCTTCTTATCTCCCCGCTCCAGACCATCAACTTGACAAGGAAGAGCTAGGATTTAAACTGCTTTTTAAATGGCAAAGAAATTCCTTTTTCTTTAGGACAGAAGAAAAAACAATTTTCTTCCAACCTGTGCACAATATGGGTATTTGGTACAGTTTTCAAGGCAAAAAATCCTAGGGATTTTGCAAAGGACTTAGGACAAGACTA
The DNA here is from genome assembly GCF_000001405.40 of Homo sapiens. Lineage (NCBI taxonomy): Eukaryota > Metazoa > Chordata > Mammalia > Primates > Hominidae > Homo > Homo sapiens. The sequence goes on from NC_000007.14 coordinate 37,400,950, forward strand.
ATAGCCTTGTCTCATCTTGGTCCAAAAGTTTGACTCTTAGAATTGAAAGAGACATCCGCCTGACTGAATGCTTTCACCCTTAATTTTATCTGCAGAAGTTTAATTCAAAGGAAAACCCCTAGGAACCCTACACTGGGAGGAAGCTTAAGTAAGTGAAGGTAAGCTTGTCCAGGAAGAAGTGGGAAGCCAGAGCCCTGCCCTCTCAAATCCCATTCACTCTCCCTGCAGAGATGCCTACACTCATGTCAGAAATATGGGGCTCCATAAAACACAGTTTGAAAGTGATGGAATAATTCAGCCCTCATGCACAGATAAAATAAGGACATTGAAGGGATGGGTTCAGGACCTACCACCCCAAAACATGGCACCTTGGCATTTGAGAAAACAGCAGAAGCAGGAAGGTCACTCTTACCTTCCCCTCACCCCTTTTCTCCTAAAGCAGATCATAAAATCGAGGAAGGATTTTCTGACTTTTCTTTGAAGCACTTTGTAAGAGCCTCAGGAGACAGTGTATTAGTCTGTTCTCACACTGCTATAACGACATACCCAAGACTGGGTAATTTATAAAGGAAACAAGTTTAATTGACTTACAGTTCAGCATGGCTAAGGAGGCCTCAGGAAACTTATAATCATGGCAGAAGGGGAAGCAAACACATCCTTCTTCACAAGGCGGCATGAAGGAGAAGAATTCAGGCAAAAGCAGGGGAGAATCCCTTAAAAAACCATCAGATCTTGTGAGAATACACTCACTATCACGAGAACAGCATGAGGGTAACTGCCACCATGATTCAATTACCTCCTAGTAGGTCCCTCGCATGACATGTGGGGATTATAGGAACTACAATTCAAGATGAGATTTGGGTGGGCACACAGTCAAGCCATATGAGAGAGACTCCTTCCCTATACCCAAAGGAAAGGAGTTGAAGACATAGAAGTGAGAAGAAGAACCTGATCAAACAGGCCTTGCTAAATTTCTCACAGTTCATTACAATTAGATCACAGATAGCTCCTTTGTCCAATCATACATCTCTAAGACTGTCTACTCTTCACCAAACCTAAGCATAAAAATACACAGGTTTACCCGCTTCTTCAGGTCTTTCGTTCCCTATGAAGACTCCTGTGGCACGTAAAACTTACATCAAATACATGTGTATCCTTTTCTATTGTCAATCTGTCTTTTGTTATAGGGGCCTCAGTCATGAACCTGTTGATGAGTGGGAAGAAGCTATTTCCCCTCCCCTACAGCAACAAAAAGTTACAAGTGGCTCCAGCAATATTCTGCTTGATAAATGGATGAGGCCAGGTTGTGAGTGAGAATATCGTTACAGGAAGAAACCATGAGCAGAAATTAGAGAGACTCTAAATTACTGTTTCCTGGCCTCTATGCAGCTAGAGTGACGACAGAACCCATTTGGGGTCAGTAAAACATCAGAGAAAATCTGCTGGGTTTTTCGTGGGGTAAAGGGGTGTTCACTTTTCTGAAAAAAGGAACAAAATGGAAGGATAGCTCTTGGTGTTTCCCCTTCCTCTTTCTTCCTAAGTGTTTGGGAACTTGATGCCTGGTGCTACAGCCGCCATCTTAAGACCATGAAGTATGAGCAGAAGACAGAAAGCCAACATACTTATGGAAGAGTAGAGGGAGAGAGAGTCTGGATCCTTGAGGACAGTCTTGAGCTATTTAATGAATCTGAAGCCATCTGATCCCTGACTTCTGGTTAAGTAAACAATTAATATCCTTATACTAAAGGACACTGTTAGTCTGTATCTCACCCAGTAGAACACACTTCTCTGGATATTTCAGAATCAGGGTATTACACCTTAAAAGTAGTACCTGCATTTTTCCACATATTATCTTTAATTTCTGTTCCCAAACTACAGTCACATGGAAAATAAAAAAGCAAGGGGGAATGATGTAACCACCTTTGAAGATAGTTTGGTACCTTCTTACAGAGTTAAACGTAATCTTGTCATACAATCTGGCAATAATGCTTCTAGGTATTTACCCAAACAAGTTGAAAATGTATGTCCATACAAAAACCTGCACTCAAATGTTTAGAGCATTCTTCTTCCTATTTACCAAAACCTGCAAGCAACCGTGATGTCCTTCCATAGACGAATGAATAAACTGTAGTATAGATACACAATAGAATATTACTCAGCAATTTTTAAAATGAGCTATTAGGCCACAAAAAGACATGGATAAGTTTTAAATGCACATTTCTAAGTGAAGGAAGCCAGTCTGAAAAGCCTAAATACCTGTATGATTCCAATTATATAACATTCTAGAAAAGGCAAAACTATAAAGACAGTCAACAGTTCAGTGGTTTGCCTGGCACAGTGGCTCACACCTGTAATCCCAACACTTTGAGAGGGTGAGGTAGGAGGATCACTGGAAGCCAAGGTTTGAGACCAGCCTGGGCAACACAGTGAAATCCCCCCAACTCTGAAAAAAAATCACTGGTTTCCAGGGGTTTGGAGGCCAGGAGGACGGTAGGGGGGTGCATAGGTGAAGCATCGTGGATTTTTAAGGCAGTGAAATTATTCTGTATGATATTGTAACAGTAGCTACATGACACGGTGCAACTGTCTTTCTCATTTATTTATTTATCTTTAAGACAGGGGTCTCACTCTGTCACCCAGGCTGGAGTGCAGTGACATGATCACAGCTCACTGCAGCCTTGACCTCCTGGCCTCAAGCAATCCTCACACCTCAACCTCCAGAGTAGCTCGGACTACAGGCACACATCACCACACCCAACTATTTTTTTTATTCTTTGTAGAGATGGGGGTCTCACTATGTTTCCCAGGCTGGTCTCGAACTCCGGGCCTCAAGTGATCCTCTCACCTCAGCCTCCCAAAGTGCTGGGATTACGGGCATGAGCCACCATGCCCAGCCCATTATGCAATTGTCAAAACCCATAGAACATACGACACAAAAAGTGAATCTTAATGAACTGTTGTTGTTCATTCATAATAATGGATACTAGTTTAATTATAACAAATGTACCACACTAATGCAAGATGCTGATAATAGGGAAAACTGTGTGGATAGCAGGCATATATTGGAACTCACTGTGCTATCTAGTCAATTTTTCAGTAAATCTAATACTTCTAAAAAATAAAATATATTAATGGGGAAAAAAAGCAAGAGAAAATGAGGGGTGGGAAACAGAATCCCTAAAATTGTAATCATTTTTTCTCTCTAATCAGTCCAGAAAGAAATTCATTTTAAGGTATGCATGGGAAGGTTTGGGCCAGCACTTTCCATCCTCACTGGTCCACTCCCTCTCCCATACCACCAAGACCCATCTCTGAATGTCTAGGTGGCTCCCCCTTCCACCTTCACTCCGTGTGGCAGGCCTCTCCCATGCACACTGCATGCTGTCTCATACAGGTGACTGTGCGCCATGATTTCTATGGGTATCTTATGCTCTTTCTCATTTGGTCCTATCATGGCCACTCCCCGCCATTGGCACAGCTTTCTGGTGCATCCCTAGGTCCCACGCTATTTTTAACCTTTGATATTGACATATCTGACAAACAATGTATCCTTTAGATGCTTCTCCATGTTAACGGAAGTAACAACCTGGTATATAATAAATTCCCTGGGCCCTTCAGGTTGTTCCAATAAAGGTTCTCCTATAACCAAGACACTGTTTAAAGAAACACACCCCATCTGCGAGGCCCAGATGCCAATCAGTGTTGAGATGTTCCTCCTCTTTGTGGCAATGTAGCAAGGTTTGCAAACTTAGCATAAAAAGGAGATACTACACCCCAGTACCAAAAGTTTCCTGGATCTTTTTTTCCATAGTTTTCTTTGGGGCTTGGAAGGCTGGCTTAAATTTTTAGTTCTAAATAGATTGTGGTCGCAACTGGGTAATCGTTACTTGATGAAAAACAAAATATCCAGTTTTTAAAAAACATTCAGCTATTGCTTGGCTCACATCCTTTCCCCTCTTTGTTCCCCCCATTTTTAATTTTTTTCTGAATAAAATGCAAACAGCTCATGATCAGGAGTCCTCATTGTAACTATGGGCTCTGAAATTTGCCAGAATAAGGCGTTTGCTGAGCAATCATTTCCAGGAGAGAAGTCACTGTGGCCAGACCAATGAAGCAGTGGTAATGTGGGCCACCGGCACTGGGGGACTGAAATGGTCGTGTGAGAAAGCATAACTTTGAGTGACAATGGGATTTTATCTGAATGAATCTTTCCCAAGAATAAGGCATGGATGCTTTTTATACTTCAAGACCAAAACAACAACAATGGGGAAAAAAAACCCTAAGAATTCCTCCAAAAAGGTCAGGCTTTATTGCAGGTCCCAGCCCTTGCACATATTGTTCCCTCCTCCTGGAATGCCCAATGTTTCCGACCCCCTCCCCACGCCCCAGACTCCACCTTGTCTCACCTCTGCCCCCATGTCTGTCTGTCACACCCAGAGCTTGCTTATCTGCAGTTATTCTTCCAAATCACGGAGAAACACAAAATCCAGATAGGTCTTTTAAGTACAGCAAACACACTTCCGTGTGCTTTAACTGACACAAATATGTGTGATGAAATGAAATGCACAGAATCGCAAATGTTATCCTTATAGGCAATGTGTTCCTTCATTTCACATTTTAGGCAATCACAAAGCAATTAAACTTCTGTGTGCACGGGACACTGAAGTCATGTGTGGCATGCTTCCTGGGACTCAAGGCGTCGGGCTTGTTAATGGGAAGGAGGGAGTCAGAAAGATAGGCTTATTCATTCCCTGGCAGTTAAAATACAGACTGGCTGAATCAGCCCAGCCAATCCTCCTCCGATACTCCAAAGGCTTTCCAGGGGAAACCAGAGTGTCTTGAACTTGCTAGCCTCAGAGGACAGTGCATATGCTGTCCCGCCCCAGAGGTCAACTCCGCTGGTCCCAACAGCTAGCCTCTGGAAAGTTGGCCTCAAGAGAGCTGACCACGAGAGCATGGGTCAGAATTCACTGGAGAACCCATCCTAATATGGAAAATGTCAACACTTGCTTCCCTTATCAGTAATTCCCAGTCCACCGCAGCTACAGGCAGAATCAGAAGTCAAGCTCAAGCTGCAGAGCTGAGATACCACTGGGATCTAGGGGTATTTTCAAGCCGTTAAGCAGACCTCATCTCCCACTCCTTGCATCTTAGGGTTCATTCCATCATTCATGGGAATGCTTGAGTACTCACGCTGGTTCAGGCCCTGTGTATAATTAGTTTGGGAAACAGAAGCTTCTTGTTAGTGAAAATAAAGATGGTACAAGTGAAAAATCTGCAGTTGGTGCAAGGGAGAAATCTGCAATATTACTCTTTTGTTTTTTTTTTTTCTCTCTTTGTATATATTCCACCCTCATGGCAAATATGAAAGATTTCCATTGGATGAGACACTGAACTCAGTAGCCACAACAATGAGGGGCATAATGCAATGAAACTAAAAACATATTCTTAGGAAAGAAAAATGAAAGTGAGGAAGTAAGAAAATTTTTTTTTTTTATGAGACAGAGTCTTGCTCTGTCACCCAGGCTAGAGTGCAGTGGCGCGATCTCGGCTCACTGCAAGCTCCGCCTCCCGGGTTCACACCATTGTCCTGTCTCAGCCTCCCAAGCAGCTGGGACTACAGGCAGCTACCATCACGCCCGGATAATTTTTTTGTATTTTTTTTTTTAGTAGAGACGGGGGAGGGGTTTCACCGTGTTAGGCAGGATGGTCTCGAACTCCTGACCTTGTGATCTGCCCGCCTCGGCCTCCCAAAGTGCTGGGATTACAGGCGGGAGCCATCGCACCAGGCCAAGAAAATATTCTTAGTCTTGTTTTTTGCATCTTTAAAATATAGCATTAGCTAGAGGATCTCAAAGGTCCTTCCAAGATTAAAATGGTATGACTCACTAATAATCAGGAAATATAAATTAATATAACAGTAAGATAGATACCCACATTCACTCTTCAGATAGGCAAAGATGAAAGAATTCATCAGTATTAACTGTCAGTAAGAATTTGTAGTAAACAGAATCACATACACTGCTGAATTGGAGGGTAAATTAATATAGCCTGTGTGGAGAACACTTTGGTAATTTATAATAGCGTTGAAAAAACTTACAGCTATACAAAATCTGCACGCATGTTTACAGTAGCCTAACATATACTTGACAAAACTCAGAAGCAACTAAGATGTCCTTCAACAGGTGAGTGAATAAACAATGGTACATCCACACAATGACACAGTATTGGGAGATAAAAAGAAATGAACTATCATGCCATGAAAGAACATGGATGAGGGTCTGGCGCGGTGGCTCACGTCTGTAATCCTAGCACTTTGGGAGGCCGAGGTGGGCAGATCACGAGGTCAGGAGTTCAAGACCAGCCCGTCCAACATGCTGAAACCCCGTCTCTACTAAAAATACAAAAATTAGCCAGGCGTGATGGTGGGTGCCTGTAATCCCAGCTACACAGGAGGCTGAGGCAGGAGAATCACTTGAAACCAGAAGGCGGAGGTTGCAGTGAGCTGAGACTGCACCACTGCATTCCAGCCTGGGCGAAAGAGTGAAACTCCATCTCAAAAAAAAAAAAAAAAGAACATGGATGAATCTTAAGTGCTATTTCTAAGTGAAGGAAGCCAGCCTAAAAAGGCCACAGACTGATTCCAACTATATGTCATTCTGGAAAAGGCAAAACTATAGAGACAATAAAAACATCGGTAGTTGCCAGCAATATGCAGTGAGAGAGGGATGCATTTGTGGACTGCAGGGGATTTTTAGGACAGTAAAATTCTTTTGTATGACAGAATAATGGTGGATAAACGGCATTATGCATTCGTTCAATCTCATAGAACTGTAAAAAACAAAAAGTAAACCCTAAGGCAAACTATGAACTTCAATGAATAATAATGTATCAATATTGGCTCATTGCTTGTAACAAATGTTAATAAGAGGGAAGCCCTGCTGGGGAAAGAGAGGATATGGAAACTGTACTTTGTGCCCAATTTTTCTGTAAACCTAAAATTTCTCTTAGAAAAAAATTGATTAATTTTTAAAATATTTATTAATTTTAAAAATAGTAACTTCAAAAAATTGTGTCAAGTCTGTAAGTGAATTTTACATTGGTAAAGAACATTGAATACCACAATAAACATATACAGTAGCATTGGATTTTATATCCACACTATATTTGTAACCTTGTGTTCCCCATACTAAAGAAATAGCTATCATGCAGCAAGGGTTCAATAAAATAATGCTTGTGAAACTGCTCTGAAAGCAATAGAAAGCCTGGCAGAGGTTTAATTCTAATCACAACCGGTTACACAATAGATATACATAATGAAGTTGAAACCCCCAGGAAGAATCTGGGCAGTCTGGCTACCTGATTGTGCATCACTGTCTAAGACACATTGGAAAAAAGATGACAAAGAACTCAGATAAGCCCCTACGCTCTGTCTTTCCAATGCATTTCAACGAGATTCTGCTGTTGGTAGGAAGTGGAAAAAATAACCGCAGAGCAACATTGGCACTACTGTGTACACTGCAGCGTTAGTCACAATAGCCAGGAGGGAGAAGCAGTCTAAATATTCATTAATAGATGAAGGGATAAAGAAACGGTAGGAATATACATGCAATGGAATATTATTCAGCCTAAAGCAGAAGGAGATCTTGTCATGTGCTACAACTCAGATAAACTTTGAGGACATGATGCTAAGTGAGGTAAGCCGGCCACAAAAAGACCCATGCTGCATGGTTATACTTCTAGGGATTATTTAAAGTAGTCAACCTCTTAGAAACATAAAATACAGTGGTAGTTGCCAGGGGCTGGGGAGAAGGGAAAGGGGAAGTCGTTTTTCAGTGGGTATAGATTTCCAGTCACTCACAATGAAAAAGCTCTAGAGATCTGCTGCGTAAGAATGTGCATATAGTTTATGCTATTGTGCTGTATACTTCAAATGGTGAAGTTGTAAATTTTGTGTTGCTTTTTACCACATGCAAAAAAATTGTTTTAATAAAATAACAGCCCTGAGCATGACTTTCACAGAATAATCTGGAAGTTTAAACATTGTTTACACATCGGGCCATGGCACCGAAAGCCTAAGTGAAACTCTGAAACAACGGAAAGCACAGAGTTCAGAACAAACTCAGCACAATATCAGCAGAAAGGTGATCCGGAAGCTGACACACAGCAGAGTTTTGCAAGTGAAAAAAAAAAAAAAGTGAACAAAATTCCTAAAACCTACTGGATGCCAAAAGTTCGTGGGTAGCTTTTTAGGTTCTGACCTTACTTTGAACTAATGCTGACATCTATTAAATAACTTCCCTTAACTAGTGATAATAATGAAGAGAGCTATCATTAACGGGTCACTAGTTTTATGCTGATTTATATGTATCATTTCATCGACTCCTCTTAGCAACTTTATATGGCAAGTGTCCTGGCTGTGTACTGCTGTGTAACAAACTATCTCCAGACTTACTGGCTTCACACAACAACAATCACTTCATTTTTCTCATGAAACTACCATTTGGGCAGGGTTGGGTAAGTATGGTTTGTCTATGCTCCATGCACAGTCAGCCAGGGCAACTCAACTGGGGCTTGCTGGGGGATCCACTTGTAAGATGGTCACTCATATGGCTGGAAAGTTGAGGCTAATTGTTAGATGGGAACTCAGCCAGGCCCGTGGGCCAGAGGCCTCAATTCCTCCCACTTGGGACTCTCCACGGGCTGTTTGGGCTTCTTCACAGCATGGTGGCTGGGTTCCAAGAGCTACACTGCAGAGCAAGATGGAGGTGAATAACATTTTTATGATGTAGCCTTGCAAGCCATATAGTATCACTTCTGCTATGCTCTGTTGGTCAAAGCTGTCACAACATTCCACTCAAGATCAAATGGAAGGAACATAAACCCTATTGCTAGATGGCAGGAGTTTCACAGGGATATTGTAAGATCATGTATGATAAAAGATACTGGCATGACCATTTTGGACAATACAATCTACCACAGTAAATATTATCATTATAATCCCCATTTTGCAAGCAGGAAAACTGAATCTTGAAAAGGTAATTATCTCCCTCCTTCCCGCAAAGTCACATAGCTATTAAGCAACGAAGCCAGGATCCAAAACCAGATATATCTGACTCCCAAGTCAGAACCCTTAACTACTATGACTATTTTGCTTCCGACTTCCTTTACAATTCCTGCTGTAATTGCTCTAGCTCAGAGAGTCTCTAACTTCTTTGCATAGGCAGGATTATTTTATGTAATTGACATGAAAAAAAATGAACTCCCCAGTACTATTGCAGTTTGGTGACTGACACATAGAAAGCTCCCTAAAGTTTTGCTAAATTAGATGTGTCTTCTCTCCTCTACTAAAGTATAATCTCCTTGAAAGAAAAAAACAAGTTTAGTAAAACCTGGTATCCACATAAAATTTAATTCAGTTCCTTGATCACAGCAAGGGTTCAGTAAATGCTTATTTGAAATGTATCTACTTGTCTTCATGTCTTTCTCTCCAACCCTCCCCACAACCCCATACTGTGAGCCACTAAAAAGCAGGGACAGAGGGCCAGATGCCTCAGTTCCAGTAACCTTCTGCTCTAGCCCCTCCCACCCCTTAACACACACACAGCCCTACACAGTGGGTCTTCTACAAATGTTATAATGAACAAATGAATGAATAAATGACATACATGGATGAAAATGAAATGAACAGTAATCCAGATTTCTAATCACTTTCTCCATTCAAACAAGGGAAAACTAATACAATGAGAAAAACTAGGGCCCATCATAGAGCCTGCTGGCCTACCCCTAAAGGAAGGCAACCTGACACATTTTGGTAGAGAAACAAAAAACAGTGGGTTTCCTGTTGGAGAAAAAAACTGCAAAGGGAAGAAGACATGAGTGGAAAGAGTTTTTAGCTAACTAAAGAAAAGGATGCAATTCATGAGCTATATGCTGTGACACTTTTTGTCACCCTCCCTCTGTGGATCCTGGGGTCAGTGCAGAAGGCATCAGGATAGAGGAGGAAGAGAATTAATGTTTACTGCACACCAGGCACTCTGCTAAGTAAGAGTTTGGCTTTTACTCCCACTTACACATTTTCATAATAAAACCCGGAACAGCAAGAACAGGAAGTAGGAACAAGAAGTAGTATAACATTTTCCTGGTTCTCAGAAAACCATTTTAAGAAATAATTATGGAGATGTAGCAACTAATTCTACCTTACCAATATTCTAAATGGGAAGTCCCACAGATATTAATACTGGATTGTTAGTGGATAAATTCAAGGAGCAATATTATTCCCTGTCCACATCTTAGCAAACAAAGTTCCCTCTCTTTCATTTACCGCTAGCCGTTGGTTTCTTCTAGTTTTTCAACATCCTACAACACTTTATTTTAAAACGAAATCACTGTAACAAGCTATTATGCTCTTTCTTTTCCAGGAACAAGTGGGTACAATAAATTGTAGCAGTGATGAAAGTGGAAAGTGACAGTGGAGAAAAATTAATATCCTCGTGCTTTTCATCCTCAAAATTCTTTAAATAAAATTTAATTTTCTGGCTATTGCCCTTTAAGTGTGCTAAGTTAGAGAGAGAGAATGTATTCAGCTTTTCCAACTTCTCTATTGTATTAGAGGGTCCCTTTTCATACAGTCTACAGAAATGGCCATACAGTCCACAGAAATGGCATTTTTGTGTGTGTGCGGGGCCAAGGAAGAAGGGGGAGCCTCAGAAGTGTATTGTTATGTTGAGAAAACTAATATTCATATGACTAATGAGCATATTTTTTCCTGATCTGGTTCATAAACTTTTTCCGTTATTCTGGTAATTATCAAAGACACTTAATTCAGAAGCATCACATTCTCCACTTCTCAGAACTCTGCCTCCCACTCCAGCAGGAACGTCATGTCAGATCACATGGTCATGGAGGGCTTCAGCTTTGATACTGCTGAGAATGGTGGCTCATGTCTTTCACTGCTTTAAACACAGTGTTATGGTTCAGTACAAGTACATATTTAATTAATATGCTCCACAGAGGAGAAAATTCTGTTCAAATTAAAGTCCCTTCCTCACGCTCAACTACTTCCTACCTCTGCTCTCTCTCACACACACACAAAAACACACACACACAAAATGTTTTGGAAGAAATTATTCTAACCATCATTCAGTGCTACACATCATCATTCAAACTATGTGTTTATAATTCAGAAAATAATTCTTACAATTATATTTTGCAAAACAACATGAAATCCTTTTGTTCTTTCTTCAAAGGAACAACTGAACTCCAAAAGAAAAAAATCACAGGAAGGAATGGATGGGTCCATGAAATGGCTTCCAGAGAGTTCTATTCTCAGGAGCCAGGGCGTTTGTGGGGTCCTCCTGGACACTGAGGAAAGGCTGTGCCAGCCCCCTTCACCACCACCTCAGCCTGAGCCCCTGACTTCTACTTTATCTGTCTTCTATAGGAGGCTTCTGTGGTAAGATGTCTCTTGGATAAATTGCCAATTTCTACTTTAAATGACTAGTTTAACAGATGAAGACATCATATATACCATAGTTTACCAATCAAAAAACTACAGTGTGCCAACTACTGTAGTTAAACACTGTGCAGACACAACAACTAAAGAAAAACTAATGCAACCATCATTTTAGCTTGTCATTTTTTTTCAAGAATGTATTGGTTTTAAAACATGGGTGCATATCCTTGGATGCTCCTCCCCTTAAAAGGTGAACCCTCTTCCCCTAGACCCACCTTAGTGACTCCTCTCTAACATGCAGAGTGTGTGGGAAGCTATGCTATGTGATTTCAAAGGCTAGGTCAGAGAAAAAAGATGCCACATGATTGTCTCTCCCTGAAACTTTCACTCTGGGGGAGGCCAGACCCCATGTCATAAGGACACTCAAGCAGCCCTAAGAGACATCCACAGCCAGCAGCAGCTTGTCAGCCACAGGAGCACATCATCTTGGAACAAGTCCTCCAGCCCCAGTCCAGCCTTCAGATGACTGCAGCCCCAGCTGACATCTGACCACCACTTCACAAAGGACCCTTAGCCAGAACCACCTGGCTAAGCTGCTCCTGGGTTCCTCAACCACTAAAATTATGAAAGAGAATAAATTATTCTTGTTGGGTCAAGCCACTAAGTTTTGTGGTGATTTGTTAAACAATAATAAGTCACTAATAGGAGACATAACTTGACCAAATTTTTTTTTTGTTTTTTTTAATTTTAACTGCTTCACAACATTTAGGCTCAAGATTCTTAATACTTGCTCTGTCTGAAATCCTCCCTCTTCTCCCTTCCCCTTGCACACAAGACTTTCCTCATCTCTCCAGGAATCTTTCCTTGCCTCCTCCAAGCCCAACAGCCCTTTTTCCAAGCCTAGCTTTCCTCTTCGTCCTTTGTATTGTGGTTATTTGTGTGTCTGTCTCATCTCCCTGACCAGACTGAAAGACCAGGAAGGCTAAGGAAGTCTTGTTCAACTTTGAATCCACAGAAAATACCTTACACATAGTGGGCTTTTGGTTGATTTACTGAACAAAAGAAGAAAATACCAGTTGGTACAACCTGGCAAGCAGGACAATCACCAAATGAACCAAACTGTCTGAAGATATTTTTCACTTCTCAGAAGAAATCCCCTTGGCCAAAAATGAGCATCCAGGTAACATGCAAAGTATGCCCTTAGCTCTCTTTTTCTTGCCATCTAAAGTTCCAGCATGTCACTCAGGAAAACACCCTTCAGCACTTTCCTTTTTTGGGGGCAGTTGTGGGGGAGACAGAGTCTTGCTCTGTCACTCAGGCTACAGTGCAGTGGCGTGATCTCAGCTCACTGCAACCTCTGCCTCCTGGGTTCAAGCAATTCTTGTGCCTCCGCCGCCCAAATAGCGGGGATTACAGGCGCACACCACCACGTCTGGCTAATTTTTGTATTTTTAGTAGAGATGGGGTTTTGTCACGTTGCCTATTCTGGTCTGGAACTCCTGGTCTCAAGTGATCTGCCTGCCTCGCCCTCCCAGAGTGCTGGGATTAGGGATGTTAGCCACCACACCAGGCCACTTCAGCATGGCAAGAACAGAGGGAAACTGTGAAGTAGCAAAGTGAAAAGGTATATGACAGAAGTCAATTTACCTCCACTTTAATATCAAAATAATATTTTAATATAATTAATATCATTTAATATCAAAATAATATTGAGTGAATGATTCCATAATGAATCATGGAATTCATTTGAATGATTCATTCCATTCATTTTCCACTAAGAAAATTAGAAAACATTATTTGATATTAGCAGCCAACATCCATATCTTATCAGGTCTGTGGGATTGGTAATGGGAAATTGAAATATGCTAAACAGTACCTCTTAGTATCCTGCTGGAAAATCTTTCTATGTTTAGGGACAACTACAGAAATATTCACCAAAAATATCCGAGGGGGAAAACCCCTGTACATTACATGTAGAATATTAACACCTACAAGGTGGAGAAGAGAGAGGACGGATAAATTCATTAATCTAAATTAAGCATATCCAGGTCACTGGCTATGGTGGATACTTGTTGGGGCACACATACACCAAGTCACTCTTCTTAAAAATTATCTAATGTTTGTTCTGGCATTCTCTGATCGCCACCCTGCTGGTGTGTTGGGGGAATCTGCCCTGTGGCCAACTCCAAAGTCCAATCCTGTTTGGCAGAGACAGAAAAAAAGAAACCCTAAATGACCCAGAGAGTGGCTGAATCAATCTAATTCTGTAACTCACCATACCTCTAATCTTTTCAATGATATAAGCTTTTATTGTTTAAGCCAGTCGGCATTCAATTTTCTGTTTCTTACCATCAAAGTCATTCTACCTGCTGCATTGGAAAAATCTACCACACATCCCTGGGTATGTTACAATGAACCTTTCCCTGTGGGAATAAAACAAGAGCAAATAAAGAAGTAAACGCTGGGCAGGAACATTGCAAAAACACTAATAATCCTTTTTTTTCTTCCTGCAGACTGCAATGCACGTAGCTTGCAGTAAAAATCTTGAGAAATATCTAAAGCCAAAAAAGCTATTTAATGGTTTAAACCAGTTATCTAAGTTGATTTGACCTTGGTATTACCAATTACACAAAACCAAGTAATATCCTACCTTCTGACATACATACTTTGGGGCCTTGGTACTCATCTTCATGGCAAGTAAGCTGATTCTTAGTTATATGCATACAAAGCCTGTTAATTTTTAAATCCACACTCATTTCTCTTGCAATCTGGAGCCTTGTTGGAATATCTCTCACTGCTTTCAGCTACTGCCTGAGCAAATTAGCATGCATGTACTCCTGAACAAAATAGATTGAGCAAAGCGAATCTGTGGCTTCCAAAGTTATGTTACGTGAAAATACAGAGGTCTTTGGAATCACTGAAAAGTTCTGGGCTGTATGTGCATTTCTGTCTTCAAATGCAAAGATGTCCCTACATCTTCAACATCAAGAGTGTAGGGTTTAAGAGCATAGTTCCAGAGTCAGAGACTACGTGAGTTCAACTCTTGGCTCTACCACTTTTAAATTGTGTCGACTTGGCAAGTTTATTTCCCCAGTCTCAAGTCCTTATTATAAAATGTGAGTTATGATAGACAGTATGTAAAGTCTAGCGTGGATATAAAAATTTAATGATCGTAATAATAATTCATATAAAGCAGGCAGCACAGTACCTGGCACATAATAAAGGTACAACAGATGTTTCTTGCTGTGATTGTAATATCTGCAATTGATACTGGAAAAGAAAATAATTAATGCATGAAAAAATGTATCTTCCCAAAGATATATCAGGGCTTCAGGGAAAAGAAACGTGAATTAAAGTAATAATAACTCTCAATATAAAGTGAGTGGATCCAACTTAAAGTTAAACATTAATTCTTGATTATTTGCTTTGGGAAGAGGAAGGAACAGAGTACATTAAAAATAAATAATACCCCAACAACTCATAAACCCAATAACTACAGCACAGCTTCAACATGTCTTAGAACAAAATTCCCAAAACAACAAGAGACCCATGTACAAATTAAGTTAAAAACATATTCCATAATGAAATCTACAGTCCTAAAAACCAGCATTTCAGATTATCAGTAACATTAAATGAGCATACAAATTCAAACCTGTGTTTTCAGATTTGCGGCTGACCTACAACAGAAATAAATGAACTAACTAGAGATAACTCCTTTATTGGGCTTCCATCTAAAGCTAAGCTTTACTTAGGCTTTCAAATTGTTGCACTTACTTCCTAAATCAGATATGCCACCAAAACTGCCCACTTTTGTCAACTGTCAGGAAAACTGACAATACGAAGTTCACAAAGACGAAGCAGGGAAGAAAATAGCAATTTGACTTGCAGTCCACTCTCAGGTTTTAACCGTATGGAAAATTTTATATACACATATATTTTCCAAAGTTATGGAATATGGTTTAGAATCTCAGGAATCCCATTCTCACTGAATAATTAAACTGGGAGAATGAGAGGTTTCACACCATGACAATGCCACTATCAGAACTTACTGAACCCCAGAAAGGACCTATGGCCACCTCACCCAGAGGAGCAGGCTTGTCCATGCACACGCACAGACCACAGTATGAATGATGCCCCTGGAACTGGATAATGCATAATCTCCATTTCTTAGATTCCCGCCCTAAAAGGAGGGCCACATTTGCTTACAACAGCTCAAGGCCTAGATTCTCTGGAATTTTCCCAAGAGAGTTATTTTGCATTTGCTTACAATTTGAAAGCCTAAGTAAAGCTTAGCTCTAGATGGAAGCCCAACGAAGAAAGTATCTCTAGTTAGTTCATTTATTTCTGTTATAGGTCAGCTGCAAAGAGTAGCATAAGAGATTTTAATCAAGCAAATACTTGGAGCAAAATTAGTGCTGACAACAATCTTGTAAGCAAAATTTGTGTGCAGGTGAGTCAGAATGTGTTTTGTGGCACTGAAAGAGTTAACCACCTGTCCTATCAACAGTGTTTACTTTTGTGTTTGGCTCATTCACTTCCTCAGTTTCTCCACAAACCTAGCTTATGAAATCAAATGACTGCAAGCAACTAGCTGTAAAAGCTAAACCCCTACTGAGCACTTTCTATGAGCGTGATACTCTGCCAAGCATGATTTCATTTAATTCTCTCAACGATCCTAGAAGAGGGCACCGTTTTACAGCCAAGGAAACTGAGGCACAGAAGTTTTGCTGGTGGACACACCACTGAAGAGGGGATAGAAAGACTGGACCAGAGGCAGCTGTTATGCATGGAAAGGCGTCCCCTGAGAAAGACACGTTGAAGTCCTTTCCTGCTATCTGTGAATGTGACCTTATTTGGAAATAGGTCTCTGCAGACATAATCAAGTTAAAACGAGGTCATTTGGGCAGGTGCTAACCCACTAGGACTGTTATCTTTATAAAAAGAGGAAGATGTCTACTAAAAAAATGCAAAAATTGGCCAGGCGCGGTGTCTTACGCCTGTAATCCCAGCACTTTCGGAGGCCGAGGTGGGAGGATCACGAGGTCAGCAGATCGAGACCATCTGGCTAACATGGTGAAACCCTGCCTCTACTAAAAATACAAAAACAAAATTAGCTGGGCATGGTGGTGGGCGCTTGTAGTCCCAGCTACTCGGGAGGCTGAGGCAGGAGAATGGCATGAACCCAGGAGGCGGAGCTTGCAATGAGCCAAGATCACGCCACTGCACTCCAGCCTGGGAGACAGAGTAAGACTCCGTCACACACACACACACACACACACAAGCAAAAATTAGCTGGGTGTGGTGGCACACACCTGTAGTCCCAGCTACTCGGGAGGCTGAGGCAGGAGAATCGCTTGAACCTGTGAGGCAGAGGTTGCAGTGAGTCGAGACGGCACCATTGCACTCCAGCCTGGATGACAGAGCAAGACTCTGTCTCAAAAACAAAAGAGGAAAACGTCATGCAAAAACAGACACACAAGAAGGCAGCCATATGAAGATGGAGGCACAGCTTGGAGTGATACTGCACAAGCCAAGGACCACCTGGGGCCACCAGAAGCTGGAAGGGGCAAGGAAAGACCCTCCCCTGGAACCTTCAGGCCAACTCCTTGATTTTGGACTGCTAGTTTCTAGAGCTGTGAGAGAACAAATCTGCATGGTTTTAAGCCACCCAGTTCATCAAAAGATGTTAAGGGAGCCCCAGGAAACAAACTCAACATTGCAGGCTCTCCCCAGCTACTCTTTCCTGCCTCCATTTTCTTTCCACTTGACCTGACCTATCTGCTAAGAGACAGAAACCAAAATTTTCATTCCACCTTCTTTTTCTGGACTTGAGATTGCTACAGATAGAAAGTGCAGCACATTTTGAACTGTCTTTAACAGTGTGTTTTTTAAAATTAATTTTCACATTAGAGCATTCTACCCCTAAGTATTTTCTAGATCAGCTCAGGCATCTCTGCTCCCCATACCTCTACCCCTGACAGCAGCCTGCAGCACCACAGTACTCCAAGCAGTTAGCAACTTCAAAACAGATTTTCAAAGTGCAATATCTGGTGGCCTGGCCCAGTACATTGCAATAAGGTAAGGCCCGTAGGGAGATTCCAGAATCTGGAACTGGATCTGCCCAGGCCCCTGGGGTGAGCAAGACCTCTGGCAAGGAGAAAGAGCTTCAGTAGTGGGAAGGGACTGTGCTGTGCCAGTGCAACTCTGTATCTGGTGAATAGCAACACCATGGATGCGTCAGAGTCAGCTCAGATAACCTCGGTCAGATGCTGACCTGCAGAAGTCTCAGGCAGGGCCAAGCGTGGAGATGGAAAATCCAGAAACACACAGATGCGGGCAGGCAGAATCACAGAAGTCATCTCGCAGGTATTATAAGGAGGTGTCAGTCATCAGGTTAAGCGTGGGAGGCAAACTGCAGCTTCTGCAGTGAAGGGGCAGTGAGGCGAGATGGGGATGGTAAGAGTCAAGTGCCCAGCTCTCAGGGTGCTGCAGAGGCTAGGAGTCGGGTACTCGCAACAAGACTAAGCAGCTACGGAACATGAGTCGAGGGAAGAAGAGCACCCAGCGTGATTGAGATCTCTCCAGTGTTGGGTCCCAGGGTCCTAGAGACTCCCCCATAACCCCACTCCTACCCCCCAGGACTGAGCCCGCAGAGGAGGATGCTGGCAGGGAGAACAGAAACAGCCGCTCAGGATGCAGGCAGGCTCTGACCCAATGTGGACTTCTAAATGCCTTAGCTGAAATGCAGAAAGCATTTTCTGGTAGAACAAGGCTAGGTTTCCAAGCTCGGAGAAAACCCAAAATAATACTCTTAAAATATTTGTAATTAAAAATCTAAATAGAAGGCTATGATAATTGAGAAGAAAGTAGTATTTTTTACCTTTGTTAGAGTACTTGGTGAACAGCAGAATTAATTAGGAGAACAGGAGGAAGAAGATGGAGATGCTATCTGGAAATGTCAATATATTCATGGGCCGTTTGTGATTGGATGGGTTTGTTTTGTTTAATCTGTTTTCTACTAAAAATGTATGATTTTTTTCTTTGTTGTCCTCTCAGGGTTGTTGTAAAATTAGATATGATAATATGTGATAACACTTTGGAAACAGTAAAATGTTAGGGCAAATTAAGGCTGCAATATTGCCATTTACATAGAGGTGTCAGAACTATCACTATTTAAATAATTGTATACAATTTGCTAGATGCAGAAAACTATAAAGATGAGAGGCCTCCTGGTGCTTACCAAGGCTGTCTTCTTACACTGACTGAAGCAGAGAAAGAGGAAGCAGAGTAAACCTATACCATGTGCACCTCAGCCCAGGCCCTGTGTGTGTGCCTGGTCTGTATTGTAAATGCAGGGAAATGGAGTTGAAGAAAAAAGTACTATAAAGATGAATAAAGTTTGGTCATATGTGTATCATCCAGAGATGACCAGTGGCAACATTTTCATATCATTTATTTCAGTAATTTTTAGTTTACTTATTTTTACACAATTGAGTTCACACTATTTCACATCATGCTGTTTTCACTTATATGCATTTTCCCTTGCACAAAACATCCTATCATCATTTGTAATTGCTGCAATATTCCATTGCATGGTGATATAATTCAACCATTTACCGGTCTTTGGAGAAGGAGGATGTTTTCACGATTTACACATACCTAATACAAATCACTGGGGGCTTTCAGAGGCTGAGAGGTAAGGCCCCTGAGTCAAAGCACAGGACGAGTCTTGTGCTCTCAGTACCAATAGCCAAATGGCCTCCCAGCAAGGCTGCAGCACTGTTCACTCCAAGGGCAATGTGAAAATAAGCTGCCCTGGCACACTTCAACAGCACGAAGTGCTCCATGGGTCACCTAGCAAAGATGGTTTTATTAGGTAGTAAGAAGGGGAAAAACACATTTTATACTTGGACATTAGGAGCAGAGATATATTACCATGAAGCTAAGAAACCGTAATCTTCAGAGCCTTCCACTTGACTAAGCCCTGCCCATTCTCATTCTAAATAAACCATTCACTTTTGTACCTGATTTTGTGTTATTTTCATAAAGGGGGCTCCACAAAATGTGGATGGATCCATCACTGTCTAGGAAGAACATTTGAGGCTGTGCTCGATAAACCAGTGACACTTTCCACAAGCACAGAGCTAAACTACATTGCCTGGCCTTTCCTGCGTGTGCCACAGCTGGGATTAGGTTTTGGCTAAAGGAAGGTGGCATGCTGGCTAGACACTGATGCCCCGTGTAACTCCACTGACCACTTTGTTAGAAGACTTGGTGAACAGCAGAATTAATTAGGGGAATAGGAGAATGCATTTTAAAGTGATCAAATACTTCACTCTTATTGTATTGTCACTGATATTTTGGGGTCATTTATAACAGCTTTTAGCATTAACTACAGTGACTAAAGCAAAGCCTTCCAAAACTTAGCCACACGTGACCTGTCCATCTTGCTGGCTCTCTTCGGATGCCTGTATCACAACTGCCTTACTAATTTGGCATCTTTCATTCTTACTTCCAACCCAAGCAAGCAAACTGATTTACACCAAGTCTACACACTTGTATCTGATGGCCTCAGATTTCACTGCTGCAAACCTGCTTCTGCCATGCAGTATGTAAAAGTGAAGCCCAGAACCCTAAGCCACATCTTCCTCTTAAAAGCACACTCTGAGCAGTACAGACTAACCTCTTCCTAATGAGGAGATGGAGCAAGTGGCAGAGTTAAACAATTTCCACCAAACACTTTAGAATCCTGAGTTTTCTGCAAAGGAGCACAGATGTTCATATCTCTGACAGCAGCCAGAAGCCTCTGCCAACACAACAGCCCATTTCAAGAGAAAAACAGACACAAATACTAAGTATATGCCAAGTTTCCTCTCAAATAGCTTTCCCCCGTTTTCTTATTTCATCCAGTTTGACGTTCTTTCTACCTTGCCCACCACATATTTTCTGATCTCCCAGTGCTCACCCATTTTGCAATGATCAGCCAGAAGGGCTCAAAATTGCTTGCACCCTTCCGAAATACATTCTGCTCTATATCCAACAACTTCCTCAAGCCCCTTATCAAAATATCACAAGTTCCTTTGGGCCACGATTAAAGTTCTCACCCCAGATGCTATAAATCTTTCCCTGTGAGGATAGTCCTCATGATATCAAAGCTAAGAACAGTCAAGCCTGGAGATTCTCGAATATAATCACAACTCCTAAACGCCAGGCTGTTTTGAAGGCAGCACATCAATTCATTCCTGGGTTCTTAGGGGCTGAATATGCAGCACATGGATGAAGTTGCAAAAGGAAGGAGTGGAAAATTAAAGGCTTTATCAAAACTAGATTGCAATGGATTTCTGAATATTCTTCCAACAGACAGGGATAAAAACAGCCATGCATTATAGACTTCGGCAGAAGAGGGCTGGCCAAAAGGGTTAACCATTTTCATTGGTCAAAACTGGCCCCTCTGCTTGGAGTTTACAATGCAGTGGGACTGAACCACAAGAAGCTGGGGCCAAAAGTGATGGGCAGTGGTGTTTCTGACCTGAGTGGGACCAGGAAGCCAACCTATCCTCCCAAAATGTAGACAAGGGGTGCCTCTGTCCCCATACAAAGGATGACCTTTAAAGAATGCAGTTCTCAAGCCAATTGCATTGTGCAACTCAGATATTTGTGGTCTCATCTGACTGGTTAGCTCTCATGTTTAGAACATCTGGCTAACAAGATTAAAGCCTATCCCAGGATAAGAAAATTAGCTTTCCTCTATTTCAACACCACAGACTCATCCTCATCCCAATTTGAAACAGCTACAAAAAGCGGGCAAACAATATTTATTGACTACCCATTATATGCATAGCATCGAGGAATAAATTCAATGGGGAAATGAGCCTGCGTTATTCATCAAAGTCTTTTCCAGCCCTGGAAGAGTCTTATTTCTGTGAGTTTAGAAAAAGAATTTACATTTCTCTGGCCAAGAGGTCGGAGTTATTGGCTTAATTCATCAGCTTTTTTCCCCCAAAAAATCTGTGCTTCGCTTTGGCCTAAGGGACCTGGTACAAGTCACAACACATCAGCAACATTAATAGAGAAGCTCGTGTGGTTTTCCTGCTTCTCTTAGAGGATTCAGCTATTCGCAGGAATATACAAGACTTTTAAGGAATTTTGTTAAGTCATGAAGCAAATGGCTTTCATAATTTTAAATGTTTTGATGGATTTTAAAACACTTAAACAGGTCTACAAATAGATGAAGCAGGCAACACTTGCCTTCCTATTTAGAAAAAAAAGCGTTTTAAAACTCATTTACTGATTGTGTAAACTCCAAAATGTTTTCTAGTCATGATGCACTACAAGACTTCTTTGGAAATCTAAAAATCAGACAAGCATGATGCCACACTAAAAGAAGTCATGATGTCTGAAGATACCTCCAAAGGCCATTTCAGACTCTCTGGGCTTGGGGAAAACCATTTAGATACTTTTCTACCTAGAGTTCATAACAAAAGCTACCATTTATTGGCCGCAGCCCATGAGCCAAGCCTGTTAAGTCTGCACAGCAAACTCTAGAGGTCTGTATTGTTACCCTCATTTTACAGATGGGGAATTGAGATTCAGAAGCATTACATAACTTGTTTAAATTTTCCTATCTGGTAAACCAAGAAAATGGGACTCAGGTCCCACTCCTTCAGGCTCCTGGTGCCATGCTCTTAGTGAGGCACCAGTGTCTTCTGTGTTACAGGTTATCACCCTAAAATATATAGGGAAAAACATGGCACAATTTCCCTTCAGTAACATATGTCATAATTTCATCAGACATTCATCTTATAACCTGCAGTAAACTACAGACATGATTAAGTCTGTGTCTCTTTACCTAATGTCTAAAGATACTTCTGAGGCTAAATAAAACTCACAGTTGGCCGGGCGTGGTGGCTTACACCTGTAACCCCAGCAATTTGGGAGGCCAAGCTGGGAGGATCACCTGAGGTCAGGAGTTTGAGACCAGCCTGGCCAACATGGTGAAAGCCCATCTCTACTAAAAATACAAAAATTAGCCAGGCGCAGCGGTGGCTGCCTGTAATCCCAGCTATTCGGGAGGCTGAGGCAGGAGAATCGCTTGAACCCGGGAGGCGGAGGTTGCAGTGAGCTGAGATCTTGCCACTGCACTCCAGCCCGGGTGACAGAGCCAGACCCTGTCTCAAAGAAAACAAACAAACAAACAAACAAACAAACACCTCACAGTATTCTACTGTATTTCATTTTTGAAACATTGATTCTTATTTTTTTTATATATGTGTTTGTCTCTTTTCTGCCAATAGTTTATTTCACTGTACAAGGCTTTATGGATCATACCAAAATCAATTTCTTCTCAGGGAAATACGGACTTGGGAAAACTTAGGTTTCCACTCCTAGCAAAGAATTTGACAGATAGTGTCCGATTCATTACCCTTTCTCTTTTTTAAAAAATAAATGCCCTCTACCAGAGAAGTCGCATGTCTAATCACTAAAACACCCATCTCTGAAAGTGATGATGCCCTTCCCTTAAACTAAATGATCTGCTCTGGAGGAAGTGTGTGTGAGTACTTGCTGGGGGCTACGCTGGGTGGTCATCCTTGGACCTCATGGGTAGGGGTCCCTCTAAAGCAGGGAGTCCCCTGTGGAATGCAGATCAAGGTCCAGTGGGGCACTTGCCCACTTCCCAGGACAACAAAGCAAACTAAGAGGCCAGGTGCATGCCACCAACAGATCATCATTTCCTCCAGAGCAAAATGGTCTTCATCAGCCATAAATTCTTTCAAGAAAAAGATAGGCAAAGTAGAAAAGCCATATGCTTTGATCTTCTTTACCTTTTCCTGCCAGCACTGACCACCTGGGCAGCTCCGAATCTCCAGTCCAGTGGACTAAAAACTTCTCATACTGTACGAACATTAGCCAGTTTTCCTATGCTAGAAACAAATAATGCAAAGAAAGCTATCATCCTTCCATGAGTCCTTCTCAGTACTCATGGGCAGGGATTCAGTATCCCACAGTAGGCTACATAGTTTAGAAAATTGCTAGATGGATGGATTGCCCCATACCTACAGGTATGAGCTGATAAGATTCTGAGTCCTATCCGTTTTATTCCTGAACAAACCATATATACTCCTCAAGAATTTGTCAATATTAGCAATTGGGCTAGGCCTTAGAGATTCTGGCACATTAGCAAAATGGCCAAAAGCCTGGGAATCAAAATATGGTTGTGATCTGAAAATTCCAACCAATGACACAATTTAGCAATGCCGAAAAACCTACAGAGATGATTTTCAAACATTACTCATTTCACAAATAATCTGTCCTGTAATGAGTGTTCAAGGTCAATGCTGTTCAGAACTGGGTTTCTTAGCAAGGGTGACCAAGAGACCTATTTCAATCTGGGGACCTCTTGGAACATTTTGTTTTAAACTTCCCAAAGAGTAACCCACACCAAAACTAATAATTATTATATATTTTTAATAATAATAATAATAATAAACCATTTTGTTATAGAATGGGAAAGATTCCAATCCATCAACAGCTTATTCAACGAATATTTATTGAGGCTGTGTTATCACTGCCTCATACTAGAAACTGGGAAAACAAAGATGAAAGATGAAAAAGGCAAGCCCTCTGCCTTAAGAAGACCCAGGAAATGCTAGGGTTTCCAGTCTTCATAGATTTATGGTTTTCTTAGTCAATTCAGGATGCTCTAACAAAGTACCATAGACTAGGTGGCTTATTAACAACAGAAATTTACTTCTCATAGTTCTAGAGGCTGAAAATGTGAGATCAGGGTGCCAGCAGGGTTGGGTTCTGGTGAGGGTGCTCTTCTGGGCTGTGGACTGACAACTTCCCGTTATGTCTCACGTGGCAGAAAGAGCAGCAGAGAGCTCTCTTGGGTCCTTTTTATAAGGGCACTAATGCCAGAGGGCTCCACCCTCAGGACCTAAGGCCCTCCCAAAGACCCCACTTTCTAATACCATCATATTAGGTATGAGGATTTCAACATAAGAATTTGGAGGCGTGGGGGTGTGGGCACAAACATTCAGTGCATCATGATAGTTATCGAGAATTATTTACATGTGTCTCCTTATATCTGTGTCTTGTCCACTGGTTCAATGCTGTACCACTAATTCCCAGCATGCTTGGCACATGGGAGGCACTGGATGTCTATCCGTTGAATGAATAAATTAATTAATGACATAAGCTCTGCCAACAGCTAGTTTTGGCTTTGGCCAAGTAATCACAAACGTCAGATTTCCCATGTGTAAAATGAGTTTAAAACGTTAGGTTCCCCAAATAAGTGCTCCACAGAGTATTGGTTCTGCAAAATGTCATGGGTTTTATTGGAGAAAAAGGGAACCTGTGGCCGAGTTTGAAAACCATCAATATTACAAAAGAAAGCTGATTTCTACTTGAGTCTTCTCCAACTGTAATACGCTGATATACTGAGAACTTCTCAGGGGATGTCCTAGGCAGAGTCCCCCACTCCAATGAGGCTATAAAAATCATCATTTGCAAGTCTCCAGAACAAGACTCTGGACCCTCATGCCTAGCAGTTTAACACCAACAAAAGGATCCATTCTTCAACATCTTCTTTGATGTGAACTATTCTCAGGGAGCTAAGATGGACAGAGGTGTGCTCCTTCCTTCACCTCAGCTCTTTCTGGCTCTATGGCCCTGGGCAAGTTACCCAGCCTCTCTAAACTTAGAGTTCTCTCTCTCTCTCTCCCTCTTTTTTTCTTTCTTTTTTTTTTTTTTTTTTTTTTTTTTACTGAGATGGAGTCTCATTCTGTCACCCAGGCTGGAGTACAGTGGCACAATCTTGGGTCACTGCAACCTCTGCTTCCTGGGCTCAAGCGATTCTCCTGCCTCAGCCTCCAAAGTAGCTGGGATTATAGATGCCCGCCACCAAGCCCAGCTAATTTTTGTATTTTTAGTAGGAGACAGGGTTTCACCACGTTGGCCAGGCTGGTCTCGAACTCCTGACCTCAGGCGATCCGCCCTACTTGGCCTCTCAAAGTGCTGGGTTACAGGTGTGAGCCACCACACCCATCTTGTATTTGCTATAAAATAAAATACTAGTAGTAATTAATTCAAAAAAGGCCTGAAGTGAGAACTAAATGAGATAACATATATAAATCACTTGGTACCACTCACAAGAGACGCTCTGTAAAGGTCAGCTCTCCTTGTTATTATTCACAAACATACCAGCATCTCGTTTGGATTCCAGTCTCAAGGTCACCAACAGGTAAACTCTGGCAAGTCAGTCCTTGTCTCGCCTCAGAAGTGTCACAGACAAAATCCAGGTTTTTGGCTTACATCAGTGTTTCCCAAACTCTAGTTCTTCAAAGACCATTTCCCAGCCCTATTTTACTCAGTATTTCTCTTACAATTATTGCATGTTAGTCTCATCCTAAACAAGGAAATCTAGGAAATCACAGGTTGGATATCCTTGTTATTCTTTTTCCAAGACACATGAAAATGAATAAAAAACTATTTAAATATTCCCTAAAAGCCAGCATTATACCTAACTCATTTTCAATGCCATACACCGAGAAACATTTACTCAGGATTTTTATCCAAGATCCTTCTGCTAAAAAGATTCTACGTCTTTTTTCCCGAAAAAAAGAAAAAAATCACAAACTAACCTTTGCAAACACTAACCTGAGCCCCCTAAGACAATACAGTAGTTCAGACCACAAGGGGGTCTTCTTTAGAAACGAGATTCAAATCTAGTTTCTAGGCTAAACATCTGAACATCAGAGATCACAGAAGGTGCGGAGATGACTCTATGGCTTTCCAAAGAAAGAATGACATCAACTTCCAGAATACAGTGACATCTCTGTGATGTGCTACGTTAGCTGAGATATGAGGAGGCATTTTTAAAGATATGTTTCAGGCTAAGACTTTTTCAAATTCTAAAACTAAAATTCACAAAAAGCCATTGCTCTCCCTCCAGGAAAAACACTTGCTTTAGAACTCTTGCAGCTCTGCATGGAAGAATCCTGTCACCTCAGTCTGGGTCAGCAGTGACCAACACTGCAACGTGTCACAGATCACTCTGATAGGAATATCACCCTCCTTCAGATGCCACCAAAACCAACACCACTATGGGATGGCTGAAAACCTATAAAAATATTTTAGATTAGTCATAAATAAAATGACTCAGGATGATATTCTGCAAACATTTTATGGACTCCAAACATTGAGCCTTTTCAAAAGTAAAAGTGAGCCTAAGTGGCAGTGGATAATATCGCTATTTTTGCTTTTAACTGCAATTATTCCCAAGCCCTTTTAATAGCTGTCACTTTTCATTTCCAGGCTGTAGCAAATTATAGTAAGAGGAGAAGGGAGCTGACAGCTCATTTCTTCAGTGAATGGCATGCTCTTCCATTTCTGCAAGGCCTGTGGGCCCTACTTTATGGCACATTCACCATCCCCAGGAAAATCCTGCTAAAAGAAGCAATAAAGACAATAGTGCTCAAGTCTGCCAGCTTGGAGGCTTTGGGTACTCCAGCAGAGTTTCCCAGGCCTCCATGCATTCTGATCAATAGGGGAGAAAAATAAGTTATCCCCATAGATACCCCAAAGGCATTTTATCTTTTTATCTACATGAAGGATGTATGCTTGGGGTGTGTGTGTGTGTGTGTGTGTGTGTGTCTGTGTGTGCACACACACGTTGGAGGGGAACAGAGACAGCTGGTTTCATTTGAAAGGAATTAATAATGCAGGTATTATTAATATCATAAACCTCATCCTCTTAGGATACATATCCCAGTGAAAAGAGAACTAGGTCAAAGGCACAAAACAGTTCATAAAAAATAAAATATTTTTGAATCTAAAATAGCACCTAATAAAAAAAAAACTGAGTGATCACTTTTGCAACCTAGAAAATGGTGCAGCCTGTCCCTAAATATTAAAGTAGTATGAATACAAAAACAACTTTTAAGAGGAGCTTTCAGAACTCAAGCTAATGAATCCAGTTATGTTGCTGCTTGGCAGTCTTGACTAAATGGAACATTCAACTCCAGACAGGGATTGGGCAGAACCAGCTAACCAATGTGTATATGCCTGGAGCCAATCTCATCTGTGTCACCAGAGCGATAATCAGAATCCAGAACCTTGGAATGACATTTCTTTTTGTAATATTGGTTCCTTTTTAAGTCAACATGTAGCCTAAAGATCAAAACAATCAAATGAAAATGTGTATTAGAAAGACCCCTAGGAAATATTTTCCACCACGTCTTCAGAAATGCAAAGACCCAACAGATGAAAGAAGAGCAATCCTGAAATTAATTGCTGCTCAGAAGATCAGCTTTTTACTTTTTAATTAACATTCTGTCCTAATCCAAGAGCCAGAAGAAAAACATACGATGTATAGTGCTTACGCACCTCTTATGGGGAAGTGTTAACCTTTCTTCCTCAGCCTTTCTCTATTTTCATCAAAATGTGTTTAAATTTAAGAGGCAGTCTTGGCAGAGTGTGTAGCTCAGTGATGCAAATAGTGTGGGATGGTGCCACCCAGAACTCCATGTGTGGGAGAATAACTAGGAAATCAACTTTCCTTTTCTCTGTGCAACTCTATTTCATCCAGAGGAGGATGTGGGCACACGTACTGCAGGTTGTTGTTGTTGTTGTTGTTGTTGTTGTTGTTGTTATTTTTTCCAACTGGGCAAGGGAGGAGGTATGGAGAGGAAAAGCCAAGTGATATTTTGGAAGGATTTGCAAAACACCTGGGTTTAAACTGTCAGGATCCAACTTGTCTTCTTTCCAACCCACCTCCTTCAGTGATTCCACATCCATTCCGGGTGCTGCAGACTAAGGGATGGATTTGCAAAACACCTGGGTTTAAACTGTCAGGATCCAACTTGTCTTCTTCCCCACTCACCTCCTTCAGTGATTCCACATCCATTCCGGGTGCTGCAGACTAAGGGATGGAACAGTTACCCCTGTAACAGTCATAGATGTGGTAGGAAGAGGCTGGCACAGATCAGGCATCACAATGAGCAATCCCAAATACGTTGGAGTGATTTGTTTGCAACATCTCTTAAATCTTTTCCTAGAGGTGCTTACAGGCAGGGAAAAGGGCTGATCTTCAGTTTCACCACTCTCCCATCTGGTCAGCTCTGAAAATCCCCTGCTGGGCATATTCTACATGCCAGGCAGTGGGCAGAGCACAGAGGATGCACAGATGACTGGCTACAGTACCATCACTATGTTCAGGTGCTCTCAGGCCAGCAGGGGAGATGGGAGAGTGAATGAACTCATGCATTTTGTTTTTGTTTTTCTTTCTTGCACAGAGGCATGAACTAATAATCCTCTATGGAGGGCTGCTCAGTTAGAGGCCAAGAAGGTTTTCTGAAAGAGACATTTAAGATGGCATTAGGATGTGAAGGATGAGGAATGGAACTAGAGGGAAGAGGGACATAGAAGATATTCAGGGCATCCCTAAGGGGGCTTCAGACTACAATTACCTGGTGCAGAGTCTTTGTATAAATAGAGATTTTAGGAAATTACTCCAGAATCAGAATTTCTAGTGATGAGATCCCAGATTCTAGTTTTTGCAAGCTGCTGAGATGATTCTGAATGCAGCTGACTGACCTACAGATTTGTGTTTGGGATCCATCAATCACACCTAGCACCCTCCCTCCACATTTATAAATAGCTGAGAAAAATTTGGCATTGACGGAGAGCACAGACAACAGTTAGGTTCAGCCCCAAAAATAGGGCTCTGGCCTATTGATTCCAAATTCAATGTCTGGACCACCAGTTCCCGAAGAGCTCCACCAGGAACATCATTTTCCATGAAGCACATTTTTGGCCAACAGGACACAGGCCTCTTCTGCCATCCCCACCTGGGTTTCTGCCTGCATGAGAGTATCAGCCACGCGTTACAGCTGTGCCCACTGCGACCTCATCTTCCCCTGCAGAGGGCAAAGGCACTCCACATGTATCGTCATTTCCTGGCCTCAAGTGCCCAAAGAATGAGTTAATGAATGAAGTCCACAAATAGGGCTCACAAAAGGCACTCCTCAGAGGGTATGGGAAGTATAAAAATGGTCGCTTCTCCCAGACAGACCTTATTTTCTCTGAACCGACCAAAAACCAAAATCCAGAAATCAAACTGCGATACTGGAAAACACAGCAAACTTGAAATTTAAGTCTTAATGCAAACAACAGAAAATGCTGTGAAATTTCTTTGCATCTCTGAGCTCACCGGTGTCTCCTAATTCCATCCCTTTCAACCCGCGATGGCCTCTGGCCACAGAATTTTGGAGAAGAGGTTCAAAACTCATACATACTCTCACATCTACTGTATGCCGGCCGAGGCCAAAGAATTCTGCTGTTTGTTGATTACATTTTTTCATTTTATCTTGACAACCACACACTGGCATCATTTCCATCTATACAAGAGGAAACGGAAGCTATGAGAACTTAATAAATTTCCCCTAAGTCACAGAGCAAGTGGGTGGTGATTAATTTCAACATGGATCTGTGTAGGTCTGGATCCCACAAGGCAGCTCAGGGAAGTGTCTAAGGGAACAAATGGGACCAAGCCTCGCAACAGGCACAAAGCCTGATTGAGCACTTTCTAGTGTGGCATAGTTACCTTAATGGACAGCAAGGTCAACACAGCAATCAGAACAGTCTACCTTGGCCAGGTGCAGTGGCTCCTTCCAGTAATTCCAGTGCTTTGGGAGGCCAAAGCAGGAGGTTAACTTGAAGCCAGGAGTTTGAGACCAGCATGGGCAACATAGCAAAACCCCATCTCTACAGAAAATAAAAAGATTAGCCCGGCATGGTGGTGCATGTCTATAGTCCTAGTTACTTAGGAGGCTGAGGTGAGAGGATGGCCTGAGCCCAGGAGTTCAAGGCTGCAGTGAGTTATGACTATGCCACTGTACTCCAGCCTGGGTGACAGAGCAAGACCCTGTCTCTAAAATAAAAAAAAATTAATTAATTTAAAAAAGAATAACTTGCACACAGGGCTATACTATTGGCTAGATGATCATAGTGTTTCTAAAAGTGGGAATAGATGAGAAGCCTACTAAATTTCTACTTGATGTGTATAAGTGGAAAAGTTCTAGGTCAAGTGAACAAAAGTCTAATATGAATCATAAAAACAGTCATGGTCCCTCAACCAATCCTCAGACTTGAGAGTCAGTTTATAGTGAGTTTACACTGGCTCAACTAGAATGAAAGGAAGGCTGGGTCACTTTGAAATAGGACCCTGGTACACTGCCAGAAATGTATTCTGTTAATCTTTCTCCCAGCCTTCCCCAAGAAGACCTATGTACAACCTTTTACCAGGGTAACTGTGCACTGGGGAAAAAGGAATAATGAGATGTTTTGGGAACTAATGGACAATGGCTCTGAACTAACACTAATTTCAGAATACTCAAAACATCACTGTGGCCTCAGTTAGTAGGGACTTATGGAGGCCAGGTGATCTATGAAGTTTGTTTTTTGTTTGTTTGTTTGTTTGTTTGTTTGTTTTTTGACATGGAGTTTCGCTCTTGTTGCCCAGGCTGGAGTGCAATGGTGCGATCTCAGCTCACCACAGCCTCCGTCTCTCAGCCTCAAGCGATTCTCCTGCCTCAGCCTCCCGAGTATCTGGGATTACAGGCATATGCCACCACGCCTGGCTAATTTTGTATTTTTAGTAGAGAAGGGATTTCTCCATGTTGGTCAGGCTGGTCTCGAACTCTTGACCTCAGGTGATTCACCCACCTTGGCCTCCCAAAGTGTCGGGATTACAGGTGTGAGCCACCGCACCTGGCCTGATCTATGAAGTTTTAGTTCAGGTCCACCTCACAGTGGACCCAGTGGGTCCCACACCTCAGCCTATGGACATTTCTTAAGTTCTGGAATGAATAATTGGAATAGGTATGCTCAGCAACTGCCAAGTTCTCCACACTGGGGAAGCAAGGAGTTGTTTGGTTATTGTACTTGTATTGAGGGAGAAAGGGGATATGAAAGGTCTGAGAACGTGGTTCCAAAGGCCTGAATATGCTCCATTTCCAGAGTGAACTGAGAACACTTAAGTTGGGGTTTTACCATGTGTGTGCTACTTGGCTTATAAGAAATGGGCTCAGCTCTGCACTTGAACATCAGGATAAATTGTTCCAGAGATGAAGAGCCAAGACACTATCAAGTTTCAATTGCTAGCTGAAACCCCTGATAACTGCTAGAAAAATAATATGCAATTATAGTCTAGAAACGTATATTATCAAGGCCACGGTGCTCTCAGAATGTAATAAACGAAATGTGGGTAACCACACATGTGGTAAAAATCCCAACCCCCAATGTGTATCACAGATGCCTCGTCACCCACAGGCACTGGGGAGGGAGGGAGGAAAAAACAGACGCTTCAAATTCAACACTGGCTGAACCGTGGATGAAGGGACAAAAAGCCAAGAAACGTTTTCTATGTTCTTTCCAGTTATGGTCTTCAAATGTCTATGCCCTGTAGGCTCTTGGGTGACTAGTAGAGAATTATAAGTAGACAAGCAAGTAAGAATACTTCTGCAGAGAGTAATGCAATGACAAAATGTTGGTTTCTTCTTCTGTAATGTTCGTTATATCTAGAGTGGATTTTGGCACAGTGGAATGACACTAAGGCAGTAACTGTTGCCTCCTAGGGTTAGGGCATTGCATGGCCGTGTGCCTCTCCAACACCCAGAGGCTCCTCAACAAGTGACCTTGGGTCTTCAGCAAAATTGAGGACAGCGAGAGTTACATGCCAGGCATCCCTAAATACAATATCCCCAGGGCCCTTACTCAAAGACGAAGGAACCATTTTAAAGGACTGTTAAAAGGACACAGTGCTCACATACATGGAAAATAGTGCTTCTGTCTGCAGACATACACTGAGTACTTCTTATGGGCTCAGCCTGGGAACACCTGCCGTGAGCCCTCCAGGCTACTAAGAGAGAAGGACATGAAACAGAGTGTGAAAGCACAATCAATGCCAGCAGAGGGAAGCACTTCATGTGTCCAAGGAGCAAATGCTAGAAGTCACGGAAGGTTCTCAGAGGAGGTGACCATCCACACATATCATATGGTCCAGGCACTTCACTCACAAAGGAAGCCAGAGGCCTCTATCTCCCAGCCCACCAAACTGCCAGACACCTCTGGCATGACTTCTCTTTTGCTTGGTGTTTCCCCTTAATATTCACTTCAACCCGATTTCACCTGATTAGGAATTCTGGGGTCTTATGCTCACTTGTAAGGGAAGAAACATGAGCCCACCTTATCCCTCACTGCTGGCTTCTGAGCAGTACTTGAACACGGGCCCCAGGGAGCAGGGTGCCTCAAGGAAAGCCCCCCAAAAACGAATTCTCCTGGTGTCTCTGAGTCTTTATGTCCCTGAAAACAATTCCCTATTTTGGCAGTCATGAACTAGTTTCTCCCCTGTACATGCGCTGTCTCCTGCTGCAGGGGGCAAAATAAGTAAAATCTACAGAGGGGCTTCTCATCTCCCCTCCTCATCAGGCCAGGCTAACCCACCCACTCAGAACCCCTGCCTGTCCCCGAACCTCATCTGGGACTTATGGAACAAGATTTTTATTAAACGGTGACAAAGATGAAAAGTAAAATATCAGAGACACACAGAGAGTGAGCCACAGATCTGAGAAAACAGCTGCATATGAAAGGATTAGAAAATAAATGAAAAAAGTAACTCAAAGGATTTAGAATCCATTTTGGGTGCACTGAAAGAAAATCCCCCCAGTATTGGGAGAACAGATCCAGGTTCAAACCTGGGCGATAAGGAGGTTCCATCCTCTTCTGGTTGCCTCATTAGGTGGTACCTTGAGGTTTATAATTTTTTTTAGTCACCACTTTGTAGGATGATGCTTCTTGAAAGAAAAGAAAAGTGAAGTCTGGGACCACGTGCACTGGGATCACCTGAGAGGCTGCTAAAAATGCTGTTTCCTGGGTCCCCAGTGATTCTTAAGCATTCTGAAGTCTGAGAACCACAGAACTAGGTACTTCATCATTCCTAAGTGGTTGCATTACCCATGCTAAATCACTCCTTTAAATTGCTGTTTAAAATTTAAAGAAGACACTAGTGGCTAAATTGATTCTTTTAGAAATGGTTAGATTCTAACAGGAGTGATTGTACAGTCACATTGTGACCAATTTTAAATGATGTAAAATTTACAGGTTGAAGCCAGAAGGATCTTTTCAAAGCATAAATCAGATCACGTCACTCCCTTGGGTAAAACTCTTCAGTCACTTCCCTTTGCCCTTTTGATAAAAGCTCAGCCCCATGATCCCAATCAGGCCTCCTCTCCAGTCTAATCCACGCTGGAGTGCTCCCTGCCTCAGGCACTCTGCTCCCCAGTTCCTGCAACATCCAAGGTCAGCCTTTTACACAGCCTTCATGTGCTAGTTGTCTGTACCCAGTAAAATTCTTTCACCCTCCTCCCTGACCTCCCTGACTACATTAATCTCCCTGTTGTAGGCGCCCTGAGCATCAGTAACTCCCCCTTCAACAGCCCTTAGCAGAGTTTAAACATCACACTTATTTGTGTGATCCTTTGATCAATGCAAACTTCCTCCTCTAATGTATAAGCAGCCCAGCCCATGAAATCAACAGGCCTATTTTTCTCTTGGAAGGAGGCTCACCATTGTTTATGGATCACCTAGTACACCACATGGTACACAGCAGGCGCTCAATAAATATTTGTGAATTAACAAATGAATATTTCCGTTTGGTCCAAGTGCCGAGGTGTTTACAACTAATTGATCTTAACCATTTACAGATTTCTTTGTTCCTTCTCCACTCCCACTACTTCACTTGACTAGCCTTGAAAAAGAAAAAGAAGAAAAATAAAGAATATTTCCAAATCAAATGCTGGAACAAATCCAGGCACACAGTAGCAATTAAGAATTTAAAATACTCCTATCCCTTTCCTGAAAGTTAAAGGCAGCAGTCTCTTCCCAGCCAAGGACTAAAGTCCTAGGGTGGTTTCCACCCCCTGCATACGATCCAATACTCTTCAAAGCACTTATCACTTCTAATGGATGGACCAAACTATTCCTAATACAACTTCTGGATTTCGAAAGGGTGAAACTCAACATTAAAACTACTGTTATGCCATTTCTCTGTGCCTTGCTTTGATCTAGTCATAAAAAATTGTCTTAAAGATATATGTTGAGATAAAAACAAATCTGAGAATTTTCACAACTTCTTGTATTTTCAGACACCCTCATCTGCCTGTCTTATCATTCCCAGGTCCAGACGCCGAGTCTCAGACTGTTTCATTACACACTTGCACATGCTAGAATGGTTAGCAACACATTTGAAAAGATTCAACATGGCCCTAAACCAGTTGACAATAATTATATGACAACGCTTATGACTGGAAGGATGTCTCACTGGGTATTTAAAGGAATCTCTATTACACGCTCTTCTCTCTACCATCCTTAGCCACAGCTGGGATAATGGTTTGCTGCCCCGACGGTGCTCTTTTACACACTCCTGAGGCAGCAAATCATTCGCCATCCTTCACCAAGTAGCTCAACTCAACACAATGATCCAGTGTAGCAGGTTCAACTGAGGCAAAAGTGATGAAAACTTGGCAGCAGGGGTATGTACCATATGGTATGCTGCAGAAAAGAGGGTATGGTTTTGAGTCTATGTGAAGTTGGGCAGCCAGCTTCCCTGACACCTGAATTCCCTCATCTGTAAAATGGGTACATGTTTGAAATCACTTTTAAGCTGCTAGATATTTTGGTAAGAACATAACTCTCCAGTGAGTTACTGTAGATCTGTATTTCATTATCTAAGTCTTCTTATGGGTCTTTAAACATATATTTACCATTGGATTCTATTTCAAGGTACACACCAATCCTGATATATAGAAAAGAGGCGTTGCTACACAGCGGACACTGTAGTTGCTGAATAACCCATGTTTACCACTCTCCTAGGTAAAATAAAGTGACCAGAAATTTTTCACACTGAAGACTGTATATTTGTCAGGTCCAATGAAGATATGCATACAGCCATTAGACAAGTGATTTTCATGACTATAGTAATGGAAGTCAAGGTGGAGACCAAAAGTTATCACTTTCAAAGCACTAATTTGGAGAAGCAGTTTCTGTTTGGCACATGGCTCTCTGACACCCATACTTCTATCCAGGGCATTTTAGTGTCTAGATGAAGGTTTCTCTCTTTTCAACCCACTCCTTAAAAGCTGTTACTAAGTGACTGTTTAATGGGTACATGAGCTACTGCTTAATGAGCTGGTGTGCCTGTAAGCTAGTTGCTGCCTTTCTGAAGAAGCAATAAGTAGAAAAAGCACCCAAACAAACCGGCCACATCCAGAGAGAGCGATTGGAAATGGAAGCAGGTGGCTTCCACTTAGGTGGCCATAAAATGAATTGTCCAACCCACTGCACTTGGAAAGTGAAAGCTGGTGTAATTGAACGTGCTGGGACAATGGGGCCACACTGGGTCTGTACACTTGGGACTACAGACATTCTTCTTTTATTTTTCTATTTTTATTCCCAGGATAATTTCTAATCTGGTTGACAGCTTGATCATCTGGCTCAGATTAAAGAAGAAAATTTAACAATTTACAACCACCCACCTGCCAATGAACATTTCAACAGTCCCCTACTTGGTGGAAGGTTCCAAACGATTGAAAAAGGGACATTTCCAAAGCATGAATGGACCCATTGAACCTCCTTTATATGCAACATAATCATATGAAACCCAGTTCAACTGAATGAAATTCCTGACAATTGCTCCTTCACTGTTACTCCAATGACATGGGGTTTCTCCCAGGGCCCCTGTGCACCCTTGGACAAATGCAAACAACCTCAAAAGCTGGAATCAAGAAAAGGGAAAGAGCTCCAATGGAGCCATCTCCATTCTCTCCCCTCAAAGTAAAAAAAAATTAATAATACAATAAAACAGTAAAATCTCAGGTTAGTTCAAATGGAACTGGGGATACACATTAGAAGAGCTTTCATTTGAGGACCCTAAATTGCTAACTTCAGTCATTACATCAGTTATTTTAATTCACAGTCAATCATAACTCATCCCCGTCTGTATTTTAACAGTTGGTACTTCTCCTGTACTGGTTTAAGTTTCATTTTTAATTAACAAATAGTAATCATTCATATTTATGAGGTACAATTGGACGTATTGATACATGTATACCTAAGGAATGATCAAATCAGGCTAATGAACATATCTATCACTTCAAATATTTAGCATTCCTTTGTGGTGGGAACATTTAAAATCCCCTCTTTTAGCTGTTTTGAAATATACAATAGGCCGGGCGCGGTGGCTCACGCCTGTAATCCCAGCACTTTGGGAGGCCGAGGCGGGTGGATCATGAGGTCAGGAGATCGAGACCATCCTGGCTAACAAGGTGAAACCCCGTCTCTACTAAAAAAATACAAAAAAAATTAGCCGGGCGCGGTGGCGGGCGCCTGTAGTCCCAGCTACTCGGGAGGCTGAGGCAGGAGAATGGCGTGAACCCGGGAAGCGGAGCTTGCAGTGAGCCGAGATTGCGCCACTGCAGTCCGCAGTCCGGCCTGGGCGACAGAGCGAGACTCCGTCTCAAAAAAAAAAAAAAAAAAAAAAGAAATATACAATATATAATTATTAACTATTGCCACCATGCTGTGTAATAAAATCACCAGAACTTATTCCTCCTGTCTGACTGAAACTTTCTATCTGGGTTTGACCAACATCTCCTCTTTCCCTGCCAACCCCACCTTTCCTCTTGTTTTCTTGAAGAAAAGACATATAAAGCAAACTAATTCTAGTCAAGACTTTAGGAGCAGTTACCTAGGTCACTTGAAGAAAATTAAATACAAAATGCATCTCTTTTTATGATTTCAGCAAGATAGTTTAATAAAGAACCTGAATAGAAACTACTGAATCGGGCCGGGCGCGGTGGCTCATGCCTGTAATCCCAGCACTTTGGGAGGCCGAGGCAGGAGGATCACGAGGTCAGGAGATCGAGACCATCCTGGCTAACACAGTGAAATCCTGTCTCTACTAAAAATACAAAAAAAAAAAAAAAAAAATTAGCCGGGCGTGGTGGCGGGAGCCTGTAGTCCCAGCTACTTCGGAGGCTGGGGCAGGAGAATGGCGTGAACCCGGGAGGCGGAGATTGCAGTGAGCCGAGATCGCGCCACTGCACTCCAGCCTGAGCAACAGAATGAGACTCTGTCTCAAAAAAAAAAACACTACTGAATCAGTGATAATAACCTCAATAATAATAGCAAATCCAACCCAACGCTTTTAGGGTACTCTACTTTACAATCATGATTGCATTTAATCATCTCAGCTACTCGAAGAGGTGGGGACTTATATTACCTACACTTGAAAGATGTGAAAACTGAGGCTAAGGAAGATCACTAACTTACCTGAAGTCACCCATCTGCTGTACTCAACAGGAGATCTGAACCCTCCATTAACAAGTATGTGCTTATGGCGCTTTAAACCTCAAAGACTCCTTCTCCTTTTTCCCAAATCCAATCACTTAGCAAATCATTTAATTTTGTCATCAATATCTACAGGCAAACACGGTGAGTGCTGGCCTCCCCTCCTTTACCTCTGCTCAGACTCTGGCTGGCACCCGCTGGAAGGCGGGGGCTGGACAACCTGTCTCCTAGTTGCATTGGCACAGCAAGCACACTGCTTTGTTTATTTATTCATCTGACCAAGACCATGTATTTATTTGAGCAGGCCTAGCAGGAGCTCCCATCTTTCCTCTGCCCCTCCCTCCAGCTGTACCATCTAATCTATCCTCCAGGTTGCTCTCACTGGAATGCACTGCATCTTTTCCTTGCCTAAAAGCCTTTGGCTTTCCTTTCTGCTGAATCCAAATGCCCAGCTCCTGGGATTGCTGACATAAAGCCCCTTCCAGACTGTCCTCCATCACCCTGATTGCTATATTCCCTGGATGTATCATATTCTTTCTCTTAATACTCAGCTTTCCAGATCTTTCTCAAAAGTCACCTCATTTGTGAACACCTACCTCTGTGATCTGCAATCACGGTAAACATACCTTTAGCATACTGTTATGACTGTCTCTAAACAGATTTGCCTGTTACAGCCCTCCCTACCCCTTCTCCACATATGGAGTGCCCAGGCTACAGCATACAAATTACAAGCAAAGTGGCTGTTGACTGACTTGAATGACTGAATGAAGCATTATGATCAGGGCTATAAGCCCAGCAATAGTTTAGCTTGAAAATATTTATATACATTTTAAGGATAAGCTCAACATCTGTTTTTAAAATATACTACAATTAATAAATAAAGCTTTACTGTGCTTCTCTCATATAAACCCAAGCAAATGTTTCTCAAAAACCTTCAGTTGGAGAATGGACAGTAATTGAGAAAGTAGTTCTAATGAGTCAAAGTCGCTTCCTGGCAGTGGAGTAAGCCTAGAGATGATGGAAACATATTCATTCCTTGACAAAATGTTTAATTTCATGTGATTTGTGCTGACTTACTATAAAAGTGACAGCACTGGAGAAAACAGGATTTAGCAGCTGATATAATTGTTTCTTTGCTTCTAAAGGCCTTTCATTATTAGAGCTGCATGGGTGTGTGTGTGTGTGTGTGTCTTTCTCTCACACACACATATATGTACAAAGCACTTATTATTTAATATATCAAAGAATCGGTCCCACTCCCCCAAACCAAAATTTCTGAGTAGTGGTCACTTCCCAGAGTGGCCCACAATTGGAATAACTGAGGCACAAGTCCACTATAAAAAAATCTAGGGGCCAGGCACAGTGGCTCATGTCTGTAATCACAACACTTTGGGAGGCCAAGGCAGGCGGATCACAAGGTCAGGAGTTCGAGACCAGCCTGGTCAATATGGTGAAACCTTGTCTCCACTACAAATACAAAAATTAGCCAGGTGTGATGGCAGGCACCTGTAGTCCCAGTTACTGGGGAGGCTGAGGCAGAAGAATCACTTGAACCCAAGAGGCAGAGGTTACAGTGAGCCACGATCGTGCCACTGCACTCCAGCCTGGGCAACAGAGCAAGACTCTAGCTCAAAAAAAAAAAAAAGAAAAGAAAAGAAAAAGAAAGAAAAAACAAAGAGGCTGGGTGTGGTGGCTCACACCTGTAATCCCAGCATTTTGGGAGGCTGAGGCGGGTGGATCACGAGGTCAGGAGTTTGAGACAAGCCTGACCAACATGGTGAAACCCCATCTCTAATAAAAATACAAAAATTAGCCAGGCATGGTGGTGGGCATCTGTAATCTCAGTTACTCAGGAGGCTGAGGCAGGAGAATCGCTTGAACTCGGTTGGCAGAGCTTGCAGTGAGCCAAGATCGCGCCACTACACTCCAGCCTGGGTGACAGAGTGAGACTCCATCTCAAAAAAAAAAAAAAATCTAGGAAACTGTGGGGTGGGGAGAGTTGGAGGGGTGGACGGGAGTCAAATAAAAACCAGCCTTACTGAGTGTTATTGGAATTCACTCCTCACTTGACCAAAAATGAGCAATCTGACCAAACTCCTCCACTAGCTCTACCTCCCAAGCCACATGCTTTCTGAGGGCCAAGGGTAAAGCCAGCTGTGGTTACGCATTTGGGCTAAAGAGACCAAAAACAAAAAAAAAATTATTTTGAAATGGATTACTCTTCAAAATTAAGGGTAATTGTGTGTAGCAGCCTGGAAAATACAGCTCATCCAGCTCTGCCACTGAACCCCACAGCACAAAACTCTGGCGTTCTAAATGCAATTCTGAACTGAAAAAAAAAAAAAGACACAAAGGGCGGAAGGAAGGGTGGAGGGTTGCTATAGGGCTGGTGAACTGTAAGAAGGCGGCTGCCTAGGGGAGTCATAGCTAGTCTATAACCCAGCATATTTCTACGGCACTTAAGCCACTCGATGGTGTTCTGGACTACGACAGCAGCCAAGCAGAGAAGGTAAATAAAAGGCTGACAGATAATTACATAAGAAAGTTAACATGGCAAGATTAGGACAGAAATCTAATATACAAAGTGGGAAAGGACTTCGCATAAAGCAGTACCTTGAAGGCTTCTCCCTGACCTGCTACAATGTCCTGGTCGCACTAATGGAATATCAATAACCATTACTATCCAACTAGTCAAGGTGGATTTGACAAGCAAAGGAGGAGGCACTGAACTCACTTAACTCATTCCCACACAGACATTTCCTTTGTCTTGTGACAAAGGCCTCTGAACAAGCCAAGCTGAGCTTTGCTACCCACCTCCCTCATTTCATTTATCTTATTGCCATTATGTAAAGGTTACAGTTAAGGCAGTAACCAGTGGTCAGAATTCAAAACGTTGTTAAGAAACTGAGACAAAAACTCACTAGTTACAGTGTTTTTCAGCCACAGGTACTAGGAAGAAACATGCATGGAAAGGAAACTTGAAAAACATTTGGATTAGAGAAACAACTGCAGTATAAGAGAGAAGAGAGCTAGAAAGGAAACTTGGAGAGCTGGAGGAAAGAAATGAACATAAAGGGTGAGCCCTCTCATTTATTAATACACCACCTTAGACTCTAAGGAATAACCAGTAAGGAGAAAACTGGGGCACTTATAACTGCTGTTGAAAGTCTAGACTATCTGATAACACACAACTGGTCTCACTAACACAGGAAGACAAAGCAGCAGTTCTCAGCTTGGGGACAGGAAAATTGATAGGACAATCTGCAATACCTGGAGACATCTGGGGTTGTCACAAACGACTAATGTACTGGCATTAGTGAACAGAGGCCAGGGAAGGCAGTAAACATTCGACAGTACACAGGACAGCCCTTACAACAAAGGATTATCCAGCCCGAAATGTCAATAGCACTGAGGCTGACACTGCCTGAAATAATGGGTCAGTAAAATGGCCAACAGCCTACAAGTAGAAAAAGAACCGTACAAGTAGCCTCAGCATCGCCCAAAGGAGAAACCATCACGGTCAAAGGACTCCAGTCTCTGGTTTTCTTAGTTGGTATGAATCTATCAACAAGAGAATTAGCAAAAGTT
This sequence comes from Homo sapiens, assembly GCF_000001405.40. Classification (NCBI taxonomy): domain Eukaryota; kingdom Metazoa; phylum Chordata; class Mammalia; order Primates; family Hominidae; genus Homo; species Homo sapiens. Next base: position 37,442,399 of record NC_000007.14, read on the forward strand.
ATGAGGAGCTGGAAAACACTGTCAAGTATATTCCCCTTCCAACTGGTTCCTTCCCAGGTGGTTCCATGCTTTTGCCTTCACCATGACTCATCCACAGAGGAAAAATGTTGGCTAAAGAATAAACGCCCATTCTTCTTGGCAAATACTGTTCTCATTTTTTATTAATAAATTGCATTCTAGCTCATATGCTTCAATATCATGAGGTTGGCTGATGGACATACTGTCCCTGAGAGAAGAATCCATTGACTCTCAAAACTAAGGTCAACTTTAGAATGAGATACCCAAAGAGAGGGATTGACTCTGAAGAACTAGGACTCAGTGGCAGCATTGACATCCCTGGATACCATGGCAACCCAGGGCACATCCATCTGCAGGACATACAGGAGTGAAGAGCCTCTCTGGACACCACTGCAGCATAGCTCCACATGGCATCCTGGCCTCAGAGGCTGGCAAGTCCAGTGAACCAACAAAAGAAGGAACTAACCAGTGCAGACATCATGGTGCAGGAGAAAGAAACAACGCAGTAAAACGAGTCAGAAAAGTTGGGTTTAAGGCTCAGATGCACTCTCTAAGTATGCTTGTGACATTTCATTCCTCCAAGCCACATCTGTAAAATGGGATAACAATACTATTCTGACTGTTCTCCATCATTTCCAAAACAGCATCCCCAGAGGAAGGGTGTGTCAGGCCACAGAGAAAAATGTCGCATTGATCCTATGACTCCACCTCCACTGAGAGAATGCTTTATAGGGCTTACCTGATTTTCATTCCCTCAAACCACCATTCCCTATCCAGAGTACAACCCACTGAACACATCTCAGTCCTTAGTCCAGCAAGTTGTGCCTCTCCAGTGTTTTCTACTGAGGAAAGTTTTGTTTTCTACCTTAACTGTTAGAACTAAAACAGTCAAAACTGTAGCCTCAATTCCTAAAATTGAAGTTCCAATAATAATTCTGTTCAGATTCTGGAAATCAGTGTTTGTGGGGGCCCGGAACACTGAGAATCGTCTCCTTCTATTTATACATGTGACTAATTTCTCGACTCAGCACTATGCCAGTTTGTTACTGTAGTTAATTCTGTTTGATGAGCTAGCATTCCTTCTCCCACACGTATTCCTATCTGATACTTAACTGTTCACCCCACCTTAGGCCAATGACCAAATTCTGCTCGTACCGTACCTGCACTTATATTGTAACAGGTTAGAAAATACAGCACTAAGACACAAGTAGTTAATGTAATCAGGAATCATGATATGGCTTTGCAGGCTTTAGTTCTGGCTAATATAGATAAGTTCCAATTGTTAACACTCAAACAACCCAAATTATCCAGGGAAATAAGCATTGCAACCAGTGTGTGCATTGTACATGCAGGCTGGCTTTGCTGAACCTAAAAATGCTGTGCTGGCATACTGGAAGGCTTTCATGGCCACACACATGGTCCTGGGAGCCACACCCTGTGGAATGACTGGCCTTCATGATCCTTTTATTATGGACAGTGCAGAAGTTCTCAGACTCTTTTTTTAAAGAGATGGGGTCTTTTTCTGTCCCCCAACCTGGAGCACCGTGGTGAGATCACAGCTCACTGCAGCCTCAGACTCCTGGACTCAAGCCATTCTCTTGCCTCAGCCTACCAAGTAGCTGGGACTACAGGTGCATGCCATCATACCCAGCTAATTTTTTAACTTTTGAGAGATGTGGTCTCGCTATGTTGCCCAGGCTGAGTTGTCAGCCTTTGACTTTCTTCTTTGGATAGCCAATCCAAGCCCAGGTCAGCTAAAATGCTTCACCTAATCATGCATCCCAGCAGTGTGGCTGCCTCCAGAAGAGATTACAACTGTCTTTGTAATTAGAATCATTCATGTGGGGAACACTAGATGTAAAATATGAAAGGAGAAGTTGAGCAGAGTAAATTTCCAAAGACCTCAAAAGTTCTAAACTAAAACTTGGTGAGAAAAGGGGATAGTCTGTCGATTTTATTCTAAGTAAGGTTAAAGAGTTATTGCAAAGGGAGCTACTGCCTTTCTGCATCACTAAAGTGAAAAGCATGTCACTTGAGTTTCTAGTTCCTCCAAGATGGCAGCATGAGGGCCTAGCGCACTGGCAAGTTCTACAAATAGTGGCATTTTTTTTTTTGAGATGGAGTCTTGCTCTGTCGCCCAGGCTGGAGTGCAGTGGCGCAATCTCAGCTCACTGTAAGCTCTGCCTCCCGGGTTCACTCAATTCTCCTACCTCAGCCTCCAGAGCAGCTGGGACTACAGGCACCCACTACCACGCCCGGCTAATTTTTTTTGTATTTTCAATAGAGACGGGGTTTCACCGCCTTAGCCAGGATGGTCTGGATCTCCTGACCTCGCAATCCACCCGCCTCGGACTCCCAAAGTGCTGGGATTAGAGGCGTGAGCCACCGCGCCCGGCCAATAGTAGCATTTTGAAAAGTTAAGTCAATAGCCGACAGAACTGCATCTGGTTCAACATTTGGAAATAGCATCTCCTGCAGGGGGTTAAACCAACAGTATTTTGTTAAAAGGAGATAGCTAAGTATTTCTTGTAGCCCTCTAGAACGTCGTCATCAGAATCCCTGGCAAGTTGGTTAAAAATGTAGTTTTCCCCAGAATTATTGAAACAGGCTTTTTAAAATCGTTACCTACACTGAGCAATACTTTGACATTAAGACTGGGTGTCTGTTTTATGAAATGCTGTTTTCCACACCACTCTTCTCTTTCACATTTTAAACTGCTGGTCTTGGCCTACTAAAGTGATATCATGATCCGCTCATGGGTTACAGCCGTAAGCTTAAAAAGCACTTCTCTGGTTGACTAGAAGGAACCAGAACTAAAGTTGCACAATTAGTAGCAAACACTCCAGGCTTTGTGATGCAGAGAGGGTTTCTTAATCCACCACGTTTTCCAGATTCAACAGAATGTCTTATAAACCAAACTATCTACTTGGATGGTTTCAGGCACCAAAAAGTGGTTACAAGCTTGAGTTACAAACCTTAATTGTATCCACTGTCTTAGATCTGGAAGGGAAATGTTACCTCCATAGGAATGATCACCTTTAACCCTTGAGCATTAGGCAACCTGATGAAGTAAGCACAGTGTGTGATCAGGTGAGCTCCTTGCCTCACCCCCAGCCACATCCTTCAGCAAAGGCTTCAAAGCCCTTTCCCCACCCGCCCCACCCACTCACACCAAACACCCAAAGGGGTTAAATTACTTTGAAACACTCAAGAGTTAGCTTCTTTTCAATATAGTAATTTAGTAAATGTTCAAGACTTAGCTGCACCTGCAGAACACCTTAATGTTTTCTCACTTTTATTTTTCTTCTCCTAGGCATTTCTCATCTCCCCTGCATCTGCCACACAGCCTCCCTTACAGCCTCCTGTCTTCACTTCCATATTGTAGGAGAGCAGAATGGGACACAGTAGATGCCTCTGACTTCAATCCCCTTACAATCATGCCCTTCCTCCTAGGCTAAAGCAACACAGACTTCTTTAAAAGACCTTCTCCAAGGAGAGTGATGAAACACCAGATCTGGAATGGTTATGTGTCATTAAGTGTACTGGTTATCTAATCTCCCAAGGAATCACCTCTCTGTTCCTTTCTTCAGGCAGAAAAAGGGAGGAGTCTACTCAAGGCAGAACAGAGTCTAAAAGAAGAGTGGCCTGGCATGGGGGAAAGGACAGCGAAAAAAGCAAAAGCCCATTACCTGGGCTTCTCACTTGCACTAATGCTGCAACATTTTCCTGGTATATTTCCCTGGTGGATCTCTCCCAGTATAGCCACCTCTCATTTAGTCAGTCAACAAACACTTATTGAGCACCGACATCATGCTAAGAATCCATCCAGGTTCTGGAGCTGTAAACAAGACAAGGTAGTCACTACCCTCATGGAACTTCTGCTCTAACAGGGAGAGAGACAATACTCAAAATACACCAATGACTGTATAATGCCAGGGAGTAAAAGGTACTAAGACAAAAAACTGAGTAACATAAGAGGCCCAGGGAGTGTCTGGCTGCTATTTTATATGGGGTAGCCAGGGAAGGCCCCCTATAAGCTGACAACTGGACAGAGACCTGAAAGAAGCAGGGGAAGTGAGTCATCTGGACATGTGGGAGAAAAGCTCCTCCTGTAATATCATGGGCAAAGGCCCTAGGGAGAGAACTCAGTGAAAAAGAAGAATGTAAGACGGTGAGGGTGCCTGCAGTTACCAAGGACAGTAAGCATGACCATCACTAGAACTGCCCATCTTCTTGCCCAATGACTGCTCCAGGCCCTGAGTTTCCCCAGACTCCCATCCGGGTCTGCCTCCGAGCCTGCCCCTCCCTGATACCTACCATACTTCTTGTTCTCCAGTTCAGTACCCTCCTGACACAACCCCTCCCCAAGAGTCCCAGCAGTCCAGGTCATTTTCTCAAAATTTACCAACCTAATAAAAACAAACAAAACAGAGTAGAAACAAGGCAGCATGCACATTTAACCACAGCCTTCCAGAGATAGGAAATGTACAATAATAAAGAGTAAAGCTTCAAAAGGTCAGCTATAAGAAAAATTAAAAATATGTGATGTTTCTGCAGGGGATCTGGCCTCCTAACTTACCATTATTTTCCCCCAGATCTGTAAATTATGGGACATTAATGCTTGAAACAACCTTGGAAAGTAGGCATGGAGGTGAGATAATATGAGAACCCTGGCCAGAGGAGACCCCAATAATAGCTGCTGCCGGTTTTTGCAATCTCAAAGTGATTCTGAGAAGGATTATATCCCTCTATGTCCCAAAGTTGCTCGCAGGGTTTTGGTGTGTAAATACAGGTCATTAATTACTTTTATAGAAGCAAAAGAGAAACACTCAGATATTCTTCCATAGCTTCATCCCCAAGTCACTGGCAGCGCCCAACAGGAAGCCTCCGCTTCTGGAGGCCTCAACCCGTCTTAGATTATCTGAAATCTTAACCATAACGAATTAGGCCCGAATCATTCAAGGCCAGCGGTGTTGGGAAGCCCATGATCCAGCGCGGGGGGCATCCCAAATATATTCACTGAGTCTCGGGAGCCGTCCAGGGACTCTCAGAGCTGGGTCACTACCTGGGACCAAGCCTGAGGCTGGTCCTTTAGGTCAAGGCAGGTCCCGACCCGCCTCCAACTTCAAATGGCCCCCTAGGCGGGAGAGGGTCACTGGGCGGGGAGTTCCTGGCTGTGCGGTCACACACACACACACCGACTCACACACACACCCACAACACCCCCCCCACACACACACACTCACACACACACCGACGACACACCACACACACATACATACGCGCGCGCGCACACACCACACACACACACACACACACACACACACACACACGCCGCCTCGCGCGCGCTCGCGGCACAGCACCGACTTCCCAACCCCAAACACACGCGCGCACCCCCGGGACAGCTGAGTTCTGTATTTCCTCTTCCTCAAAGCGACTCCGGCGATCGCAGTCGCCACTCTCCGCTCCGATTCCCGGGCCCCCTGGCATGCCGCCGCCCCCTTCTCTGAAGGCGCGCCCGGTGCGTCCCCTCTCCGAAGCCGAGATTTCCACGAAGCTCCACAAAGCTCCCCGCCGCCTCTCTCGGTCTCGGCGGAGACCCCGGTGTGTCCCCGGGAGGAGAGTATTTACTAACCAGAACCTCAGGGGCTCCCGGCTGCCCAGACCGCCCTCTCCGGCCCTCCTGGCCCCCATTCCTCTGGCCCATCACCGCCCCCTCCCACGAGCGCGCTCGCCGGGGGATTCCCTCCCATCCCCGAGTGCAGGAGAAGACGCCGAGTCTGAGCCGCAGCCGCTTCTCTAGCTCTATAGGAATCTTGACTCCAAGATCCCAGCCCCACATCCCCCGTCCCCAGTAACCCCGCGCCAGCGTCGCAACCCTCCCGCGCCCCCCCTCCCGCAGACCCTGGTCGAAATGTCTCGGCGGGCTCCCGGGCCCCGGGCCCTGCGCTTCATCCGCGGGCGCCGCACCTCCAGCGCCCCCTCCCTCCGCTCCCACTCCCACTCCCGCCATCCCCGGAGCTCAGACTTCCCCAACTGCAGAGCGCCCCGACGCGCCCGCAGCCCTCACCCTGCCGAGCGCGGCGGCCACCCCCGCCCGAGCCGCGGCGCCCCCAGGGAGGAAACAAAAGTGTCTCCGCGGCGCCCGGAGTCCCCCGGAGCAGGACGCCTCCTCCCGGCCCCAGTCCCGGCCCCCTCCCCTGCCGCGCCGAGGTCAGCGAGTCGGGGCGCGGCGCCAGCCCAGGAAACTTTACGAACCTGCTTGGGGTCGCAGGACAGCAGCGGCAAGGGTTCCCGGCGATCAGAGCTCCGGCGACCCGCCACCATTGAAGGGGAACTGGAGGCTCTGTCGCCCAGCGTGGGGCCGCGGCGGCGTGGGTGGCTCTGCCTCTATCCTGTGCCCATCCTCGCCCGCTCCCGCTCGCCCCAGCACACGCACTTACACTCTGGGTCGGCCGGCTGCTGCACCGCCGGCTGCCGCTGCTCTCACTTCCTCTTCCTTCCTCCTGCTGGCCAGAGACACATTTTGCATCTGCAAGGCATCCGGAGATCAGCCGCGAACTCTCCTCCCGAGCGGACGCTGCGGAGTTGCAGCCGCCGCCCCCGGCACCTGCGCCAGGACACTCGTGGTCTGCGCGTTCGCCTTGCGCCCGCACCCTGCCTGGTCCCTGCCCACTGCACTTTGCCTAGGGGGATGCCCACGACTTTTTGAAGTCCCCCTACTTAAAAGACAGAAATGTCAAACACCATGCATGCCTCAGATCTGCTATAAATAATATGTGTGCAGAGCATGACTTCGATGAGCTCACACACGGCGTTTGGAGGCACTAATTAACTCCGTCACCCTCATAGCGCCATCTCCGGGAGGCCAAAAGCGAGTAGCATCTTTTCACATCCTTTTTTAATTTTTGGCAACCGGTTCCGGATATTAAGGGGAAACTTCGGTGGGCTGTTTGAACGCTACTTTAAGACGTGTTTGTTTTGACGCTGTGCCTCTACCCTTGGACAGAGTGGCAAAAAAAAAAAAAAAAAGTTTCCTCCCTCTCCGTCGACATCTATGTATTTACTAACCCTGCAATTGAAACTACAAGATGTATTTCTAACCAATTAAGCCAGGGACTTCCTAATTTTGCATAACTTTGCATAAGGCAAGACGTTCCACCCATAATTTGATATTTAGAATAAATTACTTAATTCATGCAACCTACTTAAATCATTTTCAAAGCAGAAATCAAAAACGTTAACTCCCAGCCTAGCTGGCAGGAGGGAAGAGGGTTGCAGGCGAACCACCTGTCCTCCCCCAGTTCAGAAATACCTACATTGGCTCTACCGGAAAAGTCAAAGGCAGTTCGGCATTTTCTTCTAATTGGCAAAGGAAATAAGTCGGGGGCAGGGAGGCATCAGAATCAAGGTGGAAAACTAAGCTCCCTTTTAAGATCTTCCCCCTCAAGAGCCACAGGCAGCTGTTGAGCACTTGAAATGTGGCTATCCCTGAGATGTTCTGTAAGTGTAAAACAGACATACAATTCAGTATTTTTAAAATGAATGTAAACTAACTTGTTAAGTATGTTTATGTTGATTACATTATTGCAATACATGAGAATAGTCTGATGTAGTAAGTCAGTTGGATTCGTCATGTGTTGGGTTAAGATATAAGCATATATAAGATTAATTTCACCAGTTTCTTTTTACATTTTCTGATGTAGCTACTAGAAAATGTAAGGCTACACATAGGCTCTCATTAGTGGCTCACCTTATACTTTTAATGAACAGCTCTGATCTAACTCCTTATTATACGCATGACTCTGGGAGGCAGTATTAGTATCAAGAGTGCCTGGGTCCAGATGGTTATAAGCCAGTAACTAAAGCAGGGTGACTGCAGGAAAGCAACTTAACTTCTGTATTTCCTCATCTATAAAACAGTAATGATATAATAACAAAAGTCAATAGCACCAACTATTAAATGAAGTAATTTAATAAGTAGTCAGTAAATGGAGCCTTTACTAACGATGCTCTGAGACACTTGTAGTGATAAGTATGAATTTGATCTACAACCTTGTAGCTAAGGCATATAAAGACCTTAACTTTAGTGCATGCGTGGTGAGCACTCAGTAAACATTAGCTGTCATAATTGTTCCCTCCTTGCACAGCAATTATGCAAATCCACTCCCCTGTAACCTTTGGTCCCGGGTCTTCACATCTTTCCTCCATGAAGTAGTCTTTCAGATCTTTGAAGTCAGCCCTCAAATTTTACCTAAACACTCTCTTTTGAGGATTAACCATCCTCAATTATTCTGACTCTTCTTCATGTGACATGGCTTCAAGTCTCTCTCATTTGAGCCATCTTCTCCCAGAAGAATATCTGTCTCTGCCCTTTAAAAAAAAAAAAGAAAAAAGAAAAAAAGAAAAAAAAGTAGTCTTATAGATTAATTACGTAATTAACCATTAGCAAACACAATACAGCCTGAGATCTTCTCTCTCTCTCTCTTTTTTTTTTTTTCTCAAATACATCTCAGTGTTGATAGGAGTGCAAGGGGAAGACTGGAAATTCTTTACAGTGTTACGGTTAGGCCATGTGCGGGAACATGGAGTTGATCTTTGGAACCAAAGTTCCTGATCCACTTTCTCTAAGTCCCTTAGGATTTAATTCAGGCATCCAGTGTCTCCCCATATCCATGGATTACATTAAAATATTAAGATGCCACATGACATCCCACTAAGGAGCTCCCTCTGCTAAGCTGGGAGAATAGCATTCTTTGGTTCACTGGTTATTAATAAACTGCTTAACAGTGCAATTGCCAAACTTCAATTTTCTCTTCTATTCATAAAGACATCTTAGAAGTATTGTCAAGTGTCTTAGAGGAACCCGCCTTCTCCCTCAGCTCTGCTGGTGGTCAGCAATGGATGCAATAAAGTGGAATATGTGGTGTTGTCATGTATGTGGGCTCCATCTTTGGACCTGGTTGTTGTGTATAAATCCCACCATTACCATTTACTGGCTGCATTACTCTTAACTCATGAGATTGAAACCATGTCTGCCAGATACGGTTAAGTGAAGATTAAATGAGTTAATTCATGAAAAATTCTTAACAGGGCCTAACACATAGAAACACTCATTGAATGTTAGCTATTATTATCTACAATAGTTCTTCAATGGACAAGTCATATTAACAGACTCAAAAAATAAAAGAGCAACATCCACTCCCTCTTTTCACATGTCAGTCTCCACCCATAATGGTGAGAAAGATCTGTTGCCACTGTCCCTTCTCAGCTCCTGGTCACAGCTTGGGCCATTCAATCATTAGGTCATGCTTTAGCAGTGAGGACGGCCATTTTATAGCAAGGAACAGAATCCAAGTGCATCCCTTCACTTGCACTTCTGGTAAGCCCACCTGGGCAGAACTTAGACCTTTGTGCAGACAGGCCAGCCTCATCCACATCTCAAGTGGTTAGGGAGACTGATTCAGGATCTCCTCTGTAGAACCATCTGTCTTAGTTTCAGGATAAGTAGAGGAAAAGAGAGCAGGGTAGGGACAGATGGCTGGAAAATCAAAATCACTTAAGCCTCAAGTCTAAGCTTCATTCCCCCACCGTGTTTCTATAAGAAAGCTTTGAATTGTTAATGGACAGAGAGGTATTTGGGGCAGTTTCTCATATTTAAATACTTTGATCTTGTGTTTCCCATGTCTTTATCTTTCCTTGTGTGTACAAAATTCCAAACTAGGAGGATTGAGATCCTATCAAAATGTCACCATGCAAAGTGTCACCATGAAACCCCAAACTGCAATAATGGCCTGTTGTATTTTTAATCAATGATGACTCACATTGATCAACTCCTTCCTAAGTGCTCATAAATATTAATTTCTAATTTAATTTTTAAACATTGGATTCTAAATGGATCCTGTGCATTTAATAATACATTCAGTAATTTGCTCCAAATTTCTGCTCCAAATCAGCACTAAATTCCTTGATCTACAGTTTGACAAATCTATTCCCTTTTCTTGTGTTAGAATCAGGCTCATGCTGGTTTGCCTCCAGTCTTCAAACAGCTCTGGGGACATAGAGAGTTGCCTCAGCTCCAGGAAGCCGCTACACCAGGGATAATGAGATCTGGGCAGCAGGCAGACACCTGCAATTTAGAGCCACTAGGGTCAGCCCTGGAACAAGCAGAATGACACGGAGGGCTGCTGTGAGAGGGCATTCCTTCACTTGATCGTTCATTAATTCAACGTGCACTGAATGCTTTAAATGTGAGTTTAAAAGGGAGGAAGGGAGAGTACAATCACGAACAAGACAAACATGGCTTGCCCCCTTTTGGCACTCCCATTCTAGCTCAGAAGACAGATTTTAAATGGCCATAAAAACAAGTGAGGAGTATAATATTAGGAGAAGGACAGAAGATTGCAGGACTATGCGGAGACAGGGATGCTAACATCATCTGTAAGTCAGGAAAAGCCTCCTGGGGAAGTTCTGTTGATTTGAGACCTGAAGGGTGAGTGAGGAGGTGTTATCCAGGACAAAAAGACAAAAGGAAGTAGGTTGGTAATGAGGAAGGATTCTAAGCAAAAACAGTTAACTTTGTATGAAGGTTCACATCAAGCTTGTCCAACCCACGGCCCACAGTCCGCATGTGGCCCAGGACGACTTTGAATGCAGTCCAACACAAAATTGTGAACCTTCTTAAAACATTATGAGTTTTTTTGTGATTTTTTTTTTAGCTCATCATTAGTGCTAGTGTATTTTATGTGTGGCCCAAGACAATTCTTCTTCTTCCAATGTGGCCCAGGGAAGCCAACATTGGACACCCCAGGAGAAATCATAGTGTGGGAGGAACCTTAAAAAGTCTATTTGGCCAAAGTCTGAGAGTATCAAAATTAAATCTAAAAGTAATGGGCAAAAGCCAAAATTGGGAAGCCCTTGAGAGTCATATCACAGAATTTGGATGTATTAAGGATGATGGAAAGGCCTAATAAGTTTTGGATTTGGTTTGTTTTCCACTGAAATGTTTTAAGCAACTGATGGTTGTGGTCAGTTGTTGTTTTAAAGGTCATCCTACTAAATAGTGAATGAATTAGTGGGGAGACAAAAATGCATGTGGGAAGAATAATGTCTTAGTCTGCTCATTCTGCCATAACAGAATTCCATGGACTGGGTGGCTTAAAGAACAGAAATTTATTTTCTCACACTTCTGAAGGCTGGAAGTCTGAGGTCAGAGTGCTGACATGGTTGGCTTCTGGTGAGGGCTCACTTCCTGGCCCACAGACTGCTGCCTCCTTACTATGTCCTTACATGGCAGAAAGAGCAAGAGAAAGCTCTCGGGTATCTCTTCTTACAAGGGCACTAACCCCAGCAGGAGGTCACCACCCTCAAGGCCTCATCTCAACCTAATTACTTCTCAAAGCCCCATCTCCATATACCATCACATTTGTGGTGAGGGCTTCAACATACGAATTTTGGGGGAGAACAAGCATTCAATTCATAACCAACAGATATGGAATTATTGCATTGAGGTCAGAGATGATGGGAGCCTAAGTCATGCATTAATGGAGAAGCTGAGGAGAACTAGAGAAATTCAAGTGTTAGTTACGTTTGCAGTAGAGGGCACGTAGAACTGATGTTCACTCTGGTTGGGGAAGCTCTCAAACTAGCAATTTGCTTTTGTCTTCCTGCATCGGCTCAACCAAACACTAAACTTGCTTGGCTTTCTTGTAGCCTAGTGTCCAACACAATATCACCTACAACATTTATTCCCAGGTCGAGGACAGACTGAAGATGTAAAAGGGATGACTCCCCTCTTGTTTGACTTTCTGTGACACCATTACTTTGCATTCATCTCCAATGTGTCCCCATTTCTTAATCATTATATTACTGTCCATTGGTGAAGAACATCCACCCAAAAATGCAAAATTTACTGTCTGCACCAGTACCCCTCTGCTCCAGCTGTTCCACCCTGCTTTTAAACAAAAAATATCTCCATGGACTTCTAAGTCACCTATTAATCAGATGTGTTCTCCTGTTTCGAGTTTTGCTGGGTAGGTTTATCAAGACTTCTTAGATCTATATCCATTGTCTACCACCCAGTGTCTGATGAACAACAGCCAAAGAAATAGTATTAATCAGTAACTCAAGGAATCCCTCCAATATTACAATAAATACTGACAACAGGATTGACTGAACAGTCTCATGAGAGCAAAATTTACAGAATATTTAAATGTCCATGCTTTGAAGTCTACAGATGTGAAAATCCTAGCTCTACTTCTTAATAGCCACGTAACTTATTTTTCTCTAAGCCTATAAAACATGGATGTTGGGATAATGATACTTCTTTCAGACAGTGCCTAGCACATACTGAATGCTCAAAAATGGAGCCAACATGAATGCTAACCACTATACACTTGTAATGGTTATTAATCGATTGCATGACAGTCAGGTGAAAGTACCAATATTCTTTACTTTGTCTTCAAAATGTTTTAAATAAATATATGTCCATTTACTATTATTAATAAATATTATTAGTAAGTAAATATTTACTAATTTATAGATATATAATGAATATATACATTCACAGTCCTAGTCCCTAGAGGTCAACACACTGAGTTTTTTCTTTTTTGAATTTTTTGGTAATTCATGCCATGCTTCCAACTGTACTATTTTGTTTGACCAACTTCAGACAGTATTTATTAACTCCCTCCTCTGAAAAGCTTTCATAACTTTTGTTTACTTACCTCTCTTTCCTAATCTTCTATTATTTCTTTGATTGTATAATAGCTTTTTTTATTGATAAATTTTCTATCTCATGGGCCTTCTGATATTCTCATTCACGTCACTTAACTTTTCTCTCATTGTTTCTATTCCTATGAGTCTTAGTAGTGCCCTCTGGGACAATCCTCTGGCTCTATCTTCCAATTCGTTAAGTCAGTCTTTAGCCTTGTCTATTCTTTCTATTTATGTAGTTAAGTGGTTTTCAAATTTTTAATGATCATAATTTAAATTTCTTAATTTTCTCATTGGCAGTTTTTTATAATTACCTCTAATGGGCGCTGTGGGCACACCCCCTCATCCCCTGGCTCAGGACCAAGGTGCTGCATCATCCAATCACACAACTGATGGCTGATGCCCGAATACAGCTCCAGAGCTCCCCATGAAGTTGGCTGGGTCCTCTGTTGTGACTACATTGCATCTCAACTTCTTCCTCTGCTCAGTCCTGCTTACCTCAGTTTTTCTCAAGTGTGGATCTCAAGGGTACTCCTAAGTCACCCTCCAGTATGCAAGCCTCAGTCTCAGAGTATGTGTCCTGGACAACCTGACCTAAGACATCAGCTGCTCTTGTTTTATGGATATAATAGCCTCTCTTATTGCTGTGAGGCTATTAGTATTTCTTCCAAATTCTTTTTTTTTTTTATTTACTCTATTACCTCTACTTTCCTAGGTTATAGTTACTCAGTTTAAGTTGGATGTCTCCTTGTTTGCATGCTGAACTTTACTAATGTGATTCTCTGTTCACCTGCCAGCTGTTTCTATTTTCTGCAGCTTGCAACTGGTGATCCCGGAGAAGAAGAAATGGATTGCCAGGTGGACATGCCGGTAGTTTATCTCCAGTGTGTGGTAGCACTCCCCCTCCAGGAGATGAGAGGATACCTGGAGCCCCTCCATTTCAACCCAGTTGCTCATATTCACTGCCCTGTGGGGAAGGAAGAGTAAGGCTGTGAGCTCCTCCGCAAAAAGTGATAGTTGGGGCAGAGAAGAGAGAGAGTAGTCCCACAATTAATCAGTACCCTTGGACACTTTCCTTTCTTTGTGTGTGTTTATGCCAGACTCAGAGCACCCTTGAACCAAATGGCTTCTACCTTTGTGGTAGTAATTTTCAGCTTAGATTTGGGGCTGTGGTGCCAGGCACGGTGGCTCACACCTGTAATCCCAGCACTTTGGGAGGCCGAGGCAGGTGGATCACCTAAGGTCAGGAGTTCAAGACCAGCCTGGCCAACATGGTGAAACCCTGTCTCTACTAAAAATACAAAAATTAGCCAGGTGTGGTGGCATGCACCTCTAATCCCAGCTACTCAGGAGACTGAGGCAGGAGAATTGCTTGAGCCTGGGAGACGGAGGTTGCAGTGAGGCAAGATGGTGCCACTGCACTCCAGCCTGGGCAACAGAGCAAGACTCCATCTCAAAAAAAAAAAAAAAGAAAGAAAAAGATTTGGGGCTGTGGTTTCCTTCCATTTTAATCTCCTCAGTCTCTGATCTAGTGCTACATCATTAAACCTGTCACCTTTGAGGAAGAATGTATCAAGGGTCAAGATCAAACAGATTCTCTCTTTTGACATTCTCTCAGTTGCCCCAAATTTTGATATAATTCAGTATACTTTATGGAGATACCATGCCTTTCTTTGTGTTTTGCTCTCATTGGAGTTTTAAATTGCTGAAACACATGGAAGTCTTCTATGTTGTAAAAAATGAAATCCACTTTCCCCTGGGTGTGGTGGCTCATGCCTGTAATCCCAGCACTTTGGGAGGCCGAGGAAGGTGGATCACCTGAGGTCAGGAGTTCGAGACCAGCCTGGCCAACATGATGAAACCCTGTCTCTACTAAAAATACAAAAAATTAGCTGGGCGTGGTGGCACGCACCTCTAATTCCAGCTACTGAGGAGGCGGATGCAGGAGAATTGCTTGAATCGGGGAGGCAGAGGTTGCAGTGAGCCAAAATCATGCACTCCAGCCTGGGCAACAAGAGGGAAACTCCATCTCAAAAAAAAAAAAAAAATGGAATGCACTTTCCTCTTGAAATCATCCTCCATGTCTAAGGATTATACCCCTTCTCTTCAGGTCCAGCCATGCTCTTAGGCTCTGCTATGAATAATATTGCATAATTACAATGCTGTAAATTCTGTTTTTCAATTTTTAGAATAAATCTATAGATAAACTTTAATTATAGTGTCAAGATAGAAGGTAGCAGAATGTAAGTGTAGTAAACATCCAAAATGTAAAAGTAATATTAAGTGTGGAAATCTAGTGTCCTCATGATGCATATCTACCCTTCTTCTAGCACCAAATCCCCCAAAAGAAAAGATATAAAAAGAAGACTCCATAGCCACTCTAGAAAAAGGAAGAAATAAAAAAAGGAAGGGGAAAAAGGAAGAAAGGGAGGAAGGAAAAAAGACACCAGAAGTTTTGGAAAACAGATTTTCTGTCCCAGTTTGGCCCACTTTCCTGCTGTTTGCCAAGGGTTTCGTCTCATTATTCTCTGTTCATTTCCATGGTTTCTTGAATACCTTGTCTGCTGCTTTCACAGACTTCTTTCTCCTCTGAAGTACATAGCACCTTATAATTTTTTTCCAGAAAGTATAAATGGAAGGTAAACTTTCCTGAGAAGCTGCATGTCAGAAAACATCTTTGTTTTGAAGTTACATTTGATTGTTTATTTAGTTATTGGATCATAAATATCAAAATGTTTTTCATCAGAATTATTAAAAGCGTTGTTCCTATCTTCAAGCTGATAAGAAATCTGAAGCCCAGGTGACCTTCTTTTGTGGTATGCCTCGTGTCTGTGTGTGTGTGTGCGCCTATGTTATATGTTCTCATTTCTAGAAGCATTTAGAATCTTCTCTTTATTCTTGCCATTCTGAACTGTTATCAGGATGGAGATGGGTGTGAATATTTTATCATTTTTCCCAATTGGCACTACTTAGGGAGTTTCAATCTAAAGACTTGTCTCTCTTCAGCCTGAGGAATTTTGTCCCCATTTTTTAAACATTTTCACTCTATTTTCTGTAATCTCCTTCCTAGAAGTTCTATGTAAGTCAGTGTTGGATCTTCTGTATTCTGTATCAACTCTTTTTATCTCCTACCTTACTTTTTTTTTTTTTTTTTTTTTTTTTTGAGACAGAGTCTTGCTCTGTCGCCCAGGCTGGAGTTCAGTGGTTTGATCTCAGCTCACTGCAACCTCTGCCTCCCATGTTTAAGTGATTCTCCTGCCTCAGCCTCCTGAGTAGCTGGGACTACAGGTGCATGCCACCACGCCCAGCTAATTTTTTGTATTTTTAGTAGTGATGGGGTTTCACCCATGTTAGCCAGGATGGTCTCAGATCTCTTGACCTCGTGATCCACCCCCCTCGGCCTCCCAAAGTGCTGGGATCACAGGCATGAGCCACCGCGCCCAGCCATGTCCTACCTTTCTTCCTTTGTTTGCTCAGTGCTGTTCTGGAAGTTGTCTTTGACTTTATCCTCTGACCCTTATATTGAATTATTTTAGTATCAGCCATCGTGTGTTTTAGTATTTCTAATTATTCCTTTTTTTATGGCAGCCCATTTTCTCTTTTAAGGACATAATATTTTCTCAAATCTCTGATGACATTTTGATTAAAAGTTATTGGGTCTTATTTTTAAAATTCTCTTTGTTTCCTGAGTTGTCTGTTAAGCTGGGGTCCATTTTTTCTGTTTCTTAGCCTTGATTCTTAACTCAGGCACTGATGTGTTTTTCTGATAGTTTAGTAATCATTAGTTTATATTCGCTAATATTTATGTCTGTGATGTGTGGCTGTTTTCAGCTGTTATGAAATTTCGTTTCCCCAGCAGGCTTCTCCCAGACTATGAGGACCACCTGTGAGCTCTGTGGATAGGGGATACTAGCAGTTCTGTCTTTAGGGTGTCCGTACACAGAACTGGCAGGCATGTTCTCATCCCCTCAGCTCACCGCTCCCAGTCTTGGGGATGTCAATTACAAACTTGCAGCCCCAGCCTTTTCTAGGCAAATCTTCCACCTCTGCAGACAGCAGCTCTCCATTTGTTAATCAGTGGTAAACAGAACAGCTTCTGGCCACTTTCTAAACATAGATGGAATCCACTGGCCCAGCTTTTCCATACCCTGTTCCTGTCACCACAGTCCTTGATGATTGCTCCACAGTCCATTCTTGTTCCCAATGCATGCAGGCTCTGAACTTGAAGCCAGCATGGAGTCTCCTGGACAGATTTGCTCCTAGACCTTTATAGCAGCCTTCTGTGTCTCTTCCAATAACAGCTCCCTCCACTTGGGTTGACACTCACTAAGATCCCATCTGCTCTTAAACTGCACAAATTCCTCAGAGCTCTGAACTGTGGTCCTCCCTTTCTGTTCTCCCTGTGGTTTCCTATTGATCCCCTCTGTCTGTCTGTTTTGTTACTTCAGTGGGATTTCTGGAAGCAAATGAGAAAACACAGATGCTCAGGCCACCATCTTCAATGCAAACCTCCCTTAATTTTCTAAATCACTTGAACCTAACTTGGCATCCACTGGCTGAGTTGACTGGAGATCCAATCTCCGTCTATTTTATGAGTTTATCACCCTCTCTATGATTATAGGAGTGAACTGGGCTGTTTATAGGTGACAGCAAAAGAAATCTCTTTGTTCTGGGTCTCATCATGATAGACCCTCCATGTTGGGGGTAGACACTGCTCACTCTCAGCCACAGGTGGCTATGGGGGCCTCACTTGCTGTGGTTACCAAAGCCCTGGTCCCTCCATGCAGCCAAGCCATCTCCTTATGGGCAGGGCAGCTTACCTGGATTTTTCAATATGTCAATTTCATGAAGACTTTTAAAAGAAAAGACAATAAGCCAAAATGAAAAGACAAATCCAGAGTAAAGAGATGAAAGACATCGACTCACATATAAAGAATGCATTGAGTAAGTCTTGATTAGAACCTGACTCTGGAGGGAAACCTATAAATATATTAGTTGTGTCAGTTGGAGAAACTTAAATATTCATTGGAGATTATATGATATTATAGAATTAGTCTTACTTTCTTAGATATAAAAATTATAGTATGCTTATGGAAGGGAATTTTCCAATATAACTATATAAATCAAATTTGGCAAAATGTTAATTCTTGAACCTAAGAGGAGGGTACACAGGCATTCTCTGAAGTATTCTTTTATTCTGTATCAGTATAAAATATTCTGTATATTTTAAAATTTTGTTAATAAAACATTGAAGTCAAAATTGTGCTCATTAGAGGGAGCAGTCCTGAGTTATTTCATCAAAAGACACCTGGGACTTGAGGTTTGCCTACAGTGGCTATCTGATGCAGAATATATGGGCCGATTACATTGAATTAACAGATTTTTCTGTAAGGTGCCCTCTCTGAGCCTCAGAATCTTGTTTACTGGAATGAGTTGTGATCTACCACGTGTTTTGAGGGGAGGGGTAAGCTACAAGAATATTTGAAGGGTTGTCTTTTATGTGAGATTTTTTAAGGACCACAAAAAGATGAGTTGAAAATGAATGAATTCTTATGTTGAATAAAAACTTATGTCTTTAATTGTTTAGTTAACTTATGCTTAATTCTATTTCATAAATGCCACATACTGTGGCTCCATTTTTTGTTTTTGTTTTGTTTTTGTTTTTGTTTGAGACAGAGTCTCGCTCTGTCACCCAGGCTGAAGTTCAGTGGCGCGATCACAGCTCGTTGCAGCCTTAACATCCCAGCCTCTAGCAATCCTCCCATCTCAGCCTCCTGAGTTGCTAGGACTAGAGGCGCATGCCACCATGTCCAGCCAGTTTCTGTATTTTTTTTTTTTTATAGAGACAGGGTTGGTCTCTAAATCCAGCTAGTCTCAAACTCCTGGGTTCAAGCAATCCTCCCACCTTGGCCTCCCAAAGTGCTGGAATTACAGGTATGAGCCCCACTGCCTGGCTGAGGCGCTAGTCTTAATCTCTGATTTTTTTCTCATTAAGCAATTGGGTAAGAGTCTGTCTGGAGTTTCTTCTTTAGTCATCCAGGTTCTAACTTGTTCATTAACTCTTTCTATGCCTTACAGTATTAAAAGGTAAAATACTTCCTTCTTTTTATCTATCAATGGATTACAATCACTATTACGATTTGTGAGGTCCAAGCGTATCCTCTTACAGAGTATCTTACACTTTAGATTTGTCAGTTTTTCCTATCGTGTCATTGTATTTATTCTGCTGTCCTTTGCGTTTCCACAAAAACTAGGTCTCATGAGATTTAGGCTGAACATTTTTGGCAAGAACACTTCATGGGTGATATGGAGACTTCACATTGCATCGCATCAATATCAGACGCATCACATCCTTGTCAATCTGTCCTACTATGATGGTGCTAACTTTAAACACTTGGTAATGTTGTCACCACTAACGAGGCTTTCCAGTGAAAAGGTACATTTTTCACTTACAAATAATAAGCAATCTATGGAGGGATACTTTACATTGTGCCTATATCCTATTCTAGAACCACATTTTACCCAATAATTTTAGCATCTACTGATAATTCTCCCCAATTGCAATTTTCTTCCAGCTTTCTTCCCAGTTACTTTAGTGTATTTCCCCACTTCTGACTTCCAGTAACCATATCTCATTTCACACCTACCTTCAGGTCCCCTGGAATTGGTGTTCAGTCCTACTCTCAGCTGGCTTTGAGCTTGCCTTCTTTTGTTCTTCTCAGACTCAACTAATGTTTCCAGTCCTATTGTCTTTCATTGTTTTTGCTCCAGTGTCTCTCTCTATATAACTCAGGTTAGTACTGTCTCCTTAGGCATGGCAGGGATGTGGGCATACATATTGTGCTATAAGAGCTTCTTTCTACCAGAGCATGCCATTTACTATATCAACACTAATACTTTCTGGAGGTATAGAGAGGGCTCCAAGCAGTGGAAAGCACAGTGGAAAATGTCACTTTGTGTTCTGTCATAGAAGTGTCCAAAGAAAAACAAGGTAATTATTCCTTTTTTGTTTTCTGCTAGTAGAAGTAATTTTGTGTCTTGCCAATTTGTGGAATCAGATAGTTAGAGAATTTTCCTGTCAAAGAACTCTCCTGCCATCTCAGTGCTCTTTCATTCTGTGTTTACTGGGCTAAGTTCTCCTGCAGGCTCAAAGAGGAACAGTGCACATGGCTGTGTAAAGATCACAAACCAGGAAGGAGGGGTTCACATATTACATACTTGACATCAGATAGGTCACGACCCTGGTGTTATATTGCTCCAATCAGCTTTCTGCTGTTTGAAGCTTTCATTGGTTTCTTCTAAGTTTCATCTATTTTCACTTTTGGGCTTCATTAGTCTTCCATGCCTTGGTTCCTTAAACCTCTATAGAGGTTTTCTATCCTCCATAAACAAATTTTTTTTCCACCAGTTCCTTGTTTTCTGAGAAATTAAGGCCCTTTTATTCTAA
The DNA here is from genome assembly GCF_000001405.40 of Homo sapiens. Classification (NCBI taxonomy): domain Eukaryota; kingdom Metazoa; phylum Chordata; class Mammalia; order Primates; family Hominidae; genus Homo; species Homo sapiens. Next base: position 37,462,578 of record NC_000007.14, read on the forward strand.
GCAACAGAATCTCCCCACATTTAGAGTTAAAAAATGTTTTCCTTCCTTCTTTCCTTCCTTCCTTCTTTTTTTTTAATACAAGCTCTCGCTTTGTCGCCCAGGCTGGAGTGCAATGGCGTGATCTCAGCTCACTGCAACCTCTGCCTCCCAGGTTCAAGCGATTCTCTTGCCTCAGCCTCCCAAGTAGCTGGGATTACAGGGCCTATCACCACGCCTGGCTAATTTTTGTAATGTTAGTACAGACGGGGTTTCACCATGTTGTCCAGGCTGGTCTTGAACTCCTGACTTTGGCCTCCCGAAAAGTGTTGGGATTACAGGCGTAAGCCACCGCACCCAGCCCAAAAATGTTTTCTTAAACTACAAAAAAACCTTGTGCCCCTTTGCAGCCAATACCCCCGCCCCTCATCTCACCCAGCCCTAGGCAATCACTGACGTGCTTTCTGACACTATAGGTCTGATCTTTTCCAGAAATCCACATGAATGGAAGCACAGAGCATATTGCTTTTTTATGTCTTGCTTTTTTTCACTGTGATGTTGTTGAGATTCATCCATGTTGTGTGCATCAGAAGGTCGTTGCTTTTTACTGCTGGTAGTATTGTATCATGTAGATATATCATGATTGATTTATGTATTTATTTACCTGTGGTTGGACATTTGGATTGTTTCTAATTTTTAGGTATTATGAATTAAACTGCTACAAGCACCTGCATCATTTGTAGGTGGACATATATTTTCATTTATCTCGGGTAAATGTCCTTTTCCTTGATTGTGGTGATGATTCCATGGGTGTATTAATTTGTCAAAACTCATCAAAAATGTAACCTTAAAATTCATACATTTTGTCTTTTAGTGGGTGATTGCTGAAGCAAACTGTGGTGCATTCCTACCATGAAAAACTACTCAGCAATAAAAAAGAATGAACTGTTGCTACAACTGCTTAGATTAATTTTCAGGGAATTATCCTAGATGAAAAGCTCTACCCTAAAATATCACATGCTATGTGATTCCATTTAAATAGCATTCCTGAAATGAAAAAAATTATGGAAATGGAGAACAGATTAGTGGTTGGCAGACATCAGAGAGAGTGAGAGTGAGGAAGTGGGGAGAGGAAGGGGGTGTGTGTCTATATAGAGGCTACATGAGGGACCCTTGTGCTGATAGAGCTGCTCTTTATCTTGACTGTGTCAATGTCAATATCATGGTTGTGATATTGCAATATTTTACTATTTTACCATTGGGAGAAATTGAGTAAATGGTACATAGAATCTTTCTGTTTTATTTCTTACAACTGCATGTGAATATACGATTATCTCAAAAAAAGTTTAATTTTTCAAAAGGTGCATTGTATTGTATGTAAATTATGCCACCTTAAACTTGTTTTTTTAAAAAATGTCTTTTTTCAGTCTGCGGAACACTCACTCATTTGCACCCTCCAGAGACCACTCAGAATTTTTTTGAAACACTGTTACCTCTTCTTCCAGGCATGTGGCACAATCATCAGGCACTGTGAGCCATTTTGCTCTTCCAGCTTTTCCCTTATTCATTACCTCTCCAAGAATCACAGCCACATTTTCCAACCGCCCGTCCTGGGTCACCATACACCTCAAGGAGTCAGCACAACTGAGTTCATCCACCAGCTTGACCCCTCTGAAGACATATACACCTAGAAAAATTTAGCTCATCTATAATTCTATGTGCACTATTTTTTAGATGTAGCTCTCAGATTGATGAAAGGTTATTTTCAACTCTCAAAGATCCACCATGACACCACTTTTATCTTAAGATCCATGTCCCAATTTTTGCAATTTATTGTCAACACCTTATGTTGTTTGCCCCCAAACATGACCTTATCTGTTTCTTTATCTTCAAAGGAAAATAAGTGAGAAAGAGAGAGAATTAAATGTGAAAGGAAAAGATGGAGTGTGTAGCAATTTTACTATTGCCAATTTTGAGTCTTTAGGCTTGTAATGGTCCTTAAATCTTATAGAAAAAAGAAAGAGTTTTGCTACATATTTGGATAACATTTGGAGGAATAACATTAAATCTCATGTTAATAAAATAGCATTTATGACCAAGCACAGTAGTTACTTGCTTCCAAGCATGTGAATTTGTTTCCCTAATGAGTCTAATATTTAGGGCATGAAGGAGGACAGTAAAGGGCAAATAGGATTCCCTATTTCTTTGCCTGAAGGTAAAAATGCTAAGTAGGATTTTGTTTCCATGAGCAAAATGTTTTAGATGAACCTAAAAAAGTTAGGCCTTCTTTTTTGGAAAATACACCATGGATTTGAATATAAGATCAAGGTAGGTCACATGAATAACATAATTATGTTATCTTAAGTACTCATAATTGAGGTGAGATCCTCTTTAATTTGTATATGCACTTATGAAAATTGGAAGGCTTTATAATATTGGGAAAAAATGATTCTATGGTTTATTCCAAAGAGACTAATTATAAAGAAAAAACATTTTAGCATCTTAGGCAGTAAATTGTGGGTATATTCCTATTTCATTAAGGCAAAAAATCTATTTTAAGTACTGATATTCCTTATCTGAAATTCCTAATCTGGTGAGGCAAAAATTAAGTAAAGAAAGGCCTTTTATTTTTGTTCAATTCCACAATAACCAAAGAAAAAATATCATATTATTCCTATTTTACATATCAAACAAATTTAAAGAGGTTAAGTGGTATATTAGTCTATTGTCATGCTGCTGATAAAGATATACCCAAGACTGGGCAATTTATAAAAGAAAGAGGTTTACTGGACTTACAGTTCCACATGGCTAGGGAGGCCTCACAATCATGGCAGAGGGTGAAAGGCATGTCTCACACGGTGGCAGACAAGAGAAGACAGAGAGCTTGTGCAGGGAGACTCCTGTTTTTAAAACCATTAGATCTCATGAGACTTGTTCACTATCACTATCACTAGAACAGCACGGGAAAGACCTGCCCCCGTGATTCAATTGCCTCCCACCAGGTCCCTCCCATGACACATGGAAATTCAAGATCAGATTTGTGTGGGGACACAGCCAAACCATATCAAGTGGCTTACCAAATTCAGACACCTATCAAGTGGCAGATTAGGACTGAAAGCAGATTTTTCACTCCAGAGCTCACAATTGTTCTGCTATGACAAAAATCCATACCACAACTCTACACTTGATTTTATGGGGACTATTGAGAACCTAAATTCAAAGACTGGCCAGGTGCAGTGGCTCACACCTGTAATCCCAGCACTTTGGAAGGCCAGGGTGGGTGGATCACAGGTCAGGAGATCGAGACCATCCTGGCTAACACGGTGAAACCCCGTCTCCACTGAAAATACAAAAAATTAGCCGGGTGTGGTGGTGGGTGCCTGTAGTCCCAGCTACTCGGGAGGCTGAGGCAGGAGAATGGCGTGAACCCAGGAGGCGGAGCTTGCAGTAAGCCGACATCACCCACTGCACTCCAGCCTGGGCGAAAGCAAGACTCTGTCTCAAAAAAAAAAAAAAAAAAAAAAAAAATCAAAGACTATCAGATGACTAATTGGATTTGGGGGAAATGCCTTTGCAGTCATAGAAGTGAGTGAATTATTGTTGGAGATTTGATATAAAAGTGTTTTCTCTATTTTAAATAAATATTTTAAATATTGTTATTTAAAATGAACACCCTTGCACATACATCTTTAAACACAATTCCTAAGAGTGAAAAAGTTGGGTCAAAAGATAAATCTGTTGTACATGTTGGTATATGTCACTGAATTGTCCTCTGGAAATGTGCCAAATCAATAAACTCATAAATGTCTTCTGCTTCTGTTCTCTTTCTCTTTTTAATCCTTACTGCACATTACCAGGCTAATATTCCCAATAAGCTATTTATTCATGACCAAAACTAAAGGTTAATACCCATTGTCTGCAAATGACTCCAAACTGTGTGTAACATTCAATGCCTTCCACTCTTAGGGCAGCCTATCTCTCACAATTTTCTCTCTCTTACTTTTTTATATGACCTCTATGACTCAGAGGCTGGACATGTCAGGAACCTAGGGTCTCTCTTCATCTCAGATGTTTTTCTGCCACTTCTTCTTAAGGCTGTAGCCAAAAGGGAAGGTGAAGATAGAAGAAAGTTATTCCTGGAAAAAAGAAAAGAAAAGAAAAGAAAAAGTCATTGTAATGAGCTGATTTTTATTTTTAAAAGTTACTATTTAGAAAAAAATGGTCTATATATAAGAATAATTTTTAATAACGTTAGAAATTACATAATGTGGTACAAAACACAACGTACCATTAAATGAAAAAAGAGAAATTTGTCTGTATATTATATCTCAACTGTATATACGTATACCCAGGAATACCAGTGCTCTCTGAGGGAATTATTTATTACCTTTCTACTTTAAACAGTGGGCACATACCTGCCTTAAAATTTCAAAGATTAAAAACCATTTATGCTATGCTGTTGATATGAAGTCTTGCACATTATGTCACTTCTCTCTTTTGAGTTCTCTCACCATCCTGTTTTAGTGTCTATCATTCCTATGGGACTTGGCGAATCAGCAAAGGAAACCATTTCTTTGTGAAGTCTGTAAACTCAAGAGCTAGGACTGCTTCTTTTGCAATGCTGTGCACTTTGCAAAAACTTGAAATCACTTTCAAGATGACTAAATGCATAGATGAGCGAATGGCTGGCTGCCTGAAACACTCCAGAGAGTTGAGTTGTGTCTCTTTGCTCTCAGAATGGGCAGAACAGCTATTGGTACAGAAAGCCAAGAGTGTTCTGTCTTGTGGTCCCTCCGTCCTGTGAGGACTTATGTTCCAGGTTTCTTTGTCTTTTCCTGATGTGTACACATTTAGTGATCTCTTAGGCAAAGGACAAGACTCAGTTTTTCTCCTAGAACCTTGCCTTCAACGCTGATGAAATGCAGGGCTCCGGTTAGTCTAGTGTTTAGAGAATCTACTTTTTAAAAAAATATGCCTAGAAACTATTGACATAAGCACATAGTCATAAATTCAGTAAACCTTAATTGACTACTTCCACTGAGACACTTCCCTTATGAATGTCTTGGGCGTATTTAGACACTCATATTTAGAACATTTCGTCTTAAATATTCCAGATTTAGTGGGAGGTGGATGGCATTTCCTAAGTTCCTTTCCCACTCGCATTAAGAAAAAAAAAAAGATCACACCTACTGCCTCCATTCATTTCTTCTCAACTACCAGAAGAATTATTTAAATTACTGCTGAAGATTATTCAACAAGGAGTTTCATCTTGTTACTAAAATTATTAATGAATTGGGAAAGACCACTTTTCTTTGATGGGGATGGCAAAAATTCTAGTGTTTATCTTATGTCATTCATACTTTCTTTCTTGTCTCCAACTCTTATTTCTCGGAGGTTAGGAATGGCGGACTCTGAAGTCAGAACTTGGGTCTCAGTGCTGCCTGTAACAAGTGGTACTTATTCCATTATCTGGTATAGTCTCTTAACTCTCTAAGACTTGGATCCTTGTATATAAAGTGGGATAGTCGGAGCACCTGCATCACAGGTAGTTTTGAGTATGGTATTAAAATAGTATATTTTGATTGGCAAATTTTAATTACAGAATGTCACCTATTATTAATTTAGCTATGTAGGAGAGTACAAAAACTAACAAAAAAGCAGTATAAGTAACGGAAGGTTTCTCCCACACTCAAACCATTTATTATAAGTATTGCTATTTGGTCAGTTGATTCCTCATAAATTTTAAGTGGACTGGAAAAAGAAATACTACAGTGTGTTCAAAACCTCTGTTTTGGCTGGGTACGGTGGCTCACGCCTGTAACCCCAGCACTTTGGAAGGCCGAGGCAGGTGAATCACCTAAGGTCCAGAGTTCAAGACCAGTCTGGCCTACATGATGAAACCCCATCTCTACTAAAAAACAAAATTAGCCAGGCGTGATGGTGTATGCCTGTAGTCCCAGCTACTTGGGAGGCTGAGGCATGAGAATCACTTGAATCTGGGGGGTGGAGGTTGCAGTGAGCCGAGATCGCACGACTGAACTCAAACCCGGGCGACAGAGAAAGACTCCATCTAAAAAACAAAACAAAACAAAACAAAAACAAAACCTGTTTTGTATGCCTTATGGATATGGAGAGGAAATTATTTCTCCAACCTCCTAGGCAGCAAAATTTCTCTCCAGGGCCAACTCTCTCTTCTTTCCTTCCTCACCTCCAGCCCCCTCTGCAATCCATTCACTCTGACTTTTGTTTCCATCATGCCATTGAAACTGCTTTGACAAAGCCACCAACAACCTCCCATTGACCAGCTCAGAAGAACCTCTTCCACCCTGATTTGCTCACTTTCCCAGCAGAATTCCACTCAGTGAGTTGTTTAGTCCTTCTGAAATATTCTACTTTTGTTTTCTTCCAAGTCACAGTTCCCCACCTTACTGGGCCCTCCTTCTTGGGCTCATTTGCCAGTTTTCCCTCCTCTATCAGACCTACAAATGTTTGAGTGCCCCAGGAAGTGGCCTGGGTCCCTATTCCATTCTTTTCTAAATGATCTGTTCTTCTCCCATAATCTTGAATACATATATATGCAAATATCACCCAAATTAAATCTCTGAGCTAGACATTTGCCATGAAACTTAAGCTCACTTACCCACCTGCCTACTTGAGACTTCCATGTTCAAACATATTATGTCCAAAACTCAGCTATCTCCAAAGCCCATTGATAGGGTTTGGCTGCATCCCCACCCAAATCTCATCTTGAATCATAGCTCCCATAATCTCCATGTGTCATAGGAGGGACCTGGTAAGAGGTAATTGAATCATAGGAGCGGGTTTTTCTCATGCTGTTCTCCTGATAGTGAGTAAGTCTCATGAGATCTGAAGGTTTTATAAAGGACAGTTCCCCTACACATGTTTTCTTGCCTGCTGCCATGTAAGACGTGCCTTTACTTCTCCTTCACCTTCTGCCATGATTGTGAGGCCTCCCCAGCCATGTGGAACTGTGAGTCCATTAAACCTCTTATTCTTTGTAAATTACCCAGTCTTGGGTATGTCTTTTTTTTTTTTTTTTTTTTTTTGAGACGGAGTCTCGCTCTGTCGCCCAGGCTGGAGTGCAGTGGCGCGATCTCGGCTCACTGCAAGCTCCGCCTCCCGGGTTCACGCCATTCTCCTGCCTCAGCCTCCCGAGTAGCTGGGACTACAGGCGCCCACTACCACGCCCGGCTAATTTTTTGTATTTTTAGTAGAGACGGGGTTTCACCGTGTTAGCCAGGATGGTCTCGATCTCCTGACCTCGTGATCCGCCCGCCTCGGCCTCCCAAAGTGCTGGGATTACAGGCGTGAGCCACCGCGCCCGGCCGGGTATGTCTTTATTAGCATCGTGAAAACAGACGAATACACACATGCTTCTCCTTCTTCCCCATTTTAGTAAATGGCACCACTGTCCAAGGAAAATACATCTCATGTCAATCCACTTCCACAGTGATCTTTTAAAAACGGAAATGAGGTCATGTCACTTTCGTATTTAAAAACCTTAAATTGGAACCTATGGCTAATGGCTTCCCTGCCTACTACAAAACTCCCCAATGACTGCTGGGCCGCATTATCTGGGTCCCCTGCATAACTGACTAGCTCATGCTACTCTTCTCCCTTGTTGAGGACTCTCACCCTCTGGTCCAGCCACACTGGCTCTGTTTATTGTCCTTGAACAGAGAAAGCCCATGCCATCCTCAGGGCCTTCACACACACTCTTCTGTCTGTCTGGGATGCAAACTTACCTAGCTTTCCACATGGCTGGTTCCTTCTTGTCTTCAGACCTTGGCCTAACTTCTCCTGAAGTAGCCCTACCTTGACCACTCTATCTGAAGTAGACCATCCTACATCTCATGGATACCACTCCGTTTATTTTGGCCACTGCTCTGTCGAAACTGTTACCTTAATGCTGGGTGTGGAGGTCATGTCTGTAATCCTAGCATTCTTGGAAGCCAAGGCAGGAGGATTGCTTGAAACAAGGAGTTTGTGACCAGTCTGGGCAACAAGGCGAGATCCTGTCTCTACAAAAAATTTAAGAAGTTCACCTGGCATGGTGGTGCATGCCTGCAGTAGCCCCAGCTACTCTGAAAGCTGAAGTGGGAGGATTGCTTGAGCCCGGGAGTTCAAGGCTGCAGGGATCTGTGATCGTGCCAACTGCACTCCAGCCTAGATGACAGAACGAGACCCTATCTCAAAAAAAAATTTTTTTTAAATACTGTGTGAGATAACAAATGTTTACATTTAAAAACCCAAACTGTTATCTTATTTATTAGTTAAGCTTGGGAGCTCCATGAGGATAGTACCATGTTTACCTGTTCATTGCTATATCCTGGAGGTCTGGCAGAGGGCCGCAACCAGCTCTCGGTAAATACTGGTTTACTGAATGCATGTGGGTCGTAGTGTTCTAAGCAAGGGGACTGGGGATGAAGGAGACACGGGTCCTGCCCTACCTGATAAGCGTTGTCATGACTGTGCAATGTGCAGTGGAAAGCCATAGGTGAAGGAGAAGCTACACTGAGGAGGCAGCAGCTGCATTCAGATGAGTACACACATACTGGGGAATGGATGCTTGGGCCAAGTGAACAGCAGGAGAAAAGGCCTGAAAGTGTGGGAAACGCAAGCCATGTTTAAACTGTTTGCTTAAGCAAGTTTTCCAAAGAAGTTAAAATTAATTCAGATCCATAGAACTTGAGGGGAAAATTCAGAAACTAAATACATACAGGTGATGGAGAAAGAGTTTTAAATTTGAGCAGAAAATGCAGCTTCACGACTATGGCTCATTTAAGCTATGGATGATTAAATGCATATATAGTAACAGACACCACCTGGGTTTTACAGGTGTGAATAAAGTCAAAAAAATATAGAGGGAAGAATTGTTTAAAATGGCTAAAGAGGCAACTAAAGAAACATGAGGCTGTGATGTTGATACTTTTTGACCAATAATGGAAATGAACATGCTGATGGCAACAACCATCTGGCAAAATAACTTTATAGCAATTCATTTCACTTAAATTCAACAAACATATACCTAGGCTCTGGACTAGGTAGTGGAAATTAAAAAATAATAATTTCTAGCCTCTAAGAGCCCATACCTAATAAAAACATGGGCACAGGAGCAATCGCCATTCTAGAATTCAAAAAAAGAAGAACCCTCTATATAACCTCAGTAAATGTGCAAATAGTTGTTTAAGGCCACACAGATTACATTTTTCAAAGACTCCAACTGGAAGTTTACACAAAGCCATTTTCTCACGGGTTGTTTGAGCCTGCGCAGAAGGACAGTTCTGATGGTGAGTTTCAGATAGCAAACAAATGTCAGTCACTGGCAATTGATTGGAAAACGTCAACGCAATTTTTTTCCATTTATGCATGAGCGACAACTCTTAAAATTTTTTTGTACTTAAAATTAATATACGCTTATTTTAACATTGAAATTTTTAAAAAATACATTTCACGTTACACATAGAATTTTAATAGGCATTTTAAAAACTAAAAGTAAGATCATATCATGATGTGTTTGCATTTATCTTCACTGATTTGAAGGTCATATATAGTGTATTTTATTTTGTTATTATCTTTAAATTTTTTTAAAATAAAAATTGTTATTATCTTACATCAAAATCAAGAATGAGAACAATTGTTTGAGTCCACCTTATAATAAGAACTGTGGGGCTGGGCGTGGTGGCTCACACCTGTAATCCCAGCACTTTGGGAGGCCGAGGTGGGTGAATGGCCTGAGGTCAGGAGTTCCAGACCAGCCAGGCCAACATGGTGAAATCCCGTCTCTACTAAAAATACAAAAATTAGCTCAGTGTGGTGGCATGGGCCCGTAGTCCTAGCTACTTGGGAGTCTGAGGCAAGAGAATTGCTTGAACCCGGGAAGTGGAGGTTGCAGTGAGCGGAGATTGTGCCATTGCACTCCAGCCTGTGCTATAAGAGTGAAACTCTGTCTCAAAAAAGAAAAACAAAAAACAAAAAAAAACTGTGAAACGTGAAAACCTTTTTTCTATCATAATCAATTTCATTCCTGGGTTTCATAATATAATTTTAAGTTTTTCACTAAGATTTTAATTAAATCACATTTGTAGTCTGTATCTTCTTTTTTATATATAAAATTGAGATTTGCTTTTGGTGTCATTAAGTAAATTTTAAACAGTTATTTAAACTAAGAGCTATCAGTTGTTACTGCCTGACTTTTTGATACCATAAAACTTACACTCTTGAGTTTTTTTGTTTAACTTTCTCATTTAGATGAAATATATACCTTTTAAAATAGATGTAAAGGATTAATATATTTTCAGAATCAATACAAATCTGGAACTATGTTTATATTGACTTCACACTGCAAGAGCTTCTTACATGTGATAAAATTCTTATGTTACAATTTCCCCCCAAAATTCTGCCAATATTTTGTTTTTACTATTTAATGTCACAGAGAAGTGACTGAGATCTGCCTGATTTTTTGTTCTTTGCATGTAACCCACTTTTCTACTCAGAGGCTTGGGTTTTCTCTTTCTTTGCAGTTCTTGTAAATTAAGCATTTGTCAGAATGTAATCTAATTTTTCCAGGAATGCAATGTAACTTATTGAGTTGGATTCCTCAGTATTTTTTTGGTCTAGAAAGTATTCTACATTCATGAATGATTCGTTATTGATCCGTTCTTCCATTTTCTTCCTTAGGAACACCAAATAATTACTCAGTGAACTCTCTAATCTCTGTCCTAAACACTCATCATCTTATTTCTTGTCATTTCTCATTTCTTCATTCTCTTTCTCTGTGTGTTCCTAAGAGCTTTTTTAATATTATCCTTCTGATCACAGATTTGATTTTCTGAATTTTTCATTTTTTCTCCTAATTGTTGTTATTTTGAGTTCTGCTGTTAGATTTTCAGTTTTCTTAAATGCCTTTCTCATCTCATTCATCTCCCCCTCATCTTAGAATCTTTTATTCTCTATTTTTCCTGCTTCTTCTATCCTGTTGAGGTTGACAGTTTGTAATAATTTTCTTTGCTTTCTGAAGGAAATCCATTTTGGAGGCTTGTTTTTCCTCCGTTTTCAGCATCATGTTTGGCATTCTTTACCCTCTGGTAGTAGTTTTTTTCATGGGCATATTTTGTTTCTGTTTTTGTTTTGTTTGCCTATTCATCCCAAAGGAAGATAAAGCTATATAATCCCAAATTTGGAGTTTTGGCAATCAGGCACATAAAAAGATCAAGAAGAAGGCAAGCTCTTCTCATTTTGTGGCAAATCAGCACCCCCAGATAAGACACAGATTGCATTTTCCAATCCAAACCTATCAACTTTAGAGTTAGAGAACATTCTTTCCAAACTCCAGTAATAGGGTGGTAGAAAATCTTAGTTTTCGATGTGGTTGAATATTCCCCCCTCTCACATTTTCATTTGTATTTTATTTTTGGAAGTCAGGAAAAGCCACTTTTGGGGACAATAACCTGCTGTCATTTTTTTCTCCTCCGTGAAAATGATGTTCAGAAAATTCATTTTTCCAATTCATTTTCCAACTTGTATTGAGGTATAAGAGCTTCTACCAAGACTTGGTAGGATTGTGGATTTGGTAGGGCTGGATTTTCACCATAGGATAGATAACTTCCCTGCTGCCATCGGTAGTCCAAGGCCACCCTTTTCTATCACATTGTGATGAGTTAACGCACAGCAATAAAGCTGAATGCTTCCTTCTCCACCTGTAATTTTCTTAGCACTCAGAGAGGGCAAACCCCCAAGACCAGGATGCAGATGGTTCTCAGGCCGTAGCGGCTGTTTCCTCACATTCACATGAGACCCTTTTTCTGGGTTTGGAATTTGTAGGTAGCCTCGTCTTCTGGTAACTGGAGGTCTGTGCTGGGACAGAAGTCACTGCATGAAATGATTGGTTTACTAATTTGGCAAGCTGGACCTAGGCAAGTGCCTTTAAGTAGAGGAATTAAACATGTTTTAGGCTACTTCTTTGTGGTTGTCTGAGAACTGAGAGAGTGAAGGAATAAAGCAATTTAGACATAAGAATCATGGGAGTTGGGTGCAGGGAGAAAAGAGAAAGGCTAGTCCCCAGAGCTACCTCTAACTCCATGTGCACTTATTTTTTATTTTTTTCTAGAGACAGGGTCTTGCTCTGTCACCCAGGCTAGAGTGCAGTGGCACAATCATAGCTCACAGAGGTCTCAACCTCCTGGGCTCAAGCGACCCTCCTATCTCAGCCTCCTGAGTAGCTGGGACTACAGGTGTGCGCCACCATGCTTGGCTAATTTTTAAATTTTTTGTAGAGTCAGGGTCTTGCTTTGTTGCCCAGGCTGGTCTCTAACTCCTGGCCTCAAGCTATCCTCCCTCCTTGGCCTCCTAAAGCACTGGGATTACAAGCATGAAGCATGATGCCAGGCCTCCATGTACATTTAAACCTCCAACCACCTTCCTAAAACAAGTAAGTTACTTCCTTTAGAATCAGCACCAGAAGGTTAGTGAGTGTTCTCCACCTTTTCTGGATAGAGGAAAACACGTGGTAATAGGTGTGTGAAGTGCAATAGCCCCTTTCCTAGGTAGAAAACCCAGTGTATGCTGGCCACACAGCACTGTACAGTTGGCATTTTTTCCAGGTTTTAACTCATTATCTTTCCATACACTGTTCTGTTTGCCAAATCTTCATCTCTATACTTTCTATCCTGATATTAAACACTATTTTGGGGGGTGTATTAGTCAGGGTTCTCTAGAGGGACAGAACTAATAGGATATATATAAAGGGGAGTTTATTAAGTATTAACTCACAGGATCACAAGGTCCCACAATAGGGTGTCTGCAAGCTGAGGAGCAAGGAGAGCCAGTCTGAGTCCCAAAACTGAAGAACCTGAAGTCTGATGTTCGAGGGCAGGAAGCATCCAGCACAGGAGACACATGTAGGCTGGGAAGCTAGGCCAGTCTAGTCTTTTCACGTTTTTCTGCCTGCTTTATATTCTAGCCGCACTAGCAGCTGATTAGATGGTGCCCAGTCAGATAGAGGGTGGGTCTGCCTTTCCCAGCTCACTGACTCAAATGTTAATTTCCTTTGGCAACACTCTCACAGACACACCCGGGATCAATACTTTGCATCCTTCAATCCAATCAAGTCGACACTCAGTGTTAACCATCACAGGGGGGTTCCCATTTCATTCTTTATTTTTTACAAATTGAATTTTCCCAAATGCTTGAATTAATGCATAGCTCTAAAAAGTAATTATTTATTCTTCCTCAAAGTGTCAGCAGCATTGATAGCGTGCAGCTCTGCCCTGGCAAATGACCCAGCTTGTTAGCACTTGTTTGGGTGAGGGGGGAGAGGACTGGGGGATGTATCCTAAAGGTTACCAACCGACAAAAGCTATTTTTGTTTGTTTCTTATTAAATGCATTATTCCCTCTCCCAACAAACTCTTGCTTTTATTATTCTAAGTTTTTGATGAATTTCATAACAAAATTTTTAATGAAATTATTTATGTGACAATTATTAAAGAATTCTGTGCCTAAATTTCCTTCAAAAATTATGGCGCAAATGTGACCAGAAGCCAAATGTAACCCTACTGATTTTTAAAAACTAATTATATACAACATCCAAACAATGAATATTAATTGTCTACTATGTGCCAGACACTATTCTAGGTACTGGGCATGCATCAGTGAACAAAATGGAATTCCTTCTGTTAAAATTTAAACTTAGGATAATTTTCACCATAATATTGGCCAAAAGCATATAGAAGCCATATGGCCAAACATACAAATATAGGGATAAAAATCTAAATATTCAATCTTTTCTACCTAGGTCCCTTCTGAAAAGGCTGGTTTACTCTAACATTTTGGTGCCCAGAATGGGCAAGGCAGAGGAATACCTGTTCAAGTTATGGCTGGAAGAGGCATAGGTCCATGAAGCAGGGTAGGAGGGTTGCAGCTTTTTCAATCACAAAATGTTGCCTTGGTACCACCAAATCTTGTTTCAGATCCACAAATATTGAACTTCTCTCATGAGTTAATGCAACTGCTGTACATGCTCTGGCATTAGATGGGCGGTCTGTCTGAGGGTTCATTGTTCTCTGAGTCTCCTTGGGTGTTTCAGGGGAAAGTTGGGAGAGACCAGTTTTCACTAGCATCTAAATTGCTAGTTAGATGCCATATGAAACCAGCAATAGCTCATTTTGAAAGCCAGATTTTTAAAGCCTGTTTCTTCTGCAAACAGGTGAAATGCCATTAATTTGAAATCCATAATCTAATGCTGCATGATGAAAAAAATCTAACTTTATCGCTGACCTAAGGCAATACAGATTACTTTTTCCCCAGGAGGCAGAAAATCTGTTATGTGTTAACATTGGAAAAATTAGGGAGAATCATATTTCCTCTAGCAAAGGGGTAAAGGCATTTTTAAAACAATCACTGGTCAAAAGTGACTGGAAAGATGCCCTCTCCCTCATGCTTGGAGGTGGAGATCTTGCTGACAAAACAGTGAAGGTCAAGGGTGAGGACGGAGCCGGACATCCTTACCGAAAGCCCAGCTGACCCTTGTGTTGTGCCACTCAGAGTCTATGCTTGCTGAATGAATAAATGGTGATTTATCCTTGAGCTTATGCAAAACACTTCCAGGAGACTTCCAGAAATATTGGGGTGGGGAGTCCTTTATAGGAAATAGGTCTTCTGTGAACTTGTGATGTTTCCTCTGTGGATAAAATTTGGCCTTTATTGCAACTCATTATTTAATTTTTTTTTGGCAGAAATTCTTGTGAGGCTGGAACAACTCAGGATGCTCTGCGAATTAAAATGGTCTAGTTGTACAGGTTTCAACATTCTTTTTTTTTTAAGCTACAGAATTCCTTCTGTAAGCAGAAACTGCATTTAAACCAAGTAGAAGTGGAGCTTCTCTGGTTGCAACAGAGGGGAGGAACTGGAACACGTTGAAATCTATAATCTAATGCTACATGATGAAAAAAATCTAACTTTATCTCTGACCTAAGGCAATAGATTTTTTTTCCCCAAGAGCCAGAAAATCTGTTGTGTGTTTACATTGGAGCTCCCCACAGGAGCCTGCAGGACAATCTGAGAACAACTGGTTTAGGATTCATTCTGGGCTAATTTTCTAAATACTGTGAGTATGTTAAAATAGATCTAGTCTTTGTCCTTGCTATGCTTGATTCCAATGTTAAAATGTGGTCATTTGATCTCATTCTCAAGATCTGCTGATTGCCCAATTAAATTTTGGAAGATCATTCTACCTGTGTTCTTGGCTTCGTGCAGAAGAGAAAATACTGTCAATTTAGACTCTGAAGAGATTGATTACTGTGACAAATGCTATTCCTTAGTTTGCCATTTGCCATCAACTTTACTGGGGGGCTTCTGGTTTTCAAAGCAAATGTACGGAGGATCAAATCTCTATCTGAGATGAGTAAGTCTCAGAGAGCTACTGTATAACATATCACTTATAGTTAACAGTATTGTGGCATTTAAAATTGGCTAAGAAGGTAGATCTTATGTTGTGTTCTTATCACAATCAACCAGTCAAAACATAAATAAATGAGCAGGAGGAAACTTTTGGAGGTGAGGGATATGATTATGGCATTAATTGTGTCAGTGGTTTCTTTGGTTTATACCTATCTTCAAACTTATCAAGGTGTACATATTAAATATATACAGCTTTTTGTGTATCAATAAAAGAAATGTCTGAAAAAGAAAATTTCACTTATGTAAAACTCACCACTAATATGTCACATCATGGTGAATGAGACTTATGCAATGTAAGCAGGAATGTTGAATCTTTTGGCTTCCCTGAGCCACATTGGAAGAATTGTCTTGGGCCACACATAAGAGATACTAATGCTAACAATAGCTGATAAGCTAAAAAAAATTGCAAAAAGATCTAATGTTTTAAGAAAGTTTACAAATTTGTGTGGCCCACAGGCTGTGGGTTGAACAAGCTTGGATTTGTGGTTGAGATAGGGGTTTCATTTGATCATTTTCAATTTATTCTTTCATAGCATTCATTTCATTGATGATTTCATTGATAGAATTTCAGTTGATAGTTTGTGTTTTCTAACAGAGTCCAAGAGCCTGGAGTTTGCTTTCTTCCTTTTTTTTTTTTTTCCTCTCTCCTAATTTCCTTTTTCATTTGCAACGGGCTCATTGAGATATAATACACATAACACGATTTGTCCATTTAAATTATAAAATTCAATGACTTTTGGTGTGTTCACAGAGTTATGCAACCACCACAGTCAATTTTAGTACATTTTTCATCACCTCAAAGGAAAATCTCATATGCTTTAGCTATGACAGTCTTGTAACCTCCATAGCCATAAGCAACCGCTAATCTACTTTCTATCTCTACAGAGTTGCCTATTCTGGACACTTCACATGAAAGAAATCATATGATGTGCGATCTTTGGTGACTGGCTTCTTTCACTTGGCATAATGTTTTTAAGATTTATCCATGTTTTAGCATATGTCAGTATTTCATTCTTTTTTATGTATTATAACATTCCATTGTATAGGTAGAAGGTGTTTTGTTTCTCCATTCATCAGTTGGTGAATATTAGGTTTCCACCTTTTAGCTATTATAAATAATGCTGCTATGAATACTTGGGTATAAGTTTTTGTGTGGTTATATGTTTTCACTTCTCTTGGGTATATACCTAGGAGTGGAATGGCTGAGTAAAATGTTAATTCTATTTTACCTATCTAAGGAACTGTTGGACTGTTTTCCAAAGTGGCTATACCATTTTACATTCCCACCAGTAGTGCACGAAGATTTCAATCTCTCTACATCCTCACCAACACTTGTTGTTATCTGACTTTTTGATTATGGTTATTTTGTGGGTATTAAGTGGTATCTCATTGTAGTTTTGATCTGCATTTTTGTGATGACTAATAATATTGAACATCTTTTCATGTGCTCACTGACTATTTGTATATCTTTTTCTGGAAATGTCTATATAGGTCCTTTGTGAATTTTTAAATTGGGTTACTTATCTCTTTTTATTACTGAGTTTTAAGGGTTCTTTATATATTCTAGATGCAAGGTCCTTATCAGATAAATTATTTGCAAATATTTTCTCCCATTCTCTGGGTTTTCATTTTCTTGGTAGTGTCCTTTGAAGCACAAAAGTTTTTAATTTTGATTAAGTCCAACTTATCTATATTTTTCTAATGTTGCTTATGCTTTTGGTGTCATTGATTATGAATCCATTGCGAAATCCAAGGTCGCAAAAATTTACCTTTGTGTTTTCTTGTAAAAGATTCATAGTTTTGTCTTTTACATTTAGGTCTTTGATTCATTTGAAGTTAATTTTTGTAAATGGCTTTTATTTTTGTCATTTCTTCTTTCATTTTTAGGTCTTGAGAGACTGAAAGAGCCAAATTTGTTAAGACAAATTGGCCAAATAACATGTGAAAATATTAATAAACTGGCTATTAGTGTGTTGAAGAAGGGAAAATGTTAGGCAGTAAACCTAGTTAATTTTGTGTTTGTGTGATAAATTTTGTGGTCTACGTATCTAATGCCTCCCGTATAATATTGTGGTTAAACAATATTCAGAATCCTATCTCCATTTCCTCCTTGCAAATGAACACTTCTTCCCTGTTAGTTATGAATATTCATACCTTGTTTCCATTCTTGCTACATATGCCACTTCAAACAGTGTTGCTTACATAACCCAGCTTTTGTTCCTCATTTAAAAAAATCTGCTTTCTCCACGGGCACACAGCATTCACACACACATACACACACAGTGCGACCTCTCCCCACATGCTCATGTGTTGGCTGGCATGGACGTCTCTGCAATTCCCCTCTTCTCATCATTCACCTTTCAAGTTATTTTTACAGGCCCATTTCAGCAGGGGTTAATCTGGATAAGAAGAAAAAATAATAATGGAGAGGAAGGGCAAGATAACACCCTGGAGTATTTAGTCATTTCTTTGTATTTTAGGATACAAATGTAAGATTTAGCTACAGAGTAAGCATAATGCATAATTACCACATTGGGATGCTAAACACAGGCACTGCATTCACTCCGTGCATAGAGTGAGATCTGGTTCATGGAAAAATGCAGGTTTTGCATTTTTCCAGCAAAATAAGTGAGTGGGGGTGGAAGGAGACTGGCATTCTGATGATTTTTTCAGAATACTAATGCCTGCCATAGGCGGTGGCGGTGTTGGGTTGGCCGGTCTCTTCTGTATTATGCCCACAGAAAAGGGAGGCTCCTCTCCTCTTTAGGCGTCTTTTATGGCAGCAGCCCAACAGGAAATCTGACTAACCAACAAGTAATTCTTTTGCACCTCTATGGAAGAAAACATTCTCCGAGTGTTCAGGGAGAATCCAGGCAGGAAAAGCAAAGCCATCCTCATGTGGTCATGGGAGAACAATTAAGTATCAGGTTGTGTGATCCTGAATGTGAGGGCTGAAGGGGGACAGAGAAGGGAGGTTAGTGAGCCTTGCTGGTGGGAGTGGAGGGCGTTGGGATGCCTTCATGGAAAATGTGGGCTGTGGAGAATGAAAACAGTTTCTAAAAGTAAAAGGGGAAAAAAAGGAGAGCACACCAAGTGAGAGGAAGGAAGGATGGAGGGTGAGCCTAACATAGCAGTTACGACGGACCTGGCCTTGGGCAGAGGCCTTGTTATGATCCCCTTTGAGTATTTAAACAACTCTGAAAGGTGGATTAATTATCCTTTGGTGGAGTGTAGTGACTTGCTCGTGGTCACTCAGCTTCTAAGCAGTGACATAGTATTTGGTTCAAAAGTTCTTTGCCCTGGCGATATGCCTTGTTGATGCCATCCTGCAGGCACAGAAACTGGAGTTATTATCAATTCTCTACACGTTAGCTCTAATTCCATTCTATTGCTCCCTCTCTGAATCTACCAGGCAATGCAGAGATTGAGGTTCACTGTTTCAGATCAGTAGACTCCAAACTTGTTGATCCTTAGGCTCATCTCAGGAGTTAAAAAAAAATGACCTGTTTCTACATCCCACTCTAGACCAAATGAAACTGCATGTCCAGAAATGAGATTTCTGATTGTTCTCCAGAACCTCACTTACTATTTTGAATAAAGTAGATATCAATAAATATATGTCATATGAATAATTAATGTACTATCTAAATCATTTTTTTAATCTACTGATTTGATGATTGTGAGTTCCTCGTTGCCTTGGTTTTTTCCTTCTATATTATACCACGACCATCCTTGTGTGGAAATATTGTTTCCAAGTGATGAAAATAAGGACTGATGGGCTTTTCTCAGCTAGGAGTTCACTGTGAACCCAAACAGCATTTGACTAGGACTTGCAGGAGGCAAATGCATGTTTTCTGGCACTGAGAAGAATGCACATACCAAGTTTTCTGTCCTTGCAAACCTGGCTCTCATTTCGTCCTAATCGAAACCATTGTGTTAAGAGAAGCCTTAGCAGTTTCCCTTTTTCCAGAGCTAAACACCAGTGCTTCTTACCCTCTCTACAATTGTTGTCCTCTGGAATAGAAGGGTGATTGACAGGCTCTTGCTGATTATGATCTGAAACTGGCCTAAATTACCTTTGGTTGCTGAGTGGAGGGGGTTGGAAGATGAAGGTAGGGAAGTAAACTGATTTGGTCTTTATTAATTCCATTGGTAATCTGATTTAATGTCAAGTTGTCGGTTGTTTGGGGTTGGGTTGTGTTCATCAGAATGATTTAACACATTGCTTGATTTGGTTCCAAATTGAAGTGCTTGATAAAGTGGTCCTGTGATTTTTCCACTACTTTCCTTCTGCATCTATCCACTTTAGCATGCTACCAAGGCATCGTCTGGATCTCATATAGATAAGTGATTGGAGATAGGTGACGACGTGATTAGGAATACTGGAGTTCTCTGAGTTTAAGAGTGCTTCAGTCACAGACATAATTATTAGTCTAATAAAAACAGGAAAAGTCTAGCTGAGATTCCTTCCCTTTAGTATCCACGGGATTTGAGATGATATTTCAGCCTTGGTTCATTTTTCCCTTCTGCATCTATTATTCCATTATTATAAAATGTCACTTTGCCTATAACATATTTTGCCTTGCTGTCAAATTTTATTTGGTTCAGCTTTTAAGTCAGAAGCATTTGTGGCTGAACACTCCTGTCTGTCTGTGCCAAAGGAATTTTCCAAGCTACAGTGCTTTTGTTAGCTTCATAAATAGTCACATTGTTTTTAAGGTGGAGAACAAACATTTACTAAAAACAAAAACAAAAACCATAATATGCAGAAGGCACACATTCAGAATTTAATTCAAGTCTTATGGGAAAATCCTTTACTGTAGAAACTAAAATTTTAAAATTGCCATTAGAATTGATTGGGATGGGAAAAAAAAAAGGCAAATCATCTATGCTTTCATGGGACAGTTCGTCACCAGAGAGAATAGCAAACTGTTTGATGCAAAAAGAAGTTTCTTAAAAGCTTTGATACAGATGAGATGATTCAGTTTTGCTACATTACCCTGGCCTGCTCCACACTCCCACCCACCATTTCAATTTTGCTGGCCTCTCCTTTATCTTCCATCTTTCAAAACTGTCATTCAGATTTCCAGATGCTTCTCTAGCACGTAAAACACCAGCCGGCCTGGTGGAAGCTCCAATTGTTGTCCTCTCCTCTTACAGCTTCTTTCTAAGTAGAAACTCTGCATTAAATTAATTCTCCCCATACAGTTTGATGAGAAGCAGTCAGTTACCCAGAGCATATCTTTCCTCTTAGCCTTTAAAAGGGGAACACAATAAAATACTGACTCTATTAAGATAAGAAGTAGTTTTGTAGGAAAAATCCAGTAGGATGCATTCAGAGTTCATGCTTACCAAAGATTTGTATTACTAGACAACATTGGTCTTCTTTCTATAATCTACCAGATTGCATTTGCCATAAAATAAGCCTTCTTCATTGCTAATGTTTGCAGTGCATCTCTTCTATGCATAAATATAGGCCATGAGGTATTTTTGAAGAAAGGCAAAGATTCTTACAGAAATGCAGTTTTCAAGTGTTTTGTCAATAGACAAGATAATTTACCATTGCCTCCAAGGACAAAAATACTTCTCATAAAAGTGTAATATATTAACAGATTTTACTTATTTTCAAGGAAGGGGCTTTACTTTGATGAGGTTGTGTCTTTGCAAAACCCACTGTGGATGGAATTCCTACCTTTATTGCAGTTCTGGACATGCCGCTTAGACCACCCTTTAGAATGGCTCACAATGCCCATTGTCAGCTTTCATAAAGACAACAGATGAGGGCCAATGATTTACGGCAAGTGCCAAACTAATGTGTATGTAGTTAATGGATTGCCTCCCTTTCAGATGTCCTGGTTGTCAACCAGCTTGCTCCATGTGGCATGAGACATTGTTCTTTATGTTTGTTCTGTATTTTAAGTTGCAACATCAATATATGAATGAAATGTAATGCAAAGAAAGGAACCACTGGAGAAAAAGAAAATACGAATCAGACATTTCTACAGTTTAGGTTAATTTACAATAAAATTGGAGGGCTTTGGATACAACATCAGTCAACTTCTCACAGAAAAGCACTAAGATGTGAGGATTTGAGCTGACAAAGCATTGCACTTGGCCATTGCCAATGCCCGGAGCCCAACCTTTGTTTTCTAGAGTGGAGACTGACAGATATCAGAAGAAAAAGTCAAGAAATGTGGTGACAGCTGGAGGAAGGGAGAGAAGCTGAAAGGACTTTCATGTCACACACACAAAAAACAGGTCATGAGCAAAATAACAGACCATGGGCCACTGCTCAATGAATCTGCTCCTGTACTTACATCATTCCCTAAGCTTGAGAACTTTAGGGCAAGAAGGGAAGGTGAGGAGAGGAGATTACACCTTTTTCAGGTATTAAAAGCCAGAAGAAAATACAGTAACTGTACCATTGAGTTCAAATGCCAACAAGCAGCAGACGTCCGTAGTTCAGTCACATAGATAGCCCCTTTAATGGCAATTTGCAAAGGTGGTTTTTGTACTGGGTCCAATTGTCTTGATAAATAGTGGAACTGGTGAAAACCTCCTGGCAAGAAACTTGCAGTAATTGAATAGATCCCCAGGCTGGCTGCCATCCGGGAATATAGTTCCAGATGCCTGCTTGGCAGGGCCACTGGCTGCTCACCCCTGCTCTCCGAACTAGAGGCTGCACCCTCACTTTGAAGGAGTCTGATTTCTCCATTTTAGAAGAACAATTGCATTCAGCCTTCAACGGGCCTGGGAATCCACTGAGCTGGCTCACTGCAATTCTCCCATGCATAGAATAGACTGTGATTTAATGTGGATTTTCATTTCTGTCTCAACAGAATAGGTTTCTTGCATGAATCACTTTGACTGTGGTGATTTTATCCTGGGCCACTTAGCCACATTATAAACGATCTGTAGAGGCATGAGATAAATCCTTTGCCTTTTTGACTCACCATTTTACAAATGAAAAAAATGTAGGCTTATTTAGCTATCTGTTTCCAGAGTGGCCAACAGGGCTTTGGGTTGGTTGATGTCAGACAACGAATGGGCACTTATAGGGCAGTGTATGAAATGGCTTGTGTGAGACTTCCTTTCATTCCCTGCCCTGTCCTTTTTTCTTCCTAAATTCTGTGAGTAGATCTTCTTCCACCTCAGAATTCACGCTATGCTCATGGCTCTATCTTTTCAAAGTTTCAACCTTTCTCCTAATATGAACTTTAACAGGTTCCTCTGAGTACTAACTGTGAACAAACATTTCTGGTCTGTATGGACTGGAGTGAGTTCCAAGAACTTCGACAATCAGCCTCATTAACCAGGCAAAGCTATGGAATCCTTTGAGTTCCCCTCCAGTCCCCTTGAAGGGGAAACAAAAAGTAAAGATTGCATTTTATATAGGTGCCTTCTGAACAAATTGTTAATGTTTTTCCTTTTTACCTTCCCCAGTGTTTTCAATCAGTGTCTTATTTCGGGGACTTTTTCCAGTTGCTCAAGGTGGAGATTTCCCGGAGCATTGTGCCTGAAAACAAGGCACCAGTGTGCTCTAGGGGCCATGCTCTGGGTGGGCCTTGCTCATCTGCGCAAGGTTGCTTTGCTTTTCTCTCTACTGCTGCTCCTTTCCTGGAACCCAGCACTGCTATCATCTGTCCCTGTCAGGATTTGGCACTGATACATATGGTATCAGTAACTATGCAGAGCCAGCGGCGTGATGGGGAGCACAGCTAAGTCCTTCCCGCTTGCTGAAAGTCTCATCCCGTCACCTGGCGAGTTCTTCTTGCTCAGGGGGAGTCGCGCCTCCAGACGCATGTGGGATTCTTCTTCAACAGGCTAACTTTGGTTTCTAATGAGGATTTCAGAGGCATTCTGGACTTTAGATAGACACCTGGAAGAAGGCAAGTGGTTGGCCCTCTGATGCAAGTCACAAATGTATGGATGTTGTTCTGTGTTTCCTGTACAATAACAAATAGTGCCCATCTCACGCATGAATGCTTTTTTTAAACTTTTATTTTAAATTCAGGGGTACATGTGCAGGTTTGTTACACAGGATAGTGCCTCTCTCATACGTGAGTGCTTCTTTTTTTTAGCTTTTAAGTTCAGGGCTGCATGTGTAGGTTAGTTACACAGGTAAACTTGTGTCATGTGGGTTTGTTGTATAGATTATTTCATCACCCAGGTATTAAGCCTAGTACCCATTAGCTGTTTTTCCTGATCCTCTCCTTCCTCCCATGCCCCACCCTCCAACAGGCTCCATTGTGTATGGTTCCCCTCTATGTGTCCATGTGGCCTCGTCATTTGGCTCCCACTTGTGAGAACCTGCAGTATTTGGTTTTCTTTTCCTGCATTAGTTCATTAGTTTGCTGAGGATAATGGCTTCCAGCTCCATCCCTACAAAGCACATGATCTCATTCCTTTTTATGGCTGCAGAGTATTTCATGGTGTGTATGTACCACATTTTCTTTATCCAATCTTTCACCAATGGGCATTTATGTTGACTCCATGTCTTTGCTATTGTGAATAGTGTTGCAATGAACATACACATGCATGCGTCTTTATAACAGAATGATTTCTATTCCTTAGGATATATGGCCAGTAATGGGTTTACTAGGTTGAATGGTATTTCTGTCTTTAGGTCTTTGAGGAATCACCATTCTTTTTTATTTTTATTTATTTATTTATTTTTGAGACAAGGTATCACTTTGTTGGCCAGGTTGGAGTGCAGTGGTGCCAACATGGCTCACTGCAGGCTCACTGCAGCCTCAACCTCTCAGGCTTAAGCAATCCTCCCATCTCATCCTTCTGAGTAGCTGAAACAAGAGCTGTGTGCCACTATGCCCAGCTAACTTAAAATTTTTATTTTTTATTTTTTTGTAGAGATGGGGTTTCACCATGTTGTCCAGTCTGGTGTCAAACTCCTGGCTCAAGTGATCCTCTTGACTCAGCTTCCCAAAGAGTTGGGATTACAGGCATGTGCCACCCACCATGTCCATCCCAGGTGTGCTTTTTCAAATTGATGGCAAATTCCCCAAGAAGAACCTTGATTAGTTGTAAATTACTAACTGCAAAAATCAGAAGTTCATTTCCTGGGCAAAATGAAATTTGATGGTAGTTTAAAACTTTTATTTTGAAATGATTGTAGCCTCATGAGAAATTTCAAAAGTAGTACAGAGAGGTTCCATGTTTCCATCACTCAGTGTTCCTCAATGATAACATCCTATATAATATAGTACATCAACACAATCAGGACATTGGCAACATTTTTATAGCCAGAGAGAATAGGTACCAGAAAGCCAGATGCACACCTAATATTCAGAGTTCTGGTCCACTATTTGCTTAAAGAATGGTTTTAAATGAGTCACACATGGACTCTTTGGGCATCACACACACACACACACACACACACACACACACACACACACACTCCCAGTTAAAGCCATTCCAGACCCTGCTGGAATCCATTCCTACCATGCAAAAGGTGGTGACTTATTCAGAAAGGGGAGCTTGCAAAAATAAGGGACCCACAAAGAATCTTAGTAACCTAAAATAGGTGTTCTGGCCAGGCACTGTGGCATGCCTGTAATCCCAGCACTTTGGGAGGGTGAGGCGGGCAGATCATGACGTTAAGAGATCAAGATCATCCTGGCCAACATGGTGAAACCCTGTCTCTACTAAAAATACAAAAAAATTTAGCTGGGCATGGTGGTGTGCGCCTGTAGTCCCAGCTACTCGGGAGGCTGAGGCAGGAGAATTGCTTGAACCCGGGAGGCAGAGGTTGCAGTGAGCCAAGATCGCACCACTGCACTCCAGCCTGGTGACAGAGTGAGACTCTGTCTCAAAAAAAAAAAAAAAAAAAAAAAAAAAAGAAGGTGTTCATGGTTCATCTGGTCACTCCTGGTATCTTCTTGTAAGACACAGTTCTCCAGATATTTTGAATACTATGTTGTATGAATGAACCTTAGGATGAAGGAAGAGCCAGCTTTATTAAAAGTTGTGTTCCTAGGTTTGTTAAAAAAAAAAAAAGTGTGGTCAACATTTATTATCATATAAGAGTTAAGAGCTTGGATCCTGAATTCAGACAGGTTAGGTTTAATCTCTAGCCTTGTCCCTGACCAGAATGTTGACCACAAGTTACTTTACTGCTCTAAGGCTCAATTTTCTTATCCATAATATAAGGAAAATTATAGCACCTGAGAAACTGTTAGAAACAGATAATCGGTGCCACAAAGAAATGTCAGCATGGAGACAAAGGATCTCTCAGCAAGGCAATCTTTACTTTCTGCTGAAAGGGTGCCCCCCGCAGATGGAATAATGGCAAGAGCATATCTGAACAAAGGAAAAGCAGACATATTTATCCCTTACGCATTTTGGTCATCCTTACTGCTGTGTCCTGCATCTATTGGCTGGAGCTGGACTTCAGAGTCTTAAACTGATACCTGATTTGCTAATAACCTAAAACTTTCCTAAATAGGTGAGTGCAAGGGAGAACAAAGAAGAAAAGGAAGTTGCTTACCAAAGGTTTAAGGAAGCAATAACATTTCCAAATAAGGAAGAGGCATAAGCTATGAGCTAAGACTGGCCTGGGCCTGTCCAGGCATGCCTGAGTAAGCCAAAGCAACTAACTGGGCTAAAATGTAAGAACTAATAATTGATAGGAGGCTTTAAAGTAAGGAGCTATTATTCCTAGTGTCTATTATTTTATTTTTAAACCAAGCAGAGCTTTGAAGAGGAACTTTTCTACTTTCTACAGAAATAAATGTTAATTGATTAGGAACTTTAATGCATATAATAAGCATCTGTAAATTTTCACTGTTGTTATGCATAATCATCTCTGATCAGAGTATTCTGTCAAGTAATTGTTATTCCATTCAGTTTCTTGGGTGTATTTTCAATGCTGATGCACATGATTTCAAAAACATCTTCTATCCTTGTGGTATGAAAAGTAGGTAGTGACTACTCATTATATTTGGAGAACCATTTCTATTGTTATCACAGTTATTATTTTTAAATAACAATTGCTCAATATCCTATATTATAAATTGTATAACTTGCAGATTACTAACTGTTTGCTGATAAGTTACTTGTATCATAAAAGAGTCTAAAATTGGATCAAAAACAAGTGCAAGATTTTAAGGTCTAAAATGAATATAATCTAGGCTCATATAACTAGTCTAAAGTTAATGCACCTAGATCCACAGTTACCTAGACATTAATTTCCTCAAAAATATAACAGAGGCCATTGGAATTGCTTGTAACAATCAGTCAAACATATGCTACATGTGAAGGAACATTAATTGTTTTTGAAAAATTTTTATTTGTTATAAAAGGTGGATCTGTTACCAGGGTTGCTTATGTCTTGTTTATAATTGTAGGTTTTCTTTTTCTAGCAGTTGAAGAGTAGTTTAGTAATAAGTAGCAAAAAAAAAAAAAAAAAAAAAAAAAATTCCAACATCAGCCCTACTTTAGTTAATAATTAATAAATCACTGAAAATTGCATGTAAATAATTTTAGGCTTAGATTTTAGAGTGGATTGAGAAGGTTTTCCTAAAACATGTTCATGCTTCTTTTTAAGCAGAATATTACATTCCCAATTATGATGGTGCAAATTCGAATTTTTAAAAAGTGGTTTATTGCAAAGCTTTTATAGGGAGAATTATCAGCAAATAGCCTTGATAAAATGAAAAGATCCCTAATTGTGGCAGTTGGAAGTTTTGTTGCCAGATAATAAGATAATGTGGAGCTTTGAAAACACAGACTACTCTGCTGTAATCTAGCACAGAAGGCAGATATCTCTGATTGGCAACATTTCCTTTTAGGGTTGAAATTTCAAAGGTAACACTTCATGAGTAACTCTTTTGGATTCTTATTCTGAGAACCAACCCAATGAATGACAGTGCTGGAAAGAAAGGACTTGTATTCGTGACACCAAATCAGATGCCCAGGACCAAAAACCCAGTCCTCTGGCTCCAATTGCCATTAGCAATGCATAACTATGCTTCCTTTGTTTTCCCTTTTTGTTACTAGCAATGGGGAGGACAAAGTTGCTGCTTTGAAATTTCTATGACTTGTGTTTTTAGAGTACCAGAAATATTAGAAAATATTTGTTTCCACTTTGATATCACTGCCATCTAAGACAAATTGAAGAAATCCATGGCTGTCAGCAAGACTTTCTGGGTAAAGTAGATTGATCAACACAGGGAAAGACAGTGTTTAGCAGAAAATTTAATATTGATCTGATCTCTAGATATGGGATGACTTTCAGAGGATGAAAACACTCAAAGAGAAATGTCAATATATTTGCATAGAAATGAAGAGATTTCACGTGTTCAAAACATAAATACAATTAAATGCCAAACAAGAACAATATTTAGCTACCAATAGGCACAAAGGATGAAAATTTTTAATGTTTGACAAGTTTATATAATAAGAGTTACTAAATGGCAAATGATGGAAACAGATGATTCACATTAGAAGAAACACAACTGGCTAATAACTATATCAGGAAAGCACATAAAGGAGCTAATATTAATGAACTTATAAAACAAAAATGAGAGTCTTTTTTTCTATCAAATTAGCAAAAATTTAAAATACTGGATATATACTGAACTTTTCAATGCTGACAGATTCTTTCAGCACAGTGAGGACTAGGGCTCTGGAGTTAAATCATGTGTCTACAACTTGATTGTACGACCTTGGGAGAAAATTACATAACCTGTCCCTGCCTCAGTTTCTTATCTGTAAAATGAATATAAAGAATGCCTATTTCATATTGTTATGAATAAAATTAAATGAGATAACACAAATAAAACATTTAGCATAGCTGCATAGTGCCTGGCCATAAGACATGAAAAAAAAAAAAAAGAAAAGAAAGAAAAGAAAAAAAGATAGTTGCTGTCGGCTACTCTTACAGTTATCAAACAATGCTGGTAGACCTTAATCCACAAACTGTAGCAACACTAGAAGGTGATGTGACAATACTTAATCAAAAGCCTTAAAAATATTCAAGTCTATTTCTAGGAAACTGTTAAGAAAGTTTCCTAGAAAATCACTAACATTATATGCTTAAATATTATATATAAAGATGGCCATAAAGATAAATTTCAAATAATGTAAATGTTCAACAATAGATAAATTGATTATTGGGCATATCTATAGCAGAACACAACATGGCTATTAAAATTATGTTTATTTGTTTTTGACATGGAGTTTCACTCTTGTCGCCCAGGCTGGAGTGCAATGGCGCTATCTTGGCATACTGCAACCTCCGCTTCCCAGGTTCATGCAGTTCTCCTGCCTCAGCCTCAGCCTCCTAAGTAGCTGGGATTACAGGTGCACGCCACCACGCCCAGCACAGTAGTAGATGTGGTTTCCCCATGTTGGCCAAGCTGGTCTTGAACTCCTGACCTAAGGTAATCTGCCCGCCTTGACCTCCTAAAGTGCTGGGATTACAGGCGTGATCCACCATGCCCGGCCTAAAATTATGTTTTTTTTTTTAAAGAAGTTTTAATTGACATGGTGTACGTTTAAGAAACATCATTAAATTTAAAAAGCAAAATATGAAATTATATGTATATCATTTCAATATGTGAACATAGATATAATTTAAAGCCAAAAAAATAGAAAAAACTGGAAAACCACAACATTTTAATAGCTGTTATTTCTGGGGAGTGAGATTATGAGGATTTTAAAAAATATACTTCCTTTGTCTATTTTTTTCTACAATGAACCTGTCTTACTTTTTCTACAATTAAGATGAAATATGAATTCAGAAAAGATTTGAGAAGGCATAGTGTAACTTGTCATTTGTTCCTCATACACTGTGACGTGTTTTCCAAGATGTAGGAGAGAAAACAAGAGTAAAGAAATCTGTAGGGGACACAAATAAAAACATCTTTATATCATGATTTTGAGAGGTGACAAAGTGCTAGCAGCCCTCGCTCGCTATCGGCGCCTCCTTGGCCTCAGCCTCAGCTCTGGCCACACTCAGCCCTGCAGCCCGCCACTGCGCTGTCGGGGGTCCCTCTCTGGGGCTGGCCAAGGCTCCCTCTGCTGGCCGGGAGGTGTGGAGGGAGAGGCGCGGGCCGGAGCCAGAGCCAGAGCTAGAGCCAGGGCTGCGCGCGGCGCTCGCCTGCTGGCGCGGGTTCCGGGGGGCGCCTGCTGGGCTTGATTGGAGACAATCCCGTGCGTGGACCGCCGTTCCCTCTTCGCGGGAATGTTGGCCAGGATAGCAGGTCTCCTTCTCTTTCTCGCTTCTCCTCTTTTCCTCTTGATTCTCTGGGACAAGCTCCGTCTGGGCTCCGGGAGTGCCCGGGCTAGGTGCTGCAAAGTCTCACAAGTAGTGCCAGTGAGAGGTGAAGCCAGCTGTGCTTCTGGGATGGGTGGGGACTTGGAGAACTTTTGTGTCTAGCTACAGGTTTGTAAATGCTCCCATCAGCACTCTGTGAAAATGGACCAATCAGCTCCCAGTAAGCCAATCAGCTCTCTGTAAAATGGACCAATCGGCAGAATGTGGGTGGGGCCAAATAAGGGAATAAAGTCAGGTCACGGAGCCAGCAGCGGCAACCCGCTGGGGTCTCCGTTTCAGGCTGTGGAAGCTTTGTTGTTTCAGTCTTTGCAATAAATCTTGCTGCTGTTCACCCTTTGGGTTTGTGCGGCTTTTATGAGCTGTAACACTCCCCGAGAAGGTCTGCAGTTCCACTCCTGAAGCCAGCGAGACTGGGAACCCACTGGGAGGGAGGAACAACTCCAGACGGGAGACACGAACAACTCTGGACGCGCCATCTTTATGAACCGTAAAAGTCACTGCGAGGGTCTGCGGCTTCATTCTTGAAGTCAGCGAGACCAAGAACCCACCAATTCCGGACACGATCTGACTTATCCTTGTATGTGCTAAACTCAGTCTCTACCCACAAGTGGATTTG
The DNA here is from genome assembly GCF_000001405.40 of Homo sapiens. Lineage (NCBI taxonomy): Eukaryota > Metazoa > Chordata > Mammalia > Primates > Hominidae > Homo > Homo sapiens. Next base: position 37,492,945 of record NC_000007.14, read on the forward strand.
TAACTGGTTAATCTGTCCATTGGGAATGTTTACTGTGGGCCTACCATGTACCAGGGACTACACCATGCTAGGAAGACCTGCATAGAGTTTACAGCTGGTGAGTATTTTGTAATTACAGATCAAAGTCTTGAGAAATGAGCTCATGCCTTCCTGGGTGTAACATTTGTAATCTACTGTAGCCAGTCTTCAATTAAAAATATTAAATGCTGTTTTTGTTCATTAGAAGGAATGTTTAAAACCAAAAGGAAAAAGCAATACTTTTCAATGTGTGTGAGATGTTGGCATGGTTAGACGTGGCTGGAGGAAATATTTAGCATAGGTCCTAAATGTTTGAGAACCCAGCGTTGCCAGCTGTGCTGCAGGTCACAGAGAATGCCATTGTTTGTTCTTGGAAACTGTTGCTTTTGTTCACCAACTCCCCCAACTTTGCCCAAGAGAACAGTCGAGCAGTTACAGCTCTCCTATACTGTTCCTTAGTAAAGTACCACTAGCCCTCTTTTGTTAGCATTTTTTCCATTTAATGACCTTGATAAAGATAATTAAGTGATAAAAATAACTCAAGGAAAACAGATTCAAGTAAAGCCTTTTCCCAAAGGAAAATAATGAGCGCCCCTTCGTCACCTTGCCTCATAATAAGCGCACACTCACATGTATATATGTTTATATGCGTATGTGTTTATATGTATCCATATATACACACGTGATAATGCAGGTATGCTTTTTGATAGATGAAAGCCCTGAAGCACATTTAGACATTTTTGTTAAAGAAAATATGCTAGTAGCACATGAAAAATAAAATACATAAGAGTTACATAAGTTGAGGGGCCACACAAAGCTTTTCCATAAATGTTGTGATTCTAGCCACAAGTAAAAATAGATTAGAAAGATTTGTTTGAAACAACAGCTCAACTACCCACGATTCGACCACCTGCAGTTTCACCTGTTGGGAGAACAACCAGGAGCAAGAAAATAAAACACAGAACCAGACTAGCCAGACTAGACACAGGGCAAGGTATGCACCGCTGTCGTCATGGAGCAGGCCCTTGCGTAACGGGCCCCGCTCTCCCACTTGGGCTACGCACGTTCCTAACTAACAAAACACGACGCTCATCCTTCCAAGGCCTCTGCAGATTAGAAACAGAAGGAGCCCTCCCTGCTGCCTTGGTGTGTTGGTAGCAACACAAAGTAACAATGGAAAGTAAGGGGGAAAAATAAGAAAACCGTAACACGTAGAGGCAATACTTCCCAGAGCAGAGTTGCCTGGGTTCATGTACTCTAGGTACAAACAGGCCTTTAGGACCTCAGCGGACCCTGAAGACACTGCCGCGTTCAAACACTGCCCACGAATCCATTTTCACACTGTTAGTGCTAAGTTGTAATGAAACGGTTACATTTTATTCTTTACTCAGTTGAAATTAGAGTAGTGGGAAATATATTTTAGAATATTGTCCATTTGAAATATTTTAAAACAAGTGAGTTTAAAGCAGCAAACTTGTGACTCTACAAAAAAAATCTGGTTTAAAACAACAAACATTCATTTCAGGGGGTCCTAGAGAGACAGAGCTTGCGCACGCGGGCGCGCGCACACACACACGCATACCTACAGTATACACATATGCGCACTCATACACACATTCCTATACAATAATTAGCTGAACTTCAGGAAGATGGGTTTCTTTTGTGTCTCAAACTAGGAAAAACAAAATAAACTGCTTTGCGTAAAAAAAAATTAAAGTTTGAAAATATCCACAGGGAGTAAGCAATACATTTCTTTAAACTCCAGAGATCAATGTAATTACTTTAAAAGACAGATCAATGTGATTCAACTTTTGAATATCTAATATAAATATCACCCATTCTTTCCAGAAGAGATTCATTTTCATTACATTCTATAAAATACATTTTTCCCCTTCTGCAAAGCTGAAAGTACTTTCCAAATATCCTATTACATAGAGTTGAATCTGCCACTCTGAATTTTCTTGGGGAGATAGTAAGCTAGCAAAATTTCATCTGGAGATTTTACAGTGAAACCTATAATCCCTGGCCTTCAAGATACAAGCTATATAGGAAGCAGAAAAAAAAAGGTTTCAGAACATCACAAACTTATGAACCAATTGTGGTTTCTGACTACTAGAAAGATTGAGAGCAATCTAAATTTAGTTATCAGAATTTTGCATAACAGTCAAGCCAAGCGCATGCTGGAAAAGCAAATTGAGTTCCCTACTTCATCCCCACCAGTCTGATGCAGTAACACTGGAGGCTGGTGGCCTTGCCTAATTTTAATTGTCATTCCTGGTGGTAGGTGACTCACTCTTTGAGGGGCCCTGGCTATTTGAGTAGGTCTTTCCTTCTCTCTCTTAACGTCTGTTTTTTTCATCAAACACTTTGGAATTCAGATGTAAGATAGTCGCCTCTTCAAGCTTAAAATTTATCCTCTCCATTGGAGGTTATTATTCTAAGTGAAGTAACTCAGGAATGGAAAACCAAACATCGTATATTCTCACTTATGAGTGGGAGCTAAGTTACGAGGACACAAAGGCATAAGAATGATACAATGGACTTTGGGGGCTCGGGGAAAGGGTGGGAGAGGAGGTGAGGGGTGAGGGAAAAAAGACTACACATTAGGTCCAGTGAAGACTGCTTAGGTGATGGGTGAACCAAAATCTCAGAAATCACCACTAAGGAACTTATGTAACCGAACACCACCTGTTCCCCTAACACCTATTGAAATGAAAAAGAAATTTAAAAAAATTACATTAAAAAAATTATCCTTTTTTTTTTTGACCTTGTTGAAAAAGAACATATTTATCCCTTTGGTAGCTTTCTTGGCCTTGAGTATACCACCTAGCGGAAAGAGGGGTAATTGCAGGTTCTTTTGAAAACAAAAATGCTTTGAATGTTTCCATGACTCTAGGGAGATTTGGCAATCAGACTTTTTTGTCCAACATTTCCAGGAGATGTGAATGAGCTCTGATTTCCACAAGGTATCATTAAATCTTAAGCACTTAGCAAAAATATATTTAATAACATACTTAAAATTATTAATTATTGCTGGAATAAGTATTTTGTTTAGGGTAAACTTTCGAAATGATTTAGGCTGGCATTTCATCATTTTTGATGTGATACACGTATGTTTTATAGTACATTGGGCACCCTTGTATAATTACTATGTTTAACTCATCTACAGTTTGTTTCTTCTATTATTATTATTATTATTATTTGAGAGGGAGTCTTGCTCTGTTACCCAGGCTGGAGTGCAGTGGCACAGTCTTGGCTAACTGCAACCTCCATCACCTGAGTTCAAGCGATTCTACTGCCTCGGCCTTTTGAGTAGCTGAGATTACAGGCACCTGCCACCATTCCCAGCTAATTTTTTTTTTTTTTTGTATTTTAGTAGAGATGGGGTTTCACCATGTAGTTCAGGCCAGTCTTGAACTCCTGACCTCAAATGATCTGCCCGCCTCAGCCTCCCAAAGTACTGGGATTACAGGCGTGAGCCACCGCGCCCAGCCTGTTTGTTTTGAGACAGGGTGTTGCTCTGTTGCTCAGGCTGGAGTGCAGTGGTGCGATCATAGATCACTGCAGCCTTGACCTCATGTCCTCAAATGATCCTCCTGCTTCAGCCTCCCAAGTAGCTGGGACTACGGGCACACACTACCACTCACAGCTAATTTTTTTTGTATTTTTTATAGAGATGGGGTTTCACCAGCCCAGGCTGGTCTCAAACTCCCGGACTCAAGTGATCTGTCTGCCTCAGCCTCTCAAAGTGGTGGGATTACAAGTGTGAGCTACCTTGCCCAGCCACATCTGCAGTTTGTGTATAATTTAGATATGCCTATTTTGTGGGATTTAGGGCAGAGTGTTAATCTTCTAAATTATTACCAGAGTTTACAGTTGAGTCTCTGATTTTGTAATAAGATGTTTGTTAGAGAGACGGTTTGTTCTGAAATTGGTCAGCTTTCTAACTCTCAACTTTCACATTGTTCCTTATCCTTAGATATAACTTGCTGGGTGATGTCCCACACTTGTTGGGTGATGTTGGTGGTTTTAAAGATGGGCTACCAGGCTGGGTGTGGTGGCTCACGCCTGTAATCCTAGCACTTTAGGAGACCAAGGCGGGCGGATCTCCTAAGGTCAGGAGCTCGAGACAAGCGTGGCCAACGTGGTGAAACCCTATCTCTGCTACAAATACAAAAATTAGCTGGGCATGGTGGTGCATGGCTGTAATCCCAGCTACCAGGGAGGTTGAGGCAGGAGAATCGCTGGAACCCGGGAGGCAGAGGCTGCAGTGAGCCGAGATCGCGCCACTGCACTCCAGCCTGGGTGACAGAGTGAAACTCCATCTCAAAAAAATAAATAAAATAAAATGAAGATGGGCTGCCTACATAAGGAACTCAGGGAAATCACTGCTTTAAAAGCTTTCTTGACAAATGATGCCAGAGAAAATTTAATTTTATGCTGAATGCAAAGCCACAAACATAAATGGATAGTGTAGGGTTTCCTGTTCTAAGATTTCAGGAATAAAATAGGAGAAGCCAAGTTCTGTCCTTGTCCCATGCAACATTATAAATTAGGAGTGCATTTTGATAGTCCCAAAACTATACCTTAATTTAAGAAAATGGAATACAAGCAATAAATATAATACTATAAATACATACAATAATTATGATATTATAAATATGACTCTATAAAAAAGACAGTCCCTGTTTCTTCCCTTCTTATTTGTAAGACATCGTCATCTTCCAAGCTGTCTTAATTAACTGCCACCCATAAGCATGACTGTTGTCACAGATGGGTGCTATTCAAAACGGTTAGCAATTCATTTACACACGCCCCCAAAGGAGAAAACACGATTCATTCAGCTGAAAGAACTGCCTGTGAAAGCAGAGTGGAATTCTCAGTGGTGGAAAATATAAAATAGATTGTCCCGAAATAGACTGCCACTTGGAAAGTGTCTTTTGCTTCTGGTGGTGGTAAGAGCATAGTAAGAGCGTGGCCTACTCCAATGGAAATTGTTCCACACCATGCCACGACAACTAAGCGTGACCACTCTGTCACTTCAGAAAAAGAACTGGTTAAGTACGTTATGCAGCATTTCTAAAAATGTGGGTCCGCAGAACTCTACTTTCTCTGAATGCTCATAGATGTATTTGAAATAGTGTTGTGGTCAAATAACATGACCAGAAATGCTCTTAGTGTAGGCTATCGTAGAGTGTTTAATTTCATTACCAATGAAATCCTTTCTTCTCACTGAGGAGCTCCTGACACTAGTGTTTCTAGAAACTGGCTTTAGGAAACATTGGCTTCAGAGGTTATTTTAACTCAGAAGTATTCCCATGCACATGCACAAATATCTGCATGCATATATTAAATATGAATTTGGAAAAACTGGGCCAGTGTTCTCTGTGCCCTGTAATTTACTACATAGTTTACTGTGAATTATACATATATAATTATAATTATATATGTATAAATACACATATATATACACTTAAGTATTTATTATAAAATTGAACTATTCATTTCATGGTGAAATCTTTAGTTAAGAATCGCTACACAGCACATTGTCTCTGCCCTCAAGACCTCAGTTGGGTGGGAGCAAAAACAGACATGGGAAAAAACAGTTTCAATGTATGTGGAGAAGATGTTTTTGAGCTACTGCTAAAGAATGTTCTGGGAGACCAAAAGAGAAGAAATTTACTTCATTTTCGGACAGACTAAGTATTTCATTTGTTGGACATACTTCATTTGATAACAGTGGATCTTGGAGGAGACAAATGCTTGAACTGAGTACTGAAGAATAAACAGGGGTTAGTAATTCAAAGAACAAAGTTAAACGGGGCTTGCGTTCTAGGCAAAGACACATCCTGAGGCATAGAAGAGCATGTCAAATAATAGGTGGGAAGCTTTTTTTTTTTTTTTTTGAGACGGAGTTTCACTCTTGTTGCCTAGGCTGGAGTGCAATGGCACAATCTCAGCTCACTGCAACCTCCGCCTCCTGGGTTCAAGTGATTCTCTTGCCTCAGCCTCCCAAGTAGCTGGGATTACAGGCCTGTGCCACCACGCCCGGCTAATTTTTGTATTTTTAGTAGAAACGGGGTTTCTCCATGTTGGTCAGGCTGGTCTTGAACTCCTGACCTCAGGTGATCTGCCCGCTTCAGGCTCCCAAAGTGCTGGGATTACAGGCGTGAGCCACCGCGCCTGGCTGGGAAGCTTTATTAGGAAGGAAGACGGGAAGATGAAACTGAAAGACACTGAGAGACCAGGTCATGGAAATAGTGTAGACTCTCTGGTTCTCAAACATCATGGCACATTAGAATCAACCAGAACTTGTGATTCAATAAGGCCAAATGAGGAGTAGGATGATCTGTATTTTGGATAAGTTCTTTAAGTGATTTTATGTGTCCAGCCAGCATGAAGGCCTTTGGGAACCACTGCTATAAGATCACTGAAGGGTTTTGAGTCATTGAATGGGTCACTTTGCATCTTAAAAAGAAAACCTCATTAATTCAAAATATTGTGACTACTAATACATGCTCATTACAGAGAGAAATGCACAGACAAAATAAAAAGAGGACAGGGCTCTGTCTTTTGCTTTTTTTTTTTAGATGGAGTTTTACTCTTGTTGCCCAGGCTGGATTGCAATGGCGTGATCTCAGCTCACTGCAACCTCCGCCTCCTGGGTTCAAGCAATTCTCCTGCCTTAGCCTCCTGAGTAGCTGGGATAACAGGTGCCTGCCACCGTGCCCGGCTAATTGTTTTGTATTTTTAGTAGAGACGGGGTTTCACCATGTTGGCCAGGCTGGTCTTGAACTCCTGTCCTCAAGTGATCCGCCCGCCTCGGCCTCCCAAAGTACTGGGACTACAGGCGTGAGCCACCACGCCCGGCTGACAGGGCCCTGTCTTTTATCCTTCAAATCCACTTCCCAAAGGCAACCAGTCTTAATAGTTTGATTTAAACAATTACGTATATAGTCTATACATAGGCATGCAAACAGAACTAAACCAAAATAAGTACATCATGTGCATTGTTCTAATTATACCACATATATTAATTCCCTTAATTTTTGTAACAACCTGGTGGGATAGGGGTTAGTATTACTGCCAATTGACAGATGGGAAAATGAGGACATAAGTTTTCTAAGGTGACAACAGCTAGTAAGTGATGAATCCTGGATTCGAACCCTTGCTTTGTGGCTCCATTACTCTCTATTGCCTCTCATATTATTATGCAATTATTTTCTTTACTTAAAAATATACTTTGCATCCTTAATAGATTAAACATAGAATTTCCATGTGACCCAGCAATTCCATGCCTATGTATATACCCCAAAGAATTGAAAACAGTTACTCAAACAAATACACGCACATGCATGGTTATAGAAGCTCTATTCACAACAGCCAGGAGGTAGAAATAACACAAACGTCCATGGACAGATGAAGAGATTAACAAAATGTGTATGTCCGTATGATGAAATATTATTTTAGCTATAAGAAAGAATAAAATACAGACACATGCTATAATACGGATGAATCTGAAGAAAATGATAGTAAATTTAAAAAGTCAGACATGAAAGGCCACATATTGTATAATTCAACTTACATGAAATGTCCAAAATAGAGAAACAGGGACAAAAAGCAGACTAGCAGTTACCAGAAGCTGAGGGAAACAGTAATGAGAAATGATGCTTAAAACAGGGCTACCTTCTGGGGCACTGCAAATGTTCTGGAACTAGACAGTGGTGAAGACTGCACAACAGTGTGAATGTGTTAGACGTCACTGAGTTCTCTATTTTAAAATGATTTAAGTGGTGAATTTCATGTAATGTGTGTGTATTTTACCAATATCGCTATTTTTAAGCAAAGAATCCAGTGGCATTTAGTATATTCATAATACTGTACAATGAAAGCCTAGAACATAGTAGGTGCTTAATAAAGATAAATATATATTTTTATAAATTTATGTTTTAATAGAATTATGTGCTCTTTAAAAAGATTCAGATAATACAAAAAGTTTTAATTATAATAACTATGTAAGTACAATAGCTAACACATTCATTGTTTATTTTTTTTTATTTTTATTTTTACTTTGAGACAGGTCTCACTCTGTTGCCCAGGCTGGAGAGCAGTGGCACAATCTCGGCCGAGTGCAGCCTCTAACTCCCGGGCTCAAGCAAGCGTTCCACCTTGGCTTCCCAAGTAGCTGGGACTACAAGCATAGGCCATGACACTCAGCTACTTTTGTTTATATTTTGTAGAGATGGAGTCTTACTATGTTGCCCAGGCTGGTTTCAAACTCTTGGGCTCAAGCAATCCACCTGCTTTGGCCTCCCAAAATGTTGAGATTACAGGTGTGAGCCACTGTGTCCAGCCTCATTCATTGTTTACAAGTTCTAGATACTGCTAAGGTTCTATGAATATTAATATGTTTTATCCTCATAACTGCTCTATGAAATGTGTTATTCTCATCCCTGATTTATAGATGATACAACAGAGGCTCAGAAAGGCTAGGTAACTTGACTAACGTCACATAGCTCATAAGTGGCAGAGCCAGAAATACAAACCATACAGCTTGTCTCAGCATTACTAATATCATCAAGTGTCACCTTCTCTCATGACATGAGACGTCCTTTCCTGCTCATATTTGGGGAGGGGTGGAGATTGTCTTCCATGCACCCCTGAGTCCTCCACTTGAGCCCTGCTCCTCTGTGGCATCTATTCCGTACCACAGTGGGTGACCTTTCATTGCATTCCCATTCTGGCCTGGAATGCACTGGTGTTGTGACCCTCACTTCACAGGTCCCTGATGGCAGACTGATGGGTCATGTTGGGAATTGGAGGTGGTGACCTGACACAAAGTTGGTTAAAGGGTCAGAGGAATTAAAGGGAACTGCAACATATGAGGGAAAGAATTGAAAACTTCGCCTTTAGTGTGAATTTCCCCTGAGTCCATGACATGAACACTCTTGTAGGTCTCTTATAGGAACCCTGAGTTCCTGACTTCCACATCCATAGGACTCTGCTCTTGCCTGAGAATACCTTCTTCTCTGAGCCTTTGTTCTGTGACTTTGCACTGTCCCTTAAGGAGATTCTATCTTGATGACAAGGTTTAGTCTCCCCCAGCCACATCCATTCCTCTCCTACAGTAATATTTTTCTCCCATTCTGACCCTGGAGCTCCCCCTGGTCAAGCTGTTGTGTCCCCCTGTGGAGTATTTTGAGGGGAGTTATTCTTCCACTTACAGCTCATTATTTTACTACTAAATATTCCACTAACATATATTCTATGTACTATGAATATATTTGGTGTATATCATTTCATATGTTGTCTTTGTATTCTTAAACACGAAACCACACTAAAGAAAACAAATGCAGTACAGTGTGTTTAATTGCTTTTAAGGTTAACTGTATCTCATGGACATTTATTAATGTCAAACACAGAGTTTCATAATTATTTTTTGCTATTTTAAACTAAATATTTTATTTTTATTATTTATTTTTTACATTGAGTTCCTGCCCTGGGACCTTTATAATTCTTAATGGTTGTGTAAAACTCCATTGTGTGGCTGAACCATCATACGTGTTGAATTCCAGCTTGATGGATGAAGAGGTTATTACCCCTTCCTGTCTGTGGCACACACTTCCCTGAATACACATTTTTTTTTCATGCATATTTGCCACATTCTAGATTTTCCTAAGATTTGCTAGTTTAGAAATAATATAATTTATTTAATCCACTCACAATAAGTACCTTTTTTCACTTTTAAACCACAGAAAAATGAATAAGTAGAAGTGTGAAAACACACATATGTATATTTGTGTGTGGGTGTGTATATATATGGTGTGTGTATATATGTGTGTGTGCATATACATATATATGGTACATTAAGCATTTCAAATTGGGATGGGGATGAAGAGAATGCATTGGTTAGTTCAATGGAGTTGAAAATTTGATGAATATTTGTCACAAAGTGGCACATACTTATTTAAAAATAAATTCCAGATGAAATATAAAAGGTAAAGGACATTAGATATCAAAAATGTTAAAACTTCTGTGCTTTTAAAGAACTATAAACAAAAAAGTAAGACAGATGATAAACTCAGGAAAATATTTTCAGTCTATTAAAAAGAAATGCTGGATTTAATATGTTAGAATGGTTATTAATGAAAAAAGAACAAAATCCCAATGAAAACATGGCTTAAGGATATGAAAAGGCATTTCATGGAGGAGAAAGTACAGTCAGTAAGCATGTACTGATTAAAGAGATGATGTAGATTAAAACAACAATGGGATTCTACTTTTGTCTATAAAACTTAAACACATTAAGTTTTTAAGTTTTATATGTATTTAAGTTTTATAGATAAAAGAATCCCATTGTTTAAGTATATTACATTAAGTAATGTACTTAATTACATTACTCTATATTTGTGAGGGCATTGGGTTATTGAAAAGCAGACTCACTCATTTTTGGTGGCAATAGAAATTGAAATTACTATTTCAGTTTCTGTTACCAAACTGGAGAGCAGTTTAGTAATCCATTCGATATCTGTTAACTCAGGTATATTCTTTAGCATAAGAATGTATATAAAGCTGGGTGTCTAGTTATCCACCCATGCCACTGCAAACATTGCCACCATCACCACCCCACCACTCCTGTTACTACCATTACTACCCTCTTCCCTTTTTTTTTTTTTAGATGGAATTTCACTCTTGTTGCCCAGGCTGGAGTGCAATGGCACGATCTCGGCTCACTGCAACCTCTGCCTCCCAGGTTCAAGTGATTCTCCTGCCTCAGCCTCCTGAGTAGCTGGGATTACAGGAGTACACCACCCTGGCCAGCTAATTTTGTATTTTTAGTAGAGACGGGTTTCTCTATGTTGGTCAGGCTGGTGTCAAACTCCTGACGTCAGGTGATCCACCCACCTTGGCCTCCCAAAGTGCTGGAATTACAGGCGTGAGCCACCACGCCCAGCTGATACCGTATAATTCTTAATACGACCTTGTAAGAGAATATATTTTTATCTGCGTTTTTCACTTGTAGAAGAAGGAAGATCTGTATGATTAAGTAATTTGCCTAAGGTCATACAGCAAGGAAGATTTGAACCCAAGTATTCTAGCGTTCTAGTGATGATGGCAGAGTAGTCAAAATGATTTTTATTAGTTTCTGCAGTAAATCATTTCAGAAATTTTTTACTTCTTCAAGTATTCAAGATATTTCCTTTCCGTTATGAGGATTTTTTTTTCATAAGCTACCCCAACCCTTTTTTTCTACGTAATCTTCAAATAAAAATTGGGCTAGGTGTGGTGGCTTATACCTATAATCTCAGCACTTTGGGAGGCCAAGGTGGGAGGATTGCTTGAGCCCAGGAGTTGGAGACCAGCCTGGGGGCAACACAGTGAGACCTCGTCTGTACAAAAAATAAAAATATTAGCTGCTTGCAGTGGCAAGTGCCAGTAGTCCCAGCTACTTGGGAGGCTGAGATGGGAGGATCGCTTGAGCCCAGGAAGGCAGTGAGCTGTGATCGCGCCACTGCACTCCAACCTCCTGGGTGACAGAGTAAGACCCTGTCTCAAAAAAAAAAAAAAAAAAAAAACAAAAGAGTGGCTTGCTGGGGTGGCTGTTAACACAGTAGTGTATGTGGAATGCCTGTGGCTCTATTTTGTATCTATGTCGTTCTTCCTCACATTTCATGCAGTTTTATGGCAGACTTCTTCGGCTTCAGTGGGCTTTCATCTAGGGCATTTCTGCTGGCTTGAGATTCCTGATACTCTGTGCAAATGGAGAAAATTAAAAACCTGCAGTCCCTAGGCTGTCCAGTTACCTATGTGGGTCCTCTGTTCTTGTCTTTAGCTCTTTGGTGGATGGTGGCTCCCAGAATGCAATAAACTCCCATTGTTCTGGATGTTGCAGTTTCTGACTAGTTGGGGAAAGGAGAGGCACCCTGGGAAAAGACTAACAGTGCATGGCTTGTCTTAAAAACCTCTACCCAAACATTAGAAAAATGGCTGAATGGAAGAGTCTGAATCAGGAGGTTGAAGCTGGGAAAGGAGGAAGCACATCTGTTAGTATTTTAGAATAGAAGCCTCTATTAATTTCAGAGGAAAGCACCAATTAGTCATCTATTGTTTTTGTCAATGGGTTGACTTTGGACTTAGAGTTACAGAAAAATGTCTCCCAGATTCTGGCAAGCATCTTTTTTTTTTTTCTTTTTTTAAGACAAATTGTATTATGACTGTCATTAAAAAAAAAACCTTTGTGTGTATTTTAATGGGAAATAGGAGGATGTGTCAGGGGCTGCTAGCCAGATGGGATTTTTAACCAATTCATTTGAAAATTTGTAACATAATGAAATCCTGTCGCTATTTATCTCTTCAGAAATGAGCACAGCTAGTTATTTGACAATTTCTACATGAAAAGCTTAATTTTTAGAAGCACATTATAAAAGAATCTCTGTGCATAGAATACTTTATTCTGCTGTTTATATTCACTTGGACCTTATTACAACAGTTTTGAAGTTAGTAGCTGCATTGATGGATTGCTTACCTTTTTTCCCTGGTAAGGCTGTAAGGTTGGGGAAAACTCTTCATAAAAGGTAGTTTTTTATGTGTGTGCATGTGCAACAAGGGGGGAAGGGAACTTTCTTAGGAAATGTTGGCTAAGTTAGCAGATAAATGTCATGTCTAAGTGAAGATTACCTGACCAAAAATGAACCCACTGTCAGCTAATTTCTGTCTACAAATATGCCAAAAACTCTAGGATAAATTGGCATTTCTGGTTTCAGCTGTGAAAATAAGAAGGCCAAAGTATTGAGAGCATAATGTTCTGTAATAATAATTGCATTTTGCAAGGTCATCGTGCTCAAGGACATCCTTAAGTAGCTATTGTTTTATTTCAGTAAGGTCTCTGGCTCCTACTTGACTCCAGTTTTAAAAGCAGGTTTGTCTCTAAAACAACAGCATTGACGTAAGCTGTAGCCACTAGAGTGAACAAGGGTGAATGTCAGCTTGGCCCTGGAGATGAGTACATATATATATTTTTCAAGTTTTCAAGTTTAATCACCAATGCTTTCCATTGATTTACGTGAATACAAAGTCACCATATTAGTAAGATCACGCTGTTTTAAAATGACTTAATCTAACATAAATGAGCCTTTATAAACCAAATGAATTTTCAACCTACATGGATCTTATCCAGTTCTTTGCAAGAAATCTGCTAGCTAGGCATTATTACCATCCTCATTTTACAGGTGAGAAAACTGAGGACCACCAGGTCCCAGTCCCTTGGGTGGCAGAACACAGCAGCCAAACGCTGCTCCCATGACATGACCAGAGGTCTTGGGGCTACGAGACCAGGGCTGTTTCCACCATTATAACAGTCTCTGAATCTAGACAATGCTAGAACTTCCTTCTCTTGGATTGAAAAAGTCTTTCTTTTGTCTCAGTTTACACAGCAACAGCTTAGAAAATATTACTTTATTTAAAAATTTTATAAAATCTGCCTAACAATATTACAGCAAGATTGTTTACTGTATAGGGAAAAAAAATTTTAGTGCTATTGCCCCAATCATATTCTTATTCTTTTTTGTTGTGGGAAGAAATACATAACATAAATTAGATTCTTTTCATTTTTGTATGTCTGAATCTATACTCTTTTGGTGACATATTCCCTGGTGACTGTAATATGTCTGTATCTTTTTCATAGATATTTATTGTATTTACTATAATTTATTGATCACTATCCGGTTTCAGTAACTGGGATAAGCTGTTTCATATTTTCTTACTCAATTTTCTACACTCATATTTTCTTCACTCAATTTTCTCAACTCTTTAAAGTAGATGTCAGTATTTTGCATTTTGCAAATGAAAAACTTGAAATTCAGAATGGTTAGCTAGCTTGCCAAATTTAATACAGTGAATTAGCAAAGAGAGGATGTGAGCTTGGCTTTTTATCAAAATTACCAGCATAATGACAATATAGGATTCAATCAAGGGGCCCTTCTAAAGTATAGCTAACACATTTGTTAGACCATTAATTTAAGTCCAGGTTTTTGCTATAATAAATATCAGAACTGGGAAGGGTTTTGAAGGCAGCGTTTCCCACTATTTAGGTTACTTCCTTAGGACAGATTCTCAGAATGTAGTTCTTAAAGTCAATTGTTATGGATAGTTTTACTATACTTGATATATACTTCCAAATTGCTTTGCAAAAGTGGCTCTTCAGTTTGTACTGCAGCCACTGTTGAATCTAAGTTTACTTACGTTCTGCCTTTCTGCTAAAGCCTTTTCAGAGAGTTATGGCTATAAAACAAAGTGTAAATATTCATGGGGAAGTTTAAGAAACCACTTTACAGATAGCTCCCTAAAGGCATAGGAGCAGTGGAGCGTGGAATGCGTTGTTGGTACTCAGGGAGGCAGCCATGCACCTGTGCATATTTGAAGACAGATAGGATGCCCAAATGCATGCAGCAAGATGTGCAATTCTCCCATTTTATCCCTCTCCAATCACGATTGTGCTGAGCTTTCCATGTCTGGGCAAAAATGTGAAAATGGTTCAGAAGAGAGTTGCCATTAAATAATCAGAAAGTAAAGCTCGTAAGTCAAGATAAAATGAGGTGAAATGATTTGGCTGGGAAAAGTCTTTGAAGTCTTCAGTGACATGAGGAAGAGGACCAGCTCTTCTGGATGTAAGATGCAGTGAAAAGGTCCCAGGTTTTGAATAAGAGAAAGCTGGCTGTGAACTTCGACTCTTTTACCTACTCTCTGTGTGATCTTGGGCAAATACTGACCTCCCTGCATATCAATTTCCTAATCTATAATATGGGCATAATATCCATTTCAAAGAGTTGTCAGAAGGACTAAATGAGATGACATGGTAAAGTGTCCACAACAGATGATACACACCAAATTCAGGATGGTAGCTTCTCTGCAGGAGGAAGGAAGGAGAATGGGACAGAGACAGGTAGCAAAGGGAGCTTTAATTTTAACTGAGATAGTTTGTGTCTTTTATTCAAATTTAAAGAGATCGGAAGCAAGCATAAAAATATGTTGACATGTGTGGATCTGGAGACAGTGCTTGTTACGTAATTTTCCATACTTTGTTTTCGTTTTCAATTAAACAGAGATAGTGCAAGGCACATAGGGAACGCTCCACACAGGTATAGATTCTTTTCCACACCCCTCATCAGAAGCTGAAGAGCATAGTCTCCATTATGATGAATTTAGGCAGGACCCATGGAAACAAATCCTGCGGAGAGCCTGAGCCAAGTGGAATTTGCCTCTGGAGAGCTGTGCCTGCCTTTCACAATGGAGTTCCACACAGGCAAGTTCTTTCTCCCTCTCCTCCATGTGGACCGGATAAACACAACATCCCTGCTCTGCCTTACTCAGCTCTATTGCTCAGTCCAGAGACATGTTGTTGTTATGAGATCTATAATCAACAGCCAGATTCGACTTTCTGTATGGGATTTTCTATCAAGGAAGGTTGTTTATGTCTTAATCAACTGTAGCATGCAACTCCTGCCAACATATGTGTCACTGTGATTTCCATATTGAAGACTTCCCTTCCTCAAAATGATGTTTATTTAGTCTGTACACTTTGTTTAGATTCTCCTCATGGAAATTCTGGTTTTAGGGTTATGAAAGTAACTCTTACAGAGCTCCTAAATGTGGTGAGCTCCACATGAAAGCTGGCTTTCTTGAAGCTTATTATCAATGGATTGCCATGCACAGAGGGTAATGGAGCTTAGAGAGGGCATCCACCTATCTTGCAACAGATAGTCACATAATGCACAACACAGGGTTCAACAACTCAGAGGATTTTCAGACACTGAAACAACATAGGGCTGTTCTGTTGTTTAGTTGTTCTTTTTTGACCTCCTATCTTTCTATCTCTATTTACCCCCACTCTCCTTACCTGGATTCTTAGGAAGGAAAAGGCTGTGTTTTTGGAGACAGAAATTAAATGAATGAAGCCTATCCTAGTGTGCATTCCTATGAGCTCCACCACCATTCCTGTAGGAAAGACTCATTGTTCACACATGCTGGGCTTAGAGAGCAGTATTCTTCCACTGCCCAGGAAAGAGAAATATAGTGTCTCCTTCCCCCTTATGTTTTGTAGTATTGATGCAGGGGGCACGTGCTGTCAACTCACTCGGAGCTATGCACACAGAAATTTCAGAACGTTTTAAATGTTATAAAATTGCAAGTTAATAGCAGAAAGGGGTATTTGAGGAAATTAGTCTTTCAAATAATTTATCAGAGTGCTTACAATTCCCATTTCAAGGCAGGTGAAGTAATAATGGATGGTTGGGACTTGAATCATATTCAATGCATGAAGTAGAAAGGCCATCTGCATCCAAATTGTTTGAGTAAATGGAAGAACCAGAACTGTCTGGGCAGATATTGCTGCTGCTGCTGCTGTCACCGTTTTAACTCGATGCCGAGTGGCAGCCCTGGGAGAAGGCAAAGAGAGCTAATGCTCATTGCCTTAAACAAAACCTTCCACGCGAATCCACATGCTACCCTTGTACCTCCCAGGCTATTTGAACCAGAAGTCAAAAAACAATCAGTGAAGAGTTTGGTTTCCTTCGAGAGAGAAGCCCAGCATTAAAATGCTGGTCTCTTCCTTGAATATGACTCCCTTGGTGTTCTAAAATAATAAAATGGCAATATCCTTTTAAACCAAAAAGCAATCTCCTCAAAATAATTATAGTGCATCAAGGATAACTTGCAAATATGCTCCAGGAAATCAAGGCAAAGAGCAAATCAAGGGAAAAATAGATATTTCCTCAGTTAAGGCTGATGCAAATGGCAGCACTTTTATAGCATTTGGTCCTGGCAACATGGCTCAGCTGGGAGAAAGAACACCTAAAACCTGAATCCCATTAATTTTACAATACTATTTCCGTAGGGTTTCCACTGAGACTTAGCAGGGTTTTTAGTATCCTTTTGTGGGAACATCAATACAATTATTTGTGGAGTACTTTGCAAAATGATCTGGGTCAATAATATACAGCCAGAATAAAGCGAAAAAGCCTAGTTTGGAGCTCTATTACCACTAACAAACCCAGCTCCACTGAGCAATTGTTTTTATGTGGTGATTTAAATTATGCAATAATTTAACCGACATGCTCTGTGAGAGAATCATTTATCCTCTGTTCTCTAACATGGCTGTCTTGGAAAGACTTACACCTTTAGAGAGAACATTAAACTAAGACAGCAAATAAGAGAGGAAGAAAAAATGATCACAAATACAAAATTTAGGGGAAAATGCCACCTTGACTCCCTCCTGCCCTCTGCTGGGTATTGTATGCATCCTCAGTCCACCTCAGTTCTTTCTACAGGACAGTGTTGAGGTGATCTGGGTGTGACAAATATTTCTATTCTGGTGAATCTTATAGGTAAATATAATGAAAGTGAGTCAAGGGTTTGCTTTGTAAGTTTTCTGTTTTTTAAAATTGGGATAAAATAGACCTAAAAGTCCTCATTTTAGCCATTTTGAACTATACAGTTCAGTGACATTAAGTATACTCACCTTATTGGGAAACCATCACCACCAACCATCTTCAGAATGTTTTTTCATCTTGCAAAAGTGAAACTCTATCCATTGAACACAAACTGCCCCTTCCCACCCTTCCCCTAGCCAGTTTGCTTTCTGTCTCTACGAATCTGAATGCTCCAGGTACCTCACGTAAGAGGAATCATACAGTATTTGTCATTTTGTGATCAAATGTTTATTTTTAAAACTCATAATGAAATACTATAAGAATATATAGGTAACAATGAGAGGAGATGAACGAAGGAGTATGTAAGAGTTTTGGGACAAACATATGAAGGAGGAGAGAGGGAGTTAGCAGGAACAAAGTGACAAAATGAGAGAGCAGCAGTGTAGCAAATCCTGGCAATGTGCTTCCCTGTTAAAATGCTGTGACTTGGCTGGGTTCGGTGGCTCACGCCTATAATCCCAGCACTTTGGGAGGCCGAGGTGGGTGGATCACTTGAGGCCAGGAGTTCGAGGACAGCCTGGCCAACATGGTGAAACCCCATCTCTACTAAAAATACAAAAAATTAGCCAAACGTGGTGGTGCATGCCTGTAATCCCAGCTACTTGGGACACTGAAGCAGGAGAATTGCTTGAACCCAGGAGGTGGAGATTGCAGTAAGCCCCCAAGATCCAGCCACTGCACTCCAGCCTGGGAGGCAGAGCATGACTCTGTAAAACAAAAACAAAAAGAAAAACAAAAAAACAAACCTGCTGTGACTCAAAATAAGCACCAAAGAAGTAAATTGCACAAGGATCTACAACTAGCATATGCTGGAGCCTGGTTTGACTCTATC
This sequence comes from Homo sapiens, assembly GCF_000001405.40. Taxonomy (NCBI): domain Eukaryota; kingdom Metazoa; phylum Chordata; class Mammalia; order Primates; family Hominidae; genus Homo; species Homo sapiens. Next base: position 37,511,281 of record NC_000007.14, read on the forward strand.
CTTTTGGGCTCCAGAGGTTCACTGGATCCATGTCCTTATCTCATGAACCAGTTTCTTCCAGTGCAGTTTCTCATTTTGTAAAACGTTAAGAAATTTTCCAGGGGTTAAGAGTACGGCCCTTGCTCACTGTTCATCTCATGCATGCAGTGATCACCTATCAGTTAACTTTAGTATGCCTGACCCCCGAGACCTTGAGCCCCAAGTATCTGCCATTATCCCACCCTTTGCCTGAAACCTTATAACATAAAGGTAGCTGTTTACTACTTGCGACCCTGGGATTAGGACAATAATTGTCCCTCAGGTCTACTCCATTTAGGTAAGCTTCTTGAAAGGTGCTTGGGGGGCTTCTAAACTGTGTGATTTGTAGAATCAGCAAAAGGATTAGTTGAAACAAACCGAAACCACACTGTATTCCTTCTACTAAGCACAGGTATAGCCAACAACCAAGCAACAAAAAGAAAGCCAATTAATGTTGGTGTATTGCCAGGACAGTTGAGCAGCTACCTCCTCGCCAGCCTAGTGGAGTAGTGGGAAATGCTCATGGAACCTCCCGCTGCCACCTGGTTCATCTCTAGGTCCCACTCACAACAGGACCCTCCAGGGGGGTCTCCTGGCATCTGGACTGATGTACTTTGGTTGCCCTCCCTGAGGGGGTTATGAGTTGACACTTAAAGTCACAGAGTCCTTACTATCTGCTGCATTTCTAACGCTCTAGCTGCCGATGTTCCTGTTTGCTCTTGGCAAGTCTGTGCAATTCCTGGAGAGATGTTCTCATTCTGTAAATCTACTAGCTGTTTAAATACAACAGCAAACAGAGTGACCTTCTCACTGTCGGTTCCGGCAGTGCTGGGAGAGTTTGATAGTTTTAACAGACTTTGGTGGGAAGAGAAAAAGTTCCTGTCTGGAAGAGTCACTTCCCTGCCTTGGTCTCTGAAGGACCTGACTGGGGTTGCTTACCACACTAGACTGTCAAGCCATCCCTCCCACACAGCAACTAGGCTTAAGAGAGTCCATCTGCTGCTTCTACAAGATTTTATTTTGCTGTTTATTTAACAGTTTTATGCCCACTTAATATTATGCTTTCTTATGACATTTACGATTGAGTTGTAGTGACTTAATAAATGCTTAGTGGCTGAATAAACCATTAGAGCAAAAAACTTGTGTTAAAATATTCAAGGCATTATTTCTCGGAATACGGTAAACTCTTATCCGTTTATATGACAATAAACTGGCTCACAGGAATCAAAGTCAAGTTATAGAGAACATTTTTATTTAAAATTAGACTTATAGGCATAACTCATATTTCCACTCTGGTTTACTAAGACTAGGTAATTTATATAATTGTAGTGTGAACTACCTCGTTATATAAGCCAAGAGGTATCTTTAGTTGGTTTTGGTCAGATGTCCACCTGGAGTGGTCTTCGTCAGGATGGAGGTCTGTTTGCATGGGTCCTCATAAAGCTGGCAAAGTGATGCCCACCTATTTATGCTCTGCTAGTGAGTGGCCCACCTCCAGGCTGGAGCCTGTATCCTTTGTTCACTTAGCCTGATTCTGAGCTCCCAACCTTAGCTCCATCAGCATGGCCCCTGAACAGCTGCAAACAACTTTCTATCCTAAACTTCTGAAACACACAGCAAATGGCTCAGAACTCAAGATCTGGCCTCCTGCAGAAAAATTCTTAGAAGCCAGTTTGCCCTGTCACTGGCCTCTAGCAAGCTCCTCCTTCTCGGGGGTGTTGGAAGCCTCCATGGAGGAGATGGTCTGTAGACCTAGCTCAGTTCCCTGCAGTAGATGCTCACATCACACACAGTGGCTCTCATTATATTATATTGTCAAAGTGGGTCTGGACTTACATGTTGGGGCTCTGGCTTTCGGTTCCATCCCTAAGTCTTATTTTTACTTTTATTTTTAAGGGAGTGCTTGTTATGGGTGAGGACCTGTCACTATTTCCCTTCGCAATCCAATTCTAGGCTGAACAATGACTTGACTTTCTGGAGACATATTCGTTGATGGCCACATTTTCACCTGTGAACTTCTTAGATGCTTAGGCTTCTCTAGAATAAAATGATCTTTTAAAAATAACTGAAATAGTCTCTAAAGCAGCAGTATTCCACTGCTTGGGTTCCCACCCCAGCTCTCTCTTTCAGCATCGGCTTATCAAAGTCTCTTCCAAGCGTTTTAGTTTTCTCATCTGGAAGATATAATAACAGTGCTTCATGGGTATGTGTGGGGATTTGACAACCAAATCCATGAAAATCACCTGGATCAGTAATTTAACGCTACTATTATTGTTGACGTCTTTTCTTAATGCAAAGTTCCAATATTGGATTGACTTGTGGCGAGAGACACGGGGGATGGAGAAAGGAGTGAGGGCAGAGAACAGGGAAAGAGTAGAAGTCCCGGGGAGGGACCAAGCAGAGTCTGATGCACCAGGGGTGACTTGAGATGCTTTTGCCTTGGAATCCCCAGCCTGGGCCTGATACCCTCAGAAGTCACAGCCTGGTTCTCTTTCCCTCCAGAACCTGAATTGGCTGTCAGTGACCTTTCAGAGTAACCTGTTTAGGAACTTTTCATGCCCCTGATGTTGAGGGGAATTTAGGGATTGTATGACTGTTCAATGACTCAAGGGTTTGGGAACTTAGTCGAAGGGCCCCTATTAAACATTTGATGGCTTCCCAAAGGACACCTCTCCTTACTCATTCTTCTAACTCATTGAAGGGCATAGTTAAACCAAGAAAGAGTTACTTGACACAGCATTCCAAATACTCAACTCTAGCAAGCAATATACCTGACCTTCATCTAAAGCTGCTTATTTAAAGACAAAATCCCTAACATCCTCTCCTGTAAAATGGAGATGATAATAACTGCTCCATGGGGTTGTTTAAATGAGGTAGCATTAGATTTGAGAGTGCTAGGCGTAGAGATTGGCACAACATAAAGAGTTCAGCAAACATTTCATGCTGCTTCTGCTGCTGCTGGGAATGACAATAGTTAAAACTGAGGCCCACACCCAGCGAGGATGCTGAAACAGCAACACAGATGTCCTTGACTGGGGCTTCACACAACAATTGCTCACGGTGCTTTTCCAGTGATTTAGAGTTTACAAGGCACTTTCACACGCTTTATCTTATTGGAGCCTCACAAAGGCAAAATGAGGAAGATTTGGGACAGAGTAATATTCAACTAGCCCTCTATGGGAGCTCCAGAGGATGGGGTGAGGAGGGTGTAAGGAAATGTGAGGGGTGAAAATTGTCTTTCCTGCTCCTGGATTCTTCTGCCAGCTTAAAAAAGTCACGAGGAATCATGATTAAAAGCTCATTAGACATGAAGCTTTGGAGGGTGGGACCCAATCTCTTAGTTCTTGGACACGCCCCTTCTTGCTGCACTGCACGCTCCTTCTAGGGACTGAGGCTCACACGACAGGCACTCAGCACACACTGATGAGCTGCTCACCCTGGGACTGAGGCTCACATGGCAGGTACTCAGCACACACTGGTGACCTAATCACCCTGGTTTTGCCAAGGAACAAGTTCAATGGAAGGACTGTCCTATGGTTGTTTTTGCAAAAGCTGCAGAGTGATCTATTCCTTTCCGGTACTCAAGAAAGGACAAAGACTTCCTCTTTGACAGGCCATGGGAATTCAATTCAGAAGGATTCAAGCACGTCCCTGTTTTAGTTACATGGCCTTAAGCAACTTCTCTGAGCCTCGGTTTCCTCATCTGTAAAATGATGGTAGTATTAACTATTTTGTTCTTATAAAGATTAGGGAAAATGTCTTGGCATATATCAGGGGAGCATCAGATGGTAGTTACTATAATTACGACTGCACCTCCAAAGTCAAAGGGTGACAGGATAGAGAAAAAAGGAAAACAAACTTCGTTGCAAAAATATCATAGGCTAGGGAATGTTTACAATTATCTAGGGCCTATCTACTTTCCAAAAACCATTGCCTATCTTACAACTAAATCTAGGTTACGAAAGAAAAATAAAACAAAATAAAAATAAAACATCCCACCAAACACACACCCTCCCCAGGCCCAGCATTAAAGTAATGTGCATATTTATTGGTCAGGCAGGCTGAGCCTGCTCTGTTAAATGCCTGTCTGTGTTCCAAGGACACTACCACACCTTTGCAACATAGATCATTCCCTAGGAAACCTGGCTGAAATCTATAGGTTTCACAGTGCTTGGGTCCTCTCCATTTATAGCTGACCTAATTTTTTTCTTTCCTTTTCTTTCTTTCTTTTTTTTGAGATGGAGTCTCACTCTGTTGCCCAGGCTGGAGTGCAGTGGCATCAACTCGGCTCACTGTGATCTCTGCCTCCCTGGTTCAAGCGATTCTCCCTGCCTCAGCCTCCCGAGTAGCTGGGATTACAGGCCCCCACCAGGATGCCTGGCTAATTTTTGTATTTTTAGTGGAGATGTGGTTTTGCCATGTTGGCCAGGCTGGTCTTGAACTCCTGACCTCAGGTGATCTGCCCGCCTTGGCCTCCCAAAGTGCTGGGATTACAGGTATGAGCTACCGAGCTTGGCCACCTAATTTTTTCTTTAGAAGACATGTGCACACAGTTGTGCAGGTCTGTGTGCAAGCCGATCCTGAAGGTTGGGAGTTGATGTTCTTCCTGTCCAAGTCCTGTGGCCTCAGGGCTGTTACCCACGTACCTGCCCAGGCAGGAGTCATGACATAGAGAACGTTTTATTCTGTTAGCAGTTGTTCTAGAATCCTTCTTAGGGAGATCTACCTTTGAAGACTTCTACTTAAGGCAAAAATAGTTTCCAGGGTCAGAGAAAGGAAGGGCATGGGAATATGTAATGGAAGGAGAATTGTCATGGTGGGGTGCGGGGAAGAGGATGAGGAAGAGAGGAAGAGAAGGAGAGGAGGAGAAAGGGTGAGGGAGAAGGCAGAGTGATGTGGGCTGGATACCGTTCCTCTTTCCACACATACCTCCCAATCTTAATAAATACGATAATATGATAACTGTACACTGCTAGTTGTGGTTAGTTCCTTGTAGAAAGCTATGGTAGGTGGATTCTTGGCTGTCACCAGGTGACACCAATGCAGCAAAGGAGGACAAAGAGGCTGAAAGCCACAGGACACGGGGAATGCTAGATCCACAAGAATTTGCAAAACTTGGGGAGAGCTTTAAATTTTTCCAGGCTTGGATGCTATTGGGTTAAAAAAAAGTCTTCATTCAAGGGACAGGGATGGACATCATCTGCCACAGCTTTCCCCCAACTTACCCTGTGCCCAGATGCCAGCCTGCTTGCTGCTCCCGAGAGCCTTGCACAAGAGACCTTTGTCCTGGCTGTTCCCTCCGTTGAAATGCTTTGCCTCTCACTCCTGTCACTCTGGGAATGTGACCTTCCTGAGAAGCCTTCCCCACTGCCGAACCTAAGATGGCCCTCACACTGCTCTCTAGCAATGCAGCCCTGTTGTAATATTTTTACAGCTCTCATTACTCTCGGACATCTATACTACATAAGTGCGTTTATTGCCAGTTTCCCCCGACTTGTACATGTGCTCTCTGGGGGCAGGGCCTTTGCCTTTTGTGTTTACTTCCTTGTCTCCAGCTCAAAAGCACTCAATAAATACTGAGCAGTGACAGGCAGATGGCACAGTGCTGAACCCACACCCCTCCTCAGGACAGCTCAGGTCTAGCCTGTGTACAGCGGCACCAAGCACATTCCTCAAGGGCTGCTGCTGACCTTGATGATGTTGTGGTTATTTTATCTCTTCTCTCATTCTCTATCCTCCTTAATCTATTTTCTGCTGTTAGAGCCTTTGGGAATCTGCTAACCCTTCCCTTGCATCACCTCTCATTCCTGTCCTTGCAGTGTACAAAGCCCACTTTGTTGCTCATCCTCACACCACACTATTCTTCCACCCAATGTTCATTATCAGCTTGATGTTTTTTCTTATTTCAATTTTAGCAGAATGCATGTTGTTCCAGTGGGGCTCTTTTCAAACTGATGTCTTGCTCTTCTTAGTGCCTCAAACTAGATCCTGTTTAGACATCTTATAACAGGTTACTATGAGTTTATTTTGGTGCAAAAAATTTTGAAATCCATGAATAGTTTTTTCATAATATGTTTTTCCAATGAACTTTTGAAGACCCCCTGTACATCATGGTGTCTGCTACAGACGTCAACAGGATCCACATCACACAATTTTGAAGAGAGGGATAGAGGCGGTGAAAGTTGCAAGGACACAAAGCCAGGTCTTTGACCATAGCTAAGTGTTATTAATCTGGGCCATAGCCCAGGGCTTGTTCTTACTTAGGATGAGAAAATGAGCAAAGCCTCACTCTCCTTCTGACTTTAAAATATGACATACTCACCCTTCTAGGGCTCTCAAAACTATTTGGGTCCACCATTTAGTGTGATAACAGATCTGGTTTATCCTAATCCATTGTCTATGGTGACAGTAGTGACAATGGCAATAAAGATTTATAAACTCTTGACAGCCATTGGCAGAAGCCAGTCTCCCTAAATCTATTACAAGCTGCCTAGTTTTGGGGAAGCTTCTAATAAACATAGCTCTGGTGACTGTTAGGGAAGGCATTGAGTGAAGACATAGAGTAGACAGTGGGCATAACTGGCTAGGAGGTTCTCCTGATGAGACTGAAGACCTAAGCTGGAGAGCATAGGTCTTTCTGGCCCTGTGGAAAAGGATCTTAAAGTGACTAGCATGTTCATCAGTTGTGTAGAGGTTATAAAAACCCACATGTTCCTGAAATTCTTCCCCAGCTCCCCCTAAATCCAGACTGAATTAATAAAAGTTAGAGCTCATCTTTGAACATTTTTTTGTTGGCAAATGAAAAACTAATTTTGTCAATACAAACAGTTGCAATGACAATACAAGTATTTCTGGGGCCTTGGCCTCTAAGGATGCCCAGGTGCCTATAAGTCACTTTATTAGTGTTAGATATCTGTCTTACCCTCTCTCTGTCCAAGCACATTTGAAGTTTTTTTTTGTCACATTAATGGGTTTCTTGGCTACTTTTTCTTGAGTTCTGTGCTGCACAGGTTGCCATGATTCCTGAGCCTGAAAAAGCAGTTGACAAATCCACTAAGGTAAAGTACCACCTACACTGAAAACTATTTGTGAAGTGGAAACTCTCTCACAGCTTCTGATTCATTCAATGACGCTTTGACCAAAATGCCATGTCATAGGTGAGCAGAATATATGATGGGAAATATGGGCAGGAAACATGCTCTGTTTGACAATCGTGTTAGGGGAGGTAGGAGTAGGGGCATCCTAGGTGAAACTATAACTGTGTGTTAGTCTCAGCAGCTCAGGGTGGGCTTTATAAAATGATGAGAATTCAGTGGCTTTGAGTAAGGCCTTGGGGTGCCATGATTAAAATTCTTAGTTGTAAAGTGAGGGCAAAGATCAGGCCAACATCTGAGGAGAGAGGAGGAAAGAGGAGTGAATGATTTTATTACACTGGTGCTTTTAGTCTGGGGCCAAGCATGGTAGGGTATCCAATCACAGTTTGGGTCTTGGCTATTGTGTCCTCAGAGATATGAAAGTCACTTTTATAGTTTATCTTTATTTCAGTGGGAGCTTGGGTTCATTCTGGAAGTATAGGTTTGAAGTAGGCAAGGACAAAATGTTTGGCATATAATAGATATAAAAAAAGAGTTGATGCAAATCTTCCCCTGGCTCATCTTTCAGGCACTTTCTCCACAGTGTTTGGCAGAGAGGCTTCAAGGGAATGAAGCACCATGGAATCCCCATGAGAAGCCTTCTCTACTGTCATCAGAGCAGCATAGGTAATTTTGGAAGTGAAGGGGTAGGAATGGAAGGTGATAGCCAGGTGAAGCATTTTCTCTCTATCTTCCTGATTTCTTACACTCTTCATTATTCTCTCAGAACACTGTCACCTACTATGATGGTTAATTTTATTGTGTCAACTTGACTGGATCAAGGGGTCAACTTGAAAGGACCATTGGGGTGACCAGATGTTTGGCTAAATGTGATTTCTGGGTGTATCTGTGAGTGTGTTTCTGGCTGAGATTAGCATTTGAATTGCTGGACTAAGTAAAGCAGATGGCACATGTGGTGGGCATCATCCAATCTGTTGAGGGCCTGAATAGAACTAAAGGCCAAGGAAGAGAGATTTTGCCCCTGCTGTCTGACCACTTAAGCTGGGACGTCAGTCTTCTACTGCTCTGAGACTTAGACTTACACCATCAACTCTGTTGGTTCTCAACCTTTGCAGTCATACTCAACTACATTACTGGCTTTCTTGGGTCTCCAGCTTGCAGATGGCAGATGGTGGGAATTTTCAGTCTCCACAATTGTGTGAGCCAATTCTTCATTATATCTATCTATCTATCTATCTATCTATCTATCTATCTATCTATCTAATCTATCTATCATCTATCTATCATCCATCTATCTATCATCATCATCATCATCATCTCCTATTTGTTCCTTGACTAATACAGATTTAATGCTGTTGACTGAATATCTGTGTCCTCTTCCCACAATTCATATGTTGAAACCCTAATCCCCAATGTGACAGTATTTGGAAATAGGATGCTTTGGGAGGTAATTGGGTTATAAAGGTGGAGCTCTTGTAATGGGATTAGTGCCCTCATAAGAAAAGGCATAAGAAAACTTGCTTCCTTTCTCTCCTTTCTCTCTCTCTGTATCTCTCTCTCTCTCTTTGCTATATGAAGATACAGTAAGAAGGTAGTCATCTGCAAACCAGGAAGAAGACCCTCACCAGACACTGGATTTGCTGGCACCTTGAGCTTAGATTTCCCAGTCTTCAGAACTGTGAGAAATAAGTGTTTGTTATTGAAGTCACCTAGTCTATGATACTCTATTTTAGCTATCTGAAATGACTAAGACACCTCCATTCAAGTATTTTGACACTACTGGCAGGGCAGGGGTGGTGGTGTTCCCTACTACAGACATGGAAACAGACATGGAAAATGATTCCAACTACTTGCTTTGGGCAAAAAAGTTACAAATGTCAGAGCAGGGCATAGAACCATGTCTCAAAGCCTAATGTGTTGTGTTTTCTGCCAAGCAGCAATGACTTTTTGTCTTATGTGTTTCAGCTCTTCTTTTTGTTTCTGCACATCCAAATCTCCTTCTCTCTCTTTCTCTCCCCCTCCCTAACCTCTCTGTCTGTCTATCTATCTATCTATCTATCTATCTATCTATCTATCTATCTATCTATCTATTCATGTAGGAATGACCCACCAGGCAAGTTAGTGTTTTAATCAAGGAATAAATGGCTACTGGACAATAGCCAAGTAGCTATTACTGGTGAAATATTTCTTTAATTTCAGCTACATTAATTCAGGATTTGTTGATAATTCACCCAGAGCATATTATGAGCTATCTGTTGAGATGAAAATAATTAGTAAGAATTCAATAAAAAGAGAGGGTTTTAATTTATTAAGAGAACAAATCATTTAAGAACTTTAGAGTTTGATGAACTCAACACAATTAATGTTTGTCTCTGTGTATAAACAATTCATATACTAAATATTCTGTCCATTAAAGCCAGCTTAGCAGGGTCTCAATTTGGAAACACTTTGTTGGTTGTTTGAGTAACTCTATATCATACTTGAGTAGAGTATGACATTAAGTGAAAATGAACTTGAGAATATAGGCTATTATTAGAAATGAGAATTAAAGCAGGCTAGAGCCTTTATTATCAGAAAGTAGAGAAAGATAGCCATAGGAGACCAGGAAATAACACCATTTAGCCTCCAGGGAAGAAGCACAGGAAAAATAATGCCTCTTTGCATTAACCTACCGCATCCAGGTCAGAGGAAGCCTAATGTGAATGGATCTGAGTACACAGATATTTAATGAGTCCAGGCACTTGCAGGTGGAGAATTTTGAGAAACAAGGAAAGGAGGCTTAGATTCTAGGTCAGAATGGAAAGTTTTTCTTTTTGCTTTTCTCTCTCTGCAAATTTTCTTTCCTTTCTTCTAGAACTTCTTTCCTAAAAGGGGTGAGAAGCTGCCTCCCCTGCAAGCTTTCTATTTGCCCTCCTCCTACCTCCAGGGGCTTGTTGGTCAGAGTCAGATTCCCCTTCTCTTCCTTGCTTTTCCTTGGTCTGTTTTTCTTTAGTCTGGTCTAGCCTGGCCATTCGAAAGCCAGTAATTAGAAGGCTAGGGTATGAGTCTGTATGTAAAGGAAATGTGTAAGTAAGTGCCTCTGCTGGCTTTGCCTCTAACTCCCGTGGCTACTGAGTTTAAGCAAGACAGTTATAGAGACTCCATTATGGTTTCCACATTGGGATCTGGGCCCAAAGCCCCAGTTAGCAATAAGGTGATATTTACCTAGGCTTGTGCTGTATGTGTTCTGTTACATTGATTATCTATTGCTGCATAACAAATTACCCCAAAACCTAATGGCTTAAAACAATACATATTTATTATTTTACACAGTTTTTGTGTGTCAGAATCCAAGAGCAGCTTGGCTGGATGTTTCTGGCTTGGATCACTCATGAGGTTGCAGTCATGATGTTGACTGGGACTATGGTCATCTAAAGGTGCTGTGGTCATCTGAAGGTTCAACTGGGGCTGGAAGATACATTTTCAAGCTAGCCCTCTTACATGGCTGTTGGCAGGCAGTCTGTCTCAGTTTGTTGCTGACTATTGGCAGAGGTTTTTTTGTTTGTTTGTTTGTTTTTTTTTTGAGAAGGAGTCTCACTCTGTTGCCCAGGCTGGAGGGCAGTGATGCTATCTCCGCTCACTGCAACCTCTGCCTCCTGAGTTCAAGCAATTCCCCTGCCTCAGCCTCCCAAGTAGGTGGGATTATAGGTGTGTGCCACCACTCACGGCTAATTTCTGTATTTTTTTTTTTAGTAGAGATGGGGTTTCACCATGTGGTCAGGATGGTCTCGAACTCCTGACCTCGTGATCCACCCACCTCAGCCTCCCAAAGTGCTGGGATTACAGGCGTGAGCCACCATGCCTGGCCTGTAGAGATTTTAAATTCCACATCACACTCAACTTCCCTATAGGGCTGTTTGAGTATCTTCATGGCACAGCAGCTGGCATTCCTTTAGTGTTTCAAGAAAGAAGAGAGAGTGAGCAAAGAGGAAGGTGCAGTGCCTTTCCTGACCAGTTCTCAGAAGGCACACAGAGTCACTTTCACCATACTCTCTTCATTAGTACTGAGTCATGTTCGAATTTGAGCCCACTCTCAGGGGGAGGGGAATTAGATTCCACCAGAGATTTTGTGTACATATTTTAAAACTACCACACATCTCAAAGATTGCTAATGCTTACTAATACCTGTATGTTTCCTGTTATTTTGGGCACAAAGCTAAGTTTTATATCCTAATCCCTTTTCAATTATGTAGGACTCTGTGACTGATATAGAGTCAATGGAATATGAGCAAAAGTGATGCAATCTCTTGGAGGCCTGGCTTACAGAAGCACACGTTGACCTCTGTTCTTCCCTTTTCCAAACTTGGAAGACATGTTGAAGATATTGCCTCCGAATGCCTAGTATCACAACCTGGAAGGGGCTCTGGAGTGACAGGCAGACTCTTATTGATAATAACAATGGTCTGTGGTCTGAGAAAGTAATACACCTTTATCATTTTAGATGCTCTCTTAGAGAATCTAGATTTATTTATTCTCATAGAATACATGCAACAGGGATTTAAAGTGATGTGTAGGGTATGTGTATGAGTGTATGATTGATATGTAGTTTTTTATGTATTAGCATGGAAAGTTATTTCAAATATATAGATTAGAATGTCAGCAGTGATAATTTGGGGATACTTTTCTTCATCATTTTCATATTTGTTATAGAGTATTTTCCAAATTTTGTAATGTTTGTCATAGCATATGTATTTTTTAATCTTTAAACAAGAAAAATGAATATTTTATGAGGAAAATAAATTCTCGCCTATATTTTTATTTTTACTGTTTTTGTTATTTTCTAGTTTTCTTTTCTCTTATTTTGATGGCTTACTTTCTTTGGCTTTTGGGCATCCAGTCACCAAGATCCAACAAGTTACCTGCCTAAGAAAGATGATTACATGCCCTTCTTGTTGCCCACTCCCTCAGCTGAGAAACTTCTAGACTGTAGGGACTGGAAATTGTAGATGTCATACTAGGGAGAACTAAGTCAGGAGACCTGCTGGGACTCCTGTAGCAGAGATAGGGTAGGAAGAAGAAGCCAGGACCTGATGTGCTGGGTGGAAAGTGTGGCTGAATGATGAGAAATCACTTTTTATTGCCCTAATTCAGTCTTGGTTTTGCTTTTGCCTTTTGTAATTCTTTACCTTTTTTTCAGTTCCAGAAGTTCCTATTACATCTCTTCTTTTGTCTTGACCTCTTCTGTCTTTATGGTTCTCTGGTCCTGTTTTTTTAAGATCATACCCTCCGTGTCATTTTGAAGACACCAAGCCAATATATGCTAAATTTTTTCTTCCTTCCTTTTTGTCTTCCTTTCTTCCTCCTTCCCTGGCTTTTCATTCTCTCTCCTTCCCTCCTTCCTTATCTTCCCTCCTTCCTCTTTCCCCCTCCTTCCTTCCTTCCTTCCTCTTTTGTTGTTGAAAGCCATTTTTAGAAATATGATCTTCTAAGTTTTCAGAAAGCAGTACCTTTTCCATAAGCATCAGGATATTTTATGAATCACCTCATGTTTTTAATTTGTTTATTTGTTTCTCCATATTTTAATAGAGAAAGATCTTTCTAGACCAACAGATGATATGTTGGCTTAGAGGGTATCAAAGAGATTCAAAGAGAAATAAGAAAAGTACCTGCCTCCTGAGCCTACCATCCCAACATGACCCCAACATTCTAACAGCTCATCACAATACCAAATAACCTTGTGACAGAGGGATGCACAGAGTATTCTGGGTTGTAGACAAGGGAGAAAGGAATGCTGCCTAGAGGTATGAGGGAAGCACTGAGAAGAATAAATGTGGCCGGGATCTTGAAGAATGGCTCATAATTGACTCAGTAGAGGAGAAGAAAAACCAGCATGTGTAAGGTTGGGGGATGAAGAAAGCCTGAGAATGAGTAATGGAATAGGGAGAATGTGGGTGATGCCTGAGGACAGAGGGGCAGGCAGCAGGCAGTCATGCAGGGACTGGTAGGCCGTGCTGATGATTTTAGATTGTACTTCGAGGGCAAGAAAGGAGCCACTGTTATGTTTAAGTAAGGGGAGGACGTGAAAAGTCCTGTATTTTGAACAGCTTCTTTTGGCAAGGTGGCAGCTTAGAGGACATAACCAAAGAGTGGCACTGGGCCTGGGGTGATTTCCTCCCTGAAGGACCCCTGGAAACTGGTGGGTCCATGGGCAAGATGGTACCACTTACTGTGAAAATATGCTTTCCCGGTCCTTCATTCAAAAGACTCCAGTGAACCATTTTCCTTCCTCCTATTTAAAAACAAATATTTCCATTATATGAGGCATTTAAAATATCCCTGGATTGTTCTTTCTAGTTAAAAATGTATTTTATATAGTTGTACTTTGTTTATAAGGCTGCCTTTGCTTTTAAATAATCTGAAAATCTACTCAGTGGCTGAAGTAGTGACAAATGTTTTGCTTCACTTTGAAACTCTTCCATATTAATTTCTCCTTCTGTGTCTCCTGTGTTCTGTTCTCTGAACTTTGGAGACATTAACATGCAGCTCAGTTTGTGTCTGTCACCTTCTTTCTGCCTGCTGGGATGTGGGGAGGCATGTCAGCTTGCCAGTCCCCTTTCCAGGGCCTTGTACTCCGGGCCTGTCATGGCATCTGCCAGGCTGTGTTTGTTCACAGGGCCTTTTGGCAGCTCCAGTTTCTTGTGAAAATAAGATAATATGTGTAAGACAAACGATTGCTGCCAAGTGTTAGGATTTGGGCTGTGGGTGCTGTGGGTGGTGGTGGGTGATGTGCATTGAGCAGTAGCCACTGGGAAGTCATTTACAATGATGTTATGGCAATTTTGTTAGGTGGAGTTAAATCCTCTCTCCAACAGCCTCTTTTTGCATAGGAGCAGAGACATCAAGAAAATACAGTTCTCTGCCTGTGTTCCTTATCCCCTTGGGAGCCTTTCTGTGGTTGATGTTAGGCAGTGTCTCTCCTGTTGATAGTCATCATTCTACGAGATGCTCAAAGGCAGCTGGAAGAGAAGCTTCTCCTGGAAACGTAGAAGCCAGCGGAGTGAGGAACAACTGATGGGGCAAAAGGTGTCCCAGAAATATATTTCTTTAAGGAAGCTTATGGGGAATTTTACTGCATTAAGTTTTCTTTTAATTATCTAGTGTACCTGATTGGATCTTTATGGCTTTAGTCAATTCAGGCTGTCCTAACAGGCAGCCATGAAGGCTGATAGTTGGAATTTGAGCTTGAACATCAGGACTAATTGAACTCCTGTGTGGTCTGCTGCAGCAAACCCAAGGGCAGATTCTCTGCCACTCCTTCACAAGGTTTTGCCTAGGAGAGGATATGCTTCAGTCCTTGACAGATCCAAAAGGAAGCATGGCTGAGGACAGAGGTGTGTCTTGGAAGACCATGGGTAAAAAGGCCAGAGTAGAGAAATTAGGGATTTTGAAAACTGAGGCCACCCTGGATGAAACCCATCACCCTTACAGTTCAATGCAGCTCTTTTCACATCCCTTGCTTTCTGTTCTGGGTCTCTAACCTTTTTCATGAACTCCAAGAGGCCTTTTGGGAACCCATTGGCTCACTTATACTCATCTCTTTCTTTCCTTTCCTTATGGGGTGAAGAAGAGATTTTGCATTTTGTTACACAATAAAATTTTCAGGAAAATTGTTGAAGCACCTCAAATACCTGATAGAATTATTCTCAACTCTTGTTTAAATATTCTATTTCTGCTTCTTTTTTTTTTTTTTACAAAAACAATCATTTTAATAAGTAATATTTTAAACAAAGATTACAATTCATAGTGTTAACATTTCAAAAGTACAAATGCAGTAAATCTATAACATTGATAAGTTTGGAAATAATTTAGGCACAGGAGCAAAATGTTTTTCCTACAAATAATACCTATACATTGGGTTGAGGCCAGTGTTTTTCAAATGTATTTTGTGAAATTCCATCCTTCAAAATGCTGTTGGAAAAATAATGTTGTGGAAAATAGTTAAGGAAATAGAGAATGCTGTTTCTTTTTCATAGAAATTCAAATTGCTTAAAGGCAAAAACTTAAGGAATATTGCAGAAACAAACACAAAAAAACAAAACCTGTTTAATTGTGCTTAACTGAGAATTTCCTAAAGTTATGTGATCAAATAAGCTACCTACTCCTCATTTAAGAACAGAACCTTCTTGGGAAAATGTTTCTCCAGATTCCTTTTGGTCACACTGAGAATTGTAGATGACACACAAAAACCCCAAATCACGAGATTGTGGGGGAGCACCTGTAGTCATATCATTTATTTCCGTCTATGAAAGTCCTCAAGCAATTCCAGAGAGATTAAAATCTATCTTTATTTTAAACATGGCCTGAAACTTCCCTCAGTAATCTCATTCCATTGTGTCATCATAGCCTTCTTCCACATACCGACTCTAAGGCCTCAGGAATACAGTGTTTGAAAACATTTCTTCACATTTTGTCCTAAACATAGAAAAGGAACATCTGGTCTCAATCAAGCTACTGGGTAAGAGACTTTTGTGTAATTGAAATTGAGAACCATGATTTGAGCGGCTACTTAGGTTTCTCTACCTATACTAAACAAAGACAGAATCTGGCCTTTCTTTAGGTATCATGTTTTTTTATTTTTTTCCCCTGTATTTCCTAATGCCTGTCCATGTTTCTTCATCTACAAATCGGAGGCAGTTAGTGATAGCTTTGCCTATCTCCACAACTGGTGACAAACATTAATAAGATAAAGTACAAGGAGGCACTGTTTATTTGGAAGAGAACTATAAAAGTGCAAGGTGGTGTTATTACCCTAAGCAATTTACAGGGCACACCAAAATCCAGGAGGCTTCAAAGTCAAATTCAAACCTTGAGTCTGGTTCCTGAAGCACTGGGAGGACAGTGTATGCTGGAGAAGGTGGGGCCCTGGAGGATGGGGTTCAAGGTCCATACTGGGCACTGGTCAGCTGCCCAGTTGTTCGGTCTCTAGGTAGAAACAAAAGGAACTGGTTTTGCTACACCCTAAGGACACGGGGCAATCTAAAATGACTTTGGAGTTTAGCGTCCTAAGGGAACTGTAAAAGAAGACAAGCATTCTCTTGCCTTATAGTTGGACCGTCAGATGGTAAATTGGGGAAAATATAGCACTGCCACACCAGTGACAGCTGAGGCGGCCTTAGCAAGCCTTATCCAAGGTGCCAACCACACAGGCGAAGAGAAGCTCAATGCCACATGTTTGTTGCCAGCACAGTCTTATATCCATGATATCCCAAGGGATTCCATAAAATTAACAGACTCAGGGAGGCTTGGCAGGGAGTTGTAATTCCTGCAATAGTAAGTGGGAAAAAGAGCCAATGCAAGAGTAATTATTTCTGTTCATTTGACCCTGCTTTGAACTTTACCCTTTACTCTGTGCCTGGTGTAACATAGATTATAAATTTGAAACTGACACTCTCTATATCTCTATATGTATATCTATAGATAGATATATCGTCTATATCTATAGATAGATATATCGTCTATATCTATAGATAGATATATCGTCTATATCTATAGATAGATATATCGTCTATATCTATAGATAGATATATCGTCTATATCTATAGATAGATATATCGTCTATATCTATAGATAGATATATCGTCTATATCTATCCATATCTATATATCTATATACCTATCTCTGTATATATGTATTTGTATATATCGTGCTCCTATGGGAATAACCTCAAAAAGAGATTGGAGTAATCATGGAATAACCATGAGTTACGATTTGTGGCAATTACTCATCACTTTTCTTAATGCTTTGTGCTAATCTAGCATATCAGTACTTATTTTCAGAGTAATATTGAGATAACTGCAAAAGTAAGTTAACATCCCTTTTATTTGCACAATGTTCAAGAGCATTTGCTCTGCAGTTAGTCTAGGTTCAAATCCTGGTTCTTCTACTTGCTAGCTGTGTGATTTTGGGCAAATTACTTAATCTCTCTAATCCTCAGTTTCCTCAGCTATAAAATGGATAAATAATATTGCAGAGACAAAAATAGTGCAGTGTTCTGAGGAAATGCAGAGAAGGGGTAATTGTCTATGAGGGGGCATCTGGAAAGTGTTCATGGACTGCTCTGTTCTCAGGAGGTAGTGAAGGGACAGGAGAAACAAGACGGGGAGAAAGGCTGGTGCAAGATCAGAGAGGTCTTAGGATGCCATCCTAAAGGGTTTGCATAAACTTCAAACAACCCTAATATATACACACTCCTCAGATATGGAATTGAGGCTACCTAAATTCTAAGAACTTGTTTGTGTTTTCTGACTGTATATGTACCTAGGAGGAAAGGGTTTGTTATTCACAATGTAATGGAGTAATGCCCTGTTTACCCAGTAAGATGCAATTCAACTTACTGTGTTTTAGAAAATAGCTGCCCCAGGTCTCTAAATCTTTCCATGGCAGAATGGGCCAGGGAGCTACCCTAGGTGTTCATTCATCCACCCTTGCTCCCCAACACCTACCAATTCATCCACCCACCCATGCAACAAGTATTTACTATTGGCTCTTTGTCAGGCCCTGCCTGGGGTACTAAAGACATAGATATAAATAAAATCTGATACCTGCCCCCAAGAAGTGCACAGCATAGTTGGGAGATGCACATGCAAGACACGTTATGACCCGGTAAGGCAAGTACTTTAGGAGAAGTCAGGATAGAGTTATGGGGCCCCCAGGGAGAATGGGGAGACATCACTGCAGGGGGCATTTCAGCTGCGCCCTGCACGGTGAGTAGAAGATACACGTAACTGGCACCTTGAATGTGAATTACATGTAAAATAACACATCTTATTTAGTTGTATTGACTATTTGCTTTCATGGCAAAGGAGAGAAGGCAGCTAACATTTGCTTAAGGCCCATATGTGCCAGGTCTAGGTACTTTTACAGAAACTTTTCTCATTTTACTCTTAGCCAACTGTGAGGTAAGTACTATTTTTATCCTCTTTTTACTGATGAGGAAACTGAGGCTCAGAGATGGTGAATACATTTACTCAAGGTCTCATAGCTAAAAACAAATGAGTTAAGAAACAAATATGAGTGGTTCAAGGCCTCCTGTCTGGGTTTAGATAATCAGTATAATAACAAAAATATAATTATTTCTAATAAAAGATAATAATAGTGATAGAGTGATGATCTATTGAGCATTTGCCAATGCTACCAGCCTTGGTTCTAGGTACTACATATATATATATATATATATATATGTGTACATATATACATAAATTTATATGATTGTTAAGCTCACCTTGAGACACAGGTGCAATTAAGATCATTGTCATATATTACAAATAAGGAAACTGAGGAACAGAGAGTTGAAATAACTTGTACAGTGTCATTCAGTGACACAGGCAGAGCCAGGACTCGAACCCAGGCAGTCCAGCTTCATAACACGTGATACAATCTGTACAGGGGTCAGGGGAGCCCAAAGTAGATTTCATTGTTTGCCCCTCCCACTCTAGTCAATGCTCATTTTACTAACACAGGGAAAGTTGTAATTCAAGTGAAATTAATTCAGAATAAATACCAGGGGATGTTTAGAGGATAAAAAGTAACAAAAGTATAATCTGGGGGTTGTGCAGGACAAAGTTTGTGTGCATTCTTGTAATTGTGATTGTAATGATTTCCTGTAGCAACAGGGCTGATGAGATTTAGAGACATAAAAGTGTCTCAGGGCCAGGCATGGTGGTTCACACCTGTAATCCCAGCAATCTGGGAGGCCGGGGCAGGCAAATTACTTGAGGCCAGAAGTTCGGGACTAGCCTTGGCAACATAGTGAGACCCCCAACTCTACAAAAAATTAAAAAAATTAGCTGGGTGTGATGGTGTACACCTCTAGTTGTAGCTACTTGAAAGGCTGAGGTGGAAGGATCAGTTGAACCCAGGAGTTCGAGCCCATAGTCAGGTAAGATCTCACCATTGTACACTAACCTGGGTAGCACAGTGAGGCCCCATCTATAAAAAAAGAAAAACACCTGTGTCTCAGACTGTTTTTTGTCCTACCACTTTCTTTTTTCCTCACTGAGTTCCTGCCTCAATATCAGTTCAGAGTTACGGCAAGGGACAAGTATCCTAGCTCACCTTATGCTAGGAATTATTCTGTGCCAAAGAATGTTAATCCACATGCAGTGGGTCTGGGGATGGTCAAAGAGTCTACATTTCTTAAAGGTCCTAGGCGATGCTGATGCTGCAGGCCCAAGGATCACACCTGGAGAAGCATGGACACCTTGTTGTAAACAGAAGATCTACTGCTGACCACAAGCTAGCAGCCATGAGCTATGGCTGATGTAAGGAAGGACACAGAAGAACAGACCAGCCAGGGTGAGTGAAAGCCAAGGTTTCCTGCCCATTTTCCTAACCCGTGATAGTTTCCAGAGCTACTGGGTAGCATAAGATAATAATTGATATTCTTTTTTTTTGAGATGGAATCTCGCTCTGTTGACAGGCTGGGGTGCATTGGTGTGATCTCAACTCACTGCAACCTCCGCCTTCCGGGTTCAAGCAATTCTCCTGCCTCAGCCTCCTGAATAGCTGGGACTACAGGCCTGCGCCACCACATCCGGCTAATCAGCTAATTTTTTGTATTTTTAGTAGACACGGGGTTTCACCATGTTGGCCAGTATGGTCTTGAACTCTTGATCTCGTGATCCACCCACCTCAGCCTCCCAAAATGCTGGCATTACAGGTGTGAGCCACCCTGCCTGGCCAATAATTAATATTTTTAATGAGGTGACCTTCTTTTGCAAATACAGTCATTGTCTTCTGGATGATATATCGAATAAATTAGGAAAGTATATAATATGTGATAAAAATATTTCCATCAAGCATTGTTAAATTAAACAGCGTGGGAGTTGCAGGTAGTGAACATCTGTTATGGAGAAAAAAAAATATCTCTGCAGATTTCCCGAAGGATTAGGTAAATAAAGCATTATCTAAATTTGTAAAGCCGTTCTCTAAGCTCCTGTGGTGCCATGAATTCTGCTGTGGTGAGATAAAATTTCAAGGAAACAGCAGATGTTTCCTAACATATTGTTGCCTTGGCCTTCCTCTTATTGAGTTGCCCACTGCTGTGGGAGATGGCGGGCTCAGAATTAGTCAGTCCAGTGTCTGAATAGACGCCACTGTTATGAACACTTCTGGTAATAGAGCCGGAGCCAAGATTTTTGACAGAAAAAGAGTTTTCTTGGGTTTTTAAAGAGTGAGGAAAAATTCAAGATGATGGGAGAGCTTGATTTGCTTCTAGTACACGAAATCAAATCTGATTTGTTGGTAGGATACTCAAGGACGCAAAACCTTAGACCCCAGTGGATACCTGAGAAGTGAAGGGGTCTTCTTTATCCCTCAGCCGAGCCCTAGATCTGGGGAAGG
Organism: Homo sapiens; assembly: GCF_000001405.40. Taxonomy (NCBI): domain Eukaryota; kingdom Metazoa; phylum Chordata; class Mammalia; order Primates; family Hominidae; genus Homo; species Homo sapiens. The sequence continues at coordinate 37,531,773 of NC_000007.14, forward strand.
GAACTCCAGATGAGTTGGGGACATGGCAGAGCATCTTTTTTCTGGGTGTAGCCTGAAGAGGCAGTGAATCCATGGGCCAATGTGGGTGAGGTACAGTGGAGATTGGATTGTGTGAGGGGCATTGCTAGAGTGGCTATATTTAGGGACTTTATTTTCTCCTGAAAATATCATCAATCCCCTCTTTTAAAAATGTGTCATTTGTTTTGCCTATTTTTTGAACTTTGTGTAGTTTTCTTTAGTGACTTGCTTTTTTTTTCCTTTGCCTAATACGAGCTTTTGAGATTCCTCCATGTTAACCTGTCCCTGTAGTTCACTGTTTCCCCTGCTGCATTCTACTCCATTGAATAAGCACACCACCGTTTATCCATTCCATTGTGATGAATTTGGGGGTGGTTTCTAGTGTATTTTGCTGTTACAAACAAGGCTTCTATAAATGTTTTTGCATGTGTTTCATGAAAAGTTTCTTTTTACGGCCATACTTCCTGACCCATCATGACAGACATAGAAAATGACAGCATTTGTTCAACACACAGGGGTAAACTGGAGGGTGTTTGGAGGCATCTCCATGGGTCTTGGTGAAAAAAGAATTTTTTTATATTACATAATTGTATTAAAAAATGAATTTGTATAAAATTTCCGCATGGAAGCTTTCAACATTTTTAAAAAGAGAAACTTAAGCTTTCCTCCTTGAACATAATTTTTTTTTTAAGTCAGGCTTTATGCATGAAATGGTTACATGCAATTTCTGGTCAAGATTTAAAATGATGATGTCTTTAAATTCTTGATAGTCACCACTGATGAAAACCATTGCTGTCAAGGTAGGTAATAAAAATTTTAAAATCATTTAATAACAATTCAAAAATGATAATGAGTCAAAAAGCTCTGTTTTTTCATTGACAAGCGTTACATTGAAAATACCTTGCTAACGCAACTCAATTTTAAATTCAATCAAACATTTTTATATCAACTGTTACAAAATAATGAGGAAGCTCTGATTTGCTGAGTAGGCTTGCATGGCTAGAGTAGTCACCCTGCTGCTAAATGGATGTCGTAAAAGAGACCTTCTGCTACAAACTGCTGGAACCATTCAATTTAGACCTCTGACTAATGCTACATCTTCCAGTATCCTGTCTGACCTCCCAGCAACCAGCCCTAGAACCCAAAAATGAGACTTCTCAGTTTGTACACTTTGAGAGGAGCTACCCCACTGGTATTTAGGGAGGAAAACCTAGCTGTGTCTTGGACCAAAGGGCTGCTGGAGGACTTCCTTGTTTGTGTGGCACAAGAGGTAAATATCCAAGTTGGAGAGGATGTCTTTCTTACTCGTAGGGTGTTGTGGATGGGAAGCATGAATGGGATTTTGTTCAAGGGGCTCCCAGCCTACTGGGTGTCTTGCTAATTCTGGGTCTCCTCCACTTCAGCCAGTACTGAAGAGCAGTCAAAAGCTACAGCCCAGAGGGTGCTGCTGGCTAGAAAGCTTGGCTCACCTTGGAATCATCTGGATGTTTTAAACAATACTGATGTATGGGTCTTATGCCAGAGATTCTTTTTTAATTGTATGGGTACAGCCTAGGGATCAGGATTTGTAAAAAACATACCAGGTAACTGTGATATACAGCAAAGTTTGAGATCCACTCTTAGAAATGGACTTTTTGGATTGTAAATTAGAGCATTTTGAATTCTACTCCGCAATCCCTAATTGTTTTACAAAGTGGTTGCACCTGTGTACCTGTAGTGCCTGAGTTCCTGATCATTGCTTTCTATCCTTATGCGATGCTTGTTATTTCATCAAGTTGGTGGTTGTGGGATGGTATTTCGCTGTGATTTTAACTTGCATTGCCTTGTCTATGACATTCAGCATATTTTCATATATTTGATGGCCTTTCCTGTCTCCTCTTCTGTGAAATACCTATTCAGGTGTTTTGCTCATTTTTTTTATTAGGTTGTTTGCTTTTTTCTTATCAATTCATAGACATTCTTTTACTCTGGATATTAATCTTTTGTCAGTTAAATGTTTTACAAATATATTCTCCCAGGTTGTGCCTATCTTTTCAACTTTTTATGATGTCTTGGTGAGCAGGTCTTAATTTTAATGTTTTTAAATATATTATAGCTTTTAAAAATAGTTCCCCCTGCCAGAGTGGTTTTTTTTGTTTTGTTTTGTTTTTTGTTTTTTTTTTTGGAGGCAGGGTCTCACTCTGTCACCCAGGCTGAAGTGCAGTGGTACAATTATGGCTCACTGCAGTCTTGACCTCCTGGGCTTGGGGGATCCTCCTGCCTTAGCCTCCTGGGTAACAAGGACTACAGGTGCATGTCACCACACCTGCCTAATTTTTCGTAGAGACAGGATTTCACCATGTTGCCCAGGCTGGTCTGAAACTCCTGGGATTAAGCAATCTGCCAGCTGTGGCCTCCCAAAGTGTTGGGATTACAGGTGTGAGCCACCATGCCCAGCCTTATTTTGTCTTTTTAAAGACATTCTTTCCTTTCCTGAAGCCATAATGGTATTCTTTTGTTTTCTTCCAAAAGATTTAAAGTTTTGTTCTTTGCATTTAAGTCTTTATTTATGTCTACAATAGATTTTTGTGTATGTCTCTAGATAGGAATCTATTTTTTTTTTCCTTTTCTCGTGAAGACCATCAACTATTCAGCAACATTATTAATTTATTCATCCTTCCCTTCCTAACCTGCAACAGACAGTTTCTCAAACCAGGTGATAGGCTATTTCATGCCATTCTCACGGAACACGTGATTCAAATTTATGCCTCAGAAAAATTATAAATACTATGAGCTATTAGCTGTACAGCACTGTTATAGTCTTTATAGCTCATGTGAGGAAATAAAAAGGTGTTTTTTAAAGGGCATTATTTGTAAATGATTTAAGGACATCATGTATGAATGATGATCGTGCCCATGTTACAGATGAGGAAACAGGCTCAGAGAGGTTAAATCACTTGTCCAAGGTCACACAGCCAGTGTTCAAATGCATTCTGGCTCCAGAGTCTGTGCGTTAAGCACTGTGCTGTGCTGCCTCTCTAAATGAACACATTCTAAACTTTATGGTTCCTTATTACTATCAATCATTAATGCCTGTACTACATTGATCAACTACATAGAAGTTTTAAATATGCAAATTAAGAAGCATAAGATAGCCAAATGGTTTATAAATGATACCCTTAAAAAAAAAAACTCTATTTTTAATTATTCAAAAAAACAAGAAATCCACAGAAAGACCTTCAATTCTTCAGAGTCTCCTAATGACTGTAAACAGTCACTCTAGCAAGCAGGTCATGGAGTCTACAAGTGCACTTCAGTCAGCCAAGTTCACCTTGAGAGTTAGTGCTGCAGCTCTTGGTTATTTTCAAACACTGTCATTTATTTGTTTTAAATAAAGAAAACAACTTAGAAGAGACTTAGTTCCCCGTAAGCACTGATTGGGTTCAAGAGGTTGGGAGTGCAGGAGGCCAGATCCCAGGGAGGTGGCAGTGCTTTGCTTCGTAGGTGCCCATTTGGCTTAAGATCCTAAGGTCTCTGTTGCCAGAAGGGTCGGGCGGAGGCCCGTTAAAATCAGAGCAGGAGGATCATCTGCTTTTTTCTTTTTTCTAAAAGCAGTCGGAGTAAACCAATCTGAGACAAGAGGCTTTTGTTTGTGATAATTGGTTTCTCCTGCAAACAAGTTGGCATGCAACATTAGCTGTTTGCAATTCTAATGACCTTTTGGTTGAGTACAGACAAAATTGCCAAATGGCTCTAAAATAACTATGTATTCTGACCTCTTCATCAATTCTCTCCTGGGCAATATTTCCATAAGAAAACGGGAAGAATGGTGCTCATGCCTAGGAGACCTTTTTATTTCTCCAAGTTATTTGCTCTCACTGTACCTTGCAAAGGCAAGGCCCTGTTTTACTGACTTCACCTTCCTGTCTTCAATTTTCACATCAGATCTAAGGGATACCTGGTTCACACATGTTAAAATCCCAGCTCATTTTTCACGTCAGTTTATTGACATCAGTTTCTGTCAGTATTGTTGGGAGCAGGCAAGAGTTAAATATTTAATACCTTTCTCTCTCTACTCTTACACTCACAAGCTAAAAAAAAAAACAAAAACAAAAACCCAAACAGCAATCAAACATAAACAAACCCATTCAGATGTTGAGCATGGAACCAAAAGGTAAAACTCCAGACCCTTTTGTGGAGCACCCTTGCTGAAGATAGGCTGAAAAGAACAAGCCTTTGCTCCAAGAGTGGAACATGTTTTTATATTGACATTCCAAAGGCTAGGACAAGATGTGTTCTCCCCTTTGTTTATTTTTTCACAAGGCTGAAGAGGAATGTCTTCCTTTATAGAGAGAGGGAAGGATTTTGGAAAAAAGAAATGGGGCTCATCTGTGGAAATAACAGTAGAGATGGTTTGGGTTAGGGAGGAGAGCATTCCTGTTGCTCACTAATCAGGGGGAAATGTGTAACCATATGCCCCATTATGGATTTTCTTAGGTAGATGAATCTAATGCAATTTTGTTCCCTTTTGATTAGGGCAATTAATTAGAGGCTTTGCTAAATGTGATTTGATTTTTATATTTTTTAGATTATTTTACTTTCAAAACTCACCAGTCTCTTGTGAAGCAAATCACGTGTTTTAGTTCAGAAGATACTGTATCTATTTAGGGCCCTTCTATCCAGAAGCCCAAGGATGGGCCTGTCCAAGACCTGCTGCCCTGTCAAGGTGTCAGGGTCAGTGCAACGCATCCAAGGTAGCCTTTGCTTCCCTGCTGGGGTTGGGGTGAACATACACTATAAAGCTGGGGTAGCTGAGCTGTGTGAGGCCTTTGAGGATGAGACAGCTGGCAAAACTGGTGGGAACAGCCCTACTTGCTCTTCTGGGCATGTGAGGCCTCAGCACTACTTGGGAAACTCAGGAAAACCATGGGTTTAGTGGGGAGGAGATGAGAAGACTTGTGACAGAGATCCTCATCACATCACCCATACTTCTCTCTGTGAGAGAATTGCTGAGCAATTCTCAATGGTGTGTTGCCTTTGGCATTCCATCAATTTAGCAAAAATGTACAAGCCATTTACTATGGAGGAGTAGGAACCCAGAGAAGTTAAACAAATTATTCCAGGAAGTATAACCGGTTGGTGGCAGAGCCAAGACTGAAAGCCAAGTCTCAGGACTTTTGGTTCACGGTCAACCACGACACCACATTGCTGAGTATTTACTGCCTCCCTCGTGTTGCCTTTAGGTCATTTTGCTTTAGGAACTGAGCTTTTGTATCAAGAGATGACAGGCCTATTTTGGTAGCCAGGAGAAGGGGAGGACAAAAGAACATGCAATAAAAGTAGTATTTCTTGTGTCAGCCTTCAGAGCTAGGTAGAGAGGGCCAGATAATAAACAACATAAAGACCAAGGATCAGAGAAATATCTAAAACCCATTTCTATCCTCATCTATACATGACTGGCCTCTGTAACCACACATGTAGCCGCCATCTGCGCCGCCTCGCTTCCTCTGGGTAGTTCTGCCTTGTGATTCTTCCTCCTGAAGGAAAAGTGCTAGTTACACAGCGCAGGGGCACTGAATGCAATTTTGAACGATATGAATTTGAAATAGTGGGACCTAAAAATATTAACGAAGTCTCGATTGGCTATGCACATTTGAAAAAAACTCAATAATTCTCCGAATTAGAAAAAGTGTAAATAATTTACACAATTTCAAAGCAGGGGACCCATCGGAATTGTCTGCTGTGTTCACACTGTAAATTTGAAAAAACCCCAGTAATTCTCCAGATTAAAAAAAGTGTAAATCATTTACGCAATTTCGAAGCAGGGCCTCCACTGGAATTGTCTGCTGTGTTCATGCCGTTGCCAGATGACAGTGCTGCTTCAGCTGGTTAATGGAAACATGTGGCTTCCATTGTTGGTGGCTGTGGATCACTCTCATGTTTATATGCACTAGAATTTCTGCAAGGGATTTTGGTTATTTTTGTACTGTTATTTTAATATTCATTGCTACTTAAAAATTAAAACTTTTTGAATCACATAATATCATCTAAGTTGTCATTAAGCCATATTGCCTGGACTTGTGCTGAAAAATCAGTCACTTTGTGGTAGAGGTTATGTAAATTTGAGTCCCCAAAGGGAAACTTTAGAGAAAATATTGAGAAAATAAAGAAATATTAAAAAGCAAACATGCTACATATTTGTGGATTAAATACATTTTGAGGCCGGGCATGGTGGCTTATGCCTGTAATCTCGGCACTTTGGGAGGCTGAGGTGGGCCGATCACTTGAGGTCAGGAGTTCCAGACCAGCCTGGGCAACGTGATGAAACTCTGTCTTTACTAAAAATTCAAAAATTAGCTGGATGTAGTGGCAGGCACCTGTAATCCCAGCTACTCGAGAGGCTGAGGCAGGAGAATCGCTTGAACCTGGGAGGTGGAGGTTGCAGTGAGCCAAGATCACGCCATTGCACTCCAGCCTAGGCGACAGAGCGAGACTCCGTCTCAAAAATAAATAAATAAGTAAATAAACTAATTAATTGATTAAATACATTTTGAGATTGTAGTCCCTCCACAATTGTTTTAACTTTAGAAAAATTAATTTTGTATTATGAAAATTTTAAATTCTGTGGGGGTCTTGAGGAATGCATCCTTGACCCAAATAAGAATATGCTATACCCAAGTATTAGGGGTGAATTTTGTCTCCCCAAACGATATTGGAGTCCTCACTCCTGGGACCTGTGAATGGGACCTTTTTGGAAATAAGGCCTTTGCTGATGATTAAATTAGAATGAGGCCATTACAGTGGCCCTCATCCAATATGACTGATATCCTTACCTAAAAGGAAAATTTGGACACAGAGACAGACATGCACAGAGGGAGACAATGTGAAGACAGTCTTCACATTGTAGACATCTACAAGTCAAGGAATGCCTGAGGCTACCAGAATCTCCGGGAGGGGGCATGGAACAGATTGTCCCTCAGAACCCTCAGAAAGAATCCACTCTGCTGAGACCTTGATTGCAGACTTCTAGCTTCCAGGGCCTGGGAGAAAATACATTCTTGTTGTTTGAGCCACCCAGTTTGTGATACTTCGTTATGGCAGCCCTAGCCAACAAATATACCAAGTGGCTGATCTGAGTTAAAATAATTCATTTTTAGGAGTGTACAAAGGTTGTGGTCCCAATGTTTTGGCCAACAGCAGATCCCAAGGAATGGCCCTTAGAAGGAGGGGAATGCCTACCCCAGTTGCTACCAGTCCCCAGGGGAAAACCTTGCTTTCTCAGCCACTTATGTGCATGTGTGATTAGTTCATCAGACGCATTTCTAAGAGATTGGCTGACATCAAGGTGATGAGTGACGACTTTGACTGGAGTGATGAAATTGCAGTGAAAGTGGAAGCATTGCCCAGCTGATCAGGCATACTACCCAGGATCTGGTTACCACTACCATAGCATGAAGGGAAATTGATGGACCAATCAGGAGGGTTGAAGTTTGTCTAAGGACGTCATACACAAGGTTAGCAACCTGCTTTTTTTTTTTTTTTTTTTTTTTTTGGTGCTGTGGGCTAGGTTCGTGCAGGTAACAGAAGGGTATGGCTGCATGGAGAGGTCAGGAGAGGAGTGGGGGAGCTGAAGGGAGGATCCAGGTGCTGAGATAAGGGGACAAAGCTTAGGGTTGAAGGGGGAACAGTGGGAGGCACCATGGTTTCCTTAATGCACTGCGCGGAGCCAGGACCCTAGGTAGGACAAGGCTTGGCTTTCGGTGGACAAACATCAAGGCTGGAGGGAACAGAAACGGAAACACTTCCTCTGTGCTTGGCCCAAGAAAACTGGCAGCACCTTCCCAGTTACAGGGAAGGGATTAGGGCAGCATGGGCTGTCTGGACGGTGTCATTCTGTAGTCATGTGTCCAATTATTCACAAAGCAAGATGGTTTCTTGGGGTGATGCATATTTTATATGTAGGCTGGTGGTTTTGGAGACAAAATCAAGTGCCATTTAGGCTGCTGTGCTTTCTGAAGCAGAAGTGTCTCATAATGACTCTGCGTGCAGAATATAGAACAGAGTTAAGCAAAGTGGTTGATAGACAAATGCACCTTTTAGTCTTTGAATGGCTAAGGCCCTTTCTCTGATCCAGCAGGAACCAAGTTTCTGCTTTCATTTCTTCTATCATCTTGATCCCTCCCTTCATCATTGGATGAACAAACGTGGAGGCAAGTGGGAATAGTGGAGGGCAGGTAGGAGATGGAGGGAAACAAACCATTACATATCTTTGCGGAGGGTGGTTTTAACAGCAATCCCAATAACAGCAACAGGAATGCCAGTGGCTGATATTCACTGAGGACTTGCTATGTGTGAGCCCTAGACTTGGTATGTTGAGTCCCACTCTAATTATGCAAGGAAGCTCTAATTATCTCTTTCTTATAACAAAAAACTGGTGTCTCCCAGATTTTAAGTATTGGTCTACATCACTACTCTTGACACACATGGCCAAGAGTAGACTCTAGTAATATACAGTATTGTTTCATAATACCTAGCAAGCAGAATTTTTGGCCTAGTTTTTTTCCCTCACATTTCTCATCATAACACAGGAGCCAGATGACATCTTAGTCCCTTGCCATGTTCTGTGACAGTGGGGGAAGACCCAGCTTACAAGACAGCTGGTTCTATTTTTCCAGGTGAGGTCTCAATGTAAAGAAATGGCTGTGGATGAAATGAGAAGTGGAGGTGGAATGTACCAGTTTCAAGGTAGGGGATATGGTTGGCTATATGATGAATTTTAGATTTCCTTGGTGTGTGCAAGCAGTATACATCATTAGAACAAGATAGGATAGGGGCAACAGCGTCTGAAGATGTGAATGGTTTCTACCACTTGTTGTTACTGTGAATGCTCTTCCTGTGGATTGAAATTCAGAGGCTATAAAGATGACATTTAAGAAATGACCCCTTTTGTGCATTATCTGTTGCAAGTTGGGAGAGGAAAGTTTCTTTTTTTATATGTTTAGTTGACACCTAATAATTATACATACTTATGGGGTACAGAGTATTTCCATACATGCATATGATGTTTAGTGATCAAATAGGTAATTAGCGTATCCATCAGCTCAAACATCGATCCTTTCTTTGTGTTGGGAACATTCAAAATCCTCTCTTCCAGCGTTGGACCACATACAATAAATGATTGTTAACCAAATTCCAAATTCACCCTGCGGTGTGAAGAGGAAAGGTTCTTTGTCGGACATTATTCCAGGGCACTTACTTGCTGGCGTGCTCCCTGCCTCTCCTGCTCCATTCCTCAGCTGCCAAGTGCTGGCAGGGTTGTGTGTGCAGTTGCAAGTTGTCACTTGGGTAATAAAGGAGAAGGAGCATAGCTTGGCAGACTCTCCGACATGGCCATGTGCATCCTGCGCAAATAGAATTATGATTAATGACTAGCCTGGCAGCTGAATTGGACTAGAGAACTTGGCCGAGGTCAAGGTAGGCCCAAGGAGCAGCCTGGGTGAGGCTGTCTGAGGGCGGAGATGGCGCAGATGAGGGGCAAGGCCCAAAGGAAGGCAGGCAGGGGGTGCTGATTACTTGGGGGATCCTGTGTAAGGAGGGGATCTGCAGAGCAGGGGAGTTGGGAAGGGTGGTAGGGATCTGAGCCCATGTCCTATGCACAAGGCCTGACTCCTCCTGTGGCCAAGCTTGAGCTGCTCTGCTGCCTTTGTAGGCTGCTGTGTTAGTTTCCTCCAGCAGCCATAAAAGTTACCTCCATCTTGATGGCTTAAAACAGTTATGAAGGCCAGAATTGAAAGATGAGATTATTGGCAGGGTCTCACTCCCTCCTAATGCTCTAGGGTAGAACCCTCCCTTGCCTCTGACAGCTTCTAGTGCATGTCAGCATGCCTCGGCTTCCCTGGATGCATGGCTCCAGTGTGCCTCAGTGGCCACAGTCCCTCCTCCTCCTCATGTGTCTTCTCCTCTTCTGTCTGTTACAAAGGTACTCGTCATTAAATTCAGTGCCCACCTGGGTAACCCAGAATGATCTGATCTCTTCATTACTTCTGCAAGGACCCTTTTTTTGAAAGAAGGTCACAGTCACAGGTTCCAGGGGTTAGGAAATGGACATAATGTTGGGGACCACCATTCAACCCATTACAGTTGCTGAGAGAATTGTGAGGGCCTAAATCTGTATTGGTTTTTAAAAAACTTTTTTTTTTGGTTTCAGTTGAGACCACACATATTCACTGGGCTTGAATTTGCATGTGGTGTTCAGTGGCAGGCAAGCCAGCTTTCAGGATGTCTGTTATCCAAAGCTACACTCTTAGGGCACCTCCAGATGACTCTCGGGCTTTCCAATCTGATCTTCTGCTTCTCCCCCTCCACGTGTGCCCTTCATCTTGTGGTAGGCAAATCAGACTCAATACCTACGGAGAAAGCAAAGGACATCAGTGACCATCTAATTCACATGTGTTACAAATGATTGACACAACTCTAACTGACTCTGCCCTAGACTCCTAACAGATACTAATTATCTACTGTGACACCAGTTCAGACAGAGCCTATCTATGATGGTTAATTTTGTGTCAACTTGATGGGGCCACAGGATGCCCAGATGTCTGATGAGCATTGGAATTGGTATGCTGGGGAAAGCAGACTTCCCAGTGTGGGTGGGCCTCATCCAGTTCATTGAGGGCATGGATAGAACAAGAGGGTGAAGGAAGGTTGGATTCACCCTCTCTCTGTCTGACTGCTTGAGTTGTACATCAGTCTACCGCCTGCTCCTAGTTCTCAGGCCTTCGAACTCAGACTGAAATCTACACTATTGGCTCTCCACCTCTCAGGCCTTCAAAACACAGTGCTGGAATTCCTGGGTTTCCAGAAAACACAGCACTGGAATTCCTGGGTTTCCAGAGTGCAAATAGCAGATCCTGGGACTTCTCAGACTCTGTAATCAATACGTTATAAGAAATCACACACACACACACACACACACACACACACACACACACACACACACACACACACACGTTCTATTGGTTCTGTTTCACTGGAGAACCGTGACTGATACAGAGCTTCAGACCTCTCAGTCCAGGCCTCAGTAGCTGCTGTCATGGGTTAGGGATAGCACACAAAATGAAATCTCTGCCACTTCTGACCCAAAACGAGCCTCATTTCATAGATAAGGAAACTGGGGCCCATGGAGGATGAGATAATTGAAAGGTGGTTGTCTATTCAAGTGGTATTTTAACATTTCATTTCCCATGTCAAAAAAAAAATAAGATGAACAGCCTGTAGATTTCCAAATCAGGATTTTTTTGACTTTAAAAACACCTAATATTGAACTGATTTTCTTCATATTTTTTAATAGCTTCCCAAGCCACATAGAAACCTGGAGCCTGTCACCCTACCAGTGTGACTTATGACATACTGTACAGCCACTCTGTTCCATAGCTTTCAGGATCCATCTGTTAGCTCATATAAAACAAAATTTCTATTAAATGGGATTTTAGAAATATTATCATGGCCCAAATTGAACATCATGTGATGGAAAACAAAACATATGTTGGCAATTTTGCTTTTGATTATTGGATTGGGGTGATTTGAGTTCCAAAGGGGAAAGAAAGAGCTCCTCTCCAGACCTCATTGTGATCCTGCCAGAGTATTGTTCCTAACACCTCCATTTATTTTTAACAATTATTGTAATTATTACTTTTATACATTATAAAAGTAATATATATAAATAAATTAAGAAATTCTTTTAATCATTTACATTTTATTTTTAATTATTATGGGCATATAATGGTTGTATATATTTATGGGGTACATGTGATGTTTTGATACAGTCATACAATGTGTAATGATCAAATCAGGGTAATTGAAATGTCCATCACTACAAGTGTTTACCATTTCTTTGTGTTAGGAAGATTCCAATTTCACTCTATTAGTCTGTTCTCATGCTGCTAATAAAGACATACCTGATACTGGGTAATTTATAAAAGAAAGAGGTTTAATTGATTCACAGTTCCACATGGCTGGCAAGGCCTCACAGTTGTGGCGGAAGGCGAAGGAAGAGCAAAGTCATGTATTACATGGTGGCAGGCAAGAGAATGTGTGCAGGGGAACTGTCCTTTTATAAAACCATCAGAACTTGTGAGAATTATTCACTGTCATGAGAAGAGCACAGGAAAAACCTGCCCTCGTGATTCAGTTACATCCCACCAGGTCCCTCCCATGAGGCATAGGGATTATGGGAGCTATAATTCAAGATGAGATTTGGGTGGGGACACAGCCAAACCATATTATCTACTTTTTTAGTTATTTTACAATATATAATAAGTTATTGTTAACTATAGTTGCCCTATTGTGCTACTGAATACCAGACCTTATTCATTCCGTCTTAACTGTATTTTTGTACCCATTAACATTCCCCACCTTGTCTTCCCCTCTCTGCTATCTTTCTCAGCCTCTGGTAACCATCATTCTACTCTTTATGAATTCAACTTATGTTTTTCTCTTAGCTCCTGCCCATGAGTGAGAACATGTGACATTTATCTTTCTGTGCTTAGCTTATTTCACTTAACATCATGTTCTCCAGTTCCATCTAAGTTGTCGTAAATGACAGGATCTCATTCTTTTTTATATGCCTCCATTTCTTGAGAGCCATTCCCATCCAACTCTGAGTGGCTAAAATGCTGACTTCCTTAGAAATTTGAAATTCTCCCATTTAGACCTGTTGTTAAAAAAGAACAGCTCAAAAACATTATATTTGATACAGCTTTTCCAATAACAGTTCTTTGGGCTGCTACAATTTGGAGAAAAGTTGAGAAAATAGGAGTGAGCATTTCAAGTTTGAAAAAGAAAAAGAAGAAATAAGGCTAGAATTCATTGTTAGCTTGGTCTGTTTACTCCCAAGGATAATGCCTATTTGATGCAATTGAGCAAAGGGACATTGATGGGGGGATTCTGAGGCAGAAGACTCCAATTTACAATATTCAAGGGGCCATATACAATATTCTGTCGAAGCCTCTACAATGACCCTATGAGATAGCTGCTGTTGTTTCCATTTTACAGAGGAAAAAAAAGTATGAGAAAATTATTTGTCCAAGGTCAGCTAGTAAAGGGCAAGGGAAGTAATGGATTTACAGTGGTGTCTTCTAATTAAGCAAGGTATCCCAGTAGGAATTCATGGTAACTCCTGATGCTTTTCTTATTCTTGAATAGGACATTTCCCTAGGGGAAAACGCTACAAGTAAATTAGAATCAAATGTTGAGGAAAGGAGCAGAGGAAAACTATCATGGGACCCAAGATACAAAAAGGCAAATAACAGAGAAGGGGTTGGAGGACTGTGTGATAAACTGTATTCCCTTCACCCCCACACTCCAGCTAATCTGATTTTGTAAGTTGTACAGGCGTTGTTAATTACATTTTGACTATATTTTGAGTAATGATTAGAACTACCATACTAGGTGCTTGGCAGTATCTAGGATTAAATGTCTCGTTTTTAATTCTCACCATAACTTGAGGTACAATGGGGTGTGTATTGTCCTCTCCATTTTACAGGTTAGGAAACAGATGTAAAATGCGACCTAATTTGCCTCCAATCCTGGGGCCGAAGTGGGATTTATTGCCAAGGCTATAGCTCTGCACGCATTCCCGGTGACGTCCTGTGGTTTGAAACTCCTCTGAGTGGCTTCATGTTTTGTTTCTCTTTCACTGGGGAGGATAAAGTCACCACTAGGTCCTTTCTGTGTTCTTTGCTGCCTTTTTCTCTTCAGCATCCACAGTCCTGACTTACTGCATTTTGGTCTGGATTTCAACTAGCTGAAACTTAATCCCTGATACCGTTAGCTGAGAGAGAGCATCAAGTATTAATCCTCCAGGGAGTATGTTTTTTTAAAGGAGACACTGGAAGGGCAAAAGGTCTTTAAGACTCAGATGATTCCGTGATAATGAAAATTGAAGCAGGGTGAGCGGGAGAGAGTTTTAAGAGGAACGATCGTCTCAGAGCTTCAGAACCAGTAGACACTGTATGGCCCTGGAACCAGCAACACTGGCATTACCTGGGAGTTCCTTAGACATGCAGAATCCGGGGCCATCCTCAGGCCTACCAGTGTGCATTTTAACAAGATCCCTAGGTAATTTGGGAGTACCTTATAGTTTGAGAAGCACTGGTGTAATCCATGCTCTGACATTTTTGTCTGATCTCTGGCAGTGGGCTGAGCTCAGCACTGGAACTGAAAGGCAAATTTAAACATCCTTTTTCAAGTGAGCAGGTAAGAGGTAACTTAAGGAAAGAGCAGCAGAAAATCAGTTCTGGGCATACAAGAGTTGGCAGTATGTTGGGAAACACAGTTGACTGATTCAAAACAGAATAAATGGGCCAGTTTCAATGTGTAGTTGCTGAGTTAGCAAAAATCTACCAGGTCAAATCAAATTCAAAGTGTTTTAGCTTTAGATAAGCAATATCTAGTCTCTCCCTTATGAGAGCAAATGTAAAATAGTCTAAAATTTTTATTAGCAGTGGGAGAGTTGGCAAGATCCTGTTTCCTCTGGGAGCCAATGCAATCATTTCTCTCATAGCTCAGTTCATGAACTGACTATTTTCCCAGGAACTGAAATTGTTAGTTTCCTTGAGCAAAAAGCAATTTTGTTTCCCTCTGATTTTTCTCTAAGTGCAGGTTAGCCTGAAGCTCGGCACTGCCCTGTTCTGCAGAGATGCTCCAAGCTGACCTGTTCTTCTTAACAATGTCATCATGCAGATAAATCGGACCCTAAGAATCAGGGAAAAAAGCAGCCCCAGAACTTGGCGTTTTCTCAGCTTATCACACTGAGTTTTTGGCAAATGTTTCGAACTTTAAGTGTTTCAAATTTTCTCTAATATAATTTACCTGGCAATCTCCTCCAGGAATGCTGAGTGAAGGTTAATGAGATGATGCAGCTGCTTTGATCTCCTAGGGAGAAAAAGAAGGTTATAAATATATCAAACCCAATGACTAGATACAAACAAGATTTTAAAAAGTAAAATGATACGTCATTAACACAATCACCTATCTGCGTTAACCATGCTGTTTCCATGCTGTTTTCTGCTTACAGGCTTGAGCCTAAGAGTCATTCTTAGTCATTCTCCAAGAGTGTGAGAGAAAGACGGTGAGTGGTCTGTCTACCCACATCTGGTCATTTTCATTCTCCTGCTGCAGACCTTCTAATGCCTCCTCACTGTCTTCAGAATTGCATCTCAAAACTTCAGTTTTTGTGTTTTGATCTTTACTCACCTCTCCAAGCTCAATTTATCACTTCCTGCCTCTCCTTTGCTGTAGGGACATTTTCTGTTTACCAATGCACCAGGCTCTCTCTCCCTTCAGGGCACTTTCTTCTGGCATTTACTGGCTGTTCTGTTTGCCCAGAACACTCTTCTTCTCCCGTCTTCCCAATATCCTCACCTGGCCATTCGGCATGACCTGGCAGGTCTCATCTGAGGTGTTCCTTCTCTGGGCTCCTGAGCCTCTCAGAGGATCCTGAGCCTGGGCTGTGAGGGCCCCACATGATTTCATTGCATCAGGTGCTTAGACCCTTTCTGGTGATTCTCTGCTTTTTCATCTTCCTCTTCGAGACCAGTGGCCTCAACCTGGGCCACACATTAGAGTTGCCTGGGGACATTTAAAATCTCCTGCTATCCAGATCAGATTTCAGACTAAATAAATTAGTCTCTGGGTGTGGGATCCAGGGATTAGTATTTCTAAAAGCTGTCTAGGTGATTCCAGGGCACAGGTCAATTCAAGAACCACTGTACTCAGTGGTAAAATCCTGATGAGAGTGGGTATAGTCATGAGCATTACCATAGTGCTTGGTATAAATTGGCATGCAATAGAGCTCGTGGATTGAATGAGTTGAATGAATGAGGCTTTGGCTTTGCAGACCCTGAACTTTGGTTGCCAGCTCACTCTTGGGGCTATTAACCAAAAAGTGACTGAGGCAGATCTCAATAGATAGAGGTTTATTTAGCCAAGGTTAAGGATGTGCCTGGGAAAAAATACAAGTCACAGGAGCATCTGTGACCTGTGCTTTTTCCAAAGGTGGTTTTGGGAACATCAGTAAAGGGGAAACAATAAGCAGGAAAGAAAAAAAAGGAAGAGGAGGCAGGTGGTTACATTCTTGGGAGGCTCTGATTAGGCTCAGTAAATCTACAGTTTACATGTGAAAAGAGGGGCTAGAGAAAAAGTCAATTATATATCGTCTTCCACTCAGTAAATCGTACACTTTACACAACATAAAGTGAATGTCCAGTGCAGTGGCTCACACCTGTGATCCCAGCACTTTAGGAGGCCCAGGTGGGAGAATCACTTAAGCCCAGGAGTTTGAGAGCAGTCTGGGCAACAAAGCAAGACCCTGAGTGTTAAAAAATAAAAAAAATTAGTCAGGCACAGTGGTACATGGCTGTAATCTCAGCTACTTGGGAGGCTGAGGCAGGAGGATCCCTTGAGCTCAGGAGATCAAGGCTGCGGTGAACTATGATTTTACCACTGTCCTCCAGCCTGGGTGACAGAGCAAGACCCTGTCTCAAAAACAAACAAACAAAAAGCTAAAGCAAACATGTGAAAAGAGGGAATAGAGGGAAAAGCCAGTTATACATTCATCTCAGGGTAGACAGAGGGATGATTTCTGGTCTTGTCCTTGTCCTGTGAAATTAAACAAGCAATTGACATTGTCAGAAAGTAATTCAACAGAATTTGGTTTTAGGGTTAGTTTATGGGGTGATATATATACTAAAGCAGGGGTTGGTCCCCAGCCACCAGTCCATGGACGGGTGCCATTCGGTGGCCTATTAGGAACCGGGCCACACAGCAGGAGGTGCGCTGTGGGCCAGGGAGCATTACCGCCTGAGCTTCACCTCCTGGCCGATCGGCAGTGGCATTAGATTCTCATAGGAGCACGGACCCTATTGTGAACTGCGCATGTGAGGGATCTAGGTTATGTACTCCTTATGAGAATCTAACTAATGACTGATGATCTGAGGCGAAGAGTTTCATCCCAAAACCATGCCTCCCCCTTGCCCCAATCCGTGGAAAAATTGTCTTCCAGGAAACTGGTCCCTGGTGCCAAAAAGGCTGGGGGACTGCTGTCCTAAAAGATTTAGGGGCTCACAGGGAATTTCCTTGTGAGCAATTTCTGCAGGAGGCCATTGGGGAGGTATGTGGCCTTCTATTGTCCAAGCTTAACTTTCCCTTTGGTGTAGTGAGTCTGGGATCACGAGATGGTATTTTCTTTCACAGAGGATCAGGCCTTTGGGTACCTGAGGCCCTGACATTTCTCTTCAGCAGAAACCAATTCATTTGATTTTCAGAAAATGTGACCAAGTTACCCAGGTACCTTTATCACCCTTCCTGCTCCCCAGCTCCCCACCATCAGCCCATTCTTTTCATAGGCAGGAAGCCTATTTAGAAAGCCAAATTAAGATTAGATAAGAAAAGGAAGGAAGTTGAATGTTGTTTTTATTTGGCTCTGATGCCCAGAAAACGTCAATTTTGTGCTATAAAGATCCCTGAAACTGCATATTCTTGACATTTGAGATGATTTATCTGAAAGCGCTTTGAAAACCATAAAGCAGCATTACTGTTATTACTGCATTTCACTTATTCCCATAACAAGGCTTCATAGGGTCTTTATGATTGCCATAGGTAATGGGAATTTAAGGGGCAAAAAGGGCAGCCACTGCCCCCGGGGGACAGAGTGGGGTGGAGTGTCCCGTGCACAACTCATTGGCATGCAAGGTGGGAAGTCCAGGAACTGGGAACTCAGGGAAAGGAGTGCTACTCCATGCCTCTTTCCTCTGGATTCTGAATGCCTTAAGGGCAGAGGCCAACCTATTTATCCACATTTCCTCAAGGTCTGATGTAATACTTGGCACATAGTAATTATTTGAATGATGAAGATAAATTATGGGCCATTTGTTAGTTAGGATTCTTTGAGTTCCAGGTAATAGAAAACCAGCTTGAGTCCGTCTAAACATGAAAAGATTTATTGGAATGATCAGGGTGGTTTAGAAAGTCAACACCACCATCAGAATAGAAAAACAGCACCTAAAAGCAGAACCTGGGGAAGGCTGTGCCCAGGGCTCTTCTGAGAACTTCTCATGCCGAAACCTCGGGCACCCGCAGGGTCACTCAACCTCCACTGCTCTTGTTTGTGTTGTGTTCATTCTCTCCTCCTGCAGGTAAACTGGGGATATGCAGTGGGCACAGGTGAGAGAGAGGAGTTTGGCGGCACTGGTTTCCCAAGACACAGGACACAAGACCCCTCCAATAAAACAGGATGCAGTAGAGAAGCTGAGCAAAACCTACCAAAACCAAGAAGGCAACAGAAGTGGCCTCTGGTTACCCTTGCTGCTCATTATATGCTAATTATAACACACTAGCAGGCAAAAAGGCACTCCCACCAGTGCCATGAGGGTTTACAAATGCCATGGCAACCTGGCACCCCAATCCCCACCCCCAATAAATTACCCGGAAAACTCATGAATAATCCACACTTTGTTTAGCGTATGATCAAGAAATAAATCATAAAAATAGCCAACCAGCAGCCCTCAAGGCTGCCTTGCCTATGGAGTAGGCACGTTTTTATTGCATTACTTTCTTAATAAATGTGTATTCACTTTACTCAGTTGGCTTGCTCTTGAATTCTTTCCTGCATATAGCTAAGGACCCACTTGGCTTCCTGGGCTGACCCCAATTTTGGGGTTTGCCCTGTGACACAGGGGAAGCTGGTGGTTCTGAACTCAAAGTTTTCGAATCTTATCTCAGGAGAGGGAAGAGCTGTCTCTTCTGAGCTTTATTTATACCACCCGGGGGGAAGGACTCTGGCCCAGGAGGAAGAGGTCACCAGTCACTGAGATAGACTACAGGGGTGTACATGTGAGAGCACGGTATGGGGGAAGAGGCTCCTCAAAGAAGGCAGATTTTCCTAGAACAGCACCTGCTGGCATGTAGTGGTTATAAGAGACCCCCTGACTCCAAGAAAGCAGATAGGATTAACAGGCTGTGACTCTTAGTTGCAGAATTTTTGGAAAGGTTCAATAAGGTCTAAATGTCCCTCTGTAGATAGACTAAATTATAAAAGTGAAGGAGAACTTTTGCAAATCCTAGGCTGAAAGCCCTTTGTTTATAAATCATGCTTACTTGCTTTTATGTTTCTACCAAAATTAGGATGACATTTGTTCCAGAGTGTCCCAAATCTGATAAGACAAGATTATGACTGTAACTTTTGGCCTGAATGAAATAATAAGAGTGCAGAGACGGGTGCCCTGCCCTGGTATGAGTTGTTCTGATGACTCACAGAGTTTTGGTGGCTCTAATCGGTGCTCTAGCATCTCTGGAGTTAGATGGCTCTGCAGCTGAAGAAGCCTCAATCCAGGGGTGCAGGTGCTATTTAAATATTTCCTGGTACTTCCTTTAATAGGGCATGGGAGAGTGAGAACCTTGAATAAGTCTCTATTTCTTATTATAGTTCTGAAGTTTGCAGTTTATTGCAAACAAAAGACTCCAAGGTTGTCTTGCTCAGAATCAGGAGGGCTCTGGTTGGTCTTAGACCAGTGGTGTTTCCACGGTTCTTTCTGATGATCCAAAGTTCTAGAAATTGTTATGCACATGTCTAATTGAAGAGACAACCTGAACAGGCTAAATGTGAGCAACAAGGCTGTTTATTCACTTGGGTGGAAGTGGGCTGAGTCCGAGAAAGGAGTCAGCGAAGGGTGGTGGGAGGGGAACTGGTTTTATAGGTTTGGGGTAAGTAGTGGAAAGTTATAGTTAGGGGCAGTTTTTTTGGGCAGGGGAAGAATGTCACAGGGTGCATAGTCACAAGGTGGGAGGAGGTCACAATGCACGATATCACGGGGTCAATTGATTATTTAGGGTAGGGCAGGAATATATCACATTGGTGGATTGTTGCAAGGTTGGTTAATCAGTTAAGGCAGGAACTAGCTGTTTCTTCTCCTTTAGTGCTTCTCTTGTTGCTCCAGGCTTTGTGACTGCAGGAGGCCTGTATGTGTGGGTCACAGGAGTCACAATGGCTCAACCATTGTGTAGCCTGTTCAGAGGACCTTACAGAAACAAGGCAGAGAGAGCACTGGCTTCCCCCAAAGTGAAGAATTGGAACTTGCCTCTCTGACAAGAAACTTCTGTGAGAGTTGGGACTGTGGAGGAAGTGACAGGGCAAGGATTCTGTTCCTGAAGGTTTTCACACTGGCTGTGCACGTTTGGGGTGGCAAAGTGATGCAAGGGACAGAGGTCATTGAGTCCTGTTCACAGGAGGCCAAACATTGCAGACAATGCATGGAAAGCAGAGATTCCAGGAACAGAGTAGATCCAGAACAGGTCCTCGACCCTGTAGTAGGAATGAACAAAGAAAGGCCCCAAAGGGGATTTGAGATCTGGGTCCAAGAGACTGAATAGAAGCTAAGGTGGCTGAATAGAGCTGTCAGCGGGAGGGCTGAGTCAAGAATACAAATGATAGTTGGGTAGATAACCAGGTTGGGAAAATGAGCTGGGGGTAGACTTCTTTACATTTTCTCAATTGTGGTCGCCTAGGCTAGTGACCCAGGAAAACACAAAGGCAGTAGCGTTCATATAGTTCTTTTTAAATAAGGCTGCTTTCCTGAGGCAGGCTTTGCAGCCAAAGTTCCCATGCAAATTTCCACTGAGTGTTGCCACATTTTAAATAGGGTTCTTTGGTGAAGCCACAGTTCAGAGTAGCAAGAATTTTAAAAATTGCTATTTAAAACAAACACTTCATCAATGCTTCTGCCCTCTGCCAGCATAATTGCTCTTAGGGCCAAATCGTTTTCTGCTTAACCAAATGAATTAATAGATATGTGGCTCTGTAGGGGGCAGCTCCCCTCCTACTGTACAAGCAGCCACACCATTTGGAAGCAGAGGGCACAATATAGAGAGAATTGAATGGCTCTGCATAAGAAATCAAGCTGAATTTAGAGTTTTTGTGGACAGAGGAGTGAGAGGGTGAAGGAGGAAAGGGAACCAGATGAGCGACATGACAGAGCTGGGTCTTGAGAAGAGATGACCCATAAAAATACCTGAATCTGGCCCTTCTTGTGTTAGGGCTGGCCAGGGGACCTCTAAAAACAGCAAGGCTGCCCTTCAGTTTTCTCACTGTATTAGAAATAATATTACAAGTATAAGATAGTAAAGTATATCATTCATTTTAAACTGTAAAGGCAAAATTAGTTAAATTTTGATTGCAAAATATTCCATTTTGTCTGTTGATGTTCTGTAATAGAAGCCCTGCCCCCAATCTTTGCCTCCAAATCCATAGTAAAGGTGATTGGTCACAACCTCTGTGGGGGTGGGGTTTGTGAGAATCCAGGAAGAAGGGGCAATGTTCCATCTTTGGGTCAATGTGGAGTAAAGAGAAGGGGGAACACCAGCAAATGTGAGAGGAGAATAATGTGGCAGACTCAGCAGGAGGATGAAAGTGATGCAGTGGATTCTACATAAGCAATGCCTGGAAGAAATAGGAGTGCACCCTGTATTTTCCATCATGTCTGGGAAAGAAGCTTGTATTAGTCTGTTTTCTGCTGATAAACATACCCGAGATTGGGCAATTTACAAAAGAAAGAGGTTTAATGGGACTTACAGTTCCACGTGGCTGGGGAAGCCTCACAATCATGGCAGAAGGCAAGGAGGAGCAAGTCACATCTTATGTGGATGGCAGCAGTCAAAGAGCAAGCTTGTGCAGAGAAACTCCCATTTTTAAAACCATCAGATCTCGTGAGACCCATTCACTATCAGGAGAACAGCATGGGAAAGACCCACCCCCATGATTCAGTCATCTCTCACCAAGTCCTTCCCACAACACGTGGGAATTATGGAAGCTGCAAGATGAGATTTAGGTGGGGACACAGAGCCAAACCGTATCAAAGCTGCACCCACTGTTTTGTCTTCTTATTTTATTTTTAAAACAATTCCAACCTATAATAAATGAGAAGTTTAAACATCCTGAAATGTTAAAAGGAAAGCCCTCTGACATCCTGTGTTTCCACAACATAGAGTCAAGAATTAACATTTGCCATATTTACTTTATTTATCTTTCTCTATATATGTTTTAACTTTTTATTTGTATATTTATTTATTTATTGAGCCATTTGCATATGAGTTGCAGAATATCATGATACTCGAGTACTATAGACTTATGTGTATATAAGCCACCATCACTCAAAGATCTCCAGATAGCTGGCACCAGAGTTACAAAGGTGTGCAGAGAAAGGCTCCCACTCCTCCTCCTGGGATGTCTGGACCCCAGTGCAGGTGAAGCCCTATACCCATCCCCACTCCCTCAAGTTGGCTTTGGAGGAGATAGCCCCTGTATTAATCTGTTCTCACACTGCTGTAAAGAACTACCAGAGACTGGGTAATTTATGAAGAAAAGAGGTTTAATTGACTCACAGTTCCATGGGCTAAAGAGGAAGCATGACCGGGAGGCCTCAGGAAACTTACAATTATGATGGAAGGTGAAGGGCAAGGACCTTCTTCACATGGTAGCAGAAGAAAGAGAGAGAGTGACGGGGGAAGTGCTAAACACTTTTAAACCATCAGATTTCGTGAGAACTCACTCATCATCACAAGAACAGCAAGGGGGAAACCCACCCCCATTATCCAATCACCTCCCACCAGGTCCCTCCCCCAACATTGAGAATTGAAATTTGACATGAGGTTTGGGTGAGGACACAGAGCCAAACCATATCATTTGGCACCTGGCTCTTCCAAAATCTCATGTCCTTCTCACATTTCAAAACACAGTCATGCTTTCCTAACATTCCCCCAAAGTCTTAATTCATTCCAGCATTAACCAAAAAGTCCAAGTCCAAAGTCTCATTTGAGACAAGGCAAGTCCTTTCCACCTGTGAGCCTGTAAAATAAAAAACAAGTTAGTTACCTCCAAGATACAATGGAGGTACAGGCATTGGGTAAATGCTCCCATTCCAAATGGGAGAAATTGGCCAAAACATAGGTGCTACAGGCCCCATGCAAGTCCAAAGCCCAGTAGGGCAGTCATTAAATCTTAAAGCTTCAAAATAATTTCCTTTGACTCAATGTCTCACATTACATTTTCTCAACTGTGGTCTCCTAGGCTAGTGACCCAGGAAAACACAAAGACAGTAGCATTCATATAGCAGTTTTTAAATAGGGCTGCTTTCCTGAGGCAGGCTTTGCAGCCAAAGTTCCCATGCAAATTTCCACTGAGTGTTGCCACATTTTAAATAGGGTTCTTTGGTGAAGCCACAGTTCAGAGTAGCAAGAATTTTAAAAATTGCTATTTAAAACAAACACTTCATCAATGCTTCTGCCCTCTGCCAGCATAATTTATGAAGATGCAAGGGGTAGGCTCCCATGGCTTTGGGCAGCTCTGCCACTGTGGCTCTGCAGGGTACAGCCCCCACAGCTGATAAACTCACAGTTGGGGTTAAGTGCCTGTGGCTTTTCCAGGTGCACAGTGCAAGATGTCAGTGAATCTACCATCCTGGCATCTAAAGGATGGTGGCCCTCTTCTCACTGCTCTACTAGGTAGTATCCAGGTGAGGACGCTGTATGGGGGCTCCAACCCCACATTTCTCCTCCACACTGCCCTAATAGAGGTTCTCCATGAGGGCTCTGCTCCTGCAGCAGATTTCTGCCTGGACATCCAGGAATTTCCATACATCCTGTGAATTCTGGGCAGGCGCTCCCAAGCTTCAACTCTTGCCTTCTGCACACCCACAGGCCCGACACCACATGGAAGCTGCCAAGGCTAGGGGCTTGCACCCTTTGAAGCCATGGCCCCAGCTGCACCTTGGCCCCTTTTAGCCATAGCTGGAGCTGGAGTGGCTGGAAGGCAGGGTGTCATGTCCTGAGGCTGACAGAGCAGCAGGGCCCTGGGCCTGGCCCATGAAATCACTTTTCTCTCCTAGGCCTCCAGGCCTGTGATGGGTGGGGCTGCCATGAAGTTATCTGAAAGCCCTGGAGACATTTTCCTTATTGTCCTGGCTATTAACATTCAGCTTCTCTTTACTTATGCACATTTCTGCAGCAGGCATGAATTTGTCCTCAGAAAATGGGTTTTTCTTTTCTACCACATGGCTGTGCTACAAATTTTCCAAACTTTTAAATGTAAGTTTCAGTTTCAGATAATCTTTTTGTTCATGCATATGAGTGTACACTTTTAGAAACAGCCAGGTCACTTCTTGAATGCTTTGCTGCTTAGAAATTTCTCCTGCCAGATACCCTAAATCATCTCTCTCAATTTCAAAGTTCCACAGATCTCTAGGGCAGGGGTAAAATGCCACCAATCACCTTGCTAAAGCATAGCAAGAGATGGCCAGGTGCAGTGGCTCAAGTCTGTAATCCCAGCTCTTTGGGAGGCTGAGGCAGGCAGATCACCTGAGGTTAGGAGTTCGAGACCAGCCTGACCAACATGGAGAAACCCTGTCTTTACTAAAAATACAAAATTAGCCGGGTGTGGTAGTGCATGGCTGTAATCCCAGCTACTCGGGAGGCGGAGGCAGGAGAATTGCATGAACCCAGGAGGTGGAGGTTGTGGTGAGCCAAGATCACACCATTGCACTCCAGCCTGGGCAACAAAAACAAAACTCTGTCTCAAAAAAAAAAAAAAAAAAAAAAAAAAAAAAAAAAAAAAAAAGCATAGCAAGAGAGAACTTTACTCCTGTTCTCAATCAATAAGTTTCTCATCTCCATCTGAGACTACCTCAGCCTGGACGTCATTGTCCATATCACTATCAGCATTTTGGTCAAAACCATTCAATAAGTCTCTAGGAAGTTCCAAACTTTCCCACATCTTCCTATCTTTTCTGAACCCTTCAAACTGTTCCAACTTTTGCCCATTACCCAGTTCCAAAGTTGCTTCCACATTTTCAGTTGTCTTTATAGCAGTGCCCCACTCTGGGTACCAGTTCTGGTACCAATTTTCTATATTTGTCCATTCTCACATTGCTATAAAGAATTATCTGAGACTGGGTAATTTATGAAGAAAAAGGTTTAATTGACTCACAGTTCCATAGGCTTAACAGGTAGCATGACTGGAAGGCCTGAAGAAACTTACAATCATGGTAGAAGGCAAAGGGGAAGCAAGGACCTTCTTCACATGACAGCAGGAGAGAGCAAGCAAGGGAGGGGGACATGTCACATACTTTTAAACCATCAGATCTTGTGAGAACTCACTCACTATCATGAGAACAGCATGGGGGAAATCCACCCCCAAGATCCAATCACCAGGTCCCTTCCCCAATATTAAGAATTACAATTCAACATGAGATTGGGGTGTGGACACAGAGCCATATCGTATCAGCCCACCTTGTCACAGCATCATCTTGTCTCCTCCTTCTCACTCTCTTTTCTTCTCCCCAGGACATTTTCCCCTTGTCTCTTTCCTTGAGTCTATTTCCTACTCAGTCTGTCTGTGAAGTATCTCCTTGTTGCTGTCATCCTAGGCTGGGTCTTTCTGCGTACCTGGAGTCATAGAGGACTGATGTGTTTTAGGAGAGGACAGAGTGGAGGAAGTGTATCGGGAGCAGAGGGAGTGGTATTTTGGGGAAAGTGGTCTTGGATGCCCTTTAGCCCAGAGTAGCCCTGGAAGTGGCTTGGGTGAAGGGTGTCTTGGAGCACCGTTGGTGGTCTGTCTGTCTGTCCATCAGCCTGCTCTGCCAGGCTCTGTATGTCTGTCTGTACATTCTTCTGTCTTTGTTTATGCCTCAGACTTTATTTCCTTCCCTTCCTGCCTCTGTCTTTCTCTTTTTTTCTGGCTCACTCTGTCTCCCTTTAACTCTCTCTGTCTGTCTAATACAGCTCTTTTCTTTACCATTTTTCCTCCCTCATATTCAAATGGTGCCAGCTGGAAGAAGCCAGCTGAAGCAGGGGCAGGCTATGCTGCTCAGCAGTGTCTGCTCTTCTGTTAGTGATGTTTGTGTCCAGACACCATCTGAGAGGGGTCTTTTAAAAAGGGCAGTATGTGGCTCTGAAGGATAATGTTGGCAAAGGCAAATAAGAAAAAGGACATAAACCATTTTGTAATGTTATGTTTATTTCCATTTGGGTGTAAGTTCTCATGGAATAAACGGGCAGCATTTCAATTTCAGGACACTTTGTTCACCACACTGCTTTTCTGTCTCATGTGGTCTTCTCGAGAGGATGGAATTTCTGTGCCAATTAGGGCATTAAAAAAGAGGCAGGCACTGCATTCCTGGAGTTCAGAAGATCAGATCTGCTGCCTTGACACAAGGGCCTCGCAGACAGTCCCCTGGTGTCCGCTGGAGTTGTGGTTCCTGCTGGTGCAATGAGGACCCAGGCCAAGAAATTAGAAACCCCAATGGCATCTTGGCATGCATATCTCCCAGAGCATCCAATAAGCCCCCTGTAATGTGCCCACCCAAGCCCATGACTCGCCTCAAAAACTTGGTGCTCTGGTTATTGTGACACTAGATCTGGCTGGCATATAGGCACAGATATGAGTGTAGGTGAATGAAACGAGATCAATGGGACTTTTTGTCTGTTGGGCACTATTTCATCCTCCTAATGGGATCTAACAGAAACACATATCTGGTTGGGCAGGCAACTTCTAAATCAGACACCAGCTGTCACAGGAGCAACCTGTAAGACAGCCATGCTAGGTTTGCTGCATCCAAATTCTGAGTTAGATCACTGCAATGTGATTTTCCTTATCTTCCTGGGGAAACCTCTAGAGGGAACACTTTGTTAAGCCAGATTACTTAGCTTCACTGCAAATATTGTTAGAGACACAACATCTTTAACTTCAAGGCAATCTACATTTATTGGGAACCAATTAGGTCCCCTCTCTGTGCTGAGTCTGTAAATGGATGCATAGGTGGCTTAAGATGATCTAGACAACAGACATACAGAGTGAGGAGATTGGGAAGGGAATTGCACCTATCTCCTGATAGGTGGGGAGGGCTGGCATAATGCAAGCAGGAACTTGAAGAATGCAAAAGACTTAGGTAGGTGAAGAAGGGAGACAACAGGGACGTCCAGAGGGAGACAGCATACAGCGTGAAATGCTGCAGACTATAGAGCTGCTGCTGGAAGTGGAACATAAGGTTAGACCAGTAGCCTGGAGCTGTTTGGTGGAAGGCTTGTGAAGCCCTTCTGACAGTTTGGGTGTTTTCACTGTGTCATGGGAACCATTCAAGCTTCCTCTGCTTTCTGAATTCAGCATGGACTGAGTTCATACAGTGGGCTGACTTTTTAGAAACGGGGATTTTGTTGTATGCTTACACTTTAGTAGAAAATGCAGGGCTTTGACACTTGATTTCAATTCTGGAGCTCTGCACATCGAAAGAGAATTCTGCACATTCAAAAACAACCTTGTGCTGCTTGCTTCCTTCCTCCCCTCCTCCTTCTCTTTCTTTTTTTTTCCTTCATCCTCTCTTTTTGTTTCTTCTTCTTCTCTTCCCCACTACTTCTATCAGAATCTTCACTCTAAGCACAGTGAATGGTATGCCCAACTGGGAGGCCTTGTCTGTGTCAGCTGTCCCATCTCCCCAGGCTCCTGCAGCCGTCTTTGCCTAGCACCAACCCAGATGCCCAGCTCAGCACTTGGTCGATTCTCTGCTAAGAATCCATTAATGGAAAACACTGGGGAACAATGCAGACTTTACTGAAGAGTCCTTTGTGGGCAGAGGAGGGTGTTTTCATCAGACATTCCACAGACAATAACTTTAAAATCTTCAATTGGGCATTTCTGTTCTTTAAAGTCACTTTCTGGCAGTATGGTCCCTAGACCATACTTTGTTTTTCTTTCCCCACAGAATCCACTGGCTCCTTTCTCCTCCTTTCACTTTCCATTAAAATAAATTCCTCTTCTATTAAGCAGAACACTCCAACCTTGCCCCAGCAACTAGCTGCAGTCTGTGTACCCAGTTTGTGTACCTGTCTTGGTGGTCATCTGTTGTCATGTTTGTTACTTCAGCACCCAGAGAGAGGTACAAAGCAACACCTTCATGGGTGCTTTAGTTTAGGACCTTATGAAGATGATAGGTTTGTATTAGGTTGGTGCAAAAGTAATTGCGGTTTTTGCCACTACTTTAATGGCAAAAACCGCAATTACTTTTGCACTAGCCCATATAGTCAGCCCTTACTCTTCTGTTGTCAGTAGAAGAACCATGTACACCTGATGAAATAACTCTGGTCATATTTGATGAGCTATAAAGAATATGCAAGAGGCTTTTACTGTTAATGTCCTGACTCTGCTCACTCTGTGACTGGTGTCCAAGATCTAGTCCTGGTGAGGTCTGACTCAACATCTTTCTGCAGCTCTCTGTTCTTGTCCTTTACACTATGAAGCAATATCTCCATCCTGCCTTTTCATCCTTCTCACAGTCCTTAGCTGCTGCTGGGTAGCCTCAGGAATGGCTTGTAATGCCACAGCCCCCAGCACCATCTCCCACTGTCTGCTGTTTGTGGTTGTTCAGGTGGCTGTGTTTGCCTGCAGGATCAGCGTTCTGCACCCTCTGGTGATAGCAGTGAGAAGATTAACTTCAAATCTAGAATTTATTCCCTAATTGTGTCATTTTGTGACACTGCTGAGGAACGTCATTAATTACCACCTTTCCCCCATTGTAGCAGACTTAGATATTACAGTGCAGTAACTTCATGGCAAATACCCTGTGGGTCACATGATCTTAGGACCTTGATTTTAAATCTCTGTTTATCTCTATGTAAAATGGTGTGAATAATATAGACTTGCAGTGTTGTGGTAAGAATGAATGCTTTTTTTTTTATTATTATGTAAGTATCTTGGAAACTAGTGACTATTTACATGTTTCTTTCCCACACATTCCCACGAATTTCCCTTCACAAATACAGAATGGATGTTATACTTTTATTGATCACAATAAACATCTAGGAAACAGAAGAATCAAGATAATAAACTAATATTTGTTAAACACGTAGCTCATATTATTACAGAAATTAGGGTAAAAATTAGACAAGGGATGGGAGAACAAAGGAGCAGATTGAGAAAAAAACATGAAAGTGTCACCCTTCCATCTGGATTCTTGAAGATTATCAACTGGAGAACTGAATAAATTAAAATATTATATAGGCCTTTTTTCTTTACTCTGGAAATAATTGGTTCTCTCCAAAGATGGATAATTTGTTCTGATTGATCTTGGTGTCTCTGCTATGAGCAGATCATAGAACCTTTCCTTCTCCACCCAGGGTCTTCTACACGAGCTTTCTAGCCATCACAGGATGAACTCTGGATTTTTTATTATGTTTTTAATTTTAACATTTTCTCCCCAAATAAGGATATGAAATGAACTCTGAATGAGTGAGTTTGAATTTAGGCTTTACCACTTAGAAGCCAGGTGACCTTGGACAAGTTCTGAGTTGTGTTTTTCTGTAATTCCATAAGATGATACTTACCTCATGTGAACCATGTGAAGTCATCAAGCACCAAATACAAACTCACCGAACCTTGGGTCCAGTCAGCCTTTCCCAAGTGTAAGGTCTGCCTTCACCATGTGCATTTGCCAAAAGGCCATTTCTTCCTTTTACTCACTCAGTTCCTTTTCTGGCTTTAAGGTTTTCTAGATGGACTCCAGCACTTTGCTTTGTCACTTGTTTTCTAATGTTTCTAACCAAGGATACACATCTTAGTGTGAAGTCTCAATCTCTCTCTCTCTCTCTCTCTCTGTGTGTGTGTGTGTGTGTGTGTGTGTATGTGTTGGGGGTGCAAAGGGAATTTATTTGTGAACAACGATGAAACAGGACTGAGTTGTCCAGGGAGCGCCTGTTCCTTGCTACTGAAGCCCCTGACTCCACAGGAGCCCCACACTCCACATTGTCCAGCCATTGTCCCACAGTCTCCCCTGGCTGTGGACAGCTGAAAACTATGGACTACACGTTTTAAATGAAGCTTAGTAGGTGGGCAGCTATGGCCAACAATAGAAGCAGAAGACTTTCTAACTGGACAGGCCACTGAATTTCAAAATTCAGGCCAGGTCAGGTCTAGCAAGTTTTTCAGCTCAAGCATTTAGTAGGGAAAATGTCTCCGTGTGATAGGGCAGGAATCCAACAGAATTTTCAGATACTGCGTTTAAAGGTTTAAGGGAGCATGTGCCTAATTGCAGGGAGTGAACCTCAGGGTGGAGGTGCAGAGGGCAAACCCTTGTTACCTCTGTTTCATCCTGAGGTCTCAGCTGGCTGGCCCAGCCTGGAGAAGCTTCTGGGCCTGTGCTCCATTTCTTTAGGGCACTCATGTCAGTGCCCTAAAGAAATTATATATTCGTTAGTGTGATTTCATTGTCTGTCTCCTAGACCACAAGCCACAAGCTCCATGTAAATTGAGACTGCATCTAGCACGGTGCCTGGCATGCAGAAGGCTTTCCATTGTAGAAAGAAAGAAAATGGACATGCATTTATGAGTATGCATTTACAAGTTATGCCAACTGAATACTAAATAGAAAATAAATAATTACCAAATGTAGCTGGGGAAGAACATTAATTATGTGTAATTTGGATTCATAAGTTTTGTATCAAATCCTAATTAATATTCCCCATCTAATTGGTATTCTAAATAAAATCCCTTTATTTGGATTTTGAGTTTGTTTGTCCTGGTACTCCAATAACAACCTTGCATGCAATTGGAATTTGCATGTATAATGAGAGAACAGGACTGTGGATTTTAATATTTTTCAAGACATTAGGAATAGGCAGCCCTTTAAAAAAACTAAATATCTAATTATTTGCAAACATATCTTTTTTTTAATGTAGCACAATTAAAGAGTTTTCTTATAGAAGAAGATAAAATAAATGGAATATGAAGGTAAGCATGAATTAACCAGAAATCACTTGGAAATCAAAGAAAACTGAAAATAGGGGAACAAAGGCATAATTGAGGAAAGAAAAATATCTTGACTCCATTGAGTCCATGCTGAATGAGAATTCAAATAATGATATGAATAAAACCTCATTGACAAAACATGAGAGCTATTGCAATAGATGGAAAAGGCAAAGCATGAAATCAAATACAATTCACTTGTGCTGAAAAACAACCTTTAGTGGCAATGTTTCATGGCATGATTAATATAAAATAAGTCATTATTTGAAAAGGAAAAAGAAAGCTTGCCTTATTACGTCACATCAATAATGCATTTTCGAGGAGCTCATCACGGCTCATTCTATAAAGGCCAAGTAACACAGAGGAATCATCTTTTAAGTCTGCTTTTGCCTTCCTGCCTAGAAGGGTTCACTTCATTATCCTGCTTTGGTTCAAACTATAAAAATTCTCAAGGGGTTTTAATGCAGATGAATTCAGTCACTCTATGTAGCTATCCAAAAGGATTCTGGACAAAAAAAGAAAAAGTAAAATAAACATCGTGTTCCTATTTCCACTCCCTATCTCATTTTCCTAGCAAGGTGCTTTTTGTTTTAATCATATAGATAATTAGATTGGTTCTTCATTTAATTTTGCCTTTAGAGAAATGACCACAGACTACACATGGTCTTTAGTTGTATAATTATTAGCACTGACTATGTGTTAGGGGCTGTTGAGGGTGATCCAGATTCTTAACTCTTTGGATTTTTGTCTCCTTATCTGGGAAAGAGGGGCAATAATACCTACTTCATGAGATCTTGGTTGGGATTCAATGAGATAAAGTAAATGAGATCCAAGGCACAGGGGAGACTGGTCCCATTCTTGCTCTTTCTCATTTATTGCCTCCATTGACAGCAAAACCTGTTGACCACCCACTAGGTGCTGTCCTGCAGGAGCTTAGAGTTGAGGGAATGAGAAAGGCAAGTAAACAGAAAATAGAATAGGCTGGGATTCACACAATGATGTGGGTATTCCTGGGGTACCTGGCCCACCTAGCTCTGTGGTGCAGGGTGAGGGGGTTTTCCAGCAGAAGGGGTTGTGAGAAATCAATGAAGGGCATGTCTTCAGGAGCTGGTACCCAGTGGGAGAGTAGGCTTTGCTGTTTTTGGAGACCTGAGAGTAGTTCATTCCAGTCTTGGACTATAGTAGAGAAGGTGTGGTGAGCAAAGGCCAGATAGTGAGTGAACTTACATACATTTGAATAAACTTTAGACCCTATTATGAGGGCAACAGAGAGCATCTTGGTGCTGTTTTTAAAAAATAGTATTTTAAAATTCAGATTACAAAAGTTTTACCTGTTCATGAAGGCAAATACAGAAAAGCCTAAAAAAAAAAAAAAATGAAAACCCCATAGTCCTTTTACCCAGAGGTAAATATTGTTATTTTGGTGTGATTTTATTCATGATTAGGATCATATATTTTGTTCCCTTTTGTTGTTATTACAAACATTGTATATTCATCGTATAAAGGTAAAGAAAATACATATAATTTAAGACACAAAATGAAACACACCAAAATTTTCTTTAAATGGCTACATTTTTTTTTGTTTGTTTGTTTTACTTTAAGTTCCGGGATACAAGTGCCGAACGTGCAGGTTTGTTACATAGATGTATGTGTGCCATGGTGGTTTGCTGCACCTATCAACCTGTCATCTAGGTTTTAAGTCCCGCATGCATTAGCTATTTGTCCTAATGCTCTCCCTCCCTTTGTTCCCCACCCTCCAACAGGCCCAAGTGTGTGCTGTTCCCCTCCCTGTGTTCATAACATAGCCACATTTATAAATGTTTATATATCCTTCTGAATATATATTCTTCTCAATCTTCTCTGTATGTCTCTCTGTGTCTTATTCTCAATCTCTGTTTGTCAATCGCTTTTTAATGTTTTTTTAACCTATACGTTCTATTAAATATACCAGGAGAATATTTCTATAACAATAAAATTTCAGCATAGGCTAATTAATAATGACCAAATAAAGTTATATTGTATAACAAAATTTATTTACCCAACCTCCTATGGTGAACATTTATGCTTCTCCAAATTTTCATTCCAAATACAATATGGTCATAAAAGTTTCATAGCTAAACTTTTCACAGATCTCTAAAGATTTTCATAGAATAAAACATTAGCAGTGGCATTTAAGGTATTTAAAGATTTTGATACATCTATTGTTATATTGCCCACCGACAAGCAGTTCCACCATTTCTCCTGGTCTGTATCCTGACCACCTTAACCACTGAGTATCATCAGAGTTTTATAGGTACAACATGGCAGTTCATTGTTGCCAATTTGCATTCCTTTACTAAATAATGAAATTAAACACATTTTCATGTATCTGTTGGTTAATTTTCTTTTCTCTTGCAAACTGTGTTGATGATCTTTGCCATTTGTTATATGAATTCTTTTCTTACCAAATCTTACATTAAGGATATTTTCCTTTTCATATATAATGAATGTATTTTTGTTAGTAAATAGCTTTTGGTTGGATTGTGTTCATTCATGGCTTTTTTTGTAAATAAAAATAAAATAATAAAATATAAAAGCTATTGCTAAAAAGTTTTCAACATTTTTACAATGGGATCTATTGATCCTTCCCTTCATGAATTCTGCTCATAGCATTTGGCATAGAAAGGCATCACCCGCTGTATAATAACGTGGATACTAACCTGTGATTTATCCTGGTAATTGTACCATTTCTGTTTTTAGTTGTAATATTTTTTGATCCACATGAAATTTAGATTCATATAATACATGAAGTAGAGTTCTAATAGTCTCCTCTCCCCCAGATGGCTAGCCAAGTGTCCCAACCCTTCGTGTTAAAGAATGCAGCCTTTCATCTTTTATTTGAAATGCATTCATGGCTGGTTCTATAATATTATCCAATAACCATTTCCCATTCTTTTTTACTCATGGAACCCAATTGTTGGGAGCAATGAGCCCATATTTCCTTGCAGCTGGCTGCATGACCCAGAAAGCAGAACTATCGAAGCTAATATTTCCTGAACTGGTGGATGCACTGCTAAGTATTACTTTCTCTTTTTCCTTCTTTGTTCCTGGAATATGAGGTGAATCTTGTAGGTTAGGTAACAATCTTTCCACCATAAGGGCACCCCACCTGCTAAAAATGGCGGGGCAGGAGGCTAGAGAGGTCCGACCCTAGATGGCTTTCTGGAGTAGCCACTGCAGGTCCCGACACTTATTTGTGAGAAACATAAACTCCTATTTGGTACATTTCTCATCCTTGGATTTCTGTTTCATGCTGCCAAATTTATCTTAAGAGATAAATCACTCTTTTCTCTCTTTAAACTATTTTTTATTTTAATTTCTGTGGATATACAGTAGGTGTATATATTTATGGGGTACATGAGATGTTTTGACACAGGCATGCAATGCATAAAAATCCATCATGTAAAATGGCATATCCATCCCCTCAAGCATTTATCTTTTGTGTTACAATCCAATTATACTCTTTTAGTTATTTTAAAATGTACAATTAAATTATTATTGACTATAGTCACCCTGTTGTGCTATCAAATACTAGGTCTCATTCATTCTTTTGAACTATTTTTTTGTATACCTATTAATGATCCCTACCTCCTCATACCCTTTCACTGCCCTTCCCAGCCTCTGGTAACCATTGTTCTCCTCTCTATCTCTATGAGTTCAATTGTTTTGATTTTTAGATCCCACAAATAAGTGGGAACATGTGATGTTTGTCTTTCTGTGTCTGGCTTACTTCACTTCATATCATGAGCTCCGGTTCCATTCATGTTGTTGCAAATGACAGGATCTCATTCATTTTGTATGGCTAAATAGTATTCCATTGTGTATATGTACCATATTTTCTTTATCCATTCATCTGTTGATGGACACTGAGGTTGATTCCAAATTTTGGCTGTTGTAAACAGGGCTGCAATAAACATGGGAGTATAGATAGTTCTTTGATACACTGATTTCCTTTCTTTTGGGTATACCCAGCTGTGGGATTGCTGGATCATGTGGTAGCTCTATTTTTAGTGTTTTGAGGAACCTCCAAACTGTTCTACATAGTGATTGTACTAATTTACATTCTCACCAATAGTGTTCAAGTGTTTCCTTTTCTACATATGCTTACCAGCATTTATTATTGCCTGGCTTTTTTTTTTTATCTAAGCCATTTTAACTGGAGTGAAATGATATCTCATTGTAGTTTTAATTTGCATCAGATAAATCACTTTTATAATGAATAAATTTTCTTGGATGCCAGAGGATGTTACAAAGCCTTCCAATATGTGTCGTTAATCTCTGTGTCCTGCATCATTCAGATACCACACTCTAGCTTTTAATCTCACGTAGCTTACATCTGGGATTCCACATCTCCCCCATGCCATGTCCCCTGATTGTTTTTTTTTTTTTTTCCAAAAAGTTACTTGCTTTTCTTGTATTACATGTCTTTAGATAACTTGGTATTCATTTTGTTGGATTCATATTGTTGCTCAGTTGTCCAAATCTTCACTTATGTCCTTCAATGGAGTTGTATCACTTTGTTCACGTAGGTCCAGGAAACTTCTTTTACCTTTTTCCTATGCAATGCCTATATTTTGTGCTTATTAAAAATAGTGATAACTTCTTCCAAATATTTCCTAGCAGTTATTTATTTATTAGAGACTAGATCTCGCTATGTTGCCCAGGCTGGAATGCAATGGCATGATCATAGCTCACTGTATCCTCAAACTGCTGGCCTCAAGTGATCCTCCTGCCTCAGCCTCCCAAGTACCTGGGACTGCAGTTATGTGCCACCATGCCCGTCTGTCTATTAGTTGATTTTTTGTTACTATACTTTTGATTCTTTCTTTGCTGATTAGCTTATTGAACTTTCTTATTATTTTAACATTTACTGATTGACTTTTTTTTGAGCTATTTTCTTGATAACTTGTCATTATAAACTTACATTGTCTTTTTTCCTTCCCATATTAGTGTGCAATTTCTTTTCTCACGTCAGTACCCCAGTGAGAATTTATGACCATTCTTAAATGAGCATGCTGACTTATTTTTCTCTTTTTTTGACTTTACCAAGAATGCCTAGTCCATCATTGTGAAATTTTATATTGGCTCTTAGTTAGCTCATTTCTGGTCTTCCAAAGTGTTTTAGCAAAAGGAACATTGAACAAATTATAGGTACTGAGGAGGCTTAGAGTCAAGACATTTCCTTGACCTTGTTCAACTCAGCTGTTTCCCTTTTACTTATTCTGTAACTGTAGATTCCATTGGATATTTGAGAAATGCTCAACTAATAATATTACTGGAAATTCTAACAATAATTGAATTTCTGAAATTTATGATTTTGAGTTAGAATTTCTATTTTATTTAGGATTTGTGTATTACTGTTTATAAATCAACATGCAATTTTTTTGTCCTCTGTGTGTTATTCTGTTAGAATTGTTATGAGGATTATGCTAGCTTTCTACTATAAACAAGGAAGCTTTATATTTGTTTATAAGCTCAAAAAGAATCTTAATACCTAAGCAATAATTGTAACCATCCAATGGGTTTTTCTTGCCCACTGTACAGGTAGAGCTGATTTATCAAGCCAGGGGAATTGCAATAAAGTTATCCACACCAAGAGCCCGCTGAATGAGAGACCAGAGTTTTATTATTGTTCAAATCAGCCTCCCTGAAAATTTGGAAGCTAGGATTTTCAAGGATAGTTTGGGGAGAGAGAGGACCTGGACAGATAATGGGTGCTTGCTGCTGATTGGTTGGGTGTATAATCACAGGAGTGTGGGAAATGGTCCTCCTGTGTGCTGAGTCACTTCTGGGTGGTGCCACAGGAGCCATGGGTGGGTCCAGGTGGAGCCACTGGTCATCAGACATACAAAAAACCTGAAAAGATACCTCAAAAGGCCAATCTTAGGTTCTGTAATAGTGATGTTATCTGCAGGAGTAATTGGGAAAGTTGTGTATCTTGTGACCTTCGGAATAATGGCTTGTAATTGTTTATGTCTACACTTTAGCAGAATTTGGGCTCCTCTTATCCTTCTAGCCTGGTGGCCTTTCCTTAGCTTTAAAAAGGCGGTTGAGCTTTGAGGAAGGGCTACTATGATTTAAACTATAAACTAAATGTCTCCCAAAGTTAGCTTGGCCCAAGCCTGGGAATACATCAGGTAAGTTTGAAGGCTAAAGGCAAATGGAGGTGGCCTTAGATCAGATCTCTTTTACTACCATAATTTTCTCACTGTTATAATTTTTGCAAAGGTGATTTCATTGTCTTTTCTTTAATATCTGAACAAACAGACTTGGGGAATGGCTTACTTGGGGCCAGCAGCTCTTGGGCTTGACAGCTTTATCTTTTTCTTCCATGATCACTGCTCAATTCAGATTTTTTTCCTCTTCTTGTTTTAATTTGGTTACTCATTTTTCCTAAAAGGTCATTACTATCAATGAAATTTTCAGAACTTTGGCTTATAATTACAGGTAACATTCCCCAGAGCTTAAAACA
This sequence comes from Homo sapiens, assembly GCF_000001405.40. NCBI lineage: Eukaryota > Metazoa > Chordata > Mammalia > Primates > Hominidae > Homo > Homo sapiens. Next base: position 37,569,119 of record NC_000007.14, read on the forward strand.
AACAAACAAAAAACCCTCTGGTATTTGTAGTTATATTCTTTCTCGTTCCAGATGTTTCCTATTCATGTTTTCTTTATTTTGATGTTGATCTGAATTTCAGAGATTTGCTTTGATGACTGACATTTTGAAAGAACCAGTATGTATTCATTGCTTGCAAGTTTTTCTTTTCTAATTAATTAAAATGTCCTACTTTTATCTTTATTAGTTCTCACCTGTTCTTCTTGTTTGTTTTTCTTGATTTTAAAACTTCTTCCTTATAATTTTAAGCTATATATTTTCATCCTTACTTTATAACTGCACACCAAAAGTGACCAAGGCAGCTCCCAATTGATAAGAGGTTTATTTTGCCAACGTTGAGGACACACCCAGGAAAACGAAACACAAATCACGGTAGAATCTGTGTCCTGTGCTTCTTCCAAAGAGCGTTTTGAGAACTTCAATATTTAAATAGCAACGGGTGAGCAGAGAAAGAAAGAAGAAAGAAAAAAAAATGGGGGTGAGTAGGCAAGGAGGCAAGTGGTCATATTCTTTTGAGGCTCGGATTAGCACTCAGTGAATCTACATTTTATATGTGAAAAGAAAGCAATGGGGAAATAGCCAATTATGCATTCATCTCCTGCTCAGTAGATCTACATTTTATGAGATAAAGAAAACATGTGAAGGTACTGCTGTCTGTTTGGGAACAAAAGGAAGGCAGTTTTTGCGTGACCCAGCTCCCAAGCTTAACTTACCCTTTAGCATAGTGAGTTTGGGGTCCTGTGATTTTATTTCCCTCTCACATAATTGTTAGCGCTTAGGGAACGTGTCTGAGCAGGCGGCACCAAAGTATGTGAGTGGTGGCGAATCTGTATGGGTCTGCACCAACCTCGATCAATTCTTGCCTCCTCAGAAGAAAGAATTCCACTGAGGGGCATAAGGCAGAGTGAGAGACCAAGGCAAGTTTTAGAGCAGGAGTGAAAGTTTATTAAAAAGTTCTAGAGCAGGAACGAAAGTAAAGTACACTTAGAAGAGGGCCAGGTTGGCGACATGAAAGATCAAGGGCACGGTTTGAGCTTTGACTTAGGGTTTTACATGTTGGCATACTTCTGGGGTCTAGTGTTGCTTCTCCCCTGGTTCTTCCCTTGGGGTGGGCTGTCCGCATGCGCAGTGGCTTGCCAGCACTTGGGAGGGGCCTCATGTGCAGTGTGTTTGCTGGAGTTGTACGCATGCTCCCTTGAGGCGTTTTTTAATAATGCCAGCATTTTGCCTCTTAGTGCGCATGCTTGAGCCCACTCACCCAGTTCCTGAGATCCTATGAGGAAGTTGCTGATCTTCAGTTTCAGGTTTTCTCCATCTATTGGGAGAATGCTGTTCCCTGGTGCTGGCTGCAACCAATTATTCTTTTAGAGAGACAGCTTAAGAATTGTCTGACCATCACCTGATGGTCGCCTGACATTCCTGGTGGGGGGTGGGGAGGAGGCTGGTCTTCTGCCCTGCTCATGTCAGCCTGACTACCTACAGTAACATAATGAATACATCTAAGGCTATGCATCTTTCTCTTGATACAGGCTTACCTGCACATTGCTGGATGGCAAAACGAAAGCCTCTCCAAAAGTCTGACTCTGCTTGGAGGCCCTTTAAGCTCAGGTGGGGAAACAATAGCATTAGTAGTTGGAAGAAGGCTCACTACACTTTGGAAATAGCAGTCATTCTCTCCAACCTGGATTCTGCCTGTGCACAGTTTGGTAGCTCCGTGTTCAGTTTCTGGATTTAGACTGCCCAGACTGGTGTCTTGGCTTTGGCACCTACTAACAGAATAAACTACTGGAGGCACAGGGGTACTGGAAGCAGTTCTGGATAAACTACTGGAGGGACAGGGGTACTGGAAACAGTTGTCCCTCCCTCCTGCAAACTGGCAGGGCTGCCCCCTTACTCGGATGAAGCCACCACTGTTCAGAGCAGGGCATCCTGTGAGGTGGACTTCTCCCAGAGCCCCCAGCAGGAAGTGAGGCTTCCCTCTGTACTAACCCGCTCTAGGACTTTAGACCAGAGAGAGGAGGTCAGGATCTGCATGTTTCACTGCTTTCCTTTCTTTCCTTCACTTTCTTCGTCCTTTTATTCCAGAGACCAGTGTGCATATTTTTTTTTTTTCATTTTACTGAGACTTACTTACATCGGGCCTTCTACCTTCTCAAACCAAGGCTTTTGTATTGGCCAAGATATGGGGAATCAAAATGATTCACAGCTAGGAAAAACAAATCAGGAAATATTTAAAAACCACTGTACTCATGAACACAGAAACATAGAGTACCATTTCTCTGAAAAATACTTATCATTTTTTGAATTCAGAGATATCATCAATTATGAAATGCATCACCAGCTTTATTTCAGCTTCTTAGGGAAAAAATTCTATTACATTAACTGAATAACTGATGAACTAATTAACAGTGACATAAATGTACAGTTATAAGCTGCTTTTGTTTCTCAATCAAGGTTTAAGTCTATGATTTTTAAATTTTCATTAATAGCCCAAAGTTTCTTTGGAAAAATTTTGGCCATAGCAATTAAGTATGTAGTATACTATAAAGATAATGTGTTTTTTACAATCCAGGTTCTTGAACTCAAAAAATTTAGCACATTTAGGCTTACCAGTAAAATGTAAGTTGTATCAAATAATATTAGGGTTACTATCTATATTTTTTCTTTGATTAAAAGGTTTCTTTGGCTTTCTTTGCTAAAGTGAAAGATCTCTAATGGTTAAATAGTTTCTATTGAAAATCAAGCAGTAACTTTTGACAAATTGAAGTTCATTTCCTAAGTGATTCATCTCCATGCATGACTAGGTCACTCTAACACTTGGGGGCACTGAAATGTGTCTGCTAAATTTGGAAATACCCAGCGATGACCAAAGTAAAGGTAAAAGCAGGAGGTGACCAGCTACTAGAAAGGCTGACGTGGGAGGATTGCATGAGCCGGGGGGGTTGAGGCTGCAGTGAGCTGAGATAGCACCTCTGCACTCCAGCCTGGACAACAGAGTGAGACCCTGTTTCAAAAAAAAAAAAAAAGTCATAATTCCAAAAGGTAGTTATTGAAAATTACTAATTATAAATTTTGGGCAAGACTGATAAAGACAATAAAGAGAGAAGTCACAGTTTACTGACATTGGGAAGGAAAGAGGAACATTAACACAGGATCCACAGGGATCAAAAAGGTGATAAGAAAACAATGAAATCCCAGCACTTTGGAAGGCCGAGATGGACGGATCACCTGAGGCCAGGAGTTCAAGACCAGCCTGGTCAACGTGGTGAAACCCCATCTTTACTAAAAATACAAAAATTAGCTGGGTGTGGTGGCATATGCCTGTAATCCCAGCTACTTGGGAGGCTGAGGCAGGAGAATCACTTGAACCTGGGAGGCGGAGCTTACACTAAGCCAAAATCATGCCACTGCACTCCAGCTTGGGTGACAGAGTGAGACTCTGTCTCAAAAAAAAAAAAAAAAAAAAAAAAAAAGTAAAAGACAGGAAAGTTACGGACTAGTAACTGTCATGAACATAGATGGAAAAATTCCTAACAAAAATATTACAAAATCAAACGCAGAAATATAAAAAAATGATAGTTCATTACAACCAAGTGATTTTTATCTCAGGAATGTGAAGTTGGTTTGACATTTGAAAATCAATCAATATAATTCATCATCTTAACAGAATAAAGGAGAAAAACCATATGACCATCTCGATACATACAGAAAAAGCATTAAGCATCTATTCATGACAATACCTCTCAACTAATCAGACCTAGAAGGAAGCTTTTTCAGTCCAATTATTGGAAACAAAAAACTGCAGCTAACATAATTAATGGTTCAAGATTGAATGTTTTTTCCCTAAATTCAGAAATAAGGCAAAGTTATCCATTCTCACTACTTCTATTTAATATGGTACTGGAAGTCCTAGCTAGTATAGTAAGGCATACAAATAAAACAAAAGTCATACAGAAGAAAGAAATAGTTAAACTAGTTTTATTCTTCGATGACATGATTGTCTATGTTGGCAATTCTAAATCAATCTATACGAATTCTGGAAGCTCACAGGATAAAAAGTCAATCTGCAGAATTAACTTATTTCTGTATACTAGCAACCAACAGTTGGAAAATCAAATGTAAAAACCAATACCATTTATAATACAGTAAACAATATACTTACAAATAACATGTAAAACCTCCACACCGAAAACAACAAAATATTGCAGAGAGAAACTAAAGAAGACCTAACCCATGAATCTTTCTGTCCTTATGCCATAGCACAGTCTATTAATAATTTTATAATTTTACAATAAAATTTAAAATCAGGTAGCTGGAGTCCTCTAACTTTCTTCTTCTTTTGCAAGATGGTTTTGGCTATTCCAGGTTTTTATATTTCCTTTAAATATTAAAATCAATTTGTTAATTTCTACCAAAATGCTGGAATTTTGAACAGGATAACATTGGTTCCATTAATCACTTTGGGAAGGATTCACATCTTAAAAATACTGAGTTTTTCAATATATTAACATTGTCTATTTTTGAAATAATTTAAGTCTTTAATTTCTGTCTGCAACATTTTATTGTTTTCAGTGTAGAGGGTCCATTTTTTTGTTCTTTTGTTCTATATTGTAATTCTTTCTCCAAAAAATCCTTCATATATTTACCCATTTGATCAATTCCTCTGAATATAACCAATCTCCCAGCACTGTTGCCATGCCTGCTCCCCTACACAGATAGCTTCATTATGCTATCTGGGCTCTGACAGGCATGCTAGGGTTTTCCCGCAGATGGATATCCTCTTTTCCTTGCTAGAGCTTTGACTTTACTCCAGGCCTACCTTCTGCATAGATGCCTCTCACTCTGCTTTGGCCCTTACATTTCATGCCTGGGTTTGCAAACATGTGAATGTCTACCTCCCTAACACTGGGTAGTCTTCAGTCAACACAGACACACACACACACACACACACATGCACACACACACACACACACACACGGATGCTAGATCCTCCCTGGACTCTGAGGATACTCCACTGAATGTGTTTAAGAGGGAATTGTTTTGGAAATGGAAAGGAAGGTAAGCGGAAGAGGATGAAAAGGATGAGTAAGATGGACTTTTAATTTTTTTAGGGCTGGACATGGTGGCTCACACCTGTAATCCCAGCAATTTAGGAGGCTGATGCAGGCAGATCGCTTGAACTCAGGAGTTTGGGACTAGCCTGGGTGACATGACAAAACCCCATCTCTACCAAAAATACAAAAAACCAGCCAGGCATGGTGGCATGCACCTGTGTTCCCAGCTACTCGGGAGGCTGAGGTGAGAGGATCTCTGGAGCTGGGCAGGTGGAGGTTGCAGTGAGCTGAGACCGCACCACTGTACTCCAGTCTGGGCAAGGAAGTGAGACTCCCATCTCAAAAAAAAATATATATATATATTTTTAGTATTACTGAAATTTTATTATTCTGTTATTTTTTCTTACTTTTTTTTTTAGCAAATACTTTATTTTTTAATCTTTGTGGGAGATGGACTTCTAAAAAAATGGTGTTAGGATAACTAAATAGCTATTTGGAAAGAGAAAAAAAATTGATCTCTCTGCCTACTGTGTACTAGCATTAAGTTCCAAATGAATTAGTAGTTTAAATTGGAAAAATAAAGTTATATAAATAGTAGAAGAAAATGTGAATGAATTTCTCTATACACCAGGAACGTGGAATAATTTCCTACTTATTACTCAAAATCCAAAAGCGACTTTTACATGGCAGGTAAACTAAAAAGACAAATGACCAATGGGAAAAAATACTGCCAGTTATATCACTTCATATATAAAGAGCTTCTAGAAATAGAAATAAAAAGTTTCAACAAACTTTTAAAAGAAAAAGAAAAACAGTGCAAATAACCCATAAGTGTGAGAAAAGATAATTAACTTCACTTAGAGTAAGAGACATACAATTTAAAATTTCACCAAGCTATTATTTCTCACATATCAGATTGGCAAAAATGCAAAAGTTTGAAAATAATATTGTTGGCCAGGCTGAGGGAAAGTAACATTTTCATTTCCTATTGGTGGTAGCTAGCAAAATTACACATGCATTTACTTTTAACTCAGCTGTCCCACTTTTAGTATTTAAAAAAACTAGCGAAAATATGAAAATACATATGCCTTAGATTATTAATTGCAACACAATTTGTAATAGCAAAAGATTAAACCAGCCAAATGTCTAATAGTAGAAGAATAAGCTGTAGAAGATCTGCACGACGGAGGACTATGCAGCATGAAGAAGATACTAAAGATCACCACAGGCACTAGAAAATGTGGCTAGGATAGTTTACTAGATGGAAAAGGCATACTGGAGAGAAGTGTGTAAACTATGCTGCCTTCTGAGATGGGAAGGTGCAAAATACTTACATCTGCATTTGTTTATATTCAAAAACCAATGGAAAAGGCCAGGTGCGATGGCTCACACCTTTAATTCCAGCACTCTGGGAGGCTGCAGCCGGTGGATCACTTGAGCCTAGGAGTTAGAGACCAGCCTGGGCAACATGGAGAAACCCTGTCTCTACAAAAAATAAAAAAATTAGCCAGGTATGGCGGCGAATGCCTGTATTCCCAGCTACCAGGGAGGCTGAGGTGGGAGGATCACCTGAGCCTGAGGGGTTAAGGCTGCAGTGAGCTGTGATAGCACCACTCCACTCCAGTCTGGGTGACAGAGTGAGACCCTGTCTCAAAATAAGAAAAACAACAACAACAACAATAGAATGATAAACCTAACATGAATGATTAGGGAGAAGGAGAACACAGAGTGGAAGTGATAAATGTGAAAGGTAGACTTCTTAGCATGTATCTTATGTAGTAGATTTGACACTGGAAAAATGTACATTCTTTACATAATTATAAACAAAATTAAATCTAGATAATGAAAGTCAAAATGACATGAAAGAACCTACCTCTGTATTGAGTTGGTTGTTTTACTAAAGAGAGAATAATTATTTCAAGTGATTTTAAAAAACAATTATTTGATAGTATACTCCTAGAATATATCCTAAGGACAAAAATAACAAAGTAATCTTAAACAGTTTTTAGTAATCATAGTGTTTATAATATTATTAAAATTGTTATTCTAAACCAACGTGGATAAGTAGGTGTGTGTATGCCTACACACACACGTATTAGAACATAGAAAACCAGTAATGATGTTAATTATATTAATGCTGTTAGGGTTCAATATTTTCAGTGTAAGGGAAGAGATACAAATATAAAATCAAAGACATTACATCAGAACCTGTTGTCTTAAATTTGAATGGTAAAATAGTGTAAATTTTATAAATATCAAATGCATTTTCTCTTTAAAAACTTAAATATTTTCGGCCAGGTGCGGTGGCTCACACCTGTAATCCCAGCACTTTGGGAGGCCAAGGCAGGTGGATCAGCTGAGGTTGGGAGTTCAAGACCAGCCTGACCAACATGGAGAAACCCTGTCTCTACTAAAAATACAAAATTAGCCGGGCGTGGTGGCGCATGCCTGTAATCCCAGCTACTTGGGAGACTGAGGCAGGAGAATCGCTTGAACCCGAGGGGGAAGGTTGCAGTGAGCCGAGATCAGGACGTTGCACTCCAGCCTGGGCAACAAGAGTGAAACTCTGTCTCATGAAGCAAAACCAAAACAAAACAAAATAAAAACTTACATTTTTCTAAGTTTTTCCACTGAAAAGTTCTAGAAAAACTACTGACTCAGAACAGATGACCATCCCAAGTGTCTGGACTATAGTCTCTAAATCCCAACTTTAATGAAAGGAACCAGGGATCTTTGGAGAAATGGCTGATTCCAGGTCTGTGGCAGCAAATGTACAGAAGAAGCCTGAAACCTCAATCTTGAAAGTAAGGAAATCATTGAAAATCATTGAAGTCATATCAAAAGGACTCAGGAACCAACTTAAATTGGCTCCCATTTGTCTCAAAAAATGGAATAACTGAACCATCAATAACAACTATAATGAATTGAAACATATCAAACATATTTAAATCAAGTTGAGATAAAGAAGGAGGGCAGAATAAAAAAAAATAAATCTCTAGGAAACCAGTATTTATACTGAGTGTTTGAATGAGTGAATGCCTGATTGGATGAATACTGTGCTAAGTGCTTTATATGTGTATATGTATTACATCTATATATACAGTACACATGCATATAGTACATATATTTATATATAACACAGACACAAGATTTAAAAAAAAATCTTCCCAACAGTCCTGTGAGGTCATCATTATCACTGGTATTAATTTTTTAAATCATCATCATATTGATCAAGAAAGGTAAGGAGTTCAGATTACCTAGTGAAGTTTGTTCTGTTTTTACTAAAGCACGTAGGAACAGGGATTATGTAACCGTCCTCAGCTGTTTTGTCCTCCTCATTCATATTGGCCATTACAGAGTTCAGTACAGGAGACTGGCCTTGCTTTGTCCCCCATGACAGCCCATGTTACCCACTGTCATGGTAATAAGAGTGAATCATGGTTCTCCTCTGCCAAGACCAGTCAGGGAGCAGGTCTTTGTGTTCCCACAGCATATGTAGGTTCAGAAGGAAGCTGAATTTTCTCTAGATTCTGCTTTGCAAAGCACTTCTGTTTTCTCCTTGGGGTCTCACATGGATGTGTAGCATAAATTCTGCTTATGTAAGTCTTTTATCATGGATTTTTATTAGATTTCCACATATTTGGAGAGTCTTTGACGTTAGAAGCTGAAAAACAAGCTTATTTTTAAACTGAAGTTAAACAGCACATTATCTCCACCAAAGTGTCTTTTATGAAAACAACACACACACACACCCTCAGAGAAAAAACAAACTGCCAACAGACCCATCATGATCTTATGATGTATTACAACAGAGGCACTATTTCCACCAAGCAACGGCTTCCTGGTCTCCCTAAAGACCACCAGAGGAGAAAAGCCACGGTTAGGTCACAAAAGCTTGATGGGCAGTGGAATAACAAACGCTATAGCTTCTTCAGGTAAGGAGCATTCCAGAGAAACAGCATGACTCAGACCCAGGAGCTATAATTTTGGCTTTACCCCTCACTGTCTACAGACCTTGCAGGCCACTGAATTGTTTGTAATTCAGTTGCCTCATCTAAAAGTTTTAAAACAGAAAAAGATATTTCTCGTTTTTCCTGTGCATTGATTATTATAATTCTACGAGTAAACACATTAATTTTCAAATGATTGCATTTGGAAGATCAATAAAAGACCCCAAGGATTTGGTGGTCATAAAACCATTTAGTATTTGACCTTTCTAAATCTTACATGTAAAATAATACCTAGCTCAAATGAGATCATGTATTTGAAACACATAACATGTAATCAAAGAGTAAACACATTGGCACTCAGTAAACATTTCCTTTATAACTGTTAATATTATAAGACAGAGCATGATGTAATAATTTTTTAACAGCACATGATTTAGAGACAGACAAGCCTGGGTTGAAATGCTTGCTGCCCACATTTGACCTTGGAACAATAATAAACCTCACTATTTAAACATTTTAAAAATGAGGAAAATAGTTCTATTGTAATGAGTAGATTACGCATAGCACCAGATACAATGGCTGACACATAGTAAGTACTCAAGAAATAGTGGCTTCTACCTAAATAAATATCCATTCACCTATGCATCCTGTGTTTATATCTTACATTGTAGCTTACATGTTTTGTAATACTTGCTGCTCTGGGACCAAATAACTGAAAATATTGACCCACTGTGTTCACGGAGCTTCATCCAATGTTTCTTTTCCAAAGAAACTTTGCTATTACCTTTTTCCAAAGTAACTTTGGTAGAGTGCTTGCTATTAGTAATATTTGTGGGTAATTATTAACATTTTCAACTTTGCCTTTTTGCACTACTGTATAACAGAGTTATATAGCTCTTTGCTATATAACTGTATGTTTAATTTTTTACTTGTGGTAATAATTTGGCTTGGCATCTTTGGAGTTAATTGTGTTGCTATTACTATTACTGATACTACCATTGAGAAAAAACACTTTGGAGTTTTTGGTGTCCTAACTGTCTGAAATCAATTTATAAAGCTAGGACCAAGCCCTATCATAAGCACAAAGTAACTGTTACTGTTCTCTTTCCCCTCTAACTTAATTTGGTTAAGGAAAGATACATAGTGTGACTTAAGCCTAAGGGTTATTATCAGAATATAGGAGGAATCTTACTCCAGTCAGTGTAACAGCCTGTCACAGTTGCTTGGTTATATCTGAAGTCTACTTAAATGGATACATATTGCTGTACTGCAATGTTCTTAATTCAAGCACATTTCCATAGAAGGCTTTCTGTATGGACCTATTCTTTTCTTTCCTTAACTTCATTAATCAACTCTTTCCCTGATTTTCCTTAGCTAGAATTTAATTTACTCTGTTATATTATATTTTTGTAAGCTATATTAAATTCTAGTTGGAACAAAAATCTTTCCCTAAAGATATCTGATTTTTGCATCCTGAAATTCCTATAAACACTTTGCAGAGCTTATCAGATGAAAAAATTCTCACATCCTAATGCTGTGGCATAAATGACAAATATAATAATACATTAATTTTGATATTAAGATGGAATTCAGCTTCTATTTAGCACGGCTGTGAATACAAAACAAAACAAAGCACTGCCCAACAATAACAAGACAATTAGAACATGGGCTTTGACTCTAGTGAATATGAAACCCAGGGACAACCACAGTCAACTAAGTTTTTTAATAATTCATATCAACTGCATCTGAAAGTGTAGCATTTTTTTTAAAATAATGTTTTTGTTGTTGGCTCAGCACAGCATGTTCCCTCTGGGCTATCTAATTCTGAACACACACACTAAATCAGATGTTAAAATGGTATTTGATAAAATGAGTTTCAAATTAGATAATCTCAGGAACAGAAATGAAGTTAATACATTGTGTAAAGAAATCAATAATTAAAAGGAAGGTAATAAATTTAAAAAGATGAATTTTGCTGATAGAACTAAAGCTCACACCTGAAGTATAAGATGTGAGGCTAAAAGTCAAATATATCATTACTTATTTAAATGATTGGATGAGCATCAGCAGATTTAATCCCTTTGATTTAGCATCCTGAGAAATAACTCATATTTACAAGACAATGAAGACTTACCCAATTTGTTTCTTTCTTGCTAACTATTGTAGACCCTGAAGATGTGAGGTAAAAAAACATGCTTAAAAATTTAGACCTCCATTTATTGAATCCTTTAAGTTAACAACATAATAGGCTTAAATATCTATACTGAAATAAATGGCTTTCTAGTTTTTTATTAAGAATCCTGAGTGCCTGTTCTGTTCTTCCCCGCTAAATCCTGCCAAAAACTTTAATTTAGGGTAGGAGGTGTTAGTAGATAGAGCAAGACTTCCAGCTTTACAATAAAACAATTAAATGAGAATTTCTGGGAAGTTGCCAAGTGCAATCAAGAAAGATGTTGCCTTTTATGCAGAACACTCACTGAAGAATAATTTTGCATCTTCGTCAGGGCGCAGATTCTCATTATTTATTTAGATTTATTTGGCAGTTATTCTCTGAAGAGCTCATTAGAGTAAATTATTCCAATACCATGTTAATTTCTGACTCATATTATTTATCCTCATGTTTCTTTTCACACTTTTGCAGATTTCTCCCACCACCTATCTCTTGAATCTAATCACATCTGTCCACCTCCACTGCAAGCCCAGTCCAGCCACTTAGCATCTTTCACTCACATGGGTGGGATTGCCTGGAAACTGGGCTCAGCACCTCCACTCTGGCCGCCTGCATCTGTTCTCTGCAACACAGTCCCCATAGTGCTTTTGGTTTTAACAGCTTTACTGAGATATAATTCATATACCATAAAATTCAATAGTTTTTAGTATATTTACAGAGGAATGCAGCCATCACCACAAGCTAATTTTAAAACATTTTTGTTATACCCCAAAAGAAGTTTTTGATGAACTCAAATGTATCTATTTTCATTGTCTCTTGTGCCTTTGATGTTATATCTGAAAAGGCTTTCCATAACCCAAGCTTCTGAAGAATTAAAAAAATTTTTTTCACATAATGTGATATTCATGATTTTAGATTTTTTACAAGTGGATTTTAGCATATTCACAATATTGTGCAGCTATTGTCCTTATCTAATTCCAGAATATTTCCATCACTCCAAAAAGAAGCCCCATATCGATTCACAGTCAGTCCTAATTACCCCTCCTTTCAACCACCAGCACTCATTAATCCACCAGGGTTTTGCTTATACTGGACATTTCATATAAATGGAATCATATCATATATGTGACCTTTTGTATCTAGTTCTTTTCATTTACCATAATGTTTAGAAGTCTCATCCATGTTGTAGAGTGTATCAGTACTTCACTCCTTTTTATGGCTATTGTATGGATAGATTACATTTTGTTTTATCCATTTATCAGTTGATGGATATGCGGGTTATTTCCAGTTTTTTGCTATTATGAATACTGCTGCTATATACATTCATGTACACATATTTGTGTGAAAATATGGTTTTTAGTTCTCTTGGATACATACCTAGGAGAGGCATTTCTGGATTGTATGGACACTCGATGTCTAAATTTTGAGGAGCTGCTAAAATAAAGAGTTTTCCATAGCGGCTGCAACATTTTACATTCCCATCATCAATGTATGAAGGTTCCAATTTCTCTACATCCTCGCTAGTACTTATTTCCTTCCTTCTTTTTATCTTCTTTCATTTTTTGATTATGGCCAATCTAGTGGGTGTGAGATAGCTCATTGTGGTTTTGATGTGTATTTCTTTAATTAATGATATTGAATATCTTTTCATGTGTTATTGGCCATTTTCTTTGGAGAAATTATATTCAAACTCTTTGTCTATTTTTAATTGGGTTGTCTATTATTGAGTCATAATAACTCTTTATATATTTTGGATAGCAAGCCCTTATCAGACCCAATTCTGTGGGTTGTCTTTTCACTTTCTTGATAGTGTCTTTTGACACACACAAGTTTTTGACTTTGATAAAGTCCAGTTTATGTCTTTTTTTGTGTGTGTTTTAGTGTCATATTTAAGAAACCGTTGCCTAATCTAAGGGCACAAAGATGTGTACTTATGCTTCCTTCTACAAGTTTAATAGTTTTAGCTCCTACATTTTCATCTTTGTTTCATTCTGAGTTGATTTTTTTGCATATGGTATGAGTAGGGGTCCAAATTCCTTCTGTTTCATGTGTATATCTAATTGTCTCGATAATGTATTTTGCAAAGACTGTTCTATTCCCACTGAATTGTCTTCACACACTTTCAAAAATCAATTGACAATAAGTGTAACAGTTTAATTCTGGATTCTCAGTTCTGAATTCATTGGTCTATATATCTGTCTTTATGCCAGTACCATATTGTCTAGCTTTATAGTGAGTTTTGAAATTAGAAAAATTGAGTCCTACAACTTTTTCCTTTTCAAGGTAGTTTTGGCTATTCTATGTCACTTGCATTTCCATATAAATTTTAGAATGAGCTTTTCAATTTCCATAATAAAGCCAGTTGGAATTTTGATAAAGGTTTTATTGAATTGGTGGGTCAGTTTGGGAGTATTGGCATCTTAAAAATATTAAGTTTTTGATCCACAAGCATTAAATGTTTTTCCATCTATTTAGGTTTTTCTACTTTATTTCAATGATGTTTTATAGTTTTCTAATTTTGTAATTTGCAGTGATGTTTTATACTGCAAAAACTTGCAGTGCAAGGTTTGCATTTCTTTTGTTGAAGTTATTGTTAAGTATTTTATTCTTTTTGATGCTATTATAAATGGAATTTTTTTCTTTGTTTCATATTTTTAATTACCATTATTGCACCAATACAGCATATACTTTATATAGATATATCTTAAACATTTCCCATTTTTCAGGAATTCAAATACATAATATATTATCATCTTAGAATACAAAGAACACAACGTGGAGGAAGATTGAGAAAATAGGTTGCCAGTATTTAGTCACTAATGCTTCTACAGACTTTCCTTTTAGTGTTTTCTATTGGAATTTTAATATGTCTTGCCATGGCTCTTCAAGAATAGAGCTTCCTGGAAAATGAGGCAATGAAAAGAAAATGGACCCAAAGTCAGAAAAAGTTAAGAAGGAAATCCAGGAAAGTAATATATTTTGAAACTAAACATAAGGACTCCCTTCTGCCAGAGTGTACGTTCCAAATAGGTACAAAAGGGAAGCAAGTATATCTTCCCATTTAATCCTCAACATTGCTCATTTAGAAACAAAATAGAAAGTACCCATTCATCTAAGAAGCAGAACTTTTTTCACAGCATTGTAAAAGGAATGGCAGGGCAGAGGGGAAAGAAAGTGATGGGAGAACAACTTGCTTTTAACCCTGGGTGACAGGTATCAAAGCCTTGGGCAAAACCTGTCACGGTAAAGCTGTGACTCTCCAACTTCCTTCACAAATGACAATACAAATAATAGCAGCTTTCTATTAAAGAACTACATGAACTGAAAAGAAATGTTTATGGAAAGGGGCCAGATACCCAGACAGCAAGACAATGTGGGTACTAAACAAGAGTTAAGTGCTTTCAGCCTCTCTGCTCTACAGATCAGGTTAAAAACTCTATACTCTTCAACTTCAGGTCAAATAACATGGCAAATACAAATTAATGCCATGCTTCAAATGCAGCAACTAGATGGAGCTGCAAGAAATTAAACACTCCTATAGAATATCACTTGGAAAGCACAGCCTCTTGAACCTCCTTCATCACAGAGACACCCATTGGTCAAAGATGTTTCACAATTCAAATTCAGCAAACAGAAAAGAAGAGTGGAGGTGCCACCAGCACAACCCTCTTGTCATAGAAAGATACATGTAAACACACAAGAGGGTGATGGAGCTGCACCCAGCACTGGATGTTCACTGAGTACGATAAGCCTGAAGAAGGCTATACAGCAGAGACCCAGGAAATAGGTCTTTCTCCATTATTGTGGGATCTGGCCAGCAGCTTGCAATGCAATGGGGCTCTTTCTTTGTTCCCAGGCAGATCGGCAGGTCAAGAAATAATAGACACACACAAGATAATGAAAGCTGGGTCCAGGGGGGTCATCGCCTTCTGGTACTGTGATGCCGCCAATGCACTGGATATACCAGCATTTATTATTAAGTTTAGTGAGGGCAGGGATAGGTTAGTGAGGGATTTAGGGTCATTTGATTATGAGGTGAGATGGTCACATGGGGATGAAGTAATTCTTTAATGTAACACCTGTATGCAGAAGTACAGTATACAGAGATAAGAATTTACAATATAGTGTGTGCATCAGTAATTTCTAACAGAGCCTTGAAACAGAAACACAGTCTTTCCATAACCTATGATTATGAAGATATTAATCAGCAGTAACAGTTGCAGCAAAAGCTGGTTACAAACAATCCATAGAAACAGGACGTGAAGCTAGACAACCTGTTAGACCAGAAATTCTCAGAAAGGAGTATGCCTTAACCCTAAAGAGGCCTAGAAGAGCCGTGGCAAGATGAGGGCCTTTATAGCCCTATCTTATCCATATGGACACGCGCCCCTCATGCGTCCATTTATAGGCTTTCCACAAGGGTTGCATTCCATTCCCAGAGCTATGAACATCTGCTTTTCTGGGATAGGAATCTTAGTGATGTGAAACCTCCCTGACTGCATGTCTGTTGATAGGCTCTCTGCAGGGGGAAGCACATCACGTGCTGTTGGCTCATTCTGGCAGTCCATCCTGGCATTGTCTTTACACAATGTGCATGCAACTTTGTATTTACAATAATTAGAAGCATTTCATCTTTTATTCCATAGCAATAGTTTCAGGGGGTCTCCCTACACTCCATATCTACCCCTATCAAAATTCTGAATTTGTAAACACTGAGGTCAGCCTGTCCATTTTTAGTCCTGGGTTAGTGGAGAAGGAAGTTGCAAGGTTTTTGACTTCCCTGGAATTGCTAAATAGGGCTTCACAAAGAGGCACACAAGGGTCATGAGATGATTTTGAAATAAGTTGAAGAATTTAAAAGATAAGACAAATTTTACAGATGTTAGATCATTCCTCCTCAAAGAGATACTGGCCTTTTGAGCCCTGCATAGTCAGCCAAAAGTATGATAAGATCCACTAGTCCTCTACCTTGGTACTAAGCAGGAGATAATAGATACTCTCTTGGCTGTACAAGTAACAACACAGGGGAGTGACATAAACCAGCTTGAATGTAATGGAGAAGCTATGAAAAAGATTGTCCAGTCATTTTGGTTCTGTAGAGGAAATGGGTTTCTGACTTCCCTCACAGATTGGTGCCCTCAAGGTCATTTTTATTCCACAAGTCTGCCTTAATGTCCTGCCAATGCCATTCAGAATTGGACCCAGTTGGATGGCTGTGGTGCCTGGTTTGGAACAGAGCTGGATGCAGTGCTGAAGTCTCCCCACAAGTCATTGCTTGCAGAAACTGGAGTTGGTGCTGGTGTTGTGACAGGAGCAGGAGAATCCAAATCTAAAAGGATATCTGCATCACTGCCTCCATGGTTAGATTTTGGAATGGCTGGTAGGGTGACATGATTGCTGATGCAACTGAGGAGGACAGTGGGGGAATACTGACTTGGCCTCCTGGTGGGGATGCGAGTAAGCTCAGGCCCCCACCCATTGCAGTCCTGGGCTTAGAAGCACATCCATTCTTGGTTGTAATGTTCCCCGTACTCAACTTGATGGTTTGTCTTTCTTTGAAGCCCAGATCCAAGTTAGGACAAGCGTCCATTTCTTGAGATTCCTTGGAAATCTCAGATTCCTGCTTTACCCATTTGAAGTGATCCTGCAAGGAGACATTAAATTCAAAGGCATCTCCCCGATCTGTGAAGCCAGCAGTGTCAATGACAGCACTCTGCCCAGGACCATCCTGAATCCAGATTAAAAAGTAGCAGCTGGAATCTGTCACTGTCTCCACAGCAATACCAGGATATTGTTCTACTGGTATCTGAGTGAAGAGCTCCCCTGAAACTTTATCCTCGAGTTTGATATAGGCAGTCTTCCCTTTTGAAATGATTCGGAGGTGAACAGTCCAATCAGGCTGGTCTAATTTCCAGTCAGATGCCCTGTAATCACAGTTGGAGGCCCAGGGAGGAATCCAGTAGACGCTGATGTTTGGCTTCACACACAGCACAGACTCATACTCCAACTTGGCCACCATCTTGGCTTCCATTTTCTTAATTTTATTTTCGGATTGCTCATACTGCTGTGTAGAATACAGTAGGTTTTTGTAGGTTAGTCTTATATCTTGCAACAATAACTCATTTATGAGTGGATTCCTCAGGTTGGCTATATAAAAGATCATGGCATTTGAAACTAAAGATATCTTTACTTCTTTCTTTATAACCTGGATATCTTTTATTTATTTTTCTTATCTAATTACGTGGCTAGAACCTGCGCTACAATGTTGAATGGAAGTGGTGAGATTGGTCATTGCTGTCTTGTTCCTGACTTTAGGGGGAAAGCTTCCAGCTTTTCATCATTAAGTATATTAGCTGTGGGATTTTTGTAGATGTCTTTTATCAGATAGAGGAAATTCTCTCCTATTTCTAGCTTGTTGAGTATTTATTTCTCATAAAAGTGTGTTGAATATTGTGAAACATATTTTAACTGTGTGTATGGAGATGATCATGTTGTTTTTTTTTTATTTTCTTCTCTGTTCTTCAGATTACAACACTTCTATTGATTTATCTTCATGTTTGTTGTTTCTTCCTTTCTTTTCTTTTTTTGTTTTTTCATTTCTTTCTTTTTTTTTTTTTTGAGACAGGGTCTTGCTTTGTCACCTGGGCTGAAGTGCAGTGGCATGATCATGGCTCACTGCAGCCTCAACCTCCTAGGCTCAAGTGATTCTCTCACCTCCTCCTCTTGAGTAGATGGGACTTACAGGCGCATGCCACCACATGCAGATAATTTTTGTATTTTTTGTAGAAACAGGGTTTTGCCATGTTACCCAAACTGGTCCCAAGCTCCTGGGCTCAAGAGATCTGCCTGCCCCAACCTCCCAAAGTGCTGGGAATTACAGGCATTGAGCCACCACACCCAGCCTGATTGTTTCTTCTCATAGCTCAACTCTACTGTTGATCCTCTTTAGTGAATTTTAGTTTCAGTCATTCTACTTTTCCACTCCAAAATTTTGATTTGGTTCTTTTAAATAAATTTTATTTATTGATATTCTTTATTTGGTGAGATGTTATCATATATTCCTTTAGTTCTTTTGGCGTGCTTTCTTTTAGCTCTTTGATATTTATAATAGCTGCTTTGAAGTCTTTTTCTGTTAAGTCCAACATCTGGGTCCCTCAAAGGCATTTTTTATTGTCTGCTCTTTTTTCCCCCTATTTATGGGTAATACTTCCCAGTTTATTTTCATGTCTCATCATGTTTCGTTAAAAACTGGACATTTTCAATAATATAGTATAGCAACTATAAATATTGATCTTCCTAACCTTCCAACCCTTTGAAGATTCTTGTTTGCTTTCTTGTTTATTTATTTAGTGACATGGTTTGACTACTTCAGTGCATGCTATTTCCCATGCAGTGTGCATGCTCTGATGTCACTCCTCAGAGGGCGCAGCCTTAGGCATGTACACAGTTTCTCTGACCTCCCTTCCCAGAGATGACTATACATAGTCCAGTTCTCTTGGACTATCTCTTTCCCTGAATACTCAGTTAAGCTTGAGGCTGATATCACATCTAACTTGTAGCCTCCTCCAATTGCTAGCTGATTACTACATTGTTTTTGACAACACTTTGGGCCATACATTGCTCCAGTCTGATCCAATTAAAGTTGGGTTCCTTTGCAAGAGTGGTCTTTACATCTGGCTTTACCCAGGGAGAACTCTTCTTGGCTATCTTGTTCCCCGATTCTCTCTATTTTTGTCAGGTTTGTCAAAGATCAGGTAGTTTTAGGTGTGCAGTTTTATTTCTAGGTACTCTTTTCTGGCAAGCTGAGAGGCAAATCATGAATGAACTCCCATTCACAATTGCCATAAAAGGAATAAAATGCCTAGGAATATAGCTAATAAGGGAAGTAAAGGACCTCTTCAAGAAGAACTACAAACCACTGCTCGAAGTCAGAGATGACATAACCAAATGGGAAAACATTCCTTGCTAACAGATAGGAAGAATCAATATCGTGAAAATGGCCTTACTGCCCAAAGCAAATTATAGATTCAATGCTACTCCCATTAAACTATCATTGAAGTTCTTCACAGAATTTTAAAAAGACCTATCTAAAATTCATATGGAGCCAAAATAGAGCCCAAATACCCAAGACAATCCTAAACAAAAAGAACAAAGCTGGAGGCATCACACTACTCAACTTCAAACTAACTACAAGGCTGCAGTAACCTAAACAGCATAGTACTGGCACAGTACCATGGACATATAGACCAATATGTGAACAGACACATAGACCAATGGAACAGAACAGAGAACCCAGAAATAAGACCCCACACACAACCATCTGATCTTCAACAAACCTGACATCAACAAGCAATGGGGAAAGGATTCCCTATTTAATAAATGGTGCTGGGAGAATTAGCTAGCCATATGCAGAAAGTTGAAACTAGACCCCTTCCTTACACGTATACAAAAATCAACTCAAGAGGGTTTAAAGATTTAAATGTAAATCCCCAAACTATAAAAACCCTAGAAGAAAATCTAGATGGTATCATTTAGGACATAGACATAGGCAAAGATTTCATGGCAAAAAAAGCCAAAAGTGATAGCAACAAAAGCAAAAATTGACAAGTGGGATCTAATTAAACAAAAGAGCTTCTGCACAGCAAAAGCAACTGTCATCAGAGTGAACAGGGAACCTACCGAATGGGAGAAAATTTTAGCAATCTATTCATCTGACAAAGATCTAGTATCCAGCAGCTATAAGGAACTTAAACAAATTTACAAGGAAAAACACCATTAAAAAGTGGGGAAAAGACATGAACAAACACTTCTTTAAATAAGACATACATATGGCCAACACACTATGAAAAAATCTCAACATCACTAATCATTAGAGAAATGTAAATCAAAACCACAATGAGATACCATCTCACACCAGTCAGAATGGCAATTATTAAAAAGTCAAAAAACAGCAGATGCTAGCCAGGTTTTGGAAAAAAAAGGAATGCTTTTACAGTGTGTGTGGGAGTGTAAATTAGTTCAACCATTGTGGAAGACCATGTGGCAATTCCTTAAAGACCTATAGGCAGAAATACCATTTGACCCACCAATCTCATTACTGGGTATACACCCAAAGGAATATATATCATTCTGTTATAAAGATACATGCACATATATGTTTATCATAGCACCGTTCACAATAGCAAAGACATGGAATCAACCTAAATGCCCATCAGTGATACATTGGGTAAAGAAAATGTGGTACATATTATACATCATGGAATACTATGCAGCCATGAGAAGGAATAAGATGAAGTCCTTTTCTGGGACATGGATGGAGCCAGAAGCCAGTATCAGCAAACTAATATAGGAACAGAAAATCAAATACTACATGTTCTTACTTATAAGTGGGAGCTGAATGATGAGAACACATGGACACATGATGGGGAACAACACACACTGGGGCCTGTAGGAGGGTGGGGGTTGGGAGGAAGGAGAGCATCAGGAAGAATAGCTAATGGATGTTGGGCTTAATGCCTAGGTGATGGGATGATCAGTGCAGCAAGCCACCGTGGCACTTGTTTACCTATGTCACTGACCTGTACATCCTGCACATGTACCCCTGAACTTAAAAGTTAGAAATAAATAAATAAATTCTCAAGTTTTAGGGGGCTGATTGCCTTATCTCATAGAACATGCAGTCCCATACGAAGTTCACTTTCTGCAGCCCCCTACAATAATCCTGAGAGAGCTCCACGAGGTATCCCATTTGTTTTCACAATCATTATCAGTCTGGGCCAGGTACTACTGCTCTCCTGTGCAAGTATCCACTGGGCTCCTACCCTCTCTTGCTGGACATCAAGGTCTCCATGGGTGTCCTGTAGCTGTTCTGTGGCCCTATCATCAAGGCACTAATTCACAGGGCTACAGCCATGATGATTAATTGGTTCTGAGCAGAAATGAAGACCATGCTCATGGCACACACTCTGTGTTAAACTTTACCTACCATCTGGAAGCCAGTGGTACGCACCTGTTGGGCACCAGTGACAGAAATCAATAAACCATTATCCTGACCAATAGAATTCAAAGTCTAGTTGGGGCAAATCACTTAAAAATAGATACAAATATATTTTAAAGTCTATTTCTATGACATTAGGTAAGGTGTAGTACAAAGTTTCCTACTTATTTCAAAGTAGATCAAGTTAACTAAGTTCTTAACCTTCAATTAAAGTTCTTCATCTATAAAAATTGATGATCATAATACTTTAAAATATTTTAAGGATTGAATAAATATAAAAATTATATATATGTGTTGTAAATGTGTAGAGAGAGAGAGGTAAAGAGAGATTGAGGAAGAGACACAGGAGAGAGAGAAAGAGTGATAAAGCAAACCCATATGTCTTTACCAAGAGTTGCCTTTTGATAATGTCAATAAAGAAAAATGATGAGACAAGTCTCAAATCATTTTAGGAGGTTTATTTGCCAAAATTAAGGACATGCCCAGGAGACAGGTCTATGCCTTTCTCCAAAGATGAATTTGAGGGCTCCAAATTCAAGGAGATAAGGGAAGGATATTAAGAAGTACACAATTTTCATGTAAGAGGGGGGTAGGAAAAACGGTTATTCATGCCTTTGTCTGGCTCAGTGAATCTGCATTTTTTTTTTTTTTTACGTAAAATGACATAGACAAATGTGGCAGAGGAAAGATGTAGGAAATCTGCATTTTACATAAGATAACATAGACAAAATTGGGCAGGGGAACAATCAGATATGCATTTGTGTGTGGTGGGCTGGGGTGACTGTGCCTATAAAGATAAGCTATCAATTTGCATTGCCATGGTGAAATTTTCACAGAAACATCTTAAAAGATCTTGCAGCTCACTAAGAATTTCCTTGTGGGCAAAATACGGGGGAGACGTGTAGCTTTTCATCTTGTAGCCATCTTGTTTAGGAACAAAAAGGGGGAGGCAGATTTGCTTGACCCAGTTCCCAGCTTGACTTTTCCCTTTGGCTTAATGAGTTTAGGGTTCCAAGATTTAATTTCCTTTTATAATAACAAGATTAAATAACCTTTTGAAACTTCTGCTTTAAGTTGGAGGAAGTGGCACTTTTGCCCCTAGCTTAAAGCAAGGGCATAAATTCCTCCAGAGAAAGTTCTGATAGAGACTCCTACAAAAACATTTGGTGGACAGGAAGATTGGAGAAAGAACCCTTCCCTCATCATGTGGCAGCCTGCACTCCACCCAGCCTCATCTCTGCCTGGCCCCTCCTCTCAGCAAACACCACAGTCCATAGTCAGGACTTCTAGTCACACACAGGTGAATAGGAATTCTCTTTGGATAATGAAAGTACATTTGTGGTCAACTAAACCATCAACTTAAAATAGCAGCATACAGTCCAAAATCTCCAAAAATTTTTAGAAAACTACTAATGTAAACAGAGTCACCAATATTATGAAAACACAAGAACTATGTGAGGAAGCAGAGTTAATGGGGGATGCAACAGAAAATATTTACAAAAGAGGGCTCATAACTTGTCAAGAATGAGACAGAATTCTGGTCAATTAAAAACAAACAATAGGTAGATTAGATAGGGTAGTTGCCTTGGGTAAAGATGAGTTAGTGGTCTAAGAGACAGAAAGAAAAAGTCTCCCAGAACTCACTGCAGAAGGAAAAGTAGGCCGATATGGTTTCAAGAGGTTGGCCCCTGACTGTGCAACAAATTATTATCTGGGGCTTTGATGTATCAGTAAAGCTGGTGTGCAGGAAACTCCAGTTGAGGTGGGTTTTATATATTAATAGGGTTGGCTTAACTTTTTGTAGGAATTCATTTGTTTCATGTCATTTCCTTTTCTATGCTAAGGTTTTATGGCTGACCAAGAAAGTAAGAACCTAGGTATGGTTGACAGTGTGAATGGACCATCAGCCTCCACCATCTCCTGCTCACCATGGTTGAGCAGGTCATTTCTAAATACCTTCTGGTGGATGGCCATATAATCTGGGGCTCAGAACTGCTTTACCTGGCACCTAGTGAGGAGGAGGAGGCAAACTCAAAATACCTGCTCTGCTGGGGCTGATGCAGATGTTGTGTTTTACTAGGGAAGCTGTTAATTTTATGATAGCAAATCTGGACTGTTTATAGACAAACTCGTACAGGAGTTTGCAACAATTTCACAGCTCAGTTTGATGTTTTGGCAGATGTTATGGGAGCATTCTGCAAGATCATTAAAGCAGAGCTGTGGCAGAGTAGACATCCCCAGGGAGCCACCTGACCAAAGCGACTGCATTGCAGCTTGTCTGGACATGTCCCCAAGATGGGTCTTGTCTGAAAAAACCTTCCTTCATGTGATAAATAGGTGCTTTTCCCCTAGAGTTAACTTATGTGAATAAAGATGCTTATTTTTATGACAAAGTTTTCTAACATAACTGTGGCACATGTTAAAAGGAAGTTACTATTAAAAGAAATTTATTATTTTGGGGGAGCCACTGGCAGCCAAAATGGAGGTCTCTTTTATTTTGGAACATTTTGGGGAAAGGGATGAGAAATTGAACAGAGAGTAGGTTTCAACATTTCAAAAAGTGTGAGTTTTAAAAAGCCTTTATATAATGAGTCCATTTTGTTCACAATGATTCAGTTAAGGTAGAGACTGTTGAATGATTTACCAAGACCCTGACACTTAAAATGGGTGAGTTTAAGTGTTGTATTAGTCTGTTTTCATACTGGTGATGAAGACATACCCGAGACTGGGTAATTTATAAAGAAAAAGCGGTTTAATGGACTCACAGTTCCAAGTGGCTGGGGAAGCCTTACAATCATGGCAGAAAGCAAAGCAAAAGGCATGTCTTACATGGTGCTGGGCAAGAGAGAATCAGAGCCAATCAAAAGGGGAAACCTCTTGTAAAATCAACAGATCTTGTGAGACTTGTTCACTACCATGAGAACAGTATGGGGAAAACCACCCCCATGATTCAATTATCTTCCACTGGGTTCTTCCTACAACATGTGGGAATTTGGGGAGCTACAATTTAAGATGAGATTTGGGTGGGGACATGGTCAAACCATATCAAGTGGCCTTCAAGATTTTATGATTGGCTACAAACACTCAGCCTCCTAGTCAACCCTCCCAGGTCCCTAGATGTTATTGAGGCAAATTCCAAAGAGGCTTGGAACATTTTTGTGCATGGCACCAGACATGAGAACAATTGGCAAGGCCCACTATGTAACAGTTGAAGAAATGAGAACCTTTAAGTTAAAGGCAAAATTTGAAAAGTGTTAGAGCAACATTTAGATGAGATGTTTATTCTGGCTAAATATACGTATTTTTAAGAGACAGGGTCTCACTCTGTTGCCCAGGCTGGAATGTGCAGTGGTGTGATCATGACTCACTTCAACCTCAAATTCCAGGGCTCAAGGAATCCTCCTACCTCAGCCTCCCAAGTAGCTAGGACTATAGGCTCACACCACCACTCCCAGTGATACAGTTTGAATGCTTGTCCCCTTCAAATCTTATGTTGAAATGTGATCCCCAGTGTTGGAGGGGGGCCTAGTGGGCAGGTTTGGGTCATGGGAGCAGATCCCTTACCAGTGGCATTGCGCTGTCCTCATGGTAATGAGTGAGTTCTCACTCTGTTAGTTCACATGAAAGCCGGTTGTTTAAAAGAGCCCACAACCTCCTCCTCTCTCTCTGCTCCCTCTGTCACCATGTGACACACCAGCTTCCCTTGCCTTTTTGCCATGAGTAAAAGCTCCTCAAGTCCTCACCAGAAGCTGAACCGATGCCAGCATCATGCTTCTTGTCCAACCAGCAGAACTGTGAGTCAAATAAACCTCTTTTCTTTATAAATTACCTAGACTCAGTTATTCCCGTATAGGAACACAAAACGGGCTAACAAAACTGGCTAACTAAAAAAATTGTTTTGTAGAGATGGAGTCTTAAATTCCTGGCCTCAAGTGATCCCCCCATCATGGTCTTCCAAAGCACTGGGATTACAGGCATGAGCCACTGCACCAGCCTGGCAAAAGATTTTAACATGGGCTCTGCCCAGTTTATATACTCAAAGAGTGCAGAGAGTTTTTTGTTTTTTAACCCAGATGAGCTTCAGAAGATCTGCACTCACGCTCCCAAAAGCCCCTGGTCAAGAAGTGTGGCAATGTGTTGGTGAAATTTCTGGAGTGGCCCCCAAAGTTGAACAATTAGATCAAGATCTAATTGTGGCTTTCCAAATAATGATTTGAAACCTTTAGCAGTCTAAAGATGAATAAAACTGGATTCTCTATTACAATCCCCAAAAATACTAATATGGCTTTCTAAATAATGATTTGAAATCTTTAGCAGTCTAAAGATGGATAAAACTGGATTCTCTATTACAATCCCCAAAAATACTTTAACATTTGTTTGCTTCAGAAGTCTGCATCTGACTATGTTTCACTAGATTGCAAGTTGGCAAGCTATAGCCCACAGGCAAAATTTGGCTTGCTGCCTGTTTTTATAAATAAAGTTTTATTGGAACACAGTCATACCCATTCATTGTGTATTGCCTATGGCTGTTTTGGCTTTACAATGGCAGAGTTCAATAGTCGTAACAGAGCTCATATGGCCCAGAAAGCCTAAAATACTCACTATCTTGCTATTTATAGAAAAAGTGTGCTGACTCCTACCTATAGCATCCCAGAACATGATACATGCTCCCTGAACATGTTAGTTCAAACTAGGGCACAAGAGTGGGGAACAACAATTTGGTACAAAATGTGAATGAGTGCATTGGTATAGATAAAACTAAGCTAAGCAACTAAACTATAAACTAAACTCATACTAAACTTTGTTCTGACCCCACCCTGTGGTGCCTCTAAAGCCTGCTGGGGTCACCGTTATGTTATCATCAGGGACACTCTGGTCCTGTTACAGAGAGTAACTATGGATGTGGAGTCTACCAGCATCCTAGCTGTATGAGATTTAATCCTCTGCATATCCACATATTTATGATGTAGCATCGGTTGGCTGGAAATCATCCTGTGCCACCGATGAGGTATGTCCTGGCTGAGGCACATCTCATCACCAACAACACATGAGCCAGGAGCTACGACATGGTGAGAGCCTCACTTTTCACACTTCTCACCATAGCTGGTAAGCAACCATCCTTTCAGCAGCAGCAGCATCACAATAAAGGCTGAGCAGGACCAACATATATTATTGAGAGTTGTACTTTGAAAAAGATGAACTATTTAATAGAAAGAAAAAAATGTGGCTTTCTAAATAGAGGAGAATTGTGGATTCACACATATTCATGGAACACTAAATATGTGTGGGGCTCATTTGGAGGCTTGTTTTGAAGGGCATGCAGGGTGACCAGCCATCCCTGCTTGCTGGCTAGCTAGGGGTGCCCTGGCATGTAGGGCTTTCTGTGCTAAAACTAGAAAAGTTCTAGGCAAACCAAGACAAATTGGTCACCTTAAGATCATTTCTTTTTATTTTTTATTTATTTGATTTATTTATTTTTTTAAATTTTAAATTTTTGTGGATACATGGTAGGTGTATATATTTTGTATATATTTATGGGGTACATGAGATACTTTGACACAGACATGCAACGCATAATAACCACATCAGGGTAAACAGAGTATCCATCACCTCAAGCATTTACCTTTTCTTTGTGTTACAAACAATCCAGTTATACAGTTTTAGTTTTTTTGAAATGTACAATAAATTATTGTTGCCTGTAGAAGGTAATGCCTTTTTAAAGAAAAAGTCTTGAGGTCACTAAAAAGCATTAAAAATAATCCTGGGGAGATGTGTTGGTGCATACTTAAAAAGCCACACACATTAAAAATATAGAAAAGAAAGAAATAGAAAATTAAGGGGTGGGTTTCAAGACTCCTGATGAAACTTAGGATATTTATGCCTCAGAAGAGCAAAAATCCCCAAGTGAACAAGTTAGCTTTTTCAGACTTCATAGGGGACACCAAGAGGAAGAGAGGAGACATCAAGATGAACAAATTATTCCTCCATAGATGTCTTACTCATCTCAGTCTGCCATAACAAAATATCATGGATGGAGTCTCTCTGGTGTCTCTTCTTATAAGGCCACTAATCCCATCATAAGAGCCCCACCCTCCTGACCTCACCTAAACCTAATTAGATCCCAAAGGCTCCAGTTACCATCCGTTTTTCTCCAAATACCATCACATTGCAGATTAGGGATTCAACTTATGAATTTTAGGATGGCACAATTCAGTCCATAGCAACAGGTTTTATTTAATTTTTTTTTAAATAGTAAATTTTAAAAAGATCTTATGCAAATGTCACTTGTACATTGAAGTTCAAAAATACCAAGTTAGATTTGGACCTTTAAAAGATACAACTCATATAGTTAGGATTGGAAAAATTTGAATTTTATGTTCTCCAAAATGACGATGACCTTGGGCTAAAAACTGCTCATTTTCCATTCATAGGAAAGTGTGACAAGCTGACATGTACAGGAAAGTTGTGTAGTCCTGACCTACACTCATGGCACTACCATCAGTAAGACCAACCAAATCATGAGGGTCTTCATTAAACCTGCACTCAAATCAACTGCAGTGAGCATTCACCCTCACACATCTTCCAGAGCAAGTAAATTGTTGCAGAAGTGGTACCCAATTTTGTAATGCCTCCTGCATCCTCACCCTCACGACTCTGACCTTTGCCATGGGACTTGTTTTGGCCAATAGGACATTAGCACTGGAAATCAAGAAAGCTTTGAAAAAAATGCTTGCACATTAGATTTGCCATCTCTGGCCACTGTGTGAACAGCCATGCCTGGGCCCCTAGAGGATGAAAGGCCATGTGGAGAAAGACTCCAATGGTCCCAGCCATTGTTCCAGTGAGGCCCCCTGGAGCAACCAGCCTGCCAGCCATCAGCGTATGAGCGTATGAGGACTTGACTATCCAGTCCTCACTGAGCCACTAGCTGACTGCAATAATGAGCCAAGCTAACCCAAGCCAGTTGAACCATTCAAAGGACTAACCCAATCATGACAAATAATCAATGTTGTTTAAAGCCACTAAGTTTTAGGAAGCTTGTTACGCAGTAAAGTCTAACTGATACACAAGAAGGTAAATTTTACAAAGATGCTGCCAGTAAGCAGAAATACATAGCAAAGCAAAGAGGAAATGAGGACATTAAGAAACATTCATATTTCACTGCTAGACGTAGATATTTCCACTTTTTGAATCTTCACCCTGACTACATATATATTTTCAAGAAAAAATACTGCTAAATAGTATAGATGTTACCCATAAACTCTATAAACTGTACATCCTTTCAGCTTCCCTGTTTGCTGAGAGACCCTGGTGGTGCTTGCTGTACGTTAGGGTCTTGCTGGAGTTTTGTCCCCAGCCAATGCTCTGTACCTGGTGGACTGGGAAAGTAGGAAGGTATTTAGCATACCTCAGGGAAGCCAAGAATGTAAACAGGAAAATCCATTCCAGAGGCAGTTGCTAACAGAACTCATGTTGGGTTCTGTCATCCATGGATAATGGCACCATTGGTGGGGATTATTATAAAAATCCTCTTGACTTTAAAGATTATGGTATTGACTTAGGGACTCTGGATGTGGGTGGGGAACCCAGGAACTTAATCAGGAGGTGACTCTCTTGCAGGCTAGGGAACAACACAGAAAGGAACAAGTGCTGTCTGAGAACCATGAAGAGTAAAGTCAAGATCACACATTTTGCCATTAGACCAGTCACTGAATGGTCCAGTCTCCTCTTCCCAGAACACTGCTCTCTGCCTAATATGAGCAACTGAGGGCAGATACTGGTTCACCAGAGCTTTTGCTGACGGTGTTAACATGGTCACCTATAGTGTTTTGGATGCTGTCATAGATGTCACTCAGAGATGGAATGCATTATTTCACTACATATAAACATGGAGAGTTACATTTTAGTGCCATGTAACTGAAACATCCAGATATGGGGCAACATTTTAAATATTTTCTCCATTCACTGCTTACCAAGAGATGGACCAGTGAAGTGTTTGGTCATCTGTGAATATGAACATTAAAAAATTGCTGTGATTGATAATATAGAATCTGTTTCTGATTTTTTTTTTACTCCATGAATGATTTGTATCATCCCTTCTCTACATGAATGTGGATGGGCCATATCTGGTTTTTGTAAATAAAGTTTTATTGGGACACTGCCACAGCCATGTGTTTATGTGTGATCGACAACTGCTTTCATCCTGCAATGTCAGAATTGAGTAGTGCAACAGAGACTATCTGGCCCTGTGAAACCTGAACTACTTACTATCTTATTTTTAGCAGAAAAAGTTTATGACCTCTGCTGTATGTCCATCATGAGCCCAGCCTCACAGCGCTTGCCATCATCAGCCCAATATCACCCATTTTACCACCTTGCCCTGAGGCTTGGGCTCTCCTTTTTCTCTCCCCTGCCCTTTGACACCTCTTATTTTTCCCTTTTAAGGAGGGCAAGCACAATGCTTATAAAACCCTTATTTTTAGGAAAACAAAACTCTATTTTTTAACAAACCAAGTCATTTTTTTTTTCTTCAAAATATTTAGTTCTGATATACCTATATCAGGATAATCTTTCACTTCCTCAGAGCCAATGTACTGGGCAATTTTGCTGAGAAGAACGTTGCCCAGTGATTTAAGTTTCATCTGCTCCAGCTGATATCTCTGAGCGTGTTTCCTCAAGATATTAAATAGAAAGTTTAGTTCTGATAAGAGTCTCATAAATATCTCCCACCCTTAAGGGTGTTGCTTAGCTGTGCTCAACTGTTTGGCAAACAGACCAAGTCCCTGTTGTCAGGGGTAGCAGCTTTGTGCTTCCTATTGCATTCTAATGGCCCTTCTGGCCATACATTAACCTCTATACCTGCTTCATCTTGTTCAGAAGCAGCTCAGTATTTTTTTTTTATATGGTTGATTTATGCTGGGTTAGGTAAAAGTTGATTGATGGATCTCTTAGTTCAAAAAAAGGTGTAGTCTCTTTTTCTTGTTTACTCTGGTGTGAAACATAGAGCTTTGTTGAAGTATGGGCTCATTATATCTTTTCTTAAAAGTATTTTTTCAGACATTCAGAGTATTTAAGGCTTTTTAATGCTCATATCCATATGATATGGGTAATGGTGGTGACCACGTTTTCCTCAGCAGGTATATTCTTTAGTTTTTTTGCTAAATACAGCTTCTCTGGACCCTTCATCACTGACTGCTCGGTGGTTGGAAGCAAAGGTGGGTTAAGCTTTGGGATACAAAAAACCTTCCTCTTGCCCCATGGACATTTTGTCATTTTAAGGGGGCTGTAGTACTACCCAAATCTTTGGTCATTCCTGCGTTATTTTCAAAATCTGAAAACAGTGTGCTATCGGGGGGATGTTTCCTTTTAGAGTATTGAGGGCAGTCTCAAGGACAGCAAAAACTAGATCATCAAATACACCTGAGAACATGCTTTTTCTCTGTCAGGATATTTGCAGAAGTAATTCCAAAAGTTTTGGGCTTCCCATCACATAGCAAGACATGACTCTGCCACATGGATTCAGGAAGATATGGTAGCAGTTCCCTGTGGGAATGTACTTATAACACCGTCTCAAAGAAAAGACAGTCATGACCCTCCAGGGAGGCATAAGCAAGTGTGCAGCTTGTGTTCATGCAGCTGTGTTTAGGTCTACTGCAGTGGGTTGAACTGTGGCCACCAAAAGATATGCTCACCCAGAACCTCAGAATGTGATCTTATTTGAAATTAGTCTTTTGCAAATGTAATTAAGGTAAAGATCTTGAGATGAGATCATCCTAGTTTGGGTTGGCTCTTCAATTCAGTGATGGTGTCCTTATAAGAGACAGAAGGAGAAGATACATAGAGAAGGTCGTTAAAAAAATGAAGATTAGAATTATGGATTATTCTATTATTAGGAAGATTAGGATTAGATTATGCTGCCACAAACCAAGGAATGCCTGGAGCAACCAAAAGCCGGAAGAGTCAAGGAAGGTTCTCCCTTAGAGGCTACGGAAGTCCTCTTGGCACCTTGATTTCAGACTAGGGACCTCCAGAAATGTAAGAGAATCAATTTCTGCTCTTTTGAGCCATCTACTTCATGGTAATTTACTATGGCAGCCCCAGGAAATGAACACAATCAGCACAGGTATCCTTGGAGACTATGGTAGCATCATGCAAGGTTACAGAAAAAAAGAGTGCTTGGTTCATGGACATCTGTGGGGCCAGTGTTACCTGTAATTAGTCCCAAGCATTTTGAAAAAGAACCATGACTTTTTCTTATGGTGGCACAGTTTCCCTTATCCTGCAAAATACATTTTGAACCATGTTAAAGAGGCTGAGATTCAGAGATGTCATACTTGGTGGGATTTTTTAAAAAATTTATTGTTGCCATGGGCCCTGTTGCTCTGAACATTACACTGCACACACTCACACAAGCAGCTCCATCCTTCCCAGCTTAGAGGGCTTGTTCGGTTTTTCGAAAAGCGGTGTTGTCACAGACTACTGAAATCTCAGCAGTAAGAAAGTGTCTTAAAGCCAACAAACTATGTTGTAGACAGATAACTGATGTTTTTTCACATGGTCTGTCTCAATTGGTCAAACAATGGCTGCTCTTTTAAAAATGTCTTCATATTTACCTGCCTTTTTGAGGAAGTAAACAAGCATGAGTTCCTTAAGACATCAACATTGACTTTGGTACTGTTCTAGCTTTCTGTGTAATGCTTCTGAGATGGGGCAGACCATTAGCCCTGATGGATCGAGGTCCCCAGAAGAAGTCTCTGCAATATACACCTGAGGAACAAATCCCCTACTCAATTCAGCCAGCTTATCAGCTCCAGGATGGTTCCAGTCTCTGTTCTGTGCTGCTAAAATAAAGGAATTCCTTGTTACTGATTAAACATATTAATTTAAGCAATCAAGTAGATTATACTTCCTTGTGAATGAATGCTAAATTAAAGTAGGCAATGACAGTTTTAGCCCTCTTCTCTATTAGGCAGGTGATTCTAAAATCACCCTTCCAACAAATCATAGAGGTATAGTCATTTATGAATTGGCACCAGAACATAGCATAAGAAAGAGACAACAGGAAATGGTCAAGCTCTACATGTATCTTCACTAAGGCAATGTTGGAAAGATTTAACTGTTGGGCAACCTTATAATCCCGTGAAATAAAAAATGGCTTGGCAATCTGTCTCCTGTGGGCTTCTTTTACAGCTGCTGGGGATTCAAGCAAATCCCCTACAGGGTGATAATCCTCGAGACATTTGTGTTTTCTGGCATAGAGTCTCATACATCTGGGAAAGCTGGACGCCTCTTGTTTATTTCTTAGGTGTGGGCACGAAGATCACTAAAGAGGTCCATGGAAGTTTCTTTTAAATGCCAAACTTCATAAATCTCAGTACCACATTCACTTCCACTCTGCGTCAGGTTCTCGCTGAGCAGTGCTCTTTATTCATGTGGTTGCCCTTGATATGCTGGGAAATTTCAGAATAGATTCGGTAAAGTAGAAGGCTCTCCACTGGCCCTGGAGTGCAGTATGGGAAAATTATAGCCTGGGTGAAATTTCACCTTCAGCAGCCCCAAGTGGGATTTCTGAAGATTTTTGAAATTATCAGGATTTGTTTGTGTGTGCCTTGCAAGTATTTCTTGGACTTATCTACAAAAAGATACAGGTTTGTGACAACATAATAATGTCTCTAGTAACCACATTTTAAAACATGGTGTAGATAGATGTTGTTTGTATGACCCCCAGAGAGACTCCAAAAGTGAACTCGAGAAGCAAAAGTGAGTCTTTCCACATAGACCCAACTGGAAGCTCTGAGAATAGTGTTGTTGAAGTGGGTAGGATGACAGCCTTTAACATTATATCCATGAAACTTAAAGAGCACCATAATCGTTATCAAAATATGGCCTGATGGACTGTGGCCACCTGGAAGCATGGCATGTGGATATCCCAATGCTTCATACAGATGCTATGGGTCAGTATTGCTTTTGGTGCTGATGGTAACTTTCAGAAATGAAAAGCACCAAGGCATCTGGCGATCTGCCTGTACATAGCTGTGCAGAATGGATGCTGGCCTCACATACTGAGAGTGTCCATGTGTCCTTTGCTACTGATTAAACATATTAATTTAAGCAGCAATGCCCTGATGTGCATGTTTGAAACTTTGCATAAGGCCATTAGGGTCATCTCTTCAAGGCCTTCTTCTAATCTCATCATCCGCTACAGAGTAAATGCTACTACTCTTTCCACTGCTTATTTTTGGTACCACTTCAGAAGCCCTTCTCTCTTCATGGCATAATATGCTGAGAGTTATGTTAGAATCAGCATAGGAGTCATATAATTTTGACTCTGAACCATGTTTACAAAATGGGGAAAGTGTCCTTACTTCCTAGAAATTTCACATCTTGTGAAAGCTTACTTAGCTTCAAAAGTAGAAATACAAATAATTGTATGAAATATAAAGAGTGATATTTAATTTTTTGATGTCTCTGAACATAACTTCTCATCTGTGTCATAAAATTTAGGAGCATTTAATCAAATTATCCAGCACCTGTCACTAAATAATAGGTGATAAATATATGCCCCAGAAAATCAGCAGTCATAGATTTCTTTATAAACAACCAAGCATAACATACAATCTAAAATTCCCACTCTCACTTTCTCTTAAACAGGTGTGTAGTATACATAGAATTTGGGTATTTATCTCAGTTTCTTACTTACAGTCGAAATCACATACACTCTAATCCTTGGAGAGTTTAGAGTTTCCAAACCCATAGCCCCAGAAAATAGATGTTTATCAATTTTAAAGCAGACTTTTTAGGGACACCATAATAAAAGGCTTCACTTTCATTTTCCTGGGGAGGGAAATCCCTGAAGCACTCTCCAAACAATATATTTTATGTCTCATTTCCCCGCCAGCAGCCTTCACTTTCTGCCATTTTAAGCAAAGTTTGGAGCAGCAGATGGC
Organism: Homo sapiens; assembly: GCF_000001405.40. Taxonomy (NCBI): domain Eukaryota; kingdom Metazoa; phylum Chordata; class Mammalia; order Primates; family Hominidae; genus Homo; species Homo sapiens. Next base: position 37,603,255 of record NC_000007.14, read on the forward strand.
CTCAGACTGGGAGTATCCATATGGGTTCTCCACCCTTCTCCCCACAACACTGATTTATCACAATCCTTGGGTTTGTGTCAAAGAGCACTGTGACACTGATCACAGATGGAATCATCACCTGAAGATCCTACATGCACAGGCATAAAATCATCCTTGGGTCTAGCACAAAAACTGTTTGCATCACTACAAGCTGGGGACTGCAGGTAACAACAGGGTTGCTCTCGCCTATGCCTGTTATAGAATATGATAATAGTAAAGGCTAGGTAGCCCTTACACACAGACTGCACTCAGGTGGATAATTTTCTAAATGAAAAATCTCAATGTCTTTTGAAGCCTTTCTGTTTGGGACATCAGTTTGACTGCAGTCTACCCTTAAAAAGGGCTGCTGTGAAACCACTGAATTCCAGATAATCAATACTGGATATTAGTGATCCCAATAAAGTGAACTACTGAATTCCAGGTAATTCCAGTTGTCAACATGGCACTGGTTCTACAGATGAAACTTTCTGCCCTCACTCCCTGCAAAGTTCTTACTGTTGTTACTGTTAACATAAACAACTCAGCACAGATAAACTCTGTATTGTTCTGTACCACATTAGCAAAATTAGTTAGAAATTCCAAAGCATTTAGCTCGCCAGTCCTTGGTCTGTACAAGAGGAGGATTGTTTAAAACCTTAATTACATAACTTACTAAAATATTTCCTATGAAACTCATAAATGAATCTCTGCAAGTTCCAGTTAATCACTTCCATGTCTTCTAGAAATGATGGTATCTTGGATAAGTTTATTTAAAAACTCAATATTTATTGTAATATTCAACATTTTGGAAACATCTACCATAATTTGATGTTCTTTCAAGGCCCATCTTCCTAGTGTCTGTTGTCATTTTAATCACCCTTTTCTTCTCTCAGTGACTTCAGAACCTCCTTTTTTATTTTCTGAGGATTCTGAGGGACTGTGTGTTGGGATTGTGTGGAGTGAGTCCAAGGGATGCCAGGCTGCATCGTAGCTCTGGAATTTACTTGCAACCACAGGCTCTCCCAACCCTGTTATGGGGCTTCAGAGTTTGGAGGTGGTGAAGAGGTGGCCAAAAGCTCTTCAACCCCACAGGTGCTGCACATCCAATGTATATGAGGCTGACCACATCTTGGAGAAGGCTTGATATGCTGACCTCTCAATCTATGCTAACACTTTGTCATGAATATGGCTTACTATATCCTGACTAATATCATATTCTCATTTCCAACTATGAGTCGGTAAGTCTGCAAGTATTTTCTTTACAGTCTAGAGAAATCTGCAGTGTTATCATACCGTTTTTTTCTTTTCTGGTTTTCTATATCACACCACTTAGATTGCAATGTAATATTTTTATATCTAGATATTAAATTTAGCAAAATGTAAGTAACAATAACACACATTTTTATGACATTAGCACTTTTTTTAAACCTTCTTGTAGTGGTGGCTGGTTCTGGTGCTGCTTTTTCATTGTTGCTTTTCCCATATTCACATAATAGACAACTGAGACCATGACATTGTGAATGAGGCTATGTGAATATAAAGGAATAATATTGTTGCTGCTGTTTATTTCAACAATAAATTGAATCACAGAGCACTCACATTAAACCATATACACATATTTTCCATATAGTTCAAACCCACCTTTGAAAAAAAAAGTAATGATAATGAAAAAATATAATGTGATATAAAACAGCCATCACACTTGCTTGGCAGTGTGCATGTATCCCTTTGCCTCTAGGGTAATTTCCATACATGGATTTAGTAGAGCACAAAGAACCCTCAGAGAAGTCAGGTTATAATGTTTAAGCTGGTTGGTGGGTACAGGCTATTACTGTTTTTTCTTTAAATTCTACTTATATTGTATATATGATTGGCCCTTTAACAAAATGGGTTTGAACTGTACAGGTCCACTTATATGCAGATTTTTTCAATCAATATATTGGAAAACTTTTTGGAGATTTGCAACAATTTGAAAAAGACTTTCATATAAACATTGTAGTCTAGAAATATCAAAAAATTAAGAAAATGTTAGGTATGTCATGAATGTATAAAATACATGTAGACACTAGTCTATTTTATCATTTACTACCATAAAATATACACAAATCTGTTATAAGAAGTTTAAATTTATCAAAACAAACACACACAAACACTTACAGACCATGCATGGCGCATAGAAGTTGAGAGAAATGTAAAGACGCAGTAGTAAATTATAACTGCATAAAATTAACTGTACAGCATATTGTACTCCTATAGTAACTTTTTAGCTGCCTCTTGTTGCTGTTGTGGTGAGCTCCAGGGTTGTGAGTATCCACTTGCTGTGTGATGATAATCATCTCCGAGTGAGTAGTTTCTCTCTCAAGTAAATTGTGTATCACAGCAAAACGTGAGCTCTTGAGGTTTTTGCATATTTTGTTTTCATCGTGTTTAGTGCGATCCTGTAAACCTTGAATGACACCATGGCATCCATACTAAGTACCACTAGTGATGCTGGAAGTGCTACCAACAAGCAGAGAAAAGTCATGAGTTGAACCGCTTGGTGTGTACCAGAGACTGAGGTCTGCAGCTGCAGGTATTGCTATTTCAGACAGATGATTCATGTTGTAAGCAGAAGATGGAAACTTACAGGATCGATACACATAGTGCAGTGCTGTAAATGTATTTTCTCTTCCTAATGATTTTCTTTTCCTTAGGTTACTTTATTATAAGAATATATTATATAATGCATATAACTTACAAAATATGTGTTAATTGGCTGTTCATGTTACTGATAAGGCTTCTGGTCGATAGTAAGCTATTAGTAAAGTGTGGAGGGAGTCAGGGTTACCTGTGGATTTTCCACTGTGCAGGGAGTCGGTGCCTAGAACGCCTACATTGTCTGGGTCAACTGTATATTGATTTACTTTTGCCGATACAATACTGAAAAGAAACTAAGGCAAAAAAGTACATGAGAAAACCTGAAAAGTCTCCTTTCAGCTCCAAAATCTCCATTTCTTCTCCTCCAGCCTCCAATATTGTACTCTATATGACTGCAAACAATTTTCTGCAGATCAACATATAATTTGTACACAAACATATATATATACAGAGGTTTTAACATTTTACATAAATATGATCCAAGTCCTATGCAAATATTATTCTGTGATTTTGCTCTTCAATAATTTCTCTTTTGATCTTCAATAATATGTCTTTGGAATCTTTACCTATCAACATATCTTTAAAAAGAATATATTTTGTTTTTTTTTTTGAGACAGGGTTTTACTCCCATACCCCAGGCTGGAGTGCAATAGCATAATCTTGGCTCACTGCAGCCTCAAACTCCTGGGCTCAAGCAATTCTCCTGCCTCAGCCTCCCAAGTAGCTGAGACTATAGGCATGTACAGCCACACCTGGCTAATTTTTGTATTTTGTATTTTGTTTTATTTTTTCTGTAGAGACGGGGTTTTGCCATGTTGTCCAGGCTGATCTTGAACTCCTGGGCTCAAGTGATCCACCTGTCTCTGCCTCCCAAAGTGCTAAGATTATAGGCATGAGCCTCCATACCTGGCCTAAAATTAAAGTTTTATAATTTGGATGTTATTTATTTATTTATTTATTTTGAGATAAAGTCTTGCGCTTTTAGCCTAGGCTGGAGTGCAATGGCACTATCTTGGCTCACTGCAAAGTCCACCTTCTAGGTTCAAGTGATTTTCCTGCCTCAGCCTCCCGAGTAGCTGGGATTACAGGCATCTGCCACCACACCTGGCTAATTTTTATATTTTTAGTAGAGATGGGGTTTCACCATGTTGGCCAGGCTGGTTTTGAACTCCTGACCTCAGGTGATCCACCTGCTTCGGCCTCCCAAAGTGCTGAGATTACAGGCATGAGCCACCACGCCCGGCCAAGGTGTTCATAGTTTATTTAACCCTTCTCCAGCTGGTGGCCTTAACATGTTTCCAATAGTTGTTAAGGATGCAGCCTCTGTACATGCTTGGGATGAATTCAAACCTAAGCTGCATGTTTAAGCAAATGAGCTTGGACGAAGTATTTTGTCTTTCTGTGCTTCAGTTTCCTCACTTGTAAAATGAAGATAATAATAGTGCCTAACTCATTGAATTAATATAATTAAAATGTTCAGAATAGCACTTATACATTGTCAGTAATAACTTTCGTATGTGTTTTTTGGTGCACATTTGTAGAATAAATTTTTGAATTAGAACTGCTGTCTCAAATGGTATGCACATTTAAATTTTAATTGATATTGCCAAACTGTCCTTATGAAATTGCACCAATTGTATTTACACCAGCACTCTAAGAAAGAGCCAACTCACCTAGAGTCTAATACTGAATATTACCAGTCACTTAAAGATTTTCCATTGAGGGGAATAATCTTGACACTTAAAATTTCTATTTCCCCGATTGAGAAGCTTTTTCTGTTTGCTGGTCATTTGAATTTGTTCTGTTAATTTCCTGCGAATATTTTAAATTATTAATTAAGCAAAATATTGGATGATTTTTTTTAAATGTACTTTTAGCATCTTTGTTAATCTGTTATTTATGAATTTGGCAGTCTTTAACTTTCTAGTCTATATTTAACCATAATTTTTCTTTCTTTTTATAGATAGTTTTAAACAATTGTGAGCTCTAACAATTTATCAATCTTTAAAAAATAAATTCAGGGCTTGAAATCTTCTTTAGGAAGAGTTTCTCTATCCCAAGATTATAAAAATATTCTTGTATATTTTCTTTAAAATATTATTTCATCTGGAACTGATTTGGGATGTGATATGAGTTAGGAGTCTACCTATATTATTTACTCATAGATACCCAATTTTTTCAATATCATTTCCTTACTGATTTGAGATAAATGTAATTTCCTATTCAAGAAGTTGTATTGAGAACCTGTTGAACAGCATGCCCTGTTCCTAGGTGCTGGGCATCCAGTGATGAGCAGGACAGGCATGGCCTCCTCCGCTCTCATGGTGCTTGACTTCTAGTTGGTGAAAGAAGAAAATGAACAAGTAATCAAGTAAGAAAATTCCAAATACCAAGAAGTGCATAACAAAAACTGACAAGGTCATGTGATAAAGAAAGATTAAGTGATGGGAATTAATTTGAATGGTGTAGTATGGGAAGGGCTCTCCAAGGTGGTAGTTACTGAGATAAAGGACAAGAAGCAGCCAGGAAGCTCAGATCTGCAGAAAGAAGATTCCACAGAAGAGGGCTAGAAAGTGCAAGTTGCCTGAGGCAGGACTGAACTTGGCAAGTTCACATAGGAGATTGAAGGCCAAAGTGCTAGAGCCCAGTGAATCAGGAAATAGCGTCAGAACAGCAGGGCAGAGCCAGCCCAGATAGCATTTTAGAGGAATCTGGTTATTATTCTAAATTCAACTTGGATCCTTGGGAGTGTCTGGGGTATGGGTGAGTGTGATGCAACTATTCATAGGCTGCCACCGTGACATTGACCCATCTGCCTACATCGGAGCCCACACAGTCCCCCTTCTTTCCTATTATTAGAGATAAACTGTGCCTGGTCCTATTTAAACCAATTTCCCCATATATCCCAGATGCCATTCCCTTATGGTCACTAATGTCATTTTTCCAGCCATATTCCCTCTGTGCTTCTACGTAATTAAATTTCTCATCCCAATGGAGTCATTCCAACTATCATACAGACAAGTTGTTTTATTCTAAAACTTAAACTAAAACAAAACCAAAACAATTTGTGTCTAGGCACAACTCGTGTTATTGCACTTCACTTTATTACACTTCATAGATTTTTGCATCTTTTACAAATGGAAGGTTTGTGGCAATCCTGCATCGAGCAGGTCTGTCAGCACCATTTTCCCAACAGCATTGCTCACTTTGTGTCTCTGTGCCATATTTTGATAATTCTCACAATATTTTAACCGTTTCCATTATTACTATGTCTGTTATGATTATCTGTGATCAGTGATCTTTGATATAACTATTGTTACTGTTTTGGGATGCCACAAACCATGCTCATGTACAACAGCAAACTAAGTTGATAAATGGTATATGTGTTCTGACTGCTCCTCCTACCAGCGGTTTCCTTATGTCTCTCCCTCTCCTCAAGCCTTCCTATTGTCTGAGATACAATAAAAATAAAATGAGGACAATTAGGAAACCCTACAAAGGCCTCTAAGGGTTTAAGTGAAAGGAAGAGTCACATGTCTCTCACTTTAAATCAGATGCTAGAAATGATTAAGCATAGTGAGGAAGGCATGTTGAAAGCCAAGGTAAGCCAAAAGCTAGGCCTCTTACACCAAACAGCAAATGTATGAATGTAAAGAAGAAGTTTGGGAAGAAAATTAAAAGTGCTACTCCAGTGAACACATAAATGATAAGAAAGAGAAACAGCCTTATTGCTGCTACAGAGAAAGCTTAAGTGGTCAGTGTAGATCAAATCAGCCACAACATTCCCGTAAGTCAAAGCCTGATCTGGAGCAAGGACCTAACTCTCTTCAATTTTATGAAGGCTGAGAGAGGTGAGGAAGCTGCAGAAGAAAAGCGTGAAGCCAGTAGAGTTTGGTTCATGAAATCTAAGCAAAGACACCAACTCCATGACATAAAAGTGGAAGGTGAGTCCGGGTAGTGGCTCACGCCTGTAATCCCAGCACTTTGGGAGGCCCAGGCGGGTGGATCACGAGGTCAAGAGATCGAGACCATCCTGGCTAACATGGTGAAACCCCGTCTCTACTAAAAATACAAAAAATTAGCTGGGGGTGGTGGTGGGCGCCTGTAGTCCCAGCTATTCAGGAGGCTGAGGCAGGAGAATGGCGTGAACCCAGGAGGCAGAGCTTGCAGTGAGCTGAGATCACACCACTGCACTCCAGCCTGGGCAAAAGAGCGAGACTCCGTCTCAAAAAAAAAAAGTGGAAGGTGAAGCAGCAAGTGCTGATGTAGAAGCTGCAGCAAGTTATACAGAAGATCTAGCTAAGATCATTGATGAAAGGGCTTACACTAAACAACAGATTTTAAATGTGGATGAAACAGCTTTCTGTTGGAAGAAGATGCCATCTAGAGACATCAATGCCTGGATTCAAAGTTTCAAAGGACAAGCTGGCTCTCTTTTAAGGGCTGATGTGACTGGTGACTTTAAGTTGAAGCCAATGTTTGTTTACCATTTTTGAAACCCTAGGGCCCATAAAAATGACGCCAAATTTCCTCTGTCTGTGCTTCAGAAATGTAAAAGCAAAGCTTAGATGACAGTTTACAGCATGGTTTACTGAATATTTTAAGCCCACTGTTGAGACCTACTGTTCAGGAAAAAGATTCCTTTCAGAGGAGATTGAGTGCATTCAGGGTGGTATGGCTGTAGACAATTACTTTCAAATATTACTGCTCATCAACAATGTACCTGGTCACACAAAAGCTCTGGTGGAGATTTGCAAGGAGATTAATGTTGTTTTTATGCCTGGTAACACAATATTCACTCTGTGGCCATGGGTCAAGGAGTAATGTTGACTTTCAAGTTTTATTATTTAAGAAATACACTTTGTTAGGCTATAGCTAGCATAGATAGTAATTCCTCTGATGGATGTGGCAAAGTCAATTGAAAACCTCTGGAAAGCATTTACCATTTGTATTAGTCCATTTTCACACTGCTATGAAGAACTTCCCTGAGACTGGGTGATTTATAAAGGAAGAGGTTTATAAAAGAGGTTTGATTGACTTACAGTTCCACATGGCTGGGGAGGCCTCAGGAAACTTACAATCATGTTGGAAGGAAAAGCAGGCACATCCTACATGGCAGCAGGTGAGAGACAGACACAGAGAGAGAGGGAGGGAGAGAGAGAGAGAGAGAGAGAGAGAGAGAGAGAGAGAGGGAAGGAGGAAGAACCCCTTATAAAACCATCAGATCTCATGAAAACTCACTTAATATCACCAGAACAGCATGAGGGAAACTGCTCCCATGATCCAATTACCTCCCACTAGGTCCCTCCCTCAACACCTTACAATTCAAGATGAGATTTGGCTGGGAACACAAAGCCTAACATTATCATTATTCTAGATGCCATGAAGAACATTCATGATTCATGAGACGAGGTCAAAATATAAACATTAATGGGAATTTGGAAGAAGTTGATTCTAACCCTTGTTGATGACTGTGTGGCTCAGGACTTCAGTGGAGGAAATAAACTAAGGAAGTGAGGGAAATATCCAGATAACTAGAATTAGAAGTGGAGCCTGAAGATGGGACTGAATTTCTGCAGTCTCATAATAAAACTTTAGTGAATGAGGAGTTGCTTCTTGTGGATGAACAAAGAATAGGTTTCTTGAGATGGAAACTACTCTTGGTGAAGATGCTGTGAATATTGTTAAAATGACAACAAAGGATTTAGAATATTCTATAAACTCAATAAGGCAGCAGGAGGGCTAGAGAGGATTGACTCCAATGTTGAAAGAAATTCTGCACTAGGTAAAATGTGATCAAACAGCATCTCATCCTACAGATAAATCTTTTGTGAAAGGAAGAGGGATCAATGTGACAAATTCCATTGTTGTCTCTAAGAAACTGCCACAGGCATGCCAATCTTCAACAACTAACACCCAGATCAGTCAGCAGCCATCAGCATCAAGGTAAGCCCCTCCGCCAGCAAGCAGATTATGAATGCTCAGATGATTGTTAACATTTTTAGTGATAAAGTATTTTTTAAATTAAAGCATGTACATGGTTTTATCAGACATAATGCTATTGTACACTTAATACGCTACAGTATAGTGAAAACATAATTTTTTTTTTTTGCTTAAGTCTTGTTGCTGGGATTTATTTATTTATTTATTTTTATTATTATACTTTTAGTTTTAGGGTACATGTGCACATTGTGCAGGTTAGTTACATACGTATACATGTGCCATGCTGGTGTGCTGCACCCACTAACTCCTCATCTAGCATTAGGTATATCTCCCAATGCTATCCCTCCCCCCTCCCCCTACCCCACAACAGTCCCCAGAGCGTGATGTTCCCCTTCCTGTGTCCATGTGATCTCATTGTTCAATTCCCACCTATGAGTGAGAACATGCGGCGTTTGGTTTTTTGTTCTTGCGATAGTTTACTGAGAATGATGATTTCCAATTTCATCCATGTCCCTACAAAGGACATGAACTCATCATTTTTTATGGCTGCATAGTATTCCATGGTGTATATGTGCCACATTTTCTTAATCCAGTCTATCATTGTTGGACATTTGGGTTGCTTCCAAGTCTTTGCTATTGAGAATAATGCCGCAATAAACATACGTGTGCATGTGTCTTTATAGCAGCATGATTTATAGTCCTTTGGGTATATACCCAGTAATGGGATGGCTGGGTCAAATGGTATTTCCAGTTCTAGATCCCTGAGGAATTGCCACACTGACTTCCACAATGGTTGAACTAGTTTACAGTCCCACCAACAGTGTAAAAGTGTTCCTATTTCTCCACATCCTCTCCAGCACCTGTTGTTTCCTGACTTTTTAATGATTGCCATTCTAACTGGTGTGAGATGGTATCTCATTGTGGTTTTGATTTGCATTTCTCTGATGGCCAGTGATGGTGAGCATTTTTTCATGTGTTTTTTGGCTGCATAAATGTCTTCTTTTGAGAAGTGTCTGTTCATGTCCTTCGCCCACTTTTTGATGGGGTTGTTTGTTTTTTTCTTATAAATTTGTTTGAGTTCATTGTAGATTCTGGACATTAGCCCTTTGTCAGATGAGTAGGTTGCAAAAATTTTCTCCCATTTTGTAGGTTGCCTGTTCACTCTGATGGTAGTTTCTTTTGCTGTGCAGAAGCTCTTTAGTTTAATTAGATCCCATTTGTCAATTTTGTCTTTTGTTGCCATTGCTTTTGGTGTTTTAGACATGAAGTCCTTGCCCATGCCTATGTCCTGAATGGTAATGCCTAGGTTTTCTTCTAGGGTTTTTATGGTTTTAGGCCTAACGTTTAAGTCTTTAATCCATCTTGAATTGATTTTTGTATAAGGTGTAAGGAAGGGATTCAGTTTCAGCTTTCTACATATGGCTAGCCAGTTTTCCCAGCACCATTTATTAAATAGGGAATCCTTTCCCCATTGCTTGTTTTTCTCAGGTTTGTCAAAGATCAGATAGTTGTAGATATGCGGCATTATTTCTGAGGGCTCTGTTCTGTTCCATTGATCTATATCTCTGTTTTGGTACCAGTACCATGCTGTTTTGGTTACTGTAGCCTTGTAGTATAGTTTGAAGTCAGGTAGTGTGATGCCTCCAGCTTTGTTCTTTTGGCTTAGGATTGACTTGGTGATGCGGGCTCTTTTTTGGTTCCATATAAACTTTAAAGTAGTTTTTTCCAATTCTGTGAAGAAAGGCATTGGTAGCTTGATGAGGATGGCATTGAATCTGTAAATTACCTTGGGCAGTATGGCCATTTTCACGATATTGATTCTTCCTACCCATGAGCATGGAATGTTCTTCCATTTGTTTGTATCCTCTTTTATTTCCTTGAGCAGCGGTTTGTAGTTCTCCTTGAAGAGGTCCTTCACATCCCTTGTAAGTTGGATTCCTAGGTATTTTATTCTCTTTGAAGCAATTGTGAATGGGAGTTCACTCATGATTTGGCTCTCTGTTTGTCTGTTGTTGGTGTATAAGAATGCTTGTGATTTTTGCACATTGATTTTGTATCCTGAGACTTTGCTGAAGTTGCTTATCAGCTTAAGGAGATTTTGGGCTGAGACAATGGGGTTTTCTAGATATACAATCATGTCATCTGCAAACAGGGACAATTTGACTTCCTCTTTTTCTAATTGAATACCCTTTATTTCCTTCTCCTGCCTAATTGCCCTGGCCAGAACTTCCAACACTATGTTGAATAGGAGTGGTGAGAGAGGGCATCCCTGTCTTGTGCCAGTTTTCAAAGGGAATGCTTCCAGTTTTTGCCCATTCAGTATGATATTGGCTGTGGGTTTGTCATAGATAGCTCTTATTATTTTGAAATATGTCCCATCAATACCTAATTTATTGAGAGTTTTTAGCATGAAGTGTTGTTGAATTTTGTCAAAGGCCTTTTCTGCATCTATTGAGATATTCATGTGGTTTTTGTCTTTGGCTCTGTTTATATGCTGGATTACATTTATTGATTTGCGTATATTGAACAAGCCTTGCATCCCAGGGATGAAGCCCACTTGATCATGGTGGATAAGCTTTTTGATGTGCTGCTGGATTCGGTCTGCCAGTATTTTATTGAGGATTTTTGCATCAATGTTCATCAAGGATATTGGTCTAAAATTCTCTTTTTTGGTTGTGTCTCTGCCCGGCTTTGGTATCAGAATGATGCTGGCCTCATAAAATGAGTTAGGGAGGATTCCCTCTTTTTCTATTGATTGGAATAGTTTCAGAAGGAATGGTACCAGTTCCTCCTTGTACCTCTGGTAGAATTCGGCTGTGAATCCATCTGGTCCTGGACTCTTTTTGGTTGGTAAGCTATTGATTATTGCCACAATTTCAGCTCCTGTTATTGGTCTATTCAGACATTCAACTTCTTCCTGGTTTAGTCTTGGGAGAGTGTATGTGTCGAGGAATTTATCCATTTCTTCTAGATTTTCTACTTTATTTGCGTAGAGGTGTTTGCAGTATTCTCTGATGGTAGTTTGTATTTCTGTGGGATCGGTGGTGATATCCCCTTTATCATTTTTTATTGTGTCTATTTGATTCTTCTCTCTTTTTTTCTTTATTAGTCTTGCTAGCGGTCTATCAATTTTGTTGATCCTTTCAAAAAACCAGCTCCTGGATTCATTGATTTTTTGAAGGGTTTTTTGTGTCTCTATTTCCTTCAGTTCTGCTCTGATTTTAGTTATCTCTTGCCTTCTGCTAGCTTTTGAATGTGTTTGCTCTTGCTTTTCTAGTTCTTTTAATTGTGATGTTAGGGTGTCAGTTTTGGATCTTTCCTGCTTTCTCCTGTGGGCATTTAGTGCTATAAATTTCCCTCTACACACTGCTTTGAATGCGTCCCAGAGATTCTGGTATGTTGTGTCTTTGTTCTCATTGGTTTCAAAGAACATCTTTATTTCTGCCTTCATTTCGTTATGTACCCAGTAGTCATTCAGGAGCAGGTTGTTCAGTTTCCATGTAGTTGAGCGGTTTTGAGTGAGATTCTTAATCCTGAGTTCTAGTTTGATTGCACTGTGGTCTGAGAGATAGTTTGTTATAATTTCTGTTCTTTTACATTTGCTGAGGAGATCTTTACTTCCAAGTATGTGGTCAATTTTGGAATAGGTGTGGTGTGGTGCTGAAAAAAATGTATATTCTGTTGATTTGGGGTGGAGAGTTCTGTAGATGTCTATTAGGTCCACTTGGTGCAGAGCTGAGTTCAATTCCTGGGTATCCTTGTTGACTTTCTGTCTCGTTGATCTGTCTAATGTTGACAGTGGGGTGTTAAAATCTCCCATTATTAATGTGTGGGAGTCTAAGTCTGTTTGTAGGTCACTCAGGAGTTGCTTTATGAATCTGGGTGCTCCTGTATTGGGTGCATATGTATTTAGGATAGTTAGCTCTTCTTGTTGAATTGATCCCTTTACCATTATGTAATGGCCTTCTTTGTCTCTTTTGATCTTTGTTGGTGTAAAGTCTGTTTTATCAGAGACTAGGATTGCAACCCCTGCCTTTTTTTGTTTTCCATTTGCTTGGTAGATCTTCCTCCATCCCTTTATTTTGAGCCTATGTGTGTCTCTGCACGTGAGATGGGTTTCCTGAATACAGCACACTGATGGGTCTTGACTCTTTATCCAATTTGCCAGTCTGTGTCTTTTAATTGGAGCATTTAGTCCATTGACATTTAAAGTTAATAGTGTTATGTGTGAATTTGATCCGTCATTATGATGTTAGCTGGTTATTTTGCTCGTTAGTTGATGGAGTTTCTTCCTAGTCTCGATGGTCTTTACATTTTGGCATGATTTTGCAGCGGCTGGTACCAGTTGTTCCTTTCCATGTTTAGCACTTCCTTCAGGAGCTCTTTTAGGGCAGGCCTGGTGGTGACAAAATCTCTCAGCATTTGCTTGTCTGTAAAGTATTTTATTTCTCCTTCACTTATGAAGCTTAGTTTGGCTGGATATGAAATTCTGGGTTGAAAATTCTTTTCTTTAAGAATGTTGAATATTGGCCCCCACTCTCTTCTGGCTTGTAGGGTTTCTGCCGAGAGATCCGCTGTTAGTCTGATGGGCTTCCCTTTGAGGGTAACCCGACCTTTCTCTCTGGCTGCCCTTAACATTTTTTCCTTCATTTCAACTTTGGTGAATCTGACAATTATGTGTCTTGGAGTTGCTCTTCTCGAGGAGTATCTTTGTGGTGTTTTCTGTATTTCCTGAATCTGAACGTTGGCCTGCCTTGCTAGATTGGGGAAATTCTCATGGATAATACCCTGCAGAGTGTTTTCCAACTTGGTTCCATTCTCCCCATCACTTTCAGGTACACCAATCAGACGTAGATTTGGTCTTTTCACATAGTCCCATATTTCTTGGAGGCTTTGCTCATTTCTTTTTATTCTTTTTTCTCTAAACTTTCCTTCTCGCTTCATTTCATTCATTTCATCTTCCATCGCTGATACCCTTTCTTCCAGTTGATCGCATCGGCTCCGGAGGCTTCTGCATTCTTCACGTAGTTCTCGAGCCTTGGTTTTCAGCTCCATCAGCTCCTTTAAGCACTTCTCTGTATTGGTTATTCTAGTTATACATTCTTCTAAATTTTTTTCAAAGTTTTCAACTTCTTTGCCTTTGGTTTGAATGTCCTCCCGTAGCTCAGAGTAATTTGATCGTCTGAAGCCTTCTTCTCTCAGCTCGTCAAAGTCGTTCTCCATCCAGCTTTGTTCTGTTGCTGGTGAGGAGCTGCGTTCCTTTGGAGGAGGAGAGGCGCTCTGATTTTTAGAGTTTCCAGTTTTTCTGTTCTGTTTTTTCCCCATCTTTGTGGTTTTATCTACTTTTGGTCTTTGATGATGATGATGTACAGATGGGTTTTTGGTGTGGATGTCCTTTCTGTTTGTTCGTTTTCCTTCTAACAGACAGGACCCTCAGCTGCAGGTCTGTTGGAGTACCCTGCAGTGTGAGGTATCAGTGTGCCCCTGCTGGAGGGTGCCTCCCAGTTAGGCTGCTCGGGGGTCAGGGGTCAGGGACCCACTTGAGGAGGCAGTCTGCCCGTTCTCAGATCTCCAGCTGCGTACTGGGAGAACCACTGCTCTCTTCAAAGCTGTCAGACAGGGACATTTAAGTCTGCAGAGGTTACTGCTGTCTTTTTGTTTGTCTGTGCCCTGCCCCCAGAGGTGGAGCCTACAGAGGCAGGCAGGCCTCCTTGAGCTGTGGTGGGCTCCACCCAGTTCGAGCTGCTTTGTTTACCTAAGCAAACCTGGGCAATGGTGGGCGCCCCTCCCCCAGCCTCGCTGCCGCCTTGCAGTTTGATCTCAGACTGCTGTGCTAGCAATCAGCGAGACTCCGTGGGGTAGGACCCTCCGAGCCAGGTGCCGGATATAATCTCGTGGTGCGCCTTTTTTTAAGCCCGTCGGAAAAGCGCAGTATTCGGGTGGGAGTGACCTGATTTTCCAGGTGCCGTCTGTCACCCCTTTCTTTGATTAGGAAAGGGAACTCCCTGACCCCTTGCACTTCTCCAGTGAGGCAATGCCTCGCCCTGCTTCGGCTCGCGCACGGTGCGCGCACCCACTGACCTGCGCCCACTGTCTGGCACTCCCTAGTGAGATGAACCCGGTACCTCAGATGGAAATGCAGAAATCACCCCTCTTCTGCGTCGCTCAGGCTGGGAGCTGTAGACTGGAGCTGTTCCTATTCGGCCATCTTGGCTCCTCCGAAAGCATAACTTTTATATGCACTGAGAAACCAAAAAATTGTGTGACTTGCTTTATTGTGATATTCCCTTTATTTCAGTGGTCTGGAATGGAACCCCTCACAATATCTCTGAGATATGCCTGTATTTCTGAGTGTGTCTATGTGGGTATTTCCAGAAGAGATTAGCATTTGAATCACTAGACTGAGTAAAAAGGATCACTGCTGATGTAAGCAGGCATCCTCCAATTTGTTGAGAACCTGAACAGAGCAAAAAGTCCGAGTAAGGACAAATTCTCTCTTTCTTCTTGAGTGAGGACATTTATCTTTTCCTGGGAAATCAAAGCTCTTGGTTCTCAGGCCTTTGGACTTGAACCGAATTATGCCACTGGTTTTCCTGGTTCTTCAGCTTGCAGATGGCATATTGTGGGATTTCACCTCCATAATCAGGTAAGCCAATTTCCATAAGTCTGCTCTTATATTTATAAATCTATATATTGGTTCCGTTTGTCTGGAGAACTCTACTAATAAAGTATCAAAATTTTGTGTATGTGTGTGTATGAATATCCAATTGTTCTAGTACCATTTGTTGGAAGCCTCTGTCTTCTCTACTGCATTGCCTTTGTAACTTTGTTGAAATTCAGTAGTTCATATATGTGTGGATATGGTTCTGGACTCTATTCTGTTCCACTCATCCATTTGTTTATCTATGTGCCAATAGTATACTCTCTATTACTGTAGTTTGATATGCCTAGAAATCATACAGAGTTAGCTTTTCTACTTTGTTCTTTCTACAAGTTGTTTTGGCTATTATAGGTCCTTTGCATTTACACATGAGTTTTAGACTTACCTTGTCTGCTTTTCCAAAAAAGCCTGCAGAGATTTTGATTGAAATTGCATTGAAACAATACAGTAGTCCCCCATTATCCATGGGTTTCCTTTCCTCAGTTTCAGTTACCCACAGTCATCTGAAGTCTGAAAATAAATGAGTGCAGTACAATAAAATATTTAGAGAGAGAGAGAACATTCACATAACCTTTATTACAGTATATTGTTATAATTGTTCTATTTTATTATTTGTTGCTGTTGCTAATCTCTTACTGTGCCTAATTTATGAATTAAATGTTATTGTAAGTATGTATGTATAGGAAAAAACAGTGTATATTGGGTTCAGTACTATCTGAGGTTTCAGACATCCTCTGGGGTTCTTGGAACATATTCCTCACAAATAAGGGGGCACTAGTACAATTAAATTTGGGTATAATCAATGTCTTAACAACCTTGAACCTTCAGACACATGGACTAAGCATATATTTTCTGTTTTAAAATCTTGTTGAATCTTTCTCAGTAATATTTTATACTATTCAGGGTACAGTTCTTACACATCTTTTGTTAGATTTATCCCTACTATAAATGATATTTTAAAAATTCAATTTCTGATTGTTCATTGCTAGTACATGAACATAGTATAGATTTTAAGTATGTATCTTGATGCTGCAATCTTGCTAAACTCACTTAGATCTAATTGCCTTTTTGGTAGATTTTTCCAATCTGGATGCCTTTCATTTCTTTTTCTTGTCTACTGCAGTGGTTAGAACCTTTGGGATGATGTCGAATAAAAGTTGCAAGAGTGAACACTGTTGTCTTATTCCTGCTCTTATAGTAATTTTTTCAAAAGAAAGTACATGCCCTTAACCAGCTTGAAAACATTTTCATATATTCCTAATTGGCCAAGACATTTTCATACATACATATCATTAACAGATGTTGGATTTGTGACATGACTTTTCTGTGTCTATTGAGATAATCATATGGTTTTTCTTGTTCAGTTTTTTGACATGGTGAATGAATTTTTGCATGTTAAACCAATCTTATACGTTTTTGGATAAGCTCCATTTGGTCATAATGTTATCTTTGTTATACATTGTTATAACAATATATTATGACAAAATATATCACATAATCGTACTATGTAATATATTTCATATATTACTATTATAATATCTGTGATATATTATTCTCATTATATTTTCTGATTTTAAGAGTTTTTGCATCTATGGTCATAAGATGTATATCTATCTATATCTATATCTGTGTAGTTTTTTTCTTTTAATATCTTTGTCTTTTTCAATTTTTTAATATTTTAAATTGGGGCAACACCTGCTTAAATGTCTTAGTCCTCAGAGAATGAGAAGGAAGTATTGCCTCCTCTTTGGTTTTCTGGAATAGTTTGTGTAGAATTGTTATTATTTCCTCCTTAATATTTGGTGGAACTCATTAGTTAAGAAACTGTAGTTTATGGGAAGAAATTCAACTTTTACATTATAAAATAAATTTAACTTATTAGAACTACAAGTTAAAATTTTAAAACTAGAAATTAAATTTCCTCAATAAATATACGGCTACTCAACCTATCTATTTCATCTTGAATGAGCTTGGCAGTCTGTGTCTTTCAAAGAGTTTATCCATGTCATCTAAGTTTTCAAATTTATTGCTACAAAGTTTTTATCATCCTTTAAATATGTGTAAAATCTGTAGTGATGTCACCTCTTGTTTCTGATGTTGGTAAATTTGTACCTTCTCTCTTTTTTTCCTGGTCAATCTAGCTATAAGTTTTTCAATTTTATCTTTTCAAAGAATTAGCTTTTGGTTTCTTTAATGTTCTCTCTTTTTTTGTTTTCTATTTCATTGATTTCCACTTTGATATTTGCTATTTTCTTTCATCTGCTTACTTTCGATTTAATTTGCTCTTCTTTCCCTGGTTTCTTAAGATAGACACTAAGGTCATTGATTTGAGAACTTTCTTCTTTTCTAATGTAAGCATTTAATGGTATTTCATGAATTTATTTATTTTTCCACCGCTACTGAGGCAAGATCCTTCTGAGTACTGTATGCATTGTCCATTTTCCAGTCTGTGGATTTCCAGTCTTTGGCTGGCAGGTACAGTCACTATTATGGTCCTGTGTTATTACTGGGTTTCCTCTAATCTTTTCTGGTAATTTTTCCCACAGCCTCTGATAGTTTCCTCACATTCATGGACTGATTGCTACTCAGATGAAAACTCAACAAGGGTCCTCTGCAGCCCTCTCCTCTGCAGTACTCAATTCTGTGTGCTGTAGCCACCTTGTTCTCACTGGATTCTTATCTCCATCTCAAATCAAGGGATCTGCTGGGCTCCTCCGGGGCTCCCCCTTCCTTGGCTATAGCTTAGAAACTCCCAAGGCAGGACTTTGGGGCAATCATAGAGTTGACCTCATTTATTTCCTATCTCTCAGAGATTAGTATCCTTTGTTGTCTAACACTAAGTGTCTTGAATGTCATTGTTTCATATATTTTGTCTGTTTTGCTCTGGTTGTTGGTTTTTTTTTTTTTTCTCTTTCTCTCTGTATGTGTATGTGTGCTGGGGGTGGAGGGTGAGATTTAGTTGCTTCATTTTGATCCTCATTTTCTCCTGATCCCACTCAAGGAAGGATTTTATTTTATTATTTTACCCATAACTGCTCTCGTCGAAGTCAATGATGACATTCCATTGTTAACTCTAATATTCATGTACTAATCCTCATAATACCAGAGCTATTAGTAGAAGTTGGCCTATTTGATCAAGCTGTTTTGAAACATTTCCTTCACCTGGCTTTCAGGACACTACATTTTATTTTGTTTTTCTCTGTCTTTCTGACTCTACTTTCTCAATTTATTTTCTGAATCATCCATATCATTTCCTGACCTTTACATATTGTAGTTCCTTGGAGCTCAGTTCTTAGATATCTTATTTTTCTTCATTAACTTCCTCTCATCTAGTGTCATGACTTTAAATACCACCTCTGTACTTGTGGCTCCCAAATTTCTGTCTCTAGCCTGAACTCAAAACTTACATATCCATTTGTCTAACCAACATCTCCACCCGGATATTTAATTGGCATCTTACACTTAACATGTTTGAAATAAAATTCCCAAGATTCCTCCTCAAACCTGATCCTCCTGCAGTCTTTCTCATCTCAGTAAAAGCCATTTCTGGGCTGGGCACAGTGGCTCACGCCTGTAATCCCAGCAGTTTGGGAGGCTGAGGTGGGTGGGTCACAACGTCAAGAGATCGAGACCATCCTGGCCAACATGGCAAAACCCTATCTCTACTAAAAATACATAAAAAATAGCCAATGTGGTGGCGTGCACCTGTAGTCTCAGCTATTCGGGAGGGTGAAGCAGGAGAATCGCTTGAACCTAGGAGGCCAAGGTTGCAATGAGCCGAGATTGAGCCACAAAACTCCAGCCTGGTGACAGAGTGAGATTCCATCTAAAAAAAAAATTAATAAAAAAATAAAAAAATAAATTCTGTCCTTCTAATTGTTTAAGCCAAAAACCATGGTTCTGTCCTTATTGTCTCCCTTTCTCTCACATTCTACATCTGATCTGATAGTACATCATTCGGCTTCATATTTAAATCTCTCTCCTAAACCTATTACTTCTTATTTATCTCCACTGCCACCACCTGGGCTTAGCAATCATCATTTCCTGCCAGGATTGTTTCCATTATCTCCTTACTATTTCCCACTCTGCCTGTCTTCAGTCAGCAAAGCAGCCACAGTGATCCTGTCATCACAGTTTCCATGGTCAGATCGTGTCATTTTTCTGCTCAAAACCCTCCATGCTTCCCATCTTACTCAAAGTAAAAGAAGAGTTCTTATTATGACATACTCCCTACATGATCTGCTCTCTGCTGGTCTTAGTCTTCTCAGGTTACTATAACAGAATACCATAGACTGGGTAGCTTAAAAAACAGCATTTATTTCTCATAGTTCTGGAGGTTGGGAAGTCCAAGAACAAGAACAAATTGCCAACAGGTTTGACTCCTGGTGAGGGCTCCCTTCCTAGCTTCTTGCTGAGTCCTCACATGGAGGAGAGAGAGTTCTGGTCTCATTTTCTCTCCTTATAAGGACACTAGTTCCATCATGGGGTCTTACCTTCAAATATCATTACATTGGTGTTTAGAGCTTCAACAGATAAATTTTGGGGGACACAATCATTTAGTCCATAGCACTGGCCAACACCACACCTTCCCTCTTATCTCTCTGACATAATCTATACATGCTTTATCTTCCTCATTCTGTTTAAGCTTGTCTGGTATCCTCACTGTCCTTGAATATAATAGGCATGATCCTATATCAGGGCCTTTGGACTTCCTATTTTTGTTGATTGGACTGCCTCCTCCCTGCCCCCAAGGAATCAATATGGCTCACACATTCTTTTCTTCATCCTCCTTTTCCCTTTTTGTTCTTCTCCTCAAAAGTCTTCCTAGAAAGGACTTCTCTCGTTACTTTATTTAAATTTTCACCCAACCAAATACCTTATCTCTATTCCCTGCTTTATTTATTTTCTTTTTAGCGTTTATCACTCTCTAACTTATGATGTATTTCACTTTTTAATTTTTTTTGTCTGCACCAACCACTAGAATGTGGTTGGTGGGGCCAGGCACTCTTTTAGGTAGAAAGACTATAGCAAAGAATAAAATAGAAAAGTCTTTGCCTAGAAGAGTGCCTGACCCATAGTAGAAGCACAATGGATATTGATATCAAATGAATGGATTCTGTTTTTTCCTCAGAGAAGACCACTTTGATATGGGAGAATAGATTGTAGAGGGCTGTAGTGGAAGCAAGAGAAAAATTATTAACAGGAGTCCAGGTCAGAGGAGCAGTGGCTCAGGTTAGGCTTATAGCAATGGAGATAGTTGGATTCGAGGTTTATTTGGGAGGTAGAGTCAATCAGCCTTGCTTAAAGATGTTGAGAGGAAAGTGGTAATCATAGATGACACCTATATGTTCATCTTAAGCAATTGGCTAGAAAGTATTGCCATTTCTTAAGGTGAGGAAGATGGAGTCAGGAACTAATTTTCTGGGGCTGATAATTAAAAGTTCTATTTGATATTTTAAATTCGAGTTGCTGTTAAACATCATATAAAGCAACTGAAGAAAACAGTGTTCAAGATACAAATATGGGAATCATTGGTGTCTAGGTGAAAACTAAGGACAGATTGTAGGTAGATATGACTAGAGGGCTACCTACAGTACACACTAAATTGGCGTATATATTTGGGTACATGATTTGAGTCTATTTGAAGTCAATGATCTCTTTGTTTACCCACCAATACCACCTACAGTGGTTCATGTGACTCTATAGAATGTTTGATACCTGGTATGGCAAGCTCCTGTTTGTTTAAAAAAAGTTGTCTTGACTATTTTTGCACTTTTCTTTCAGATGGGATTCCTTATCTACTTGTCAAGTTCCAAGGGAAAAATATTGAGGGGTTAATTTGAATTGCTTTGAATTTATTAACTTATTTGATGAGAATTGATGTCGTTACATGCAAGATCCTGGTATGTCAGGTTTTCTCTTACCTGAAAATCACTTTTCAGCATATTTGTACAATTCTTTTCAAGTCTTAATATTTCTGGGTATTTTTTTGGATGTCTTAGTTTTATCTCCATTTTGAATGGGCACAGTTTTGATTCCACTTTAAAATTGGACAGTTGCATATACATTAAAAAGATACAATTTGGGGGTAACTCCCTTATTAGAATTATTGACTCTAATAGTTTTCCAGGTAATTTTCTTGAAACATTTATATAATGTGAAAATAATAACTTTTAAAAGTTTCTTTTTAATTTTTTATACATCATTTCTTTTTCTAAAATCTGTTTTCCCATTTCATTGGCTAGTAACAATAATAATAATAATAGGTTTCCTTGTATTTCCCGTCTTTGATGTGAATGCCTCCAACATTTCATCTTTGTGACTCTCTAAGTTAAGGATGTTTCCTTTTATTCCTACTTTACTGAGAGTTTTAAATTAGGAATATGTCAAATTTTTTTAAGGCTCTATCAGGACAATAATATTTTTCTTAATCTAGTAATTTATGAATGTAGTGACTACAGAAATAGAATTCTAAATGTTGAACCATCCTTATATTCCTTATATAAAACATTACTGATCATAATGCATTCTTCTCTTAATAAATTATGATATTTAACCTAAAAATATGACATTAAACCATCCTTATATTCCTTATATAAAACATTACTGATCATAACGCATTCTTCTCTTAATAAACTACAATGTTTAACCTAAAAATATGATGTTAAAACTTTTTAATAAGCTTGCTCTCTAGGTGTGTGTGTGCTGGATAGGGATGGTGTGATAACTGTGCTCTCCTTGGCTGATTTTGGCATCAGAATGAGATACAATAGCTTTTCTCTCTTCCTGTAAGTGAGGTGTTAACTTTCTGTGTTTTCCTTCTGGTTTTGGAACGGGTTAGGTAACAACAAATATGCCTTTCTTTAGGTTTAATAAAACATGCTGTAAACATATCTGGGTATGTTTTCATTTTGAGAGTGTAGCTTGCCTAACTTCTACATTTCTTTTATGATTACTGGTATATTCATGTTATTTATGTTTTCTCCTTAATCTTGAATTGATTTTGTTAAAATAACCCATCAATTTCAAATATATACTGTATTTTTGTTGGTATAAATTATCACATAATTAAATACATTGTAAATGTATTTAAAATTTTTTATTCTTTCAGATATTTTATAATGCAACTTTATGTATTATTTGAATTTCATCATTCTATATTGAAAAAGAAAATGTTAAAAAAACTTCAAAATGAATTATATGCAAATGCTTGGCACATTTACTATGTAAGTTAGCTTACTATTACTTATTATTAAAATGTTATTGGACTAACTGAAGTAAAATATATATAGAAATGCCATGCATTTAATTTAAATGGCATCTTTAGTATCTCCAGTTGCACAGTAGATTAGCACATGGTACTTATAAATGATATATTCATTTTATGCTATAAATTTAGAACTTCATTAGGGAGAGATCATGTCTTATTTGTTTTTACCAATCTAGCATGTAGCCCAAGTAAAATGCTCTTAGGTAATGTAGCTTAATGAAGGATTAAATGAAAAGTTTATTTCATGATTACTTATTAAAAGAAAAGCAAAGAAATACTTTTGTGTTTATTATAAAGTTTTAGGGTTTAAGTCTAACTACATTTCTTACATAAACCACAAAAATTTACATCATTAAAATAATTAACACTATCAAAACTATTAATACTTTGGTAAAGTATAAACATTCATGGAGTGTACTTTTTAAATATGGGAGAGCAGCTAGGGCATTTGGGGACAGTGCTGATACAATTTCAACTGAAAAAATAACAATGTGTGTTACAATGAATACATTTGTGACTTTTGAAGATTTGACGTTTAAAATATTTGAAAAATTACAGAAAAATACCTGGTGGTTGTTATTTTATCTCTGACATAATAATTTAAAATATATTTGAAAAATTTTGTGGGTTGCAATTTTTTTAGCAGTTATTTTTCTCAGTAAGTTATTTTCCAAAGTAACAAGTAGATGGCATTATATCACTATTCTTAACAGTATTATAATACAATTCTTAGCATAATGATAATGCTCTAGAAACAAATTTCATCAAGTTGTTTTTTATCTTGAATTAGTCAGCAAAATGAACGGGTTTATTCTAATTAAATAGAGCTTAAGATGACGATATTTTAAGAATATAATATGGCTTGTTGTTTCCTCAAAATAATTGTGTCACAAAATAATGGCTAAACATTAAATATTTATTAAGAAAAATAAAACAACACGGGAATAAAATTTCCTGAATCACTTTGCACTTAACAATATGGTAAAATCTTAAGTTGTTCCTGAGTCTTGAGAAGAGATAATAGATAGTTAATTATATTTCTTCAATAAATACAATGTCAAAATAGTGCATATGAATCTACATGTCAAAATAGTGATGACTGTAAGGATAATCATAATTGTTCCTTAAATTTTTATGTCATTTATAAAATTTTCAGCCCATTAGCAACATATTATCTCATTACAAAAATGTGCTTAATCATATTAAATGCACCGAAATCATTAGAAAAATGATTCTCTGATTCTGTGGGGCCTTAGAAAGAAAGGCTCTCAATAAAAGACTTTTCTGTGTAGTTGGTTTTCCACAATTTAGCTGTGCATAAGTGCATTTTGAAAAGATGTATATACTTTGTATGAAAATGACTCTATGTAAGTTCACTAGAATGAAAAGGAAACATGCCCTCATTACAGGGAAAGTGAATACACCTGAGATTTGTTTGATAGTGATATCCACTTCCTTCCTACCCTCACTCCCTCCTTAACCACTGACAACAATGAATCTGTTTTCCATTTCTACACTTTTGTCATTTCAAGGATATTATATAAATGAATTCATACACTATATAATCTTTTGGCATTGGCATTTTTCACTCAGCACAATTCTCTGGAGATTTATTCATACCATTGTGTGGATTAATAGTTTGTTCCTTTTTATTGTTGAGTAATATTCCATTGTACAAAGTACCACAATTTGCTTAACCGCACGTTTGTTGAAGGATATTGAGTTGTTTCTCATTTTGGGTTATTATGCATAAAGATGCTGTAAACTTTTGTCTACAAATTTCACCTGTATGTTAATTTAGGAAGAACTGACAGCTTTACTATATTGCATCTTCTGATCTATGAACATGTAAGGTCTCTCCATTATTTCAGTATTCTTTGATTTCCTTCATTAATATTTGTAGTTTTCAGCATATAAGATCTGTACATATTTTGTTAGATATACAAGTAGATGTTTTATTTTGAACAATTAGAAATTGTATTTAATTAGAAATTTTTAAAATTTTTCGTTGGTACATAGTAGATGTATATATTTATGGAGTACATGAGATATTTTGATATAGGCATACAGTGTGTGATAATCACATCAGGATAAATGGGATAGCCATCACCTCAAGCACTTAATCATTTCTTTCTGTTACAGACATTCCAATTATGCTCTTTTAGTTATTTAATAATGTACAATAAATTATTGTTGACTGTAGTCACTATGTTGTGTTATCAAATACTAGATCTTATTCATTCTAACTATACTTTTATAGCCACTAAACATCCTCACTTCTCTCCCTCTCCATCTGTTGATGGACACTTAGGTTGATTCCAAATCTTGGCTATTGTGAATTGTGCTGCAATAAACATGGGGGTGCAGATATCCCTTTGATATACTGATTTCCTTTCTTTGGGGTATATGTCTAGCAGTGAGATTGCTGGATCATGTGGTAATTCTATTTTTAGTTTTTTAGGAACTACCAAACTGTTTTCCATAGTGACTGTACTAATATACATTGCCACCAACAGTGTAATAGGATTCTCTTTTCTCCATATCCTCGCTGGCTTTTGTTATTGCTTGTCTTTTGGATAAAAGCCATTTTAACTGGGGTGAGATGAGATCTCATTGTAGTTTTGATTTGCATTTCTATAGTGATCAATGATGTGGAGCACCTTTTCATATACCTGTTTGCCATTTTTAAAAAATTTTTAATATTTGTGTATACACAGTAGGTGTATATATTTATGGAGTATTACATGAGTTGTTTTGATACGGGCATGCAATAATCACATCATATAACATGGAATATTCATGCCCTCAAGCATTTATCCTTTATGTTACAAGCAATCCAATTATACGCTTTAAGTTATTTTAAAATGTACAATTAAATTATTATTGACTGTAGTCACCCTGTCGTGCTATCAATTACTAGGTCTTACTCATTCTTTCTATTTTTTTTGTACCCATTAACTATCCTCACCTCTCCCCTACCTTCCCACCCCTTCCCAGTTTCTGGTAACCATCCTACTCTGTCTTTAAGAGTTCAATTATTTTGACTTTTAGATCCCACAAATAAGTGAGAACATGCGATGTTTGCATTTCTGTGCCTGTCTTATTTCACTTTACACCATGACCTCCAGTTCCATCCATGTTGTTACAAACAACAGGCTCTCATTCTTCTTTTATGACTGAATAGTACTCCATTGTTTGTGTGTATCACATTTTCTTTATCCATTCATCTGTTCATGGACATTTAGGCTGCTCCCAAATTTTTGTTGTTGTGAATTGTGCTGCAGCAAACACGGGAGTGCAGATATCTCTTTGATACACCGATTTTCTTTCTTTTGGGTATATATCCAGCAGTAAGATTGCGACTTTTCATGACAGCTCTATTTTTAGGTTTTTGGGGAACCTCCAAGCTAATCTCCTTAGTGATTATACTAAATTACATTCCCACCAACAGTGTACGAGGGTTCCCTTTCCTCCACATCCCTGCCAGCATTTGTTATTGCCTATCTTTTGGACATAAGCCATTTTAACTGGGGTGAGATGATATCTCATTGTAGTTTTGATTTGCATTTCTCTAGTGATCAGTGATATTGAGCACCTTTTTGTATGACTGTTAGTCATTTTTGTATGTCTTCTTTTGAGAAATGTCCATTCAGACCTTTTCGTCCATTTTTAAGTCAGATGATTAGATTTTTTCCCCTGTAGAGTTGCTCGAGCTCCTTGTATATTCTGGTTACTAATCCCTTCTCAGATGAGTAGTTTGCAAATATTTTCTCCCACTCCTTGGGTTGTCTCTTCACTCTGTTGATTGTTTCCTTTGCTGTGCAGAAGCTTTTTATCTTGATATGATCTCATTTGTCCATTTTTGCTTTAGTTGCTTGTGGTTGTGGAGTAATACTCAAGAATTTTTTGCCCAGCCTAATGTCCTGGAGAGTTTCCCTGATGTTTTCTTGTAGTGGTTTCATAGTTTGAGGTCTTAGACTTAAGTCTTTAATACATTTTGATTTGATTTTCGTAATATGGTGAGAGACAGGGGTCTCATTTTATTCTTCTGCATATGGATATCCAGTCTTCCCAGCACCGTTTATTGAAGAGACTTTTTTTCCCAGTGCATGTTCTTGGCACCTTTGTCGAAAATGAGTTCACTGTAGATGTATGGGTTTCCTTCTGTGTTTTCTATTCTGTTCTATTGGTCTATGTGTCTGTTTTCATGCCAGTACCATGCTGTTTTAGTTACTATAACTCTGTAGTATAATTTGAAGTCAGGTAGTATAATTTCTCCAGTTTTGTTCTTTTTGCTTAGTATAGCTGTGGCTATTCTGGGTCTTTTGTGGTTCCATATACATTTTAGATTTTTTTTTCTACTTTTGTGAAGAATGTCATTGGTATTTTGACAGAGATTGCATTGGCTCTGTAGATTTCTTTGGGTAGCATGAGCATTTTAACAATATTGAGTCTTCCAATCCATAAATGTGGAATATTTTTCCATTTTATTGTGTCTTCTCTAATTTCTTGCATCAATATTTTATAATTTTTATTGTAGAGATCTATCACTTCTTTGGTTAAATTTACTCTTAGGCATTTTATTTTATTTCTAGCAATTGTAAATGGGATTACATTCTTAAATTATTTTTCAGATAGTTCACTGTTGGAGTATAGAAATGCTACTGGTTTTTATACGTTGATTTTGTATCCTGCCACTTTACTGAACTTGTTTATCAGTTCTCCAGTTTTTTGGTCGATCTTAGAGGAAAAGCTTTCAGTTTCTTCCTATTCAGTGTAATACTAGCTATGGGTGTGTTGTATATTTGGTTTTTATTGTGTTAAGGTATGTTCCTTTTATACTCAGATTTTTTAGGATTTTTATCATGAAGGAAGGTTGAATTTTATCAAATGCTGTCTTGGCATCAATTGAAATTATATGGTTTTTATCCTTCAATCTGTTGATATGATATATCGCATTGATTGGTTTACATATGTTGAGCCACCCTTGCATCCCAGGGATGAATTCTAATTGGTCATGATGAACGATCTTTTTAATGTGTTGTTGAATTCAGGTTCCTAGTATTTTGTTGAGGATATTTGCATCTATGTTCATCAGAGACATTGGCCTTTAGTTTTCTTTCTTTTTTTTTTATGTGTCTTTGTCTAGTTTTGGTATCAGGGTAATACTGATCTCATAGAATGAGTTTGGAAGTATTTCCTCCCCCTCTACTTTTTGGAATAGTTTGAGTGAAATTCGTATTAGTTCTTTAAGTGTTTGGTACAATTCAGCAGTGAAGCCATCAAGTTCTGGGCTGCTTTGCTGGGATAATTTTTATTACAGCTTTGATCTTATTACTTATTGGTATATTCATGTTTTGGATTTCTTCATGGTTCAATCTTGGTAGGTTTTATGTGTCTAGGAATTTATCCATTTTTTTAGGTTTTCCAATTTATTAACATATAGTAGCTCATAGTAGTCTCTAAAGATCCTTTGAATTTCTGTATCATCAGTTTTAATGTCTCCTTTTTCATCTCTGATTTTATTTATTTGGGTCTTCATTATTTTTTTCTTAGTCTAGTTAAAAGGTTGTCAATTTTGCTTATCTTTTCAAAAGACCAACTTTTCATCTTGTTGATCATTTGTATTTTTTTGTTTCTATTTCATTTATTTCTCCTGTGATTTTAATTATTTCTTTTCTTGTGCTAGTTTTGAGTATGGTTGCTCTTGCTTTTCTAGTTCTTTAAGATGCATCCTTAGGTTGTTTATTTGAAGCTTTTCTACCTTCTTGATATAGGCACTTATTGCTGTAAATTTTCCTCTCAGTATGGCTTTTGCTGTCTCTCATAGGTTTTGGTATGTTGTGGTTCTGTTTTCATTTGCTTCAGGAAATTTTTCAGTTTTTTTCTTAATTTCTTCATTGACCCACTGGTCATTCAGGACCATATTGTATAATTTCCATGTGTTTGGGTAGTTTCCAAAGTCCCTCTTGTTATTGATTTCTAGTTTTATTCTATTGTGGTCAGAGATGATACTGGATGCGATTTCAATTTTTTTTAATGTTTTAAGACTTGTTTTGCATCCTAACATATGGTCTGTCTTTGAGTATGATCCATATGCTAAGAAGAAGAATGTGTATTCTGTAGCTGCTGCATGAAATGTTCTGTAAATATCTATTTGGTGTAGAGTGCTGATTTTTTTGCCTGGAAGATCTGTCCAATGCTGAGAGTGGCATCCTAAGTCTCCAGCTATTATTTTATTGGGATCTATCTCTCTCTAGCTCTAATAATATTTGCTTTATATATTTGGATGCTCCAATGTTGGGTGCTTATACATTTACAATTGTTACATCCTTTTGCTGCATTGACCCCTTTATCATTATATAATGACTTTCTTTGTCTCTTTTTATAGTTCTTTTGAAACTCCTGCTGTTTTTTGGTTGCCATTTGCATGGAATATCTTTTCTCATCCCTTTATTTTCATTCTGTGTGTGTTGTATTTATAGGTGAAGTTTTGTTTTGTTTTGTTTTGTTTTGAGACGGAGTCTCGCTCTGTCACCCAGGCTGGAGTGCAGTGGTGCGATCTCGGCTCACTGCAAGCTCTGCCTCCTGGGTTCACGCCATTCTCCTGCCTCAGCCTCCCGAGTAGCTGGGACTAAAGGCACCTGCCACCATACCCAGCTAATTTTTTGTATTTTCAGTAGAGACGGGGTTTCACCGTGTTAGCCAGGATGGTTTCGATCTCCTGACCTCATGATCCGCCTGCCTCAGCCTCCCAAAGTGCTGGGATTACAGGCGTGAGCCACCGTGCCTGGCCGGTGAAGTTTGTTTCTTATAGGCAACAGATTGTTGGATCTTGTTATTATTTTATTCTTTCAGCTACTCTATGTGTTTTGATTGGAGAGTTTAGTACATTTACATTCAATGTTATTAATAAGTAAGGACTTATCCCTACCATTTTGTTATTTGTTTTCTTTTTTTGTTGTTATTTGTTTTCTGGTTGTTTTGTGATCTTTTCTTCCTTCCATCTTTCCTTCCTTCATTTTTGTGAAGGTTATTTTCTTTGGTGGTATGTTTCTTGCTTTTTATTTTTTGTGTATATGTTGTAGGTTTTTAAATTTGAAGTTACCATGAGGCTTGCAAATAATATCTTATAACCCAATATTTCAAACTAATGACAACTTAATACTGATTGCAAAAGCAAAGTAAAAAACAAGCAAAGATGAAACTAATAAAAAAACTGCATTAGCTGTGTCTAACATTTTAATATGTTACATTTTTATTTTCTTTTTAATTTATTATAAAAAATTTCCCTTGAGACTTTCTCTTTGACCCATGAATTATTTGGACATGAATTGTTATTTTTGAAGTGTCTGTAGATTCGCCTGTTATCTTATCATTATTGGTTTCTAGTTTCATTTTATTGTGGTTGGATATTATATTTTGTGTGATTTCAACTCTTTTAAATTTGTTGGGGTTTGTTTTATGACCCAGGATGTGGTCTTTCTTGGTATGTGTTTTATTGGCACTTAAAAAGAGTGTTTATTCTGCTGTCTTTGGGTGGAGTATTCCAAAAGTGTTAATTAGATTTTGCTGGTTGATGGTGTTACTATTTGTATCCTTGCTAATATTCTGTCTAGTTGTTCAGTCAATTATTGATAGAGGAGTTTTGAGAGATCCAACTATTATTGTGGATTTGGCTATTTCTTTTTTCAGTTCAATTGATTGAACTGAAAAATTGCTTCACATATTTTGCATCTCTGTTGTTGGGTATGTATACATTTAGGATTGCTGTGTCTTTTGGATGGATTATGAAATCATCACTATATGATGTTACTCTCTGTCTCTGGAAGATTTTCTTTTTTTTATGCTCTGAAGTCTACTTTATCTGATATTAATGTAGCCACTCTTGCTTTTGTTTGATTAATGTTTGCATGCCATATCTTTTACTTTCAGCCTGCCTCTATTGTCATATTTGAAGTGAGTTTCTAATAGAGTTCATATTGTTGGGTCATGCTTTTTATCCACTCTGCCAACCTCTGTCTTTAATTGGAAGAGATTTGTAATTTTTTATTTTCTGCTTGTTTTTTCTGTTTTTCATTTCTTATTTGCTTTTTCTTACCTTCTTATGGGTTACTTATACCTTTTTAGAGTTCTCTTTTAATTTGTCAATAGTGTTTTTGAGTGTATCACTTTGTATAGCTTTGTTCAGTGGTTGTTCTATGTATTACACTACACATATGTAACTCTTTATAGTCTACTGTCATCATTTTTCCAGTTTGAATGAAATATGCTTACTTCTCTTTAAGCTGCTTTACTTTTCCCAATTTATAACATTATTTAAAAAAATTTTTTCTACATATATTTAGAACAACATCAGATGATGTTAAGATTTTTCTTTCTTCTGTCAAACATAATTTAGAAAACTCAAAAGGAGAAAAATGGTATTTACCCATCTTATTGTTTATCATATTATTTCTCTCTTCCTGATGTCCCAAGGCTGCTTCTTTTATTATTATTATTATTTTCTATTTAGGAAACTTCTGTTAGCTACTCTTTTATTCTTTTTATTTAAAAAAAATGATTTTTTTTTGTTTTCCCTTCATCTTATTAAAAAAAGTCTTTATTGCCCCTTCATTCCTGAAAGATATTATCACTGGGTATAGGATTCTGGATTGGCAGTTCTTTTCTTTTAGTGCTTTGAAAACAATATGGCTATTCTTTCTGGCCTCCATAGTTTCTGATGAGTAGTATGCTGCTATTCAAATTGTTTTTACTTTATAAGAAGTAGTTGTTTCTCTTTTGATTCTTTAAAAACATTTTCTTCATTTTAAGTTTTGAAAAATTTAACTGTGGGGGGTCTTGGTGTGTATTTCTTTCACTTATCTTGATTGGGAATCATTCAGCTTCATGAATCTGTAGATTTATGTATTTTGTGAAATTTGAGGAGTTTTCTTCCATTTTTTTGAGTACTTGTCTAGCCCTGTTCTCTTTCTCCTCTCCTTTTGGAACCCCAGTAATCTGAACTTCAGATTTTTGTTATCATTTAATAGTTCCTGAGGTTCTGTTTTTTCTATGTGTGTATGTATTTATTTATTTATTTTAGTATATTCCCTTTCCGTTGTTCAGATTGGGTAATTTCTATTACTTTATGTTCAAGTTCATGGATTTTTTAAAATTCTGTCTCACCATTTTGCTCTTGAGTCCATCCATTGAGTTGTTTATTTTGCTTATTGTATTTTTCAGCTCTAGAATTTCCCCTTGCTTATTTTTTATGTCATTTATTTTCTTGCTGAGACTTTTTTTCATTTGTTTCAAGTGTGTTCATAGTTGCTTATTAAAACATTTGTATGATGGTGGCTTTGAAATTGTCGTCGAATAATTGTAATATTTCTGTCATTTCTGTGTTGGCGTATGTCATACATTTTCATTCAGTTTGAGATCTTCCTGGTCGTGGTATAAGGAGTGATTTTTGACCAAAGCCTGGGCATTTGGGGTAGTATGTTATGAGACTGCATCTCAGTTAGCTTTCCACTTTAGCAGGCTCTTTGTGACACCATTCTGGAAGGACAAGGAAGGGGCATGTCCTCATTACAGCCAGATAGGGGAAAATCCAGGTTCCTCACTCAGCCTCCATTGACATCCAAAGCTGGGGCTTTGCATTATTACTGGGTGGAAGTGGAAGCTCAGTAGCTGAGTAGGCCTCCACTGGGAGTGGCTGGGAGTGGTAGGCATGCCTCATTCCTGATGCTCACATGGCACCCCTGACACAATAAGGTGGGTGGCATCATTACCACTGGGTGGTGTGGAAGGTCCTGATGCTTCCCCAGGCCTCCTTTGACACACTTCAGTTGCAGGAGGGAGCCTCATTTATGCCAGGCTGGAGTGGAAGTCCAAGCTGCCCATGTGCTCTCTGCTGATGCCATTGCAGCTCTCTAGTCTAGTCTGACACCATATCAGCAGTGGGTGGTGTTTCTTTATGGCCCGGCAATGGTGGGAGCCTAGGCTCATGCTCAGCTCTCGCTGGTGTGGCTGGGGATGGAGCCGGTTTTTTTTGTCCTGTGGTTTTATGGCTTCCATAAAGCAGTACTTTTCTAAAAATTTTCTGTCTTGCTAAAGAGCTCCCTCTTTATCTATTTGCTAGACAGAGTAAGTTACTTGGAACTTTCTTTGTCTGGGCACACTGAGTTTCCAGCTTCTCCAGAAATCTATCTGGGATGTATGAGGCAAAAAGAAAGCCCAGGAAACTCACTGCTTTGTCATTGCTTGGGTCCAGAGAACCCCAGCCACTCTGCCTTAGTCTTTCCACCTTTCAGTGTCTACTTATGTCTGCTTAATATAAAATGAGAAGGGTTTTTACTTTTACTTAGTGGAAAGAACAGATAAAAATATGTCTGTACCATCATCCCAGAAGCAAAAATTCCCTCCCTCCCCCTGTACTTATTTTTACGTTAGCCATTAATTAGTTATTTTCAGATTTTCACATTTTCAGATATGGTAATTCAAATCAGAAAGAAACATGACCTTGAAGATATGAAAGCAGACCCATAAAAAGACAAATTTGGTTTTCTTTTATTTTCTTCAACTATTATTTTAAGTTCTGGGGTACATGTGCAGGATGTGCAGGTTTTTTACATAGGTAAACCTGTGCCATGGTGGTTTGCTGCACACATCAACCCATCACCCAGGTATTAAGCCCAGCATCTATTAGCTATTCTTCCTGATGCTCTCTGTCCCCACTGTCCACTCAACAGGTCCCAGTGTGTGTTGTTCACCCCCACGTGTCCGTGTGTTCTCACCATTCAGCTTCCACTTATAAGTGAGAACTTGCAGTGTTTGGTTTTCTGTTCCTGCATTAGTTTGCTGAGGATAATAGGATTCCTTTTTATGGCTGCATAGTATTCCACGGTGTATATGTACCACATTTTCTTTATCCAGTCTATCATTGATGGGCATTTAGGTTGATTCCTTGTCTTTGCTATTGTGAATAGTGCTGTAATGAACATACACATGCACATATCTTTAGAAGAAAATGATTTATATTCCTTTGGGTATATACCCAGTAATGGGATTGCTGGATCAAATGGCATTTCTGCCTCTAGATCTTTGAGGAATTGCCCACTGTCTTCCATAATTACTGAACTAATTTACCTCCCATCAACAGTGTAAAAGTGTTCCCTTTTCTCTGCAACCTTACCAGCATCTTTTTTAATAATCACCATTCTGACTGGTGTGACCTGATATCTCATTGTGGTTTTGATTTGCATTTCTGTAATGATCAGGATGTTGAGCTATTTTTCATGTTTGTTGGCTGCATGTATGACTTCTTTTGAGAAGTGTCTGTTCATGTATTTTGCCCACTTTTTAATGTTTTTTTTTCTTGTAAATTTGTTCAAGTACCTTGTAGATCCTGGATATTAGACCTTTGACAGACTGATAGATTGCTAAACTTTTCTCCCATTCTGTAGGTTGTCTGTTCACTCTGATGGTAGTTTTTTGTTTTTTGTTTTTTGTTTTTTTTTTGCTGTGCAGAAACTCTTTAGTTAGGTTCCATTTTTCAATCTTTGCTTTTGTTGCTATTGCTTTTGGTATTTTTGTCATGAAATCTTTTCACATGCTTATGTCCTAAATGATACTGTCTAGATTTTCTTCTAGAGTTTTTATAGTTTTGGGTTTTACATTTAAGTCTTTAATCTATCTTGAGTTAATTTTTGTATGAGGTGTAAGGAAGGGGTCTAGTTTCAATTTTCTGCATATGGCTAGCCAATTCTCCCAGCATCATTCATTAAATAGGGAATCCTTTCCCCATTGCTTGTTTTTGTCAGGTTTGTTAAAGATCAGATGGTTGTAGGTGTGTGGTATACTTCTGGGTTCTCTATTCTGTTCTATTGGTGTGTGTGTCTGCTCTCGTACTAGTACCATGCTGTTTTGGTTACTGTAGTCTTGTAGTATAGTTTGAAGTCAGGTAGCATGATGCCTCCACCTTTGTTTTTTTTGCTTAAGACTGTTTTGGCTGTTTGGGCTTTTTTTGGTTCCATATAAATTTTAAAATAGGTTTTTCTAATTATGTGAAGAATGTCAATGGTAGTTTAATGGGAATTGCATTGAATCTATAAATTTCTTTGGCCAATATGGCTATTTTCACAATATTGATTCTTCCTGTGCATGAGCATGGAATGTTTTTCAATTTGTTTGTGTCTTCTCTGATTTCTTTGAGCAGTAGTTTGAAGTTCTCCTTGAAGAGGTCCTTCCCTTCTTTTGTTAGCTGCATTGTTCCTAGGTATCTTATTTTCTTTGTAGCAATTGTAAATGGGAGTTCATTCATAATTTGACTCTCTGCTTGCCTGTTGTTGGTGTATAGGAAGGCTAGTGATTTTTGCACATTGATTTTGTATCTTGAGACTTTGCTGAAGTTGCTTAAAAGCTTAAGAAGCTTTTGGGCTGAGTCCATGGGGTTTTCTAGATATAGGATCATGTCATCTGCAAACAAAGACAATTTGACTTCCTTTCTTCCAATTTGAATACCCTTTATTTTTCTCTCTTGGCTGATTGCCCTGGTCAGAACTTCCAACACTATGTTGAATAGGAGAGAGGCATCCTTGTTTTGTGCTGGTTTTCCAGGGGAATGCTTCCAGGTTTTGCTCATTCAGTATGATATTGGCTGTGGGCTTGTCATACATGGCTCTTATTATTTTGAGGTATGTTCCTTCAATATCTAGGTTATTGAGAGTTTTTAACAAAAAGATATGTTGAATTTTACCAAAGGCCTTTTCTATGTCTATTGAGATAGTCATGTGGGTTTTGTCTTTAGTTCTGTTTATGTGATAGATTATATTTACTGATTGGTGTATGTTGAACCAACTTTGTATCCTGGGGATAAAGCCAACTTGATCATGGTGGATAAGCTTTTTGATATGCTGTTGGATTCAGTTTGCCAGTATCTTATTGAGGATTTTTGCATTAATGTTCATTAGGGATACTGGCCTGACGTTTTCTTTCTTTTGTTGTATCTTGGCCAGGTTTTGGTATCAGGATAATGCTAGCCTCATAAAATGGGTTAGGGAGGAGTCCCTCCTTTTCAATTGTTTGGAATAGTTTCAGTAAACATGGTTCCAGCTCTTCATTGTACATCTTGTATAATTCAGCTATAAATCTGTCTGGTCCTAGAGGGTTTTTTTTTTTTTGGCTATTTATTACTGCCTCAATTTCAGAACTTGTTGTTGGTCTATTCTGGCATTTGATTTCTTCCTAGTTCAGTCTTGGGAGGGTGTATGTGTCCAGGAATCTATCCATTTCTTCTAGATTTTCTAGTTTATATGCATAGAGTTGTTTATAGTACTTGCTGATGGTTGTTTGTATTTATGTGGGTCAGTGGTGATATCCCCCTTGTCACTTCTATTTGTGTCTATTTGGTTCTTCTCTCTTTTCTTCTTTATTAGTCTAGCTAGCTAGTAGTTTATTTTATTAATGTTTTCAGAAAATTAGCTCTTGGATTCATTGATTTTTTTGAAGGGTTTTTTCGTGTTTCCATCTCCTTCAGTTCTGCTCTGATATTGGTTATTTCTTGTCTTCTGCTAGCTTTGAGGTTTGCTCATGGTCCGCTATTTCTTTTAGTTGTAATATTAGGTTGTTAACTTGAGATCTTTCTAGCTTTTTTATGTGGGCATTTAGTGCTGTAGATTTCCCTCTTAACACTGCTTTAGCTGTGTCCCAGTGATTCTGATACATTGTCTCTTTGTTCTCATTAATTTTAAAGAACTTCTTGATTTTTGCCTTAATGGCATTATTTACCCAGCAGTCATTCAGGAGCAGGTTGTTCAATTTCCATATAGTTGTGTGGTTTTTGAGTGAGTTTCTTAATCCTGAGTTCAAATTTGATTGTGCTGTGTTCTGAGACTGTCTGTTATGATTTCAGTTCTTTGCATTTGCTGAAAAGTGTTTTACTTCGAATTATGTGATCAATTTTAGAGTAAGTATCATGTGACGATGAGAAGAATGTATATTTTGTTGTTTTGGGGTCGAGAATTCTGTTGATATCTATCAGGTCCACTTGATTGAGAGCTGAAGTCAGGTCCTGAATATCTTTGTTAATTTTCTGTCTCAGTGGTTTGTCTAATATTGTCAGTGGGGTGTTAAAGTCTCCCACTATTATTCTGTGGGACTCTGAGTCTCTCTGATGGTATCTAAGAACTTGATTTATGAATCTCAGTGCTCCTGTATTGGGTGCCTATATGTTTAGGATAGTTAGCTTTTTTTGTTGAATTGAACCCTTTACCATTATGTAATGCCCTTCTTTGTCTTTTTTGATCTTCGTTGGTTTAAAATCTGTTTTGTCAGAGACTAGGATTGTGACCCCTGCTTTTTTCTGTTTTCCATTTACTTGGTAAATCTTTCTCTATCTCTGTATTTTGAGTCTATGTGTTTCTTTGCATGTGAGATGGATCCCTTGAAGACAGCATACTGCTGGGTCTTGACTGTTTATCCAGTTTGTCATTCTGTGTCTTTTAATTGTGGCATTTATTCCATTTACATTTAAGGTTAATATTGTTATGTGTGAATTTGATCCTGTCATGATGCTAGCTGGTTATTTTGCAGATTTGCTTATGTGGTTGCTCTATAGTGTCACTGGTCTGCGTGTTTCAGTGTGCTTTTGTAGTAGCTGGTAACAGTTTTTCCTTTCTGTCCTTTCCGTACTTCATGCTTCCTTCAGGAGCTCTTGCAAGGCAGGCCTGGTGGTGACGTATTCCCTCAGCATTTGCTTGTCTGAAATGGATCTCATTTCTCCTTTGCTTATGAAGCTTAGTTTGGCGATATTAAATTGTGTGTTAAAAATTCTTTTCTTTAAGAATGTTGAATATTGGCCCCCAATCTCTTCTGGCTTGTAGGGCTTCCACTGGGAGGCCCACTGTTAGTCTGTTGGGCTGACCTTTGTAGGTTACTTAGCCTTTCACTCTGGCTGCTCTTAACATTTTTTTCTTTCATTTTGTCCTTGGAGAAACTGATGATTATGTATCTTGGGACTGATCTTGTGGAGCATCTTACTGGGGTTCTCTGGATTTCCTGAATTTCAATGTTGGCCTGTTTGCTAGTTTGAGGAAGTTCTCCAGGATGATATCCTGAAGTAAGTTTTCCAACTTGGTTCCATTCTCCCTGTCTCTTTCAGATACCCCAATCAGTTTTAGGTTCAGTCTTTTTACATAATCCCATTTTCAGAGGTTTTGTTCATTCCTTTTCATTCTTTTTTCTCTATTCTTGTCTGCCTGTCTTATTTCAGAAAGATAGTCTTCAAGCTCTGAGATTCTTTCCTCTGCTTGGTCTATTCTGCTATTGATACTTGTGATTGCATTGTGAGTTTCTCGTGTGTTTTTCAGCTTCATCAGGTCATTTATGTTCCTCTCTAAATTGGATATTCTGGTTATCAGCTCCTGTTTAGTTTTATCATGATTGTTAGTTTCTTTGCAATGGGTTAAAACATACTTATTTAGCTCAGCAAAGTTCATTATTATCCACTTTCTGAAGCCTAATTCTGTCAATTCAGCCATCTCAGCCTCAGCCCAGTTCTTTGCCATTGCTGGAGAAGTGCTGTGGTCATTTGGAAGAGAAGAGCACTGTGGCTTTTTGAGTTTTCAGCATTTTTGCATTGATTCTTTCTCATCTTTATGGGCTTATCTACCTTTAATCTTTGAGGTTGCTGACCTTTGATTGGGGTTTTTGTGGGGTCTTTTTGTTGATGTTATTGTTTTTTGTTTGTTTAACAGTCAGACCACTCTTCTGTAGGGCTGCTGTGGTTTGCTGGGGGTCTACTCCAG
The DNA here is from genome assembly GCF_000001405.40 of Homo sapiens. Lineage (NCBI taxonomy): Eukaryota > Metazoa > Chordata > Mammalia > Primates > Hominidae > Homo > Homo sapiens. Next base: position 37,641,572 of record NC_000007.14, read on the forward strand.
ACCCTAGTCATCGTGGTCCCTCCTGAAACATGGAGGTATCACCAGTGAAGGCTGTGAAACAGCAAACATGTCAGCCTTCTCCTTCCTCTGGGAGCTCCAACCCAGCAGTGCACTGACCTGATGCTGGCCAGAACACTTTCGTAGGAGGTGTTCAGTGACCCCTGTTGGGAAGTCTCACTCAGTCAGGAGGAACAGGATCAGGCATCTGCTTAAAGAGGCAGTATGGCTGCCCCTTGGCAGAGCAGGTGCACTGCACTGACTACCTGACCTCTCCAGAACCGGCATCCTGGCAGACTCTATCCCAGGGAGAAATCAGAGTTCTGTCTGTATAAACCTGGCTGGAGTTGCTGAAATTCCCACAGGGAGGCCCCACCAGTGAGGAGGGATAAATTGGGATCCCACTTAAAGAAGCAGACTGGCCATGATGAGGCACAGCAGTTGTGCTGAGTTGTGGGGAATTCCTCCCAGTCTCCAGTGCTGGCCCGTTAGAATGGCCTACTCCAACTGCAGGTATAGCGGCTACCCCTCCCACTGGGAACTCAGTCTGTCTCAGGTTGCTGTCTCAGTCTTTCCAGACTGCTGCCACTGGCTGGCTGGAATTCTAAGCCAGTGGGTCTTAATTTGTGAGGTGCTGTGGGAGTGGGGCCCACAGAACAACACCGCTTGGCTTCCTGGATTCAGCCTCCTTCCTAGGGGAATGCACGGGATCTCTCGCCTTGCCTGAATTCTTGTGGCCAGAGTATGCAAAACTCCCAGGTTTCCCTGCGTGCCTGAGCAAGCAAGCAAGTGAGTGAGCAGCTGCTCAGCTGAGACTCTGCACAGCTCTGTGCTTTGGATCCAAGGCCCTTGTGATGTGGGCTCAAGAGGGGATCTCTTGATCCATGAGTTGCAAAGATCCATAGGGAAAGAGTGGTTTCCTGGGCAGGGTTGCATAATCACTCACTGCCTCCCTTGGCTGGGGGCATGGGCTTCCCTTGTTCCATGGGACTCCTGGGTGTGCTGTCACCCCACCTGCTTTTCCTCACTCTCTGTGGGTCAAGCCATCTGCCTAGTCAGTCCCAATGTGAGAACCTGGATACCTCAGGTTGAAGGTGCAGAATTCACTGGCCATTTTGTGAGAGCTGGGACTACAACTGCTTCTAATGGGCCATCTTTGCCCCTCCTCCAAATTTGGTTTTCTAAGAATTAAGTTTCTTTTGTCAAGAAGTATCACAAAATTGAAAAGCAAAGAACACATATGAAAAGCAAAGAACACATATAAAATATGACAATATAAAAATATATTTGTCATACTTATGACAGCATTTTATATATGTAAATATGTGTGCATCTATCTAGCTAGGTAGTACTAATACATGTCAACCTAAAATTAATATGAAAAATAGGAAGCTTTGGTGAAAAATTTGTCAAAGAAAATGAATAAGGAACTCACAAAATTGCTAGTTCTGATCAGTGAACATTAAAGAATGCTAAACCTTATTAGTAAAAGAAATTCAAATTGAAAGTAAAATCTTTTGCTTATCAGTTGTTAAGAATTAAAATTATTAAAACACCCAGTTTTGGCAACAGTGTGTTAAAAGACATTTTTTCATGGAAGATGCATGTGGTGGCACACAGTTTCTGGAAGGCTGTTTGGCAATATGTCAACATTAATATATCCTTTGACTCAGCATTTCTACCTTAAGGGTTTACTCGGAAAATAGCTAAACACACAAAGATGTGCACATCATAAGTATAAGAATATACACTGCAGTTTTTTATAATTGTAGCAAATGTGATAATAAATTACATTTTTCAATTTAGAAAATTGTAAGATATGGGGCAAAAAATTATGCCACATCACTGCAATATTGCAATGCTGTGTACATTGTAATTATGCAGCCATTTTAAAAGATGAGCTAGATCAATACCTCTTGTCTTGGAAAGATGCTGTACTATATTATTAAATGTAAAAATAGGTTATAGACTAATACATTTAAAAATTACTCAATTTTTGTAAATATGTCTCTCTATATACATTTGTATATAGAAGCACAGAAAATATTCAGGAGCAAAGACACCAGCCTGCTACCAGTGGATATCTCTGGGTAATGTGATTACAGTGAGACTTTCACTATTTACTTTATTCATTTATGTATCTATTTGAATTGTTTTTTCAATGTATATGTATAACTTTAATTTTCGACAGAGTATAAAATACAGAAAGGTATAGAGAACAAATGACTTTATTTATAACTAGAATTTGAGGAGTCTGTCTCCAGGTTAAAATCTTACATATATTTTAGGCCTAACCATGGGCAAATGCAAGGCTTAGCCTGGAGCTTTATGGGAGGAAATGGCTTTTCCTACAGACTTGGTGCACAGCCAGCGCATTGCAGTTCTCTGCAGGGAGTTGCAGTCAAGAATTCATCCCCTCTCCCCACCACCACCAGCCATGCTCACCTGCATATCTAATTCCTCACCCTGCTGCTGCCATCCAGAGGCCTCTTGCTCAGCAGCCTTGACTGAAGCACTTTTCCTCATTTTGACTTAGTACTTTCTTCCTTAAAGCCCTTCTCCTCTTCTCCCAGGTCCATGGGTCCATGAAGAGACAAAGGCCTTTTGTTTGGGGCTTTTCAGCAGTGAGATGACTCCCCCTCATTCTTGAACCTCACCCAGTTCCATTCTGTGGAGGAAAAATGAAACACTGGGGGAGGTGGAGCCCCTTTGCACCTCTTGCTTGCATTGTTGTGTAAGTGAATAGGAAGCTTGATTGTTGCTTTCAGTTTGTCTTGTTGACTGAATTTTCCACCTTGACACCTGATTGCTCTACAGAGTTAACGGTTAACATTTTCTTAGATTTTTTTAAATAAAGGAAGAAAACATAAAATACCTTAGATAGAGTTGAAGTCTTATTTATTTTTTCCAGTTCTTTTCTCTCCAGAGTTAACCACAATTAATTTGATATGTGCCATTTCTGAACACATGCACACACACATACAGAATGCATAATTTTAAAACAATATACATATACACACATTTGTGTATTAGAACAGCGTTGTTTTATCATTCTGAGTACCTACTCAGGAAAGGGTAAGAGGCTAATTCTGTTTCTTCTCAATATATACATATACATATACATATACATATACATATACATATACATATACATATACATAATTTTTAACAGTATTTTTATTCAGAAAATGAAGACATTTATATTAATAAACTATTAGGTGAAGCAACTTTGTTCTTCCAATGAGGGTATCATAATGTATAATTCATACGCTGGACTGCTCAAGGGGGTGCTAAAAATGTCCAATTTGTAAGTTTAATCCATTAGATAGTATATCAACACAGCTAAATTCACAATAGACTAAACGATTGATGCAGTGTTTTGATCAGAACAGTTAGGTCCTTAAAGGGCTTTTGTGATCTCATGCTTTCCAGCCATCAATGCTGAATTTCTTTAAGGTCTCAAACATTCCACCATCTTTGGTAGTTCTCTTGCTATATACATTCTGTTGCCTTGCCTACAATGCTTTCTTCCATACACCTTTTATCTGGAAAACTTCTACTTTTGCCCTAAAATTTTAGTCCCAGTATTTTACTATAATTATCTAAATAACATCTTAAATAAAGACTTTGAGAAGGGAAATATTTAATTTAATTTTTATATACATGAAGTTTACCCGATAACCAGAAAACATGAGTGCAACTTTACATTTGCAGCATGGTTCTGAAATTAAACCTTAGCAAGAAAGACTGAGAAGCAATAGAATTAGCCTCTTACCCTTTCCTGAGTAGATACTAAGGATGGTAGAGAAAGATGTTCTAGGAAATCTACATTGACTGCTTAATACATTTTGCAGTAACTCCATGGGGCAGCTAATACCTCATTAAACAGATTGAGAAAGTGAAACTTAAAACTATTAAGGACAGATATCGGTGTGATGATGCAGTATGAAGTCAGCATTTCAACCACCTTTTCTAGAAAACCAACAAAAAGCAACATGGAGATATTAAAAAAAAAAAAAACAGAAATGTAAACTCTTAAAAAAAAAAAGGAGACGTGAAATGCCAAACCACAAAATAGGTGGAAAAAGGACCCAGCAAAGTGCAAATTAGGAGGGAAAGGGGAAAGCAGAATCCTCTCAGGAGCCACACAGGGACAGATGGATTCTAGAGCCTGTAAAGCCAAAGGTGTGCACGGACTCTCAGGCTGATGATGGAAGCCTGGGTTTCAGAAGCCAGAGAGGCAGAAATGAAGCCGACGTAGAGAAGCTGTGGTTACTAGAAATAGTCATCCATGTGGAGGAGTTACGCAGAAACTGTGGCTTGGTGGACAACTGCACAGCTGCCTAGCTTCATTTTCTGGGAAGAAGCAAAGGCCAAATATTGAATACAGAAGTCCTCAAGTCACGAGAAATGTTTTCTAAAACAAGGCCTGGTACTTCCCATAGTCCCTGTTTCCTGAAAATAGCTGATTCTGAAAAGATGCCAAGTCAAATCAACCAAATAGATGTCTGAAACAAAACAGGAATCAGAATAATACCTGTATAATAATGCTACAAGAAAAGAAGTACAGAGAAAGAGAAAGGAAAAGCAAATAGCAAATAAAGAACGGTTACCTGAAAAATTTTGCCATGGAGAAGGTCTAACGTTATGACCTGTTATATAGCTACAAATTTAAATATATTTAGAAAGAAATTCCATATATATACACACATGTATATACACACACATATACACACATATATACACACATGCATGTATACACACATGTGTATATATAAATATATGTGTATACATATATGTGTATATATACATACACGTGTGTATATATACACATATATGTGTATATATGCTGAAGTCAGTGATCAGAGATGTTGAGAGAAAAGGAGATGAAGTGACGTTTTCTGGTGGAACTCAGAAAAATGTAGAAGACTAAAATTAAAATATAAATAAAAGCATTTGGAAACAACTCTGGGGAGAAAATATACTGTTGAATGAAAAAACACAGAACATAAAAGACAGGAACAAGAAAGCCCAGCAAAATGAAATAGGAATAAAGAGTTAAAAAGGATTAGAGAGAAAGGATTGATATAGAACAGGGGTTGACAGTAGTGATATTTTCAGATTTGAAGGCCATATGTTCTCTGTCATAATAACTCAATCCTATTATTGCAGTATGAAAATAGTCATAAACAATAGCTTGTATTCCAGTAAAATTTATTTACAAAGACAGGTGGTATGCTGAATTTGGCCAATGAGACATACCTTGCTGACACCTGAAACAGAGGATAGGCAAAAGAGATTTAATATCTTTTAAAATTGGAGTCTTAGAAGAAGAAATGGAGGTATACAGATATTCTACAATATGATTCAAGGTAATATTCCAAAATATAGAAGGTAACTTGAATCTATGCTTGATAAGGCATATAATGATCTAGGAAAAATAGAGATGTGTCAAAATGGAGAATGATTTCAGTAGACCTATTAGGTTTCCAAGGAAAAAAATCTTTAGGTGAGCCAGACTAAAAGGATCTACTAACTTATAATTAAACAAACAAACAAGCAAGTCGGGTTGTCTCAGATACAACACAACCTTCTAAATCGGTCAAAATATCCTCAGGGAAAAAGTCCTTATGGAAAGAAAGTGAGAAAATATTTTTTTAAAGCCAAGTCAAACTGCCATGCCAATGTGAAGTGGAGAAAGATGTGGTTAAAAACATGCAAATGTCCAGGGAATGTTGTTCCTATAAATATTATCCCTGTGTCTTCTTGAAGACACTACTTGAGATTGTCAACGAATTAAGAGATAAATGGAAACAGTATGGTTAAAGACATGTAAATGTTATAAACTCTGACAATATTAATATGATGTTACTAATAAGAATTAGCAGGTGTTCTAGGCCGGGTGTGGTGGCTCACGCCTGTAATCCCAGCACTTTGGGAGGCCGAGGCAGGCGGATCACGAGGTCAGGAGATCGAGACCATCCTGGCTAACACGGTGAAACCCCGTCTTTACTAAAAATACAAAAAATTAGCCAGGCGTCGTGGCGGGCGCCTGTAGTCCCAGCTACTTGGGAGGCTGAGGCAGGAAAACGGCGTGAACCCAGGAGGCGGAGCTTGCAGTGAGCCGAGATCGCACCACTGCACTCCAGCCTGGGCGAAAGAGCGAGACTCCATCTCAAAAAAAAAAAAAAAAAAAAAAAAAAAAAAGCATTGGTAGGTGCTCAAAATTTCTTGATGGTCTTATCTATCTTTTCATTCCCAGGAACCAAAAGACATCATTTTAAATAAATAAACCAAGTAGTAGAGGAATATGTATATTTAACAACACAAAACACATAATGAGAAGGCAAAAACCAAACTGTTGTGACAGAGGAGATAGGTAAGGAGAAAGGGGGTACTTTCTCAATTAGTCATTGCTCAGAGTGGGGAATTATCAAAATCAGACCAACAAAAGTTTCCTGATATTATATTATTATGAAATAGAAGATTCAGACTATTACTGATATTATAAAAAGCCACAAAGTAACCATTAGAAGAAAAATACAGGCTTTCCAATTATCAGAAGAAGCACATACTCTCAAACAAAACAAAGAGCCCAATAGTCTCAGATTTAAAAACAGAATTATAAAAGCAGAAAGTATGTCACAAAGGAGAGCTAAATCCTAACATAACTATCATACTGATAAATGCAAATTATATTTACATATACATGCTTTAAAAGAAAGAAATTGTTGTATAGGATCACCAAGCAAAAATCAACTCTGTATGGTATATTTCAGACATTTTAACACAAAGTGATTTATAAAGTTGAAAATAAAATATGAAAAATGATAGTAAATGCAAACTAAGTATAAAATCAGAAATTCCTTACTGCTTGGAAATAAAAAAATTTTCTTAACTAACTCATGGTATAGAAGAAATTAAAATGAGATGGCAGAACAATCTAGACATGAAGGCAGCACACAGAGAAACATGCATAGCATTAGGCATTCTTTTTTTTTTTTTTTTTTTTTTTTTTTGGAGAGGGAGTCTCGCTCTGTCACCCAGGCTGGAGTGCAGTGGCACGATCTCGGCTCACTGCAAGCTCCGCCTCCCAGGTTCACGCCATTCTCCTGCCTCAGCCTCCCGAGTAACTGGGACTACAGGCGCCCGCCACCACGCCCGGCTGATTTTATTTTTGTATTTTTAATAGAGACGGAGTTTCACCGTGTTAGCCAGGATGGTCTCGATTTCCTGACCTCGTGATCTGCCCGCCTCGGCCTCCCAAAGTGCTGGGATTACAGGCGTGAGCCACTGTGCCCGGCCAGCATTAGGCATTCTACTAGTAAATAATGAAAGTCAATAAATTAGTCATATAATTCAAGAAGTTAGATTGGGAATAATAGAGATAAAAATTTAAAATAAATTATAAAAGAGAAAAGTGACAGAATTAATTAAAAGTTCTCAGTACTGCTTGTTGAAAAGAAAATGAATCATTAGCTACCCTAATTAAGAAGACAAAAGGCACAAATAGGCAAAAATAAGCAAGGATGAGAAAATAACTATAGAATCAGAGAAAATTAAAAGGATCATGAAGAGCTAATTTACTCTAGCCTATGTTAATAAGTTTGGAAAAGCTAGATGAAATGAATAATTTTCCAGGAAAATATAATTTATCAAAAGTAACTCTAAACAGATATAAAGAAATCTAAATAGCTCAGTTATCTTAGAAGAAATAGAGAAATTTATCTAAAAGCTACCGACTCCCCACAAAAACAAACAAGCAACGATAAAAGCAAACAAAGCAAGTTGAGACACTTCTACCAAACCTTGAAAAATTAAGTAATTTCAGTGCTTCAAACATAGAAAAGGAAGATAAGTCTATAAATTCTTTTGAAGATGAGAGCATAATTGATATCTACACCTAATAATTGCTTAAAAAAGATGAATCTTACTTGAGAATATTGATGCCAAAGTACTACACAAAATATTTAGCAAGTAGGATCCAGTGGCATATTACAAAGAAAAGTAGACGATGACCAAGTAGACTTTTTTCCAAGAATGCAGGAAATAGTTCAACATTTGGAAATCTATCACGGAAATTTATTAGATCAATAATACTAACTGGTAAAAATGATATAACCCTCTGTACTATTTGTATAAGTTTCTGAGGATCTACAATTACTTCAAAGCAAAAAAAAATTATTTCTTAATTTAATTTAATATTTTTAGACAGGGTCTCACTCTGTCACCCAGGGTGGAGTGCAGTGGTGCAATCACGGCTCACTGCAGCCTTGACCTCCTGGGCTCAGGGGATCCTTCCACCTCACCTCAGCCTCTGTAGTAGCTGGGATTACACGTGTGCATCACCATGCTGTGCTAATTTTTTTTGTTTGTTTGTGTAGAGATAGAGTTTATCCATGTTACCTAGGCTCCTCTTGAACTCCTGGACTCAGGGGCTCTGCCCACCTTGGCCTCTCAAAATTCTAGGATTACAGGTGTGAGCCATCACACCCAGCTCAAAGGAAAAAATTTTAAAAAGTGACCACTTGTATCAGTGATATTAAAATAACTGATACAATTTTTACATCGCTTTCTGAAAAATAACCTTTAATAAACAAGGAAGAGTAGAATACGCCCTTCCTTCCGTCCTTCCTTCGTTCCTTATTTCCTTCCTTCCTTCCTTTCCTTTTCTTTTGTCATCAGCAGTGTTTTTATTTGTTTGTGTTTTGACTTACAAAAAGCTATACATACTTAATGTAGACAACTTGACAAGTTTGGAGGTAAGCATACACCTATGAAAGAATCAATACAATCTATGCCATGAATATATCCATTACCTCCAAATGTTTCCTCCTCCCCCTCTCTGTTATTATTATTATTGTATGTGTATAATAAGAACACAACAAAATACCCTCTTAGCAATTTTGAATATATAATAAAATATTATTAATATTATTAACTATATGGGCACTATGTTGTACTGTAGATCTCTAGGATTTATTTATCTTGCCTAACTGAAACTTTGTACCCTTTGACTAATACCTCCTTGTTTCCCCCTTTCCCCAGCGCCTGACAACCACCCTTCTTTTTTTTTTTTTTTTTGACATACAGAACGGTACATTGTTTATTGAACTCAAATTTCTAAACAGTACAAAAAAGCCCACCAAGTATATGTTACCATGCAACCCATTTAAAGTCATATTACCTTAGATTTCACTTTAAAGCCATAGCACATTTTATAATTAAAATTTTATGTATGTATCTGGAGTGAAGAAAAGGGGTTCCTAATCCAACATTTTCTAGAGCAGAATTAACAAAAAGCCTCAAGTCTAGACACAAGTAAAAATTAAAAGCGATTTTTAAAAGTATTTGTGAAATTAGGACTTTCTTATGTCAAATTTGAAATGCATCCTATTGTTGTAAAGAATTATTCCACGATTTAAACTGCATTAATGTCTAAAAAGTAAGCTTAGTAAACTCTACAAACTAAAACTATAAAAATATTTTATAATGCTGTAAATATTCTGTTCATACACTGTAAGTGATTACACAACTATTTTTTAAATTTTATTATTCTTTTATTATACTTTAAGTTCTATGGTACATGTGCGTAATGTGCCGGTTTGTTACATATGTGTACATGTGCCATGTTGGTGTGCTGCACCCATTAACTCGTCATTTACATTAGGTATATCTCCTAATGCTATCCCTCCCCGCTCCAACCCCACAGCAGGCCCCGGTGTGTGATGTTCCCCTTCCTGTGTCCAAGTGTTCTCATTGTTCAATTCCCACCTATGAGTGAGAACATGTGGTGTTCGGTTTTTTGTCCTTGTGATAGTTTGCTGAGAATGATGGTTTCCAGCTTCATCCATGTCCCTACGAAGGACATGAACTCATCCTTTTTTATGGCTGCACAGTATTCCATGGTGTATATATGCTACATTTTTGTTAATCCAGTCTATGATTGATGGACATTTGGGTTGGTTCCAAGTCTTGGCTATTGTGAATAGTGCTGCCATAAATATATGTGTGCATGTGTCTTTACAGTAGCATGATTTATAATCCTTTGGGTATATACCCAGTAATGGGATGGCTGGGTCAAATGGTATTTCTAGTTCTAGATACTTGAGGAATCGCCACACTGTCTTCCACAATGGTTGAACTAGTTTATGGTCCCACCAACAGTGTAAAAATGTACCTATTTCTCTGCATCCTGTCCAGCACTTGTTGTTTCCTGACTTTTTAATGACCGCCATTCTAACTGGTATGAGATGGTATCTCATTGTGGTTTTGATTTGCATTTCTCTGATGGCCAGTGATGATGAACATTTTTTCATGTGTCTCTTGGCTGCATAAATGTCTTCTTTTGAGAAGTGTCTGTTCATATCCTTTGCCCACTTTTTGATGGGGTTGTTTTTTTCTTGTAAATTTGTTTGAGTTCCTTGTATATTCTGGATATTAGCCCTTTGTCAGATGGTCAGATGAGTAGATTGCAAAGATTTTCTCCCATTCTGTAGGTTGCCTGTTTAGTCTGATGGTAGTTTCTTTTGCTGTGCAGAAGCTCTTTAGTTTAATTAGATCCCATTTGTCAATTTTGGCTTTTGTTGCCATTGCTTTTGGTGTTTTAGACATGAAGTCCTTGCCCACGCCTATGTCCTGAATGGTATTGCCTAGGTTTTCTTCTAGGGTTTTTATGGTTTTAGGTCTAACATTGAAGTCTTTAATCCATCTTGAATTAATTTTTGTATAAGGTGTAAGGAAGGGATCCAGTTTCAGCTTTCTACATATGGCTAGCCAGTTTTCCCAGCACCATTTATTAAATAGGGAATCCTTTCCCCGTTTCTTGTTTTTATCAGGTTTGTCAAAGATCAGATTGTTGTAGATGTGTGGTATTATTTCTGAGGGCTTTGTTCTGTTCCATTGGTCTATATCTCTGTTTTGGTACCTGTACCATGCTGTTTTGGTTACTGTAGCCTTGTAGTATAGTTTGAAGTCAGGTAGCATGATGCCTCTACCTTTGTTCTTTTGGCTTATGATTGACTTGGCAATGCGGGCTCTTTTTTGGCTCCATATGAACGTTAAAGTAGTTTTTTCCAATTCTGTGAAAGAAAGTCATTGGTAGCTTGATGGGGATGGCATTGAATCTATAAATTACCTTGGGCAGTATGGCCATTTTCACGATATTGATTCTTCCTATCCATGAGCATGGAATGTTCTTCCATTTGTTTGTATCCTCTTTTATTTCTTAGAGCAGTGGTTTGTAGTTATCCTTGAAGAGGTCCTTCACATCCCTTGTAAGTTGGATTCCTAGGTATTTTATTCTCTTTGAAGCAATTGCGAATGGGAGTTCACTCATGATTTGGCTCTCTGTTTGTTATTGGTGTATAAGAATGCCTGTGCTTTTTGCACATTGATTTTGTATCCTGAGACTTTGCTGAAGTTGCTTATCAGCTTAAGGAGATTTTGGGCTGAGAAAATGGGGTTTTCTAAATATACAATCATGTCATCTGCAGACAGGGACAATTTGACTTCCTCTTTTCCTAATTGAGTACCCTTTCTTTCTCCTGCCTGATTGCCCTGGCCAGAACTTCCAACACTATGTTGAATAGGAGTGGTAAGAGAGGGCATCCCTGTCTTGTGCCAGTTTTCAAAGGAAATGCTTCCAGTTTTTGCCCATTCAGTATGATATTGGCTGTGGGTTTGTCATAGATAGCTCTTATTATTTTGAGATACGTCCCATCAATACCTAATTTATTGAGAGTTTTTAGCATGAAGGGCTGTTGAATTTTGTCAAAGGCCTTTTCTGCATCTATTGAGATAATCATGTGGTTTTTGTCTTTGTTTCTGTTTATATGCTGGATTACGTTTATTGATTTGCGTATGTTGAACCAGCCTTGCATCCCAGGGATGAAGCCCACTTGATCATGGACAACTACCCCTCTATACTCTGCTTCTATTTTCGACTCATCATGTGTTGCTTAACAATGGAAATACATTCTGGGAAATGCTGTCATTAGGCGATTTTATCATTGTGTAAATGTCATAGAGTGTACAGTACTTACTTAAATCTGTAAGTATTTAATAGGCTACGTGGTATGGCCTATTGCTCCTAGGCTACAAACCTATACCACATGTTACTGTACTAAATCTTGTAGGCAGTTGCAACACAATGGCAAGTATTTGTGCATCTAAACATAGAGTATAGTAAACGTGGTGTTATAATCTTATGGGACCACCATCATATATGTGATCCATTGTTGACCAAATTATCATTGTGCAGTGTATGACTGTAAGGGATATCATGAAGTATTTGTTTTTTTTGCATCTGGCTTAGTTTATTTAGCATGGTGTCTTTCAGATTCATCCATGTTCTTACAGATGGCAGGATTTCCTTCTTTATAAGGTTGACTAACATTCCACTGTGTGTATATACCACATAATCTTTATTTCTTTCTCTGTTTATGGACATTTAGGTTGCTTTCATGTCTTGGCTATTGTGAATAATGCTGCAATGAACATGGGAGTGAAGACATATCTTCAAAATTCCAATTTTAATACCTTTTGATATATACTCAGAAGTGGAATTGCTGGATCTGGTGGATTCTTTCTTAACATGATAAGATCTACTTATATCTTAACTCAAAATCCTGAATCCTACTTAATGGAGAAACAATGGAATCCTTCCTTCAAAATCAGCTTCCTGATTATTGACAGTAAATACTATTGACAGTAAATACTATTGACAGTATTTACTGTCAATAATCACTTCTATTATTTTGTCAAATAAGTATATTGTCAAAAAATGAAACAAGAGGTAGATTGTTATAGGCTGAAATGTGTCCTCCAGAAATTCATGTTGAATTCCTAACTCCCTGTACATCAGAATGTGACTGCCTTTGAAGATAGGTTTAGTAAATGGGCTAATTCAGTTTTAAAATGAGGTCATCAGGATGAGCCCTAATCTAATATAACTTTTGTCCTCATAAAAAGAGATTAGGACACAGAGAATCACAGAGGTAAGACCAGGTGAAGACAGCTCTCTACAAGCCAAAGAAAGAGGCCTCAGAAGAAACCAACCCTGCTGACACCTTGACCTTAAACTTCTAGCCTCCAGAATTGTGAAACAATAAATTTCCATTGCTTAAGCCACACAGCCTTTGGTACTTTGTTATGGCAGTCTTAGTGAACTAATAGATAGATGTATAAATATTGGAAAAGAATAGGTAAACTTTATTATGTACAGATGACATAATTGTATACCCAAGCATCCACCGCAAAAAGGGAAGAAATAGCACTTTCGAAGACATAGTAAAAGAAAAGAAGCTGTTTTCTGAAGCAAAAATAAATAAAAGAAAATAAAAATTTCTTGTTTTTTTTTTGTCTGTCTTAACTGCAGACAACATAACCCAATTGTGCTAGTTTAAAGAGAAAATACATGATGTATTAGTGTGTTGAGCTGCTTTAACTATATACCATAGACTGAGTGGCTTGTAAACAGCAGACATTTATTCCTCACAGTTCTGGAGGCATGCACATCCAAAATCAAGGTGCTGGCTGATTCAGTGTGTGCTGAGGGCCCACGTCTTGGTTCATAGACTGCTGCCTTCTTGCAGTGTACTCACATGGTAAAAGGGGCAATCTAGCTCTCTGGGGCTTTACACAGGCACTAATCCCATTCTTGAGGGCTCTACTTTCTTGACCTAATCCCCTCCCAAAGCTACCACCTCCAAGTGCCATCACATTGGGATTAGGTTTCAACATCAAGATTTGGAGGGGACACATTCAGTCAATTGCACATGGTATTAAGTAGCTTACAGAATGTCCACAAGGGAAAGGGAACTGGTATTGGAAGCAACACATCATGAAGTAATACAACAAGGCAAAATGCACAAACACACCAAGAGACCTGGTGCCAGTGGAGACCCCACTGTGGCCACTGAGCACATTACACATCCACATACAGAATCTAAGAGCACATCCACATACGAAAACCGGGAAGAATATGAGTAGCGAATTGAGTCTTCTTTCTGCAAATGGTCATAAGGGAAAAGTTTGTATAACTTCTTGCCTGTCCTTTCCACATTCCCTTTATATTGTACAAATCTTTAAAAATTCAGGTAAACCAAACCTCCATTCCTGTTCATTTGAGCCCTTGGAGTCCTGCAATGTATGGAATTACTGGAGTCTTCTGTTAGTTTTAACCACTACACATGATGGTATTAGGAGGCACCCTAGAGAATCTCCATGTTCTAGAATATTCATCTCAGTTCCCATTATGTAGCTGGAAACCCGCTTCTTCATATTTGGGATCAATCACGTCAGCTAAATGCCACAGTAAGCATGTATTTTACCGGATTTTCCAATGTCATAGGAGAACTAAATGGCCAGTTGCATTCTTAACTTCCATTTGATGGAACCATTGTTGTATTGCCTGGTGGAAGCATTAGTCTCTTGGGTACTAAGACTGCTGAACCAACACAGCTCAAAGTTGTGATAATAGGAAGGAAAATTTTTCATATTGTGTCATATCATTTTGTGCCATATTAAAAAGAGACGCTTCAACTTCTATCCCTAGGTTTTCAGACTCCTCCTATAGTTCAGTGATAAAAGAAGCAGCATCACATATCGGCTGCTGGTTCAGAGTATATTCTGTACCTATTGGCTAGTATCCCAAACTCACAGGCTTTTTAAAAACTTAGTTGAGGCTACATCTTAGATTCCCATAGGTAATTCTACCCTTCTATAATGTCGATCTTTGGATGATGGATTACATAGTGAGATTAGTGAATCCCATGGGCATCAGCCTATTGCATTTACTTCTTTTGCCTAAAATGTGATCCTTGGTTAGAAGCCATGTATCATTATGATGAATAAGGATTTTGTTAAGTCCATGGATGGTATTGCTAAAGGAATTGCAGGCAACAGAGTATAACAAAAATAGGTTTCTATTTGAATGTGATGTGTCACTGCCCATTACATAATGAAAGGGATCCAATTCTGTTGATCTGCCACCAGGTGCAATCTGGTTCCCCTGGGCTATGGGGCTATATTTGGGAATTAGTGTTGGTCTCCCCTGCTGGTTGACTTGAAGTTAGGTTAGACTTGGTGAGGGGAAGTACATGTTGTGAAACTCACATGGAATCTCCTTCCCTGCCTCCTCTTGTCATCTCTTCATTAGCCCATTGTGATCAATGGTGTATCTGGAGAAAGAGGCTGACTGACATTCATAGAGCATGTCTTCTTGCTCACTTTCTTATCTAGAATCTCTTTTATAGACACCTCCTGAGGAGTGTTCTCTAGGATGCAAATATACTCATACTCTTCTAGCATTCTGAGAGGCACCTGCACAAACCTCTTCTCCAAACCTTGTTATTAATCTTCAAATCTTGTTCCTCCTGAACCTTTGATTGCTTACCAAATCACCAGCATCAACACAGGAGCATAAATATCTGGCCACCTGTCCTTTCAGGGAAAGGGCTTAAAGAGATATACTGCTTGGAGGTGTGAGTACTGTGAGGATTCCTGAGTCATTAGGGATAGCCCTGAGATGAGAGTAATTCTTCAGTAGTCCACTGGGGCCAGCACATAGTGCAGTGCTTAACTGTTTTTGGCCTTAGTAAGGGGGTTGCAGGATGATCCCTATGGAGCTGTAGATATGGGAGAAGAGTGAAGAGGCCGTGTGGCAGGAGTAGGCACATTGGGAGTGCTCACCAGCTGCTCAGGCAATGTACTTGTGCTTTCAGGATCTCCTCAAACTCAGTCTCATATAGACCACTTCCTCTTGAGGGTAGAATGCTGCTGGGCACACCCAGCCTAATGGTGTGTGAATCTAAATAAATTAGACAGTCACTTGCTGTCCACAGTAAGAAGTTCAGTCTACCAGGGCTACCAACCATGTCTTAACCCCAAAATACAAAAATGGAGTTCTATTATTTAACCTTCCAGTGTAGTTAGATGCAGCCAGCCCACTCCATGATCCTTGTATACCTAGTGCCACATCAAAGTAGTCTATCACAGATGCCACTTACTCTCCCAAAGATGATCCTTGACATAACTATTTTACCACTTTGAGTTATGGAATATGATGTCCCACCCATTAATGCTAACTCTTTAACCCAGACTGAGTCAGAGAGCTGATTCTAAATTCCAATTGCCTTTATGGTCTGTTGCCTGCAAACTTTTTTGGAGGGGGTTCTAATTATTGCAGGAAACAGGATATCAGGTAGAATAATCATAAAGAATTTTTTTTTACAGAATTTCGGCAAGAATCAGGGAAACTATTTTGGTTACTTCACAGGCAGGATTGATGCAGATTAATCCACTGTTTGTTTAGTGGAAACCTCGAAGCTGCCACCTCCTCCTCAGTACTTGTGATAGTGGCACCTCTGCTGCAGATGCCCATGGAAATTCCATCTCCCTGAGTCTAGATGTCATCTCACACTGCTCACTTCTGCCTTCTAAGTCTTGTGTGAACATTTCTGTTTGGTGGAAGGACCTCCAGCTTTATCTCCTCTGTGGTGGAGGAGGATGTGTGAGAAGTGGTGGAAGTAGGTGTCAAATTGCAGTAACTGCCACACCAAGAAATAAATATGTGCCTTTATTATAAATACTTATATGAAGAAAATGCAAATGCTCAGCAGTGAACTAAAAGAAGATGCAAACATAGAAAAAGATATACTGTAAACTCAGATAGGAATAGTCACTATCATGGAGATGTAAATTATCTTTAAAGTATACATGTAATGTGATCACAGTAAATACTTTAAAAACTGTTATAGCTAGGGAAGATGATCCTGAATTTCAAGTGGGAAAAAATAAGCAAGAATAGTAATAAAATTTTTCAGTAAAAAGCAGGTACTGAAGTTGATTTATCCTTACCAAACCCTAAAACATATACTAAGGCTATAACAACTAACTAATTAATTAAAATAGCCTGGTAATGTCAACATGAATAGAACCAAATAAATGTCTAGAAATAGGACCAAGCATATGTAAATATATATATGTATATATTTATATATAAATATAAGTTACATTTAAGTTCTAGAAGAAACTGTGAGAAGTAGAAATGGTCCTTTCAATTAGGACATAAAACCCAGAAATTGTGATATAAAAGATTCATAAATGTAGTGCCTAAAAATCAACATTTCTGTATAGCAAAAATATCATAAGCAAAGTCAAAAGTCGTACAGCAAACTGGGAAAATTATTTGCAACTTATTGAAAAAAACAAAGGGCAAATTTTCTTAAAATAGAAAATATATACTAAATAAGAAAAAAAGCTGCCAGTAATTCAATAGAAGAGAGGGTGAAGAATTGAACTGAGAGTTTACAGGTGGGCAAACATGAAAGGCTTTTAAAAAGATAGTCATCATCATTCATGGTAATAAAATATAAACTAACACTCCATTGAAGTTGTCTTTTTCTCCTATCATATTGGCAAAACCAAAAGAGTTTGGCAGCACACATTATTGACAGGTGTGGGGAAACATCCCTTTGATATGGGTGTAAGGGAGACAAATAGGAATGAATTCTCTAGAGTATAATATGGCAATAATTTTTCAAAATAACCATCCTTGGGTTGGAGGAGTGAGAGAAGCAGAAAAGATAACTATTGGGTACTGGGCTTAATACCTGGGTGATGAAATAATGTGTACAGCAAACCGCCCCCCTGTGATACGTGTTTACATATGTAACCTTCACATGTACCCTGAACCTAAAAGAAATGTTAAAAAAACCCCAAAATAACCACTCCTCCATTTGTAGGAATTTATCTCATATATATATCCACACATAGGCTATCTATTGAAGAATTTTAATAAGAATTTGCAGTAACATAAGGTTGGAGACATAACTTTCTGTTAATAGTCTACTTCAATAATTTGTAGCCCATTCTTACAATGGAAAACAATGCAACTGTAGGAAAAGATGGCAGACCTACTTTGTGTCCTAATATTGAACAATTTCCAAGATTATTAAGTAAAAAGTAACATGCATGACATTGTATGTAGTATGTTGCTATGCTTCCATGTATGGAAAGGAAGTGGGGGGAGTAGAGAAATAGAAAATAATACTTCTTGAATGAGAAACAAGAAACTGATGATATTATTGGCCTCTGAGGAAGAAGAGAGAGGGGTGAGAGATTGTCACTCTACTGTATGTTTTGAATTTTGAATCACGTAACTACATTATCTATTAAATTCACTTTAAAACTATAAAAATATAGTTTTCTATATTTGTAAAAAGTATACAATTTTGTATATTTGTGTGTGTGTGTATGTGTGTGTTTATTTTGTCTCAAATTACCCACCTATGAAAGTGACAACTGGAAATTTAGAAATACAGGGATTCTTAAAATAAGATAGTCATATGATATTTAACCTTTAAAAATGTCTTCTTTAATACTTCAGGAAGGAAAAATGTTAGATGTGTCAAAAATATAAGAACATTGCAAAATCAAAACAAAAGAATCTGTCTAAACCCAGACAGTATTTTTCACACCATTTTTGAGATCACTTCAATTTGACAGGCTGGTGCACAGCAAGATGAACTGAGATGCAAAACCTCAACTATGCCAAGGATATTAGTCCATTTCATTTCAGAGTACACCACCTCTGTACTTATAAATGACTTCTTTTGACATGCTTCTTTTGTATGACATCAGTGTTAAAACTTCTTACTGTATTCTTTCACCTTTTACATTCTATTTCAAATACATTCATTGTTTTTTTGTTTTGTTTTGTTTTGAATGTTCAGAAACTTATATGTAGTTGGATACAACTAAGGGTATGAATCTGTTACTGGAAAGCGCTTCCAATCCAGATCCCAAGAGAGGGTTCTTGGATCTTGCTCAAGAAAGAACTCGAGGGGAGTCCATAGAGTAAAGTGAAAGCAAGTTTAAGAAAGTAAAGGAATGAAAGAATGGCTAGTTCATAGGCAAAGCATCCCTGAGGCCTGCTGATGGCCCATTTTTATGGACAACAAGAGGTGGATTACTCATGAGTTTCCCAGGAAAGGAGTGGGCAATTCCCTGGAACTGAGGGTCTCCCCTCTGGCTTATAAGCCATACAAGGTAACTTCCTGATATTGCCATGACATTTGTAAACTTCCGTGGCGCTGGTGTGAGTGTCTCTTAGCATGCTGATGTATTACGTGGCCATCTTGGTTTTGGTGGGTTTGGGCCTGCTTCTTTATGCAACCTGTTTTATCAGTGAGGTCTTTATTATCTGTATCTTGTGTCGACCTCCTATCTCATCCTATGACATAGAATGTCTAACCTCCTGGGAATGCAGCCCAGTAGGTTTCAGCCTTATTTTACCCAGCCCCTATTCAAGATGGAATTGCCCTGGTTCAAACACCTCTGACAGATGGATTCATTCCTTTTCTGCTGTAGAAATAAAATCTTTTCAAATAATCAAGTAGAATCTATCCTACCTTGTGGTGAATATAAAATTTGAATTTCTGAGAAAAAAAATGGACTCATATGTATAGAAATATACTGTATATAGAAATTGTATCTATTTTAAGCAACCAGTATGTAGTTATCATTTTACCTTCCTCGATAACTATCTTATAACAGAGGCATTGCTCTGTAAATACATTCGTTCACTCATTCACTCTGCAAATACTTAGTGAACCCTTACTTTGTGCTAAGGCCACCTGCTGAGCCCAGTTTCAAGTTTCAGTAAAACCTTCATGCCTACTTTATTCATTTTACAATTTCTGAAAGAAGCTCATAACTCTATGCTAAGTGTGTTTTAATGAAGAAAAAATACTGAATTATTTCAATAAATTCCAAAAAAGCAGCTAAATAGCATCACAAAGGAATGATTTCTCATATAAGTCAGATGGAGAATAAATCAGTTAGACTAAATTTCTTTTAAAGTCAGCCATCCAATTTCATAAGGATACAATCTAAAATATATAATATTTTCAAAAGTTTCGATTCCACTAAACTGTTTTTTATTGAGGATGTTCTAAAAAAGTAGAGACTTTGTTCTTTCATTATTGTATTGTGAGAGCCTAGAATAGTGTCTGGAATACGGTAAGTCATGTTAAAAGAAAACCTTCAGCTGAATTAAATTTAAAGGGGTTTAATTGAGCAATGAATGATTCTCAAATTGAGCAGACCCCAGAATCACAGCAGATTCAGAGACTCCAGCGCAGCCACGTGGTGGAAGAAGATTTACGGACAGCCAAAGAAAAGTGATGTACAGAAAACGGAAGTGAGGTACAGAAGCAACTGGATTGTTTACGGCTCTGTGTTTGCCTTATTTGAACATGGTTTGAACAGTTGGCTACATTTGATTGGCCAAAACTCAGTGATTGGCACAGGTGTGGGCTGTGGTTGATTTACACCTTCACTTGTTATAGTTCACAATGTACAGAAAAACCTTCAGGCCGAACTTAAACATGTAAGGAGGCAGCTTTAGGCTAAACTTGATTTAACAGTAATGAATTGTTTTTTCAGTAAATGAGTGAAGGAATAGATGTCTGTTCCATTTGTGCTAGGTCTGGGGATTCAAATGTAAATAGTACACAGTTCCTTCTCTCAAAGATATCAGTGTTACATACTAATGTGGTGCAGTGTGGTAATTGCTATAGGAATAAACTTGAAGAAACAAATAATTTTACTCAAAAGGAAGGTGAGGTTACAAAGAATGAGATATTTGAACTGAGTCATGAGAAACAAAAGTCTTCTCTTTGGACAGGCAGGGGAGCATACATTTTGGAAACCTGAGTAAAGTCATCAAGATATAAAAGCTTGTAGTTAAATTGGAAAATAGTAAATAATCAGGTCTGGCAAGTAGAAAAGTTGTGGTCATAACTGTGGAGTGATTGGAGACAAACAGATTTAGTACATACAAAGAGAGCCGGGTTTTAGTTTTCACCTGAGAGGCACTGGAATTTATTCTGTAGGCAAAAGAGTTAGGAGAACATACACAAAATTATGTATAACAGATTCTGTCAGATCTTATACTTAATGTGAGGGAAACCTTTTTGTGTTGTTATTGCTAAATCTATTCAGCTCTTTTAAATATAGTTACCCTAAACTGATTGTGCTAACCTGTTGATTGGACTTGGTAATCAATAGGAATGAAAGCCTCATTTGTCTCAATTGAAAAAGCCTGAAGAGTGACAGCTAACATTTGGGCAAAGAGACAACACCTGGTTCTGACAAGATGGAGCGATCTTAAAATAAATTGTTTCACAGTGTGATCGCCTCCTATACCAATTCTATTTGTTCTTATTAGTGAAACGTGATCAGGACATTTATTGTCAAAGACTTCACCAGTGTGTAAACAGATCCACCTCACATACACTGGTGAGCCTCCCCAAATTGCTCCTGGGGATAACATCACTATTGTAAAACCTAAAATCAGTGTTTGAGACAGTTTGCAGACCCTGCACTTGATGTGCCAGCTGACACTACCAAACCAGTAATCTGGCTCATCCAATTCTACAATCCCACCCAGGAAAAGAAAACAGCAAGAAAAACTGACTTTGACCCTCTATGATTCCATCTCCTACCAGACCAATCAGCACCCCCCACTTCCCGAGCCCCTGCCTGCCAAATTATCCTTAAAAACTCTTATCTCTGGCTGGGTGCAGTGGCTCACGCCTGTAATCCCAGCACTTTGGGAGGCCGAGGCAGGCGGATCGCGAGGTCAGGAGATCAAGACCATCCTGGCTAACACAGCGACACCCCGTCTCTACGAAAAATACAAAGAAAAATTAGCCGGGCGTGGTGGCAGGCGCCCGTAGTCCCAGGTACTTAGGAGGCTGAGGCAGGAGAATGATGTGAACCCTGGAGGCAGAGCTTGCAGTGAGCAGAGATGGCGCCACAGCACTCTAGCCTGGGCGACGGAGTGAGACTCCATCTCAAAAAATAAATAAATAAATAAAAACTCCTATCCCTGAAAGCTTGGGGAGACTGATTTGAGTAATAATAAAACTCCCATCTTCCACACAGCCAGCTCTGTGTGAATTACTTTTTCTCCATCATAATTCCCCTTTCTTGACAAATTGACTCTGCCTAGGCATTGGGCAAGGTGAACCCTTTGGGCGGTTACGGGAGTAATATGGTTTGGCTCTGTGTCCTCACCCAAATCTCATCTTGAATTGTTATTCAAATCATAATCCTCAGATGTTGAGGGAGGGACCTGGTAGGAGGTGATTGGATCATGAGGGCCATTTCCCCCCATGCTGTTCTCAGAATAGTCAGTAAGTTCTCACAAGATCTGATGGTTTTATACATGGCAATTTCTCTCCTCTCTCTCTCTCTCTTCCTCCCTCCCTCCCCCCGCCGCCCTCTCTCTCACTTACCACCATGTCAGATGTGCTTGCTTCCCCTTTGCCTTCCATCATGATTGTAAGTTTCCTGAGTCCTCCTAGCCGTACTTCCTGTTAAGCCTTACAAGGAGCAAGACGAAACAGAAATTGTGATAATATCTGTCATGAGTAAAGTTACCTACTAAATAAAAGACTCTCAAACTAAAACAAATGTTAAAACAGGGAAATCAGAACTAACTTAAAAGTAAAATTTAGGTATTAGGAAGCCATGAACAGACTCAAGGAAGACAATAGAAATATTAAAAGCATATTTAAGGCAAAAATTTAAAAATTAAACAGAACAATTTAATGTTACTCTATATTAGCGAAAGAAACATTCCATAGTAAAAATAACCTCATAAAATATTGGGCTCCAAATTTTTGAGTATTGAAATGTATAATGCCTAACTAAATAGAAATATTGGCTACAATATTTCTTACAGCTGAGAAAAATCAAACCCTTAATTTCCAACTCAGCTAACCTGCCACATAAAATTCTTGAAAACTACCCATATGTGTGCATATCAATACCTCATTTGTGTTTATTTCAGAGTGGTGGCATTGTATATTACTATTTTCTTCACTATAGTATTATGAATTTTCCAAAGTATCCAAAGGAAATATGTATTTGTAGCCACAAAACAGGTTAGTTGCCCTCTGCATGAAGAGCCCAAATAACAAAAGCGAGGTATTGGGAAGTCAGTGTGAACTGGCCGTAGATTTCCTGCCCCCAGACCTTGGTGTTTTCTCTTTTAGGAAGTTAGCACAAATTGGCCTTAAGTTCCCTGTCTCCAGACCCTGTTCTCCTGCCTCATTGGTACAAGAAAAGGAATTTATTTCTGAAGCTAGCTTGGGGGAAGTTCACCCTGCTTTGAATGTGCCCCTTTGCTTTTGGAACAAAAAGTGGGCACTTTTATTAGGTAAGGAATGAAGTAAGCAAGGGCAGGGGGTCTTCTGATACCCAGAAATTATCAACTAGGCAGTTGAGTTGGCATCTTTCTGGGCAGGAGTCAGTTGTTGAAGTAGCCAAGTGGGCATGCCTAAAGCATGCACCTGGAGGTGGGAGCTCCATGGGGACATGCTTTGATCTGGAAATAGACTGTCAACTCTAGAGGAGAGATCCAGAGCACAGAGATGAGCTTGCCTTCTAGGGAGTATCTGGTGAGGGAGAGGCAAGAGGTTATTTTGCATTTCAGAAAGGGCTAAGTGAGAAGTAGGGGTAAGGGGAAAGGAGAAAAGGAGAAAAATAACAAACTATCTCTTAGAAAAATGGGGGTACTCTTACATACCATTTTTTGAAAAACACAATTATTATTTTAAAATTCTACATTTAATTGAATCCTTGTTATGGCAAATATGCGGTTAACACAAAGCTGTGAGGCAGGGGGCGGGGAAAGATAAGAGGAGCGTTTTTGTAGTTAGGATGGTGGATGGCTGGTTAGTGTTTCATATATTTTTTTCTACTGATCTATTCCCCTTTTTCTTCCCCACATTGAAACAAGCACAGAAATTTGTCACGAGATTAAAAAACAATAGATGTGGTTTTTGTTTGTACATTCTCAGGTCCTCAGGGAGATTATCTGTGGATAGAGAAGTGGTTTGATGGGGATTAGAGAAGGACTCAGTCTGCCCAGGTTGGAGGCAGTGCAGGAGCCGGGTTTATTGGCTGTAAGAAAAGAGGGATCCTGTGCTGTCCTGGTGGTATACTGCCATAGGGGCAGCCGAATACAAGAGAAAGGCTACCTGGTGTTTCTGGAAAGATGGGGCTGTGGGTACCCTGCAGATGTTCCCTGTGTTTTTCATCAGCTGCAGTGACAGAGAGCTTAATGTCTTCTTAAAGCCACCTGATAGGGCAATGACAGACAAGCAATGAAGGATCGGATGCCTTTTTCCTTCTGCCCTGCTGGGCCTTGGCAGCATTGGAGACTCTGGACATGAGGCACTGCTCAGGGCAGATAAGGAATCTCCAGAAAGAACTGTGTTAAGTTTTTCTCTATAGCCTGTGGGAATGGGGGCTTGAAGTCAGAAAATCATGTGACTAGAATATAAACAGGACATTTCTTATTGCCTAGTTTGTGGACTGAGAGTCAAACCCATTAGTTCGACTTTATTATTTTCTGCGTTGAGGAAAGCAAAGATCACCTGGTGGCCATCAGGCAGACCATCCAGAGGCAAACTCCTCATCCGGGGAATTCAGAAGTAATTAGACTTCCCTATTATCTAAAGCCAGCACCTGGTTTCAGGCTTCTTTCCCCACAATTTATAACTAGAATTTCTATACATCTCTGGAATGCTTGCATGTCGAAGCTCATTGCATAACCCTTCTTGACGTCAAAGCACCAAAATTCCTGCAAATGTAATCATTTATCATTATTTACATGGCTAATGTTGTCCAATTTACTCTTAAGCTCCCGCTTTAAGGCCCATAAATACTTTCAAGGAAAAATCCACCACTGTGTGCTCAGTTCTCTCTTGCTGAGGCACCCCACCGCACTCTTCTGCGGTGTTCTTTTATCTAATAAAACTTTCCTCTTCAAATGTATACTGTTGTTGGTAAATTCTTCTTACTACTTGTGAGACAATCACTTTCTGTTGCTGAGGCTCTGACACCTTGCCCGGCATGAATCTTCTTTCTTAACAATTGCTTCTGAAAGAACCTCACATACTGTTCAATGATTTGTCAACCCTATGAGGCATTACCTGTTTGTATAGCATGACTGGTCCTGTCTTGAGCAATCACTGTTGCCCAACATTTATTATAATTTTGAAACTAAACTACAGAGCCAGACAGGACAAAGGCATCCTTAGCATATTCAAGCAAAAAGATCAGGAAACTCCTAACTTACTGTGCGGACCTCCTTTCTGAGGCAGTGAGGATTCTCTCCCCTCTTCCTTTGCTTACCTCCTCCCTCTCCTTCCTCTTCTCTCCTCACCCTCCTTCTCTCCTGCAGCCTCATCACTATGTCTCTACTCTCATTCACTTAGAGAAAGAGGCAACAGCACAAACTCAAGGCTCATGAAGGCATGTGGAGGAGAAATATAAGAATCCTAACAATTAACTTCTTCTGATGATTATTCACAAGAAAAGACAATGCCTTTGAGAGCATTTACTCTGTTCTCAAGGACAAACAAGAAAACGTGGATGCTGAAATGAGATGAAAGGTGACAAAACAGGATAAGAGTATAAGATACAATCTGAAAGAAGACAGAAACTGGCCAACGTGCAGGCTGTGGGAGGAGGAGGGGAGGCTAAGAGCGCCCATTTCTTTGCATGAGGTCCACGTGACTGGAGATATAAGATGAAGGATCCAGAGAGACCAAATAAAGATTATCGTGCATATAAAGTGATATTGAATGCCGTGGTTTTGGTGTGAGAGCTAAATGGGCTTGCCAACTTCATGATCACAGAGAATGGCCTTCAGGGAGGAAACTTTGAGGGGCTGACTTCCGTAGGTCCCAGGTAGAAGAGGAGAAAGAAGCAAAAGATAATCTCTTCCATGTCTAGGGCTTTTGATAAATTAGCTCCACCCAATATGGAAGTATGGAGACCAACTGCTATTGTTCATCAATACGATAATTGTTCTCACCTCTATGGGGAGAATTAAGAGGTAGGCAAGAGAACATAAGGAAAAACCTCCTCTTCTGGAAACCATCTAACATTTTCTCAGCTGCTGCTTCTCTTAATTCAGTGGGGTTAACCATTAAGCTCATGCTAATCAAGGAGTTTGTGTTTACCCCTTTGGGAGGGAAGATTATGATTCTATTAGCACAGATCTCCTCCTCTAATATCAATCACTCTTCATTTTAGGGTCCTCCTAGGACTTTAACTATTTTTTTTCACTGAACACTCTGAAAAGGATCAGGACAAAATGTTAAATAAAATTAACCCTGTAGCCACTCTGTTCCCAAAGCTAAAATTTTTATTGGCTATATTATTTTTCATCCCATATTGTATCCAGCTACATAATTCAATATAGGCTTCTGCATTGAGATCAGATAATAACATGAAGATGCTGAGTTAGAAGAGAAACTCCAAGGCCAGGCGCGATGGCTCATGCCTATAATCTCAGACTTTGGGATGCCAAGGTGGGCAGATCACCTGAAGTCAGGAGTTCAACACCAGCCTGGCCAACATGGCAAAACCCCATCTCTACTAAAAGTACAAAAATTAGCTGGGCATGGTGGTGCATGCCTGTAATCTCAGCTACTTGGGAGGCTGAGGTAGGAGAATCACTTGAACCTGGGAGGTGAGCCGAGATCGCACCACTGCACTCTAGCCTGGGTGACAGAGCAAGGCTCCGCCTCAAAAAAAAAAAAAAAAAAGAGAGACACCCCAATTTGGAATGTAAGTGACTTCCATCATGATATCCCAAGGGAGAGAATTTAGTTCAAAGAATAAATTTTCTTGCAAGTTAAAATCCAAACACATTAAAGACCAAAAGAAGTAAGGCCTGACACCCAATTTACTTGGCTCTGAAAGTTAAAATTGAAAGAAACTAAGCTTCCAGATTTAGCTTAGTCAATTCTTAATCTATTCTGTCAACCTGATGGGTTTTTGATACAAGGTGGAGTTGACGTTTTTTTCTGCGGTCTTGAAGTTGGAAGAATATAGTTCCTTTGAAGTTATTAATTCAATGTTAAGTCATTGAGTGCCTCATATTTTTAAAGTTTATCACAGTAGTCCTAGCTTCTAAAATGTATCCCAGGCAAAATATGTTAGCAGAAACACAATGGGAGTGCAAGTTAAGGAGACAGACCATGAAAATATTCTTGATTTTAGGCTCACCGGGATGTCTGTCAGTCAAGACTCATGGTCATGAGTCCAAGACTGGTAAACATACACTTAACAGGGAGAATCCCCCTGCCAAGAAGTTCACATTGGCATTACGCATTTTATCATATCTGGGGAAGAAGGAATCTGCATATGTATCTGGTCTTCTCACCTCTAAGAGTGGTATTTGAGTCACTGGTGTTTTCTTCGTGACAAGTACTTTGTTTTTCCTGCAATCTGTGAATCCCTTCAATGGCTAAAAGGTAGACGATATTGATTGCTCCTTTTTCAGATGAGAAAGCTAGATAGGAAAAGATTTCTTGTCTAAAATTAGACCAAAACTGAGGAGAATGGGAAAATTTCATATGCAAGTTTTCAGGGCATGTGCAGCCACAGTTTGGGTGTGTCTAGTGCTCACCTATATTGGGTATTGGACAAGCTTACCAGTGTCCCTTCAGAGAAATACTATTGGGATGAGTTCGTGATGTTGCTCCAGTTTTCCCCAGATGAGGTCTTGCAATATTTATTTTCTAGAAAAAATGCTGAGAGAAAGATAAAAAACAGGAAGTCAGTTGCCATGGCCTATAATCCCAGCACTTTGGGAGGCTAAGGCACGAGGATCACTTGAGCCCAAGAGTTCAAGACCTGCCTGGGCAACATAGGGAGACCTTATCTCTACAAAAAATTAGCCGGGTGTGATGGCGTACACCTGTAGTCCCAGCTACTCAGGAGGCTGAGGAGGGAGGATTGCTTGAGCCTGGAAGGTCAAGGCTGCAGTGAGCCATGATCACGACACTGCATTCCAGCCTGGGTGACAGAGCAAGACCCTGTCTCAAACAAACAAACAAACAAAAAACAGGGAAATTTCACTAATACCTACTTTTACTTGCCTGCAGGTTTATTTTACAGCTTTTCAGTAAAATTAGCTGGATGGTGGAAGGTCTGAAAATTGTGTATGTGTCTGTGTGTTTTGTTTTTTGTTTGTTTGCTTGTTTTTGCCGTGGTAGGACACTGTCTATGAATTAGGACAGGAAAGGTTGAAATAGCAAGTGGCATCAATGAAAAAGGCACAGTGGGCATTCATGAAAAAAGCTCTTCAGAGGGGTTTCTCGAAATATGGAGAGAGAGGATTTTCCTGCCTTTCCTGTAGCCTTTGTCATACAAAAAATATCAGTTAAGTGCAAAAAGAACAATCAATTACTCAGCAATACTTCATCACCCACTGAGATAATTCTAAAGAAATCACAGAAACTTGTATTTATCAGTTACCTGACACTAGTTATATATCAGGTATGTGTCATGTACATTTTCTTTTCACAGTAATCAGGTGAGGTAAGTATTATATTCCTGTGGTTTTTTTTTTTTCATGAAGAAATTGTGGTTTGTCAACTTGGCCAAGTCGACAGAGGGACATGACACATGTTAGCTCTGGCTGCTGGCAGCACAGTTAAATTGTCTCTTAAGGATGCAAATGGTCTCTTTTTCTCTTCAGTTGCAACTAGTAACACATATTGATTAAGTTAGGGATTTTTTTTTTTGCACTTAAAGAAATGGAAAGCTTAACTAAATATGACAAAAGTTACAGGCATTAAATTATCTCATATTAGAAGAATTTTTAGAATGCATGGAGGAACAGGGGTTTTGTGCAGTGCCTGGACAGATGTCAAAGACCCAGCTCTTTAATAATCCAGTACGCCAACCTCAGCATGTTGGGTACTTGTTCTTAGAAGTACCCCCTGCATGGGTACAGCTATGGAAGCTTGTTCTCATAACTCAGTTTCAAAAAGAAAGGACAGGTGTCTTTGTTATCTCCCTGCTAACCCCCTAAAAAATGGGAGAGCAAAGTCTTTCTCAGGAACCTCCAGTGGCTGTGCCTGTGTCATATTCCTATCTTTAGACCAATCACCAGCAAGGAGGATGTGCATCACCAAGGCTGGCTAAAAATTTATTGGCTGAGAATAGATCCACCAGAGCTGGGCACTTTGCCAACCAAACACAATTGACATCCCATTTGAAAGGAAGTGGGAAAATCCCTGGGTGAGCGATAGCTGTGTTTTCCAAAAATGTCAATATAGAGGAAATTTCATCCTTGTGTCAACTTTTGGTTCATGGTGTTTGGTACTTACTTTAGTTTCTGTAGATGAAGAGAAGGAAATAGAAGACTAGGAAAGATTCAATACCTGAAAACAATTGATAGATATATTGACTTGATGGTAGAGTACATTTAAATGAAGAATGAGGAAATTAGACAAACCTGATTCATAGTTGAGTTTTCCTATCATAAAACACACCACAGTTTTATTTCCTATTTAACTGATATGATGTGTAAGAAAAAACAAATACATATATTTAATAATATCAAAGCATGTCAAAACCTGTGGTTCCATCCTGGTCCCTATCAATAATGGAAGATGAAGTTTCAAATTGATTTAGTGATGACAATTTAGTGATCCTGATGACTTTCTGGTAATGGAGAACCAGAGGAGCAACTGTAGATGTAAACTGATTTAATTTTCTTTAGGTAATGCTGTTTCTAGGAAAGCAGAAGTTTTTTTTGTATGCTCCATTTCCTGGGTTGGCCATGGAGAGAGAAATGTAAGTGAAAAGATCGCATTTAACAGCTCTCATTTAGATTGTCCTGCACGTAGAGAATACATACAATGAATGTAATAATTGTACTATCTTGCAGGGTTGCCTGAGGACTCTATAAGATAATAGGAAGAAAATATTTGTTGAAGGCATAAGTATCCAATAAACGCTAGCAATAGGATTATAAATATCATAAATGCAAATCTGACTAACATAATACCAAGTAATAATAGTATTTGTTAATAATGGCCTTGAGCAAATTACCACAATATTTCTAGTTTGCTTCCCTATCTATAAAACGAAACTGATGATTCCTACCCTCATAAAATTGTTGTGAGGATAATATTAAAAAATTATGAAATTCTTACTGTCTGCCTGGCACAAAGTAAGCATCTGTCCATCTGCCCACTAAGCAAACATGTGAGCACATACAGTGTGTTTGGTGCCACTGTGCTAAGTGCTGGTGAAGCAGTAATAGATAAATCATCGTTCCTAATTTCATAGAAAATTCCCTATGAAATTAGGATAATCCAGATATTCCCTATGAAATTAGGATAACATAGGGAAATAGATAAATCATAGTTCCTAATTTCATAGACCCACCTTTCTGTTGAACTGTATACAAAATATGGATATCGAATCTAACAATTGAGTTTATTATGGTAGATAATTTAAGGTTTTGATGTGCAAGTTGAAATGGTAGTGAAAGTGAGAGTGTGTGAGAGGGAGACTGGTGCATAAAGGTGAAGGAATTCAAAGGCAAAGAGACTGTGTCTAATGGAGTGCTGGCAAATGCAAGGAGGCTGTTGAGTGACATTGCACAAGCAGATGACACGTTCCCTAGCAAAGGCAGAATCAAACTAACAGGCAGCTTCTGGACCTACGCTGTTAAGTACAATGCCTGGTGTAATAAGCATTTTTGAATGAATTGATAAAGTCATCCTTGGAGGAAATACACTCTGAAGATTCAGGGACCAAAATAAAGGATTAAGAGAAGGATGTTAAGTAAACAGTAAGCCACAGAATTTTTTTTTTTTTTTTAAAGAGAGTAAAACTCTTTTAAAGCCACTAAGGTGAAGACACAGTGTAGCTGTTTCTTATCTTTCTCAAGCAAGAGCTGGCCATTCTCTTTGAACCTCTCAGGGAATGAGTGAGTGTTAAAACTATCATTGATGATGAGTTCCAAGCCGGGACTCCATCAGAGAGAGAGATTGCCTGGAACTGAAGAAGCTAAATCTACCTTCAAGTCCAGGGTGCAGCCCAGGGCCACTAAAAGGAATTAAGGCTAAACTGTCAAGAGCTGAGTAAATGTAGACTTGGCAGTGTGATGATTAATATTGAGTGTCGACTTGATTGGACTGAAGGATGCAAAGTATTGTTCCTTGGTGGGTCTGTGAGGGTGTTGTCAAAGGAAATTAACATTTGAGTCAGTGGACTGGGAGAGGCAGACCCACCCTCAGTCTGGGTGGGCACCATCTAATCAGCTGCCAGCATGGCCAGAATAAAAGCAGACAGAAGAACATGGAAAGACTAGAC
This sequence comes from Homo sapiens, assembly GCF_000001405.40. Taxonomy (NCBI): domain Eukaryota; kingdom Metazoa; phylum Chordata; class Mammalia; order Primates; family Hominidae; genus Homo; species Homo sapiens. The sequence goes on from NC_000007.14 coordinate 37,672,778, forward strand.
TGGTTGAGTCTTCCAGCCTCCATCTTTCTCCCATGCTAGATGCTTCCTGCCCACGAACATTGGACTCCAAACTCTTCAGCTTTGGGACTCTTGGACCTTTGACCACAGACTGAAGGCTGCACTGTGGGCTTCTCTACTTTTGAGGTTTTGGGACTCGGACTGGCTTCCTTGCTCCTCAGCTTGCAGACAGCCTATTGTGGGACCTCACCTTGTGACCGTGTGAGTCAATACTCCTTAACAAACTCCCCTTCATATATACATCTATCTTATTAGTTCTGTCCCTCTAGAGAACCCTGACTAATGTAGGCAATGAGGCAAGAAGTTAAGGTTTAAGGTCAAAAGAAAAGGTCAGAGACTCTTCCAGTAAACGTGGCTAGGATGCCTGAAGCTCATAAATGGGAGCTGACTGGGCTTAGCCTGGATTAAAAGCTCTTGTTTGGTGATTCAGTTACTAGATCTATTTGATATGTGTACATGTGTGTGTTTGAAACTTATTGATGAATAAATACATTAAAAATTGAAATTCTGCCCTGATATTCTAAGCCTTCCTGCCTAAGACAAAATACCATTAGATTTCTTCTCTATTTATAGGGGTATTCTCTCCCACAGAGCAGGGCCTGCTGCTTTGTTTCTGGAAAAACACATTCTGCTTTAAAAATGATACTCTGTAACTCTGTTTCCTGAGAATTACACACGACTTGAATCTAGTCCTTTGCTGAGATGAAGTACAGATTTGAGGTGCATTCATATTCCCCATAAAATATGTTTGTCACCCTAGCAACTGCCCTAAAATACCTTGTAGTATCCTGACATGAGTATAAATACAATTTCTCATACTCTGAGAAGCCAAGCAAGTGACATAAGTTATTCCAACATCAGAAGTCTTCCAGGTGTAGACTTCAGGGTGGAAGCCAGGATATCATCATCATCATCATCATCATCATCATCATCATCATCATCATCTTCGTCATCTTCATGATATCACTATTTCTTTTCACAATATTTCTTTACAGGTGACAAAGGTTTCTACAACTAAATATAGTATCTGAATGCATTAAATGGTAAGAACCTTTGCCTCTGCACTGGTGGGGATGTTTGGTGGCCTCTGTTTCAGATCATTCTGAAGTGTGAAGTTTGAAATTTGTTGAACACTTTAAAGAGAAAATACTGCTTTAAACAAAGGTCACCAAATTGTAAAACAAAGAAATTTTCAAAAAATCTATAATAGAGATATAGGCAATTACCCCACTGTTGTAATTAGCAAAATGACGCTCAGAAAGTCTATATGGTCTTTCTACAGGCACTCAGTTTACTAGATGAAGGGGAGGAATTGAGTGCAGATGAACTTCCAAATCTCTTTGTACTACTGTGAATGCAGCATCTACATCCTAATTCACATGGCTGGAAAGCTCAGTTGCAAAAGGGATATTTTGGACAGGTTATCAGAATGAAGATGGACAATATTCATTAGTCACAGGTATGTGGTTTTCAGCGAGGCATTTGGCAAGGCCGCTGCTGGCTATGTTGACCTTACAGAAACACAGCCTGTATGATATTTGGAGAATACCTCCAGGCAAAGGACACTCGTGAATGAACTGGTGCCCAACTGGAGACTGTCAGGTAGCTGGTGGAGGACTTGTACCTCAGGTCTGTTGTTTTGGACAGTTTTTCACATCTTGAATGAGGTGAGTGGTCAGACTTAGGATCTAAAAAGTCCTGAAGAAGGCAGGAGCAAACTAAAGTTTAATAATGATTGATAAAAGGTCCTTCTCCTGGGTCCCAAATCACAGGATGGTGAAAGCTGTGCTTGAAGGCAGTTCTTAAAGCACCACATAAGAGGAGAGAAATTTTATTTCACAAATCGGAGCACACTGAAGGCATTTGGTGCAGTTCTGGATGAACACTTTAAGAAAGAGGAACTTACGGAAACTGAAGGATGTTGTAAACAGAGTGGCTGGGAGAATGGAGGAACTCAAAACCACATCATGTGAATATTGCTTTAGAAGATCACAGTTCCAGACACGGAGAAGGGAAGACTCAGACCGTACAAGACAATCATCTGCAGGGCTGTCAGGGAGAAAAGGGATTAAACTTTTTTTCTCCTTGGCTATAAGATGGGAATTTAAAATGTGGGTCGTTAGTATAAGGAAACATTTCAGTTTGTAAGTAATAAATAACTTTAAATGCCAGAGCTGTCAGAAGATGAACAACTAGAGACTGGATGGTACTTGGAGGGGTATCTCCAGTATCAGTGAGTAGTTCTGAACACTGAGATTCTGTGCTTCACAGATCCCTCCTTTGCTCTTTAAATATTTGGCATGTTATCACCACCCTCTTTTTTGTGTGGAGTCCCAATAATGGAAATCATCCTTTTTAGGTGATTCAGATAATTTTGAAGATCTGCAGCAGGGTTCAACCAGAGTTTACTTTGCACGTTGATTTAATAGGTGAGAGCTGGAAGCTCACAAATGCCATATGCAAATTTGTTCTAAATGAGCTCTAAATATGGATTTGGAACTAATTGTTCTGGCATCTATTTCAATGAGATAAAGCATTGGACAAATATATTTCAAAGTGAGGAAGAGGATGTTTTAGCATTGTTCCCAGGAAAATGAGCTCTAGCATGCAGGTAATTCAGAAAAGGAGGACACTTAATGTGAAGCTTCATATGAGAAAACAGAATGTTGGCTGAATCATTATTTAGAAATAATAGAACTGTGGGCTGAGGCGGGTGGATCACAAGGTCAGGAGTTCGAGACCAGCCTGGCCAAGGTGGTGAAACCCCGTCTTTACTAAAAATACAAAAATTAGCCAGGTGCAGTGGCACCCGCCTGTAATCCTAGCTACTAGGGAGGCTGAGGCAGGAGAATCACTTGAACCCAGGAGGTGGAGGTTGCAGTGAGCCCAGATCGCGCCATCGCACTCCAGCCTGGGCAACAAGAGCAAAAACTCCATCATAAAATAATAACGATAATAATAATGGAACTGTGAAAATAATTAGTGTCAAATCACCTGTACCAGTAAATTTTTAGTGTGGAACATTTAAAAATGAACTTTTATTATTTAAGTATATTGTTTACACAGAAAAATGCACAAATCACAGAGTGCAACCAGATGAGTTATCACAATGTCAGCACATTTGAGTGCTCGCCACCCAGATCAAGAGATAGCAGGGAAGTACCCCTTCTTCCCCTAATTGCTCCCACTCCTCCCATGCCTTCAGTGGTAACCACTGGCAGGGCTTGCAACATCATAGATCAGTTTTCCCTGTATTTAAACTTCATATAAATGTAACCACACAGTGAATTCTTTGTTTTTGGCTTCTTTTCTCAATACTATGTTTGTGAAATGCATCTATGTTTTTGCATGTAACATTATTTCATTCATTTTCATTGTTAAAGAGCAACTACGCGTCCATATTTTTTTTAAAAAAGAATACATTTTATTGTTAAGCCACATCAAGGATTATTTCCAGATTTTGACTACTGTGCTTTTTTCTGTTATGAACATTCTTGTAGTATTTTTGGCACATATACATATGCATTTTCTGTTGGGTACATATCTAATAATGAAATTGCTGCATCATGAGACAAAGGAATGTTGAGCTTGAGAAGTAAAGCTTTAGCTGTACCACTAGCAGCGTATGCAAATTCTATTTGCTCCACATCCTCCTCAATACTTGGTATTGTGGTTTTTTTAATTTTAGCCATTTGGTATATATTTAGTGGTATTCCATGGCTGTTTTTAATTATCATTTACCAAGTGACTAATTTAGATGAGTAACATCGCCTGTACTTATGAGAAAACCTTCTTTTGCAAATTGCTTATCCAGGTATTTTGTATGTACTAATTTTATTATATTATCTATCTTTTTTCTCATTTATACATATTTGATATGAATCTTTGGTCAGTTATATGAACTACAAATATCTGCTTTCATTCCATGGTTTCTCTTTTTACTGTCTTGATATCTTTGATGAGTATAAAGTCTTATTTTAAAGTAGTTTGACTCAGTCTCCTTTTTAGTGATTAGTGAGTTTTGTATTCTTAAAAAATTTTTCCTATACTCCAAGGTAAAGAAGATAATCTTTGTTATCTTCTAGAAGCCTTATTGTCTCACTTTTCACATTTAGGTCAACAATCTATCTGGAACTGATTTTTTGCAAATAATGTGAGGTAGAAACTCAAGATTCATTTTTCCCCCTGATTTGAATGTTTAATCGACCCAACATCATTTATTAAAAAGACTTCCTTCCTTCTTTCCTTCCTTCCTTCCTTCCTTCCTTCCTTCCTTCTCTCCCTCCCTCTCTCCCTGTCTTTCTTTCTTTCCCTCTTTCTTCTCTTCTTCTTCCCCACTGCTTTACATTGCCACCGTTTTTGTAAATAAGTGTTCATCTATGCGTGTGGATCATTTGCTGGACTCTATACTATATTTCTTTATGATTGTGCTAATACCATGCAGTTTTAATAATTTTAGCTTTAAAATAAATCTTGGTATCTGGTAATTCAGTCTTTCAAATATTTTAATTTTCTTCCATTTTCTTGGACATTTAAGGCGCTTTACATTGCCATATAAATTTTTGGATTTACTTGTTAATTTTCACAAAATCATTTATTTGGGTTTTTATTAGGAATATATTGAACATAGGTAGTTTTGGGGAAGCACTGCTATCTTCACAATATTGAACCTTTTTATGTGAAAGTAATGCATAGTCTTCCACCCACTGAGATCTTTGTTAATTTCTCTCAATATTTTATATTATTCTACATTGAAGACTTGCTTATCTACTGTTAAATTTATTCCTAGGCATTGAAGTTTTTTCATTTTGATGCTAATTAAAATGGTATTATTTAAAAAAATTGTATTATTTGCTTCTTTGTTGCAAGTGTGAAATGCAATTGATTTTTGAAAATTAATATGTAACTTTTGGCTTTACAATAGTTAACAAATTTATTCTATAAGTCTATCTATGGAGTCTTTGTATTTTATATGTATAAAATAATGTCCCTTGGAAATAAAGATTGTGTTATTTCTTTCTTTCCAATATTTATACCTTTTATTAATTATTTTGCCTCACTGCATTCTGTTAGGATCCAATAAAACATCTTTAGTAAGAGTGGCAACAGATGGCATCCTTGACTTATACTTGCTACCAGGAGGAAAGCATTCAATATTTTCCCATTAAAGCAGGTCGTTTGCTGTAGGATTTTGTATGTATCCATCTATTCTTCATTTGTAGGTGCCTTTTAAAAAATCATGGATGGATGTTGAATTTTATCACGATTTTTCTGCCTCTGTTTGAGAAGATCCTATGATTTTTCTCCTCTATTTTGCCTAGGTGGTGAATTGCACTCACTGATTTTTACATGTGTTGTCTTCTTGGAATAATTCTCGCCTGACCATAATGCCATGCCTTAGTGTGTGTGTGTGTGTGTGTGTGTGTGTGTGTGTGTGTGTTTTCTGAGTCAGGTCTCATTCTGTTGCTCAGGCTGTAGTGCAGTGACTTGATCATAGTTCACTGCAGTGTTGAACTCCTGGGCTCTTGCTTTGACCTCCCAAAATGCTGGCATTACAGACTTGAGCCACCATGCCCAGCTATAATTTATATATATGTATCACTAGATTTTATTTGCTAATATTTTGTTTACGAGTTTTGTGTCTATATAAATCAGAGTAGACTTTGCTTAGGTCCTTTATTATAATTTCCTCACTGGATTTTGCTATCAAAGTTACGATAACCTCAAAACATGAGTTAGAAATCTTTTTTTTCTGTGCTCTGGAATAATATATGTAAAATTGATGTTATTTCTAAATGTTTAGAAGAATTCACATAAAATCATTAGGCCTGGAAATTTGTTTTCAAAGGGTTGTAGTTACAGATTTCATTTCTTTTACTAGATATTAACTATTTGTATTATATATTTCTTCATGTGGCAGTATAGTATATAAATTATGGCTTTTTAAATTATTTCACCATTTTATTGAAATCATTGCTCTAAAACTGTTATGATATCTTTTTGTTAGCATTTTATTACCTGAGGGATTTGTAGTTAAGCCCCTTCTTTAAAAAAATCTTGATACTTGGATTTTGTGCCCTCTTTCTTTTTTTCTCTATTTTTCTAGAGATTCATTGAATTTATTAGTCTTTAAAAGAATGAACTTGTAGATTTATTTTCTCTTTTATATATTTGTTTTATCTTTCATTGACTTCTGCTTGATTTTTCTTCTTTCTTGCTGCTTACCTCGAGTTTCATTCATTTCACCTTTCCACCTCTACTATATGCATTTAAATATGACCTTAATTGTAATATTAAAGTTTTTATAAGTTGAATTTTCATTATCATTCAAATAACAGTATTTCCTAATTTTCATTTGTACTCACATTTTAGCTTGTGATTTATTTAGAAGTATATTGAGTACTTTTCAAACATATAAAGGTTTTAACATTATCTTTTTGTTACTGATTTCTAGCCTAATTGTGCCTTTTATCAGAAAATATACTCTGTATAGTTTCAGTCTTATTATATTTGTTATATTTGCTTTATATCTACCATTGGGTTAATTGAGGTTGTTCATATGATGTGAATTCTGCATTTGCTGAGTATAAGGAATATGAATTAGGTCAAGTTTATTGATTGCCTTGTTCAAGTGTACTATATTCACATTGAATTTTTGTTTGCTTGTTGTATCACAGAGAGGTTTGTTAAAATCTTCTACTATGATAATAAATTTGTCCATTTTCCCTTTCGTCATGTCATTGTTTTGCTTCACATATTTGAGACTAAAACTGCAACAAATTCAGAATTGTAATGTTTTAGAAAGATTGACACTTTTATTATGAAATTACCTCTCTTTGTTGCCAATAATGTTTCTTGCCTTAAAGTCTAATCTGGTAAGTGCTCAGTGCATTTACATATTATTATCATCAAATTTGGGGTTTTAAATTTGCTCTCTTACTCTTTGTTTTCTACTTATCTATTCATTCTATATGTCTTTTCTGTACTTTTTGGCATTTTTTTGGATAATATTTCTTCATTCCATTTTTTCCTGTTTTATCTTGCTAATTTTGTTGTTATTTTTTAGTCACTATTCCAAAGATGATGGTGAGCATTCTTGATTGATTAAAGTCTAATGTTAATTAGTACTTTTACCACCTTCAAGAAGATGCAAAGATTTTAGAACACTTGAATTCAATTTATATCTCTCCATGCTTTATCCCATTATTGTCAGGAATTTTGACTCTACCTATATTTCAAATCCTGTTAGGTGATTACTATTGTTATTGTAAATCTTTGATATGTACATAGGTTTACCCACACATTTGCTCTTTCTATTGCTCTTGGTTTCTTTGTGCAGTTCTGGCTCTCACCTGGGATTGCCTTTGCACTTTTGGAATCACTCCTTTTAGCATTTCCCTTAGTTCATGTTGGTGGGTTACAAATCATCATAGTTTCAGTTTGTCTGAAAATATTATTGTGTCATCAAGATGATGGATATTTTTATTGCATAAAGAACTCTAAATTAGCAGTTATTTTCTTTTACAATTTTGAAGATGTTGTTCCATTTCCTTTGGGTTCCATTGCTGTTGTTGAAAAGGCTGTCTTCAATCTTATTGTTGCACACTTAAAAGTTTTTGCCTCCGAACAGATTTTAAGTTTTGTTTTTGTTTTTTCTTTAGAGATGGAGGTCTCACTATGTTGCTTAGGCTGGTCTCAAACTCCTGGCTGAAAGCAATCCTATCATCTCAGCTTCTCGTGTAACATAATTTTAAAATTTCTTTCTTCATTTTTTTATTTCATATATTGGACCTTGGTAGAGTTTTTGTTGTTGTTTCTATTCTCTTTGGGATTCATAGTGCTTCTTGAGTCTATGTCTTTTTTTATTATGATTTTTTAAAAAATGTATTGCCCTTTAAAATATCGTTTCTTCCAAATTCTTCCTCTTGTTTCTTTCCAGAGCAACATTATAGGCATGTTAAAACTTTGCCCTATGTCTTTCATGACTTTTGTGTGATTTTATATAATTTTTATCTTTTTTTTGTTGCCATTATTCAATCTGGTATTTCTTTTTTTTCTTTTTCTTTTTTTTTTGAGACTGAGTTTTGCGCTTGTCACCCAGGCTGGAGTGCAATGGTGTGATCTTAGCTCATTGCAACCTCTACCTCCTGGGATCAAGCGATTCTCCTGCCTTGGCCTCCCTGGTAGCTGGGATTACAGGCACCCACCACTATGTCCAGCTAATTTTTGTATTTTTAGTAAAGACAGGGTTTCACCATGTTGGCCAGGCTGGTCTTGAACTCCTGACCTCAGGTGATCCACCTGCCTTGGCCTCCCAAAGTGCTGGGATTACAGGTGTGAGCCACCATGCCCAGCCCAATCTGCTACTTTCTACTGACCTATATTTCAATTCCATCATCCTCTGTGTCTAATCTTCTATTAGTCTTCATCAGTTAAGTAACTTTAGTTGTTTTATTTTTCAGTTTCAGAATTTCTATTTTATTAAAAAAATTCTCTAGTGTAAATTTTCTATATTTTGTGTACTCTCTTCAAACATTGATTACAGCTATTTTAAAACCAATCAATTCTGAATGCCCTTGTGCATTTGTTTCTATTTTCTGTTTATTTTCATGGTCTGTTTTTCTAGACTTATCTTCAGACATGGCTTTTAATAGTTATTGAAATTTGGACATTGTGTTTAAAAAGTTTGAGAGTCAATTCATTGATCTGGTTAGTGTTATCGTCCTCCAGAGAGTATTTACTTTTGCTTGATGTGTGTGAGGAGGTCGTTATGACGATGGCAAATCTCCTATCTATTCAGTGATTGTCTACCTAATTCAGCAATTTAGGTGATTTGAAATTGGGCTCCCACTTTGTGATGGTACAATATTTTTAGCACATGCTGTCTCCTAGGGTGTAGCCCTTCAGGGGTCCTAACTGAAAATTTGAGGTAATTATAAGGGCACCACCTCCTTGGTGGTCTCTGTTTGCTTCTTAAACTAGATTTCCTTAACTTCTGAGCATCTTAGCCACTGTATTTCACCTGTTTCTTCACCTCTCAGTGTCCAGTTTCAAATCAGCAGTGCCTTGAGTAAAAAGTACTCAGGAGTTGAAAATCAGATTCACTGATTTGTACTTCCTGTCTTCTGGGGATTTTATTTCTTCAAGGTGTCATTGCCTGGGCAGCTTTCTGAAGCCTTCAAACTTATAGGTTTTGCATTCTGTTCATTTTTGTAAGCTGCTCTCAGCAGGAGGGTTTGTCAGCAACAATCTTCTCTACAACTAATAAAGCTTGAAATATCTCTAGCATGAGTTATTTTGAAGCAGATAGCATTTTAACTCATATGGCAGAAAGAACGCACATCTGCTGAAATTGAAGAGTTTCCTGATGCAGAGGCCTTCTCTTCAAACTAAGAAACAAAGTTGGAAGCACTTAGAACATTATGTTTGGAGTAAGAAATGTGAATACTGATGAAAACAGAACTGCAAAAATTTCGCCTAAAATAATGAGTGTTTTAGCACTGTAAAGAATACCAGGAATCACCCCAAATTACCAAAGTTATCATTCTACTTAGGGACCTTAAAATAGAAAGAACCCAGGGCCAGTATCATTTTGATGCCTTTTAAAATTTCTTTTTGAAATAGTGAAATGTCACAATGGATTTTAAAAATAGGGGAATGTTGAAAATGTTGATATTTAATAAATTAGTACTTTTTAATTGACCAATTTCTATATAATATTAACATGCTGTCTACATCAGGAGTTCTCAACCCCTGGGCCACAGACCAGCAGTGGTTCGTGGCCTGTTAGGAACTGGGCTGTACAGAAGGAGCGGAGCAGTGCACGAGTGGGCCAGCAAAGTTTCGTCTATATTTACAGCTGCTCCCCATCACTTGCATTACTGCCTGAGCTCCACCTCCTGTTAGATCAGCAGCGGCATTAGATTCTCATGGGAGCATGAACCTTATTGTTGAATTGTCCATGCTAGGGATCTAGGTTGCAGTGTTCCTTATGAGAATCTAATGTCTGATGATCTATCATTGTCTTCCATCACCCCCAAATGGGACCATCTAGTTGCAGAAAAACAACCTCAGGGCTTCCACTGATTCTACATTATGATGAGTTGTATAATTATTTCATTATATATTATCATGTAATAACAATTGAAATAAAGTGCGCAATAAATGTAATGTGCTTGAATCATCCAGAAAACATCCCCACCCCTGTCTGTGGAAAAATTGTCTTCCATGAAACCTTTCCCTGGTGCCAAAAAAGGTTGGGGACCACCGATTTACATAATTAGAAAGTTTATAAAATCCTAATTTATAGAGTGGTCATCAAATGGTAGGAAAGTTCAAGCAGTTTGAGGAACTGATGTTTTTTTTTCTCAATACTTGCAGTGCATCTCTATGACTGTATGGGCAGCTTCTTCTGGAGATAATGTTGACAGTCTAAAAAGTTAAGCTGTGACGATTTACTCCCCTCCCCTGCCCCTATAGCACACTCTGATTTTAAATATTTTCTCTCTTAATTCTAATTAAATGACATAATTATAGTGCCATATCCCAGTCAATGCCATTTATCAGTGACAGCTAATTAACACAATTATAAAAGTGGGAGCCCTAAGTTACCAGTGAGGTATAGAGCAACTCTGGAAATTTTCTCCTTACTGAAAGGAAATATTACACATATTCCTTCACCAGAAGAACAATACACAGTTTACCTTCCCTTTTTGTTTTTGATAATACCACTTTGTTCCCCATTCTCTACAAAATTTAGTTTGAAGAACATTTTAAAAACTTGATTCATCGTAGTCATCAATCCTTCATAAATATTTCTTGACAATTGGCCTCTCTGTAGTTTGCAACCTGGACTACTCATGTTTAAGAGCTTGGTTTTTCAAGACTATTGTGTTTCAAATGGTTTTGAGGTTTTATGGTCTGTTGACATTCTGAGGAACTTAGAACACATTCACTTCCTTTTGCTTGGTGAGCTGTCCAGAGCCTTTGCAAATGCATGCAGAGCATGGAAATGACCCAGCTGCCCTGCTGTTGAAACAGAATCCTATTTGGAAGGCAGACATGTGGCCCATCTCTGTAGCCATCACTGAGAAATCTGGATTTTCAAGGTAAGTGCAGATGACTTAGGTTTGGGGAGACATGAATGAAAGTGCTATAGAAATAAAGCACACTTAATTTGTTGGCATAGTCCTAATTCAGAATCTTCAAATGGTTCTGCTCTAAAAAGCAAGCTTATTCTCTGACCACAACTCCTCCTTTATAGAAAGAATTGTTCTATTCTTACTGCTTAGGATATGCTGCTCTGAAAGTAAAACCTAATATTTATGGGTAAATGTGAACAAAAATGATTTCAGAATCTCTCTGTCAAAAAACCAGCTAAACATATCATAGAATTTTTTAGAGCAGTTGGCACTATTGAATTTGTGTATAATTATTCAAATGCTTATCTTTTAAGTGATGTCTTAATTTCCTTTTGTTATGAAAATCCTTTAACTCTATTACTGCATTATTTTCAGATAGAGTTTGAAACTATTCAGGCAGCCCTAGTCAATAGAAGGAAACAATCTGTAAGCAATCAAGTACTTAGAAATTTCTAAAAGAAGTATATTCAAAATAACATGTGAAATAATGGTAATTATAATTCTTTCCATCCCACTTTTAAAGTACTACTTAACAGGAAGGATCTGAAAATAACTTCTTAAATAAGATAAATAAAAAGAACAACATCTGTTCAAATAATTTTACTTTAAGTAAAATACTTTCTATACCAGTATTTTCTACTTCCAAGAAGTAATATTTTTCAAATATGTGGAATGAAATATAATGCAAAGTTTTTAAACAATAAGTCAGTAATGCCTAACCTGAATATAGGCATTTAATTTTGTTTCTTTTACAAATTTGTTATATGACTTTTGATAGGTCACTTAATTCTCTGGACTTCAGCGTTCTACATAACTGCACAATTACTTATCTGAGAAATTACTTATTAAGTACTCCAGAATTACATGTCTTTGTTTTCTGTTTTATTGGGTTTAAATCAGTTAATTAGGATTTTAATCAGTCAATAGAAGTAATGGGAAGACCAATGGATGAGGAATCAGGTGGTGTGAATTCTAGTCCTCTGTTTTCTAGTAATTGGCTGCATAATTTGGGGGAATATTGTCTAAGGATTCCAGACCAGGGGTTGGCAAACTTTTTCTACAAAAGCCTTGATAGTAAATATTTTAGGCTTTGCAAGCCAAGAGGTAGAACTGAGGCTAATATATTGGTACTTACATAACCATTTAAAACTATAAAAACCATTCGTAGCTCACAGGCTGTATAAAAACAAGAAGTGAGCCAGCTTTGGCTTAGGTGACACAATTTTCCAACTATTCTTCTAGCAATGATTTTCAACAATTATAAAATGGAAGTTGTAGACTGGATAAGAGATGCTCAGCTAAGGGAGTTCCTGGATGGTCTTTAGATTGATACACCAATCCTCTGAAATTGCATGCAAAAATGTAAGTGTGTGTTTTTCTTTTCTTCCTTTTGTGCGTGTGTGTGTTTCTCTCCCTCCCTCCTTCCTTCCTGCCTGCCTGCCTGCCTGCCTGCCTGCCTTCCTGCCTTCTTCCCTCCCTCCCTCCCTCCATCTCTCTCTCTCTTTCTCTCTTTCTTTCTTCAGGGCCTTTCTCTCTGTTGCCCAGGCTGGAGTTTAGCGACTCAATCATGGCTCACTGACTGCAGCATCGACCTCCGGGGCTCAAGTGATCCTTTCATCTCAGCCTCCTCAGTAGCTGAGACTACAGGTACTTGCCACCACACCTGGCTAATTAATTAATTTTTTTTTTTAAATAGAGACAGGGTCTTGCTCATGTTGCCCAGGTTAGTCTCAAACTCCTGGGCACAAGTGATCCTCCTGCCTTGGCTTTTCAGAGTACTGGGATAACAAACATGAGCCACTGTGCCTGGCAGCACTTTTTTTTTTTTTTTTTTTTTTTTAAATAAGAAAAACACGGATTGATTTTCAAAGTGGTCCAAAATCCAATTGTAGTTAAGGACCACAGGTCTAGCTAATTTCTAAAAGTGCTTTCCAAATTTAAAATCAATGAGCCTGTGAAATGTTTACTGGTGTCTACTATGGGTAAGCCATTGTGCTAGCACTATAAGAGACGTAGCATGTTGTGACTAAAATAATGTGTTAAATATATTGTTAAATAATATGTTAAAAAATATATTTTTGGGACAGGGCCTCGCTCTGTCTCCAAGGCAGGAGTGCAGTGGCACAATCACAGCTCACTGAAGCCTTCACCTCCTGGAATCAAGTGGTCCTCTCACTTCAGCCTTCCGAATAGCTGGGAGTGCAGGTGTGAGCCACCCTGCCTGCCTTTTTTTTTTTTTTTTTTCTTTAGAGAGGGGGTCTCACTATGTTGCCAAGGCTGGTCTCAAATCCCTGGGCTCAAGCAGTCTTCCTGACTCAGACTCAGACTAAAAATATTTTAAAGAAGTTAGAATATGTGCAAGTCTGTGCTGTCTTTCAAAGTAATAACATTGAAAACAATTTTCAATTGATCAAAGATTTCTGAGACATTGCTTTGCAAAGTGTTTTCAAAGCTAGTTCATACGTTATACCAAAGTATTTTCCAAATTATGTTATTGTCCCATCTTATTTTGAATGACAATGTTATTATTCGTGACAGTCATAATCAAACTTAATCTAAGCATAGTCTGTTTCCTAAAAACATAATTTCCTTAAGGGCAGGAACTATGCCTTTGCTACCTTTATATTTTAGAACAGGGTTTGACCCATAATAAGTACCCAGCATCTTTGGAATGGTTATATGAGTGAATAAGTGAATGAAATGATGAAGGTATTATCATGGAGATTACGTACCATAGATAGTGAAGGCTTGGAACTCCAGATGGTCTAAAAGCAGTAGTTGCTAAGTCCAAAGATGGCTTCTCTTTTCAAAATTGGATGTAACTGTGATTTCAAAATAATTGGCCAACTCAATATTGCAGTTCCTGATGATTAAGTCACTTTTTAAAAAGAGTGAAATTTGTGGAATTTAATTAACATAGGAGAGAGAAATACTTTTTACAAGGTTGCTAGTAACCTACTCTCTGGGATGGCGTGAGTGGAGAGTGAAATTTTGTTAATGAAAAGCATTGCCATCAGCATCTGAGCCCCTCGTGTCCTGAGACTGGGTAGAAGATAGTATCAGCTGGAACATCATGCATAACTGGTAGCTTTTCTGGGAAATCCAAAAGTCAAGTCTGGTAGAATTTAGGGCACCACTCTGCTCCCTGATAAAGAAGTTCAGACTGAGCTCCACTGCCTGCCCAATTGATGATGTCAGTCGGAGCACTGTTTCCTGGGAATTTCCCACAGCTACCCAGGGCAGGGGAATAACTTGTGATCAATCAAATTGTAGCTCTGTTCTCACTCCAGGAACAATTCCACTAAAGGAAATCCAATCTATAATATCTAGTATATGATTCATTCACTTCTTAGGGAAATTTAAGATTTAAAATGTTGAGAAATGGTAATGAAAAACCTGAGTAGCTTTGTATATAGTTGGTGTCATGCCTGAGACATCCTTATTCAAAAAAGTGCCTCTCACCTCTACTCTTGTCATCCTCTCATCTCAGAAGCTGTTAGGAAATAGAAATATACTATTTGCTTTGGGATACAATTATACAGTGAGCCTGTGCAGTATCACTCTATATTAAATAGCACCATTTTCTTCACACATTTAGCAGTTCTACTGAGGACATATTCCCGGATCTCCTTAAGGATTGAGATAAGTCCCAAATATAATCCAAAGACCACATGCTTCATGAATGGGAGCTCGAATATGTCTTATGATCCAAGGTCTCACTTGGATGTGGCAGGAAGCTTAGTCCCCTCTCTGAGGATTTCTGAGACTCCCTGGGCAGTGCTTGCATGTTCTACAAATTCAAGACTGGTAGCACACACTCCTCTCGCTTCGACTGCTGTCCCAAGCTCCATTTTCAGATGACCCCTGCACTTCCCTGGAAGGCTTTACTCCAAAACGTGGTCAAGACCCCTTCCATTCCCTCTCAAACACAAGTAAACTTAAATC
Organism: Homo sapiens; assembly: GCF_000001405.40. Classification (NCBI taxonomy): domain Eukaryota; kingdom Metazoa; phylum Chordata; class Mammalia; order Primates; family Hominidae; genus Homo; species Homo sapiens. The sequence goes on from NC_000007.14 coordinate 37,687,882, forward strand.
TGTGACAAAGCTATTTTTGGAGCAAACTTTTTCTTAAAGGACCAGATCATAAATATTTTAGATTTTGTGAGCCAAACAATCTCTGTTGCAACGATACAACTTACAATTGCAATGTGAATGCAACCACAGACGATGCATAAATAAATAAGCTTGGCTGTGATCAGATAAAAACTGTGTTTACAAAAACGAGTGGCCAGCCCATGGGATGTACTTTGCTGGCCCATGAACTATATTGAATGCTTCGTGTCAACTTTTAAAAACTACTATGTAGTAGGCTGGGCGCGGTGACTCACGCCTGTGATCCCAGCACTTTGGGAGGTGGGTGGATCACCTGAGGTCAGGAGTTCGAGACCAGCCTGGCCAATATGGTGAACCCCCGTCTCTACTAAAAATACAAAAATTGGCTGGGGCATGGTGGTACACGCCTGTAATCCCAGCTACTCAGGGGGCTGAGGCAGGAGAATCACTTAAACCCAGGAGGCAGAGGTTGCAGTGAGCCAAGATTGCACCATTCCACTTCAACCTGGGCAACAAGAGCAAAACTCCATTTGAGAAAATAAATAAATAAATAAATAAATAAAATTACAATGTAGTAAAAAGAGATATAAAACTGACAGTTAGAGAATGCCTTCCAGAGGTATCAGCACTTCCCTTCCTGGAGGTGTCCATCATTCATTTTAGCCCTGGCCTGAGGCCATGCTACTGAGACGCACTCATCCTTCCTGGCCAGAAGTCCTCTCTCCTCCTTGCCTTCACTTCCACAATTTCAGGTTCTTCTCCGCACAGGTTAAGCCCCAGCTAGGGATGTGAAAAACAAGTTCATGTCATAGTCATCTGACAAGAGGAAGGCCCATTGAATAGAAATGTGGTCCATGGAGGTCGGAAGCATCTCTGAAACTACCAGTAGCACTTACCTTCCATTAATACCACTAAAGGGCTTATCAAAATTTTCCTTTCTTGACTAAAGAGAGAGTCTGCCATAAAGACAATTCTTTTCCCCTTTCTTTTAAAAATTATTATTATGGTAAAGTATATAAAATTTACCATTTTAAATATTTTACCAGATAGCTTAGTGGCTTAAATACATTCAGTTTGTTGTGCAACCAGGACTACAACTCATTTCCAGAAGTTTTTCGTTATCCCAGACTAAAACTCTTTACTCATTAAACAGTTACTCCCCATTCTTTCCTTCTCTCAGGCCCCTGGTAATCTTATGAAGCTATGATGAAATTTATCAAATGCTTTTTCTGAATCTATTGAGATGATTACATGGCTTTTGTCTTTCATTCTATTGATGTGATATGTCAGATTTGTCGATTTGCATATGTCAAACTATCCTTCTATCCTTAGGATAAATCCCTTTTGGTCATGGTGAATAATCTTTTTAATGTGCTGCCAGATTCCATTTACTAGTATTTTGTTGAGGATTTTTGCATCTGTGCTCATCAGGGATATAGGCCTATAATTTTCTTTTTTGGTTGTATCCTTGTCTGGTTTTGGAAACAGGTTAATGCTGGCCTTGTAGAATGAGCTTAAAAGACTTTCCTTCTCTTCAATTTTATGGAAGAGTTTGAAAAGAAATAGTATTAGTTATTTTCTGAATGTTTGGTAGGGTTCAGCAGCAAAGTCATGAGGTCTTGGGCTTTTCTTTGATGGGAGACTTTTTTAAAATTATGGATTCAGTTTTATTATTAATAATTGGTCTATTCAGAGTTTTTGTTTCTTCTTGAGTCAGTCTTGGTAGGGTGTATGTGTCCATGAATTTATCCATTTTTGCTAGGTTTTCCAACTTGTTGGTGTACAGTTGTTCATGGTAGTCTTCAGTGATCCTTTTTTTTTAAAATTTCTGTGCTATTAATTGTACAGTCTCTTTTCATTTCTGATTTTATTTATTTGGGTATTTTCTCTTTTATTCTTGGTTAGTTTAGATAATCATTTGTCAATTTCATTTATATTTTCAAACAGTTAAGTTTTTGTTTCATTTCTCTTGTTATTTTTTTTCAGTTTCAATTTCATTTATTTCTGCTCCGATCGTTATTATTTCTTTCCTTCTTCTAATTTGGGGTTTGTTTTGTTTTTGTTTTTCTAGTCCCTAGAGATACATTGTTTATTTGAAATCTTTCTACTTTTTCGATGTAGGCATTTATTTTTACAAACATCTCTCTTAATACTGCTTTTGCTGTGCTCCATAAATTTTGGAATTTTAGGTTTCTATTTTCATTTATTTCAAGAAATTTTAAGATATCCTTCTTAATTTCTTCATGACCAATTGGTCATTCAGGAGCATGTTTTTTTGTTTGTTTGTTTTTGTTTTTGTTTTTAATTTCCATGCATTTTTACGGTTTTGAACATTTCTCTTGTAATATACTTTGGATGTCCCCTCCGAATCTCATGTTAAGATGTAATTCCCGGCGTTAGAGGTGAGACCTGGTGGGAGGTGTTTGGGTCGTGGGAGCAGATCCCTCACGGCTTGGTGCTGTCCTCCTGATAGCGAGAGGGTTTTCGCAAGATCCACTCATTTAAGTGTGTAGCACTTCCCCTGTCCTTTCCCCTTTCACAGTGCGACGTGCCTGCTCTTGCTTTGCCTTCCACAGTGAGTAAAATCTTCCTGAGGTCTCCCCAGAAGCAGATACTGGCACTATGCTTACTGTAGAGCCTGCAGAGCCATGAGCCAAATAAACCTCTTTTCTTATAAATTACCCAGTCTCCGATATTTTTTATAGCAATACAAGAGCAACCTAATACACTCTTGTTATTCATTTCTAGATTATTTCATCGTGGTAAGAAAAGATATTTGATATTATTTCAATTCTTTTAAATGTGTTGAGGATTGTTTTGTGGCCTAACATGTAACCTATCCTGAAGAATGTTTCATGTGTTGATGAAAAAAAAAAAAGTGTATTCTGCAGCCGCTAGATGAAATGTTCTGTAAATATCAGTTAGGTATATTTCATCCAAAGTGCAGCTTAAATCCAATATTTCTTTGTTTATTTTCGCTCTATATCATTTGGCCATGCTGAGAACAAAGTGTTGAAGTCTCCTGTGTTACTGTATTGTAGTCTATCTCTCCCTTTAGATTCAATTACATTTGTTTTATGTATCTATGTGCTCTGGTGTTGGGTCATATATATTTGCAATTGGTGTGTTCTCTTTCTGAATTGATCCTTTTTATCATTGTATGATGACCTTCTTTGTATCTTTTTAGAATTTTGATTAAAATCTCTTTTATCTGTATAAGTATAGTTACTCCTGCTCACGTTTGGTTTCTGTTTACATGGAATATCTTTTTTCATCTCTTCACTTCTAGTCTATCTGTATTATTACAGGTGAAGTAAGTTTATTGTGAACAGCATATAGTTGGGTCCTTTTTTTTTTTTTTTTTTAACCTAGTTACCCAGTCTATATCCTTTTTTTTTTTTTTTTTTTTTTTTGAGACAGAGTCTCGCTCTGCTGCCCAGGCTGGAGTGCAGTGGCGCCATCTTGGCTCACTGCAACCTCTGCCTCCCGGGTTCAAGTCAGTCTATATCTTTTAAGTGGAGAATTTAATCCATTTACATTCAAGGTTATTATTTATAGGTGAAGACTTACTCCTGTTATTTTGTTAATTGTTTTATTGTAGTTTTGTATGTTCTTTGTTCTTTTTTCCTCTCTTATTGTTTAGTATTGTGGTTTGATGATTTTCTGTAGTATAAAGTTTGATTATTTTCTGTTTCTCCTTTGTGTATCTGCTGTACAAGTTAGTTTTATGCTTTTGCATGTTTTCGTGATGATTGTCGTTTTGCTTTAGATGTAGGACTCCCTTGAGCATTTTTTGGTAAGGCTGGTGAGTGGTAGTAAATTCTCTTAGTTTTTCTTTGTCTGGGAAAGATGTTTTTATCTCCATTTCTGAAAGATAGCTTTTCTGGGTGTAGTCTTGAGTGGAGTTTTTTCCCCCCCTTTAACACTTTGAATATGTCATCCCATTCTCTCCTGGCCTGTTAGATTTCTCTTAAGAAATGTGTTGTTAATCTAACGGGGATTCCTTTAGAGTGACTTTATACTTTTTATTGCTGTTTTAAGAATTCTCGCTGTCTTTGACTTCTTTTTTTTGTGTGGGCTGAATTGCATGCTGTTTTTCTTTCTTTTTTTATTACACTTTAAGTTCTGTGATACATGTGCAGAACATGCAAGTTTGTTACATAGATATGCATGTGCCATGGTGGTTTGCTGCACCCATTGACCTGTTATCTATATTAGGTATTTCTCCTAACGCTATCCCTCCCCTAGCTCCCCATCCCCCAACAGCCCCCAGTGTGTGATGTTCCCCTCCCTGTGTCCATGTGTTCTCATTGTTCAACTCCCACTTATGAGTGAGAACATGCAGTGTTTGGTTTTCTGTTCCTCTGTTAGTTTGCTGAGAATGATGGTTTCAAGCTTCATCCATATCCCTGCAAAAAACATGAACGCATCCTTTTTTATGGCTGCATAGTATTCCATGGTGTATATGTGCCACATTTTCTTTATCCAGTCTATCATTTATGGGCATTTGGGTTGGATCCAAGTCTTTGCTATTGTGAATAGTGCAGCAATAAACATACATGTACATGTGTCTTTATAGTAGAATGATTTATAATCCTTTGGGTATATACCCAGTAATGAGATTGCTGGGTCAAATGGCATTTCTGGTTCTAGATCCTTGAGGAATCACCACACCTGTCTTCCACAATGGTTGAAATAATTTACACTCCTACCAACAGTGTAAAAGCATACGTATTTCTCCATATCCTCTCCAGCATCTGTTGTTTCCTGGCTTTTTAATGATACTATTCTAACTGGCGTGGGATGGTATCTCATTGTGGTTTTGATTTGCATTTCTCTAATGACCAGTGATGATGAGCTTTTTTTCATATGTTTGATGGCCACATAAATGTCTTCTTTTGAGAAGTCTTTGTTCATATCCTTTGCCCACTTTTTGATGGGGTTGTTTGTTTTTTCTTGTAAATTTGTTTGAGTTCCTTGTAAATTCTGGATATAAGCCCTTTGTCAGATGGATAGATTGCAAAAATTTTCTCCCATTCTGAAGGTTGTCTTTTCACTCTGATGACAGTTGTTTTATTTTTTTGCTGCGCAGAAGCTCTTTAGTTTAATTAGATCCTATTTTTCAATTTTGGTTTTTGTTGCCATTGCTTTTGGTGTTTTAGTCATGAAGCCTTTGCCCATGCCTATGTCCTGAATAGTATTGCCTAGGTTTTCTTCTAGGGTTTTTATGGTTTTAGGCTTTATATTTAAGTCTTTAACCATCTTGAGTTAATTTTTGTATAAGGTGTAAGGAAGGGGTCCAGTTTCAGTTTTCTGCATATGGCTAGCCAGTTTTCCCAACACCACTTATTAAATAGGGAATCCTTTCCTCATTGTTTGTTTTTGTTAGGTTTGTCAAAGATCAGATGATTGTAGATATGCGGCATTATTTCTGAGGCCTCTGTTCTGTTCCATTGGTCTATATGTCTGTTTTGGTACCAGTATCATGCTGTTTTGGTTACTGTAGCCTTGTAGTATAGTTTGAAGTCAGGTAGCATGATGCCTCCAGCTTTGTACTTTTTGCTTAGGATTGTCTTGGTTATATGGGCTTGAGGAGTCACATACGGCTGTGTTTCTGTAAACTGAACCAATAGGCCTCAGTGGCAACTTGGGACAAAGGGGATGAAGCACCTTGTAGTGGTGAGTCTAGACCCTGGGATGGTGGGGCTTAGCAGCATCCCAGACTTGTGAGAGCAGGTACAGTGGCAGCAAGTACCCCAGAATGGTGGGGCACAGCTGTTGGGGCCCTGGGGGAGCATGAAGCAGCACAACAATGACTCTACTCCCTGGGAAGAGGGGTATCTCAGTAGTTCAGACTCTAGGGGGCTAGTCCAACTCCAGGGAAGCAGAATACTGGAGTTGTTTTGCCTGTAAATGTGGGGTGTCTCAGCTCAGCCACTGCTGTTTCCCTTGGATGTAGGGTGTCATGTCAGTTCAGCCTTAGATGTGCAGCTTCTTAGCTTGAAGTCTGTAAAGACAAAGTTCCCAAGGGGCAATGAGCCACTTCAGCCAGTCCTGGAAGGCATGACTAGTCTGGATGACCCGGGCACCATTTCCTTGGGATATAGGGCACTGTTTCGGCTTAGGTGCTGCAGGGTATGACCACTTCAGACAGTCAAGGCACCATTTCCTGGGAGGCAGGTTGTTGCTTCAACTTAGACTTTGGTGAGGTATGACTGCTTTGGGCAGCCAAGGAACTGTTTCCCTGGGATGTCAGGCATAGCTTCAGCTCTGAAACCTGTGTCAGGGCACAGTAGTAACTGGAAGGGATGAGAAGCAGTGTGCAACTTCAGTATTGGTCCTGTGGGACAGGTGCAGCAGCAAGTGGGAGGGGCTTTTGGAGCAGCTCTGCCGGGGCACTGTTTACTTGGGAGGCAATGCACAGCCTTGGCTTAGGCCCCTCAGGGCAGGGTGCAGCAGCAACTGGGAGAAGTATATGAAGCAACTTCACCAAGGCACCATTTCCCCAGGAAAGGTTGTGCAACTTGAGCTCAGGCCCCAAGGGGCAGGGCGCAGCAACAACTGGAGAGGTAGATGGAGCTGTTCTGCTGAAGAACTGTTTTCCTAGCAGGGAGCGTGCAGCTGCAGGTCAGACCCTGTCTTAGTCCATTTGTGTTGCAATGAAGGAATATTGAGGCTGGGTAGTTTATAAAGAAGATTGGTTTATTTAGCTCATGGTTCTGCAGCCTGTACAAGAAACATGGCAGGTGTGCAGATCACATGGCAAGAGAGGAAGCAAGAGAGATGGGGAAAGTGCCAGGCTCTTTTTAACAACCAGCTCTCAGGGAAATTCTCACAGGAATTAATAGAGCAAGAATTCACTTATTACCATGAGGAGAGCACCAAGCCATTCATGAGGGATCCACCCCCATGACCTTAGCACCTCCTGTTTGGCCTGGATTCCAACATTGTGGATCAAATTTCAACATTAGGCTTGGAGGGTCAAATATCCAAACTACAGCTCTATCCTAAGGCTAGAGCTCAGTGACTGGGAAGGGTAGATAAAGGAATTCCACTAAGGCACCATTTTCCCAGCAGGCAGTGTACAGCCTCAGCTTAGGGCCCTGAAGGCAGGGCACAGCCACGACTGGGAGATGTATATGGAGCTGTTCTGCCAAAGCAAGGTTTCCCTAGGAGGGATTGCACAGCTTCAGCTTTAGCTCCAGGCAAGGGGGCAGATGGAGGAGCAGGTAGAGTGGTTCCACTGCTGCTTGGTCTCCAGGGAAGGGTGTAACAGCTGCTCACAGCTCAACTTGGGGATTTCAGGCCACAGAATGGGGGTGGTTCTGTGGCAGCTTAACTTCAGGGATGAAGAGGCACCCATAGCTCCATGCCCCTGGAGCAAGACACACTCCAACATAGTTCCAGTTCCAAAATGGCATAACACAGTAGCCATGCAGGCCACTGGGGGTGGGACACTGTGTCCACTCCTCTGCTAAGAGCACAGCTGTGTGGACTCCAGGCAGCTCCCTCAGCTCAACTTAATGCCTGTGAGGACTGTAGAGACCCACTGGCAAGGTCTGTAGATGTCCAAAGTGTGGATGATGTTGGCTAGGGTTCTCTTGCTCACCTTTCTGACAATGGGAGAAATTCCTCCTGGCTCCCAGCTGATCCTGGGTGGGGGATGGGATGTAGGAGTCCTTGTGTTTCCTTCCGTTCTCTATGTGGGTATCCTAAGTTTCCGTGTTCACTCAGGTTTCTATTACTTCTTTTAGGAACTCCGCCACTCTGCTTTAGCCTTTTTTATTAAAATGTAGTTATTTATTCATTGTTTTGTCTGTCTTTGTGGTGAGGACATGTGCTAGGGGCTTCTAGTCAGCCATCTTTCTGTCACTCAGCTATACTTTCTCTTTAAACACTTATGTAGTGTTTGAATTTAAAAATGTATATTGACAAGCCAACATGCCGTGTTGTCACTGTGTGGCGGTGGAGGTTATCCCCTGATTATCTCTATTCTACTTTCAGTCTCTATAAATTTGACAATTTTAGGTCCCTTGTATAAATGAAATTACATAATATTTGTTCTTTTCCTTAAAGATAAATTCTTGCATCTGTTCTTGGAATCACATGAAAAAATAAGTTACCCATATACCTTGGCCTCCAGCCACCTCTGGTTTGGAAGTACAGACAATTCCCCATATAAACAATGGTTGACTTATAAGTTTGCAACTTTATAATAGTGTGAAAGCAATACTCAGTAGAAAACAGACTCTGAATCTTGAGTTTTGCTTAAAAATCATTTATAATAACGTTATTATAAAATAGCTTTGTGTTAGATGATTTTGCCCAACTGTAGGTTAATGGATGTCTTCTAAGCATATTTAAAGTAGTTGAGGCTAAGCTATGATGTTTGGTAGGTGAGGTATGTTAAATACACTTTCAATTTAATGGTATTTTCAACTTACGATGAGTTTTTAGAGACAAAACCCCTTTGAAAATTGAGGAGCATCCATATTGGAATCTTGTCTAAGAATACCCTGCTATGTGTTTTTCATGCATTACCGCCCACTGTCCTCCACCTGTTGCTCCTGCAAACATATATTGTCAATTCCCTTCTTTGGAATGTTATGCTCTATGCCTGGCATTCAACCACCTCATTTTCCTCAGCGCGACTTGTTATTCAGCCCAGCACAAGGACCACTGATGTGCACATATGGAATTGTTCTCATTTCTCTGTGTCATCTAGTATAATGGCACTCATATAGCACATCTATGCTGCCTTACAAAGATAATTTTAGTTTAGGTTTAATCTTATTATTTGGTTGTAATCTCCTTGTAGAACAGGATCCAGTCTTTATGCTATGTGATGGCCTTGCTTAAAATTTTGGCATGAGATGCAATAATGTTTTAAAAAGTTAAACAATCGTCACATTAATTTGATGCCTACTCTCTCTCTCCTCTCCCCAGTCACCCTTCATACTCATTTCAGATGCAGTAAATTTGACACAAACATATATAGGTTTTCTTAGTTGCGTTTTCTGGAAAAAATTTTAATAGTAAAATAGAAATGATTTTACCTAATTTATCTTTATAATACCATAGATAGATAGAGAGTGAGAGAGACAGAGAGATTCAAAGATATTTTTATAACCCATGCATTCCAGGAGACTATAATTAGTTAGAAGGACACAATTTATATATGTAAAACTAATGCCAAGATCAGAAGACTTTCTGAAAATCTATACTTGTAAAATGCTTTATGATTTATAAAGAGGAGGTAGAAGTAATAATTCTTATTTTACTGTTTTTTTTTCCCAGATACTTAATTACGAGAAATTACAAGTTAAGCGTCAAATTTTCTTCACAGGAACAGATCTAAAACAGGCCAATTCGGAGACATTTGCAGAAAAACAGAGTGATTAGATAATCTTTGTTAGCATAAATGGAAAAAGAACATTGAGTAAATATCATTAACCAAATGACTGAGTGGGTAGTTAGTTTTGTAGCTAGTTTTCTAGAATATGTCCTAATACAATTAAAGTTTATTTTAAAAACTTTAAAGCCTTATAATACAAATGGAAAAATCAAGGCTCAAGGTCACCTAGCCAGTCAGGAGAGTGAATTTTGACTTCCAGCTCTAAGTGTGTCTCAGCAGCCTCCATGCTCAGGCATGAGTTACGGATGTGGACCCTGAATGCTGTGGTGGTTTAGGAAGGAGGGAGATCAGTGAAGGTGGCGAGATCAGAAGGTTGACTCTTCACTGAGTCTCAATGTACAAATGGCATTTGGATAAACAACAAGAAAATTGACACTCAGGCACATTAAGGCAGTGATTCTCAAAGTGGGTTTGTTTCAGAATCACCTGAACCACTTATCAGCACCAGTCTCTCCACAAATTCTAATCCAGTGGTCTGAGAAGAGGCTCTGGGCACGAGGGATTTGATTAATCTCTTTAGGTGATTATGAAGGCTAGTGGTTAGGAGCCTGGTTATCTCTCATCTTGTATAGTAAGTGCCAATACCAAGGACATAACTAACAGCCGATCTGAGGGCTTAAGTTTAAGAGAAGGAGGAATAGAGAAGTTTCTAAGATATTCAGAGACACCCTGTGCATCCTGGCCCCCGTGCCTGGCAGCATGGGATACATACAGGAGGCTTATGCCACAGGGTGAAATATAGGCTAGTAAGTTTATTCCTTATTGCCTAGACTTTCTTTATAAAAACCGTGATGATTCTCTCTGCTATTGAGTACTTTAAAGAAACAAGCACACCTGCCATATTCCAGATGCATGGCCTTGGTCAGCTTCATCAAGCCTCAGCTTCTCATGTAAGTAAAAGGAAGAGAGTGATATCTAACTCAAATGAAAATTGTGAGGATCAAAAGTAATAATGTGTGAAAAATGCCTAGGACAGAGCATTATTCAAAATTATTACCCTTCTTCCCTCCTACCACCATGGTACAGTTTTTAGTTTTTATAACATCTATAAATAAAAACAAACTATCCTGTCTCACTATTCCATCAGTCAACGATTTTCAGCCAAAGGCCACGAGAACCTGTGTGTAGGGCTTATGACTCATTGCGGGGAGGGGAAACACACGCCATGGGGAATCTTGAGGCAACTTAGTAAGGGAGTATTAGAAACAGTCTGTGGAAGGATTTGGGTTTTGGTTGGGTAACTGGGGATTTGCTATGTATTGGATGCTGTCAGAAAGCAGGGACAACTTTATGATTAGGTAAAGAAATGTCAGTCACTAATTTTAACCAGAAAAGGGGGTATTTGGTATTTTATGGGTGGCCCAATGACCTTGTTTTTGTCTGTGCTTAGACAAAATTTTGCAATAGACTTGTTTTGTACCACTTTGTCATGGCCTTAGAGTGATCTTACTTGAGCTGCTCTCTTTTTTTAATTTCTCACATCTGAAATAAAAGAAAATGTAGGAGCAAAGCTGATATATATTTGAATTGTGAAAGGTGAAGAAGTGTTGAGACACTGAATATTTGTTGAGCAGTTTCTGTATCCTACGTCAAGATAAACTTTGATCCTTCTGAGAATGTCACAAGTATCTTATCTACATAAGGTGGGATTTGAAGCCAGATCTAGCTGACTTTTAACCACTGAAACTCCCAGTCTGGTGTGCTGTCACCTTATTGAGCTGTGCTTTGGGCACCATTAGAGCATGTGAATGAATTCCTGCCTGTCTGTTGAAATGGCCTGGCTTTGACTTTACTTATAATAGAAAACATACTTTGATCCAGAATCACGGATTGGCAGTTTTTTTTTCTATGAAGAATCAGATAGTAAATATTTGTGGTTCTGTGGGCCATAAAGTTTGTAGTAGGACTACCCAACTGGCAATGTAGTGAAAGAGTGGCCATAGATCATATGTAAACACATAGGTGGGCCAGGCATGGTGGCTCACACCTGTAATCCCAGCACTTTGGGAGGCCGAGGCGGGTGGATCACGAGGTCAGGAGATCAAGACCATCCTGGCTAACACGGTGAAACCCCATTTCTACTAAAAATACAAAAAATTAGCCGGGCGTGGTGGCGGGCGCCTGTAGTCCCACCTACTCGGGAGGCTGAGGCAGGAGAATGGTGTGAACCCAAGAGGCGGAGCTTGCAGTGAGCTGAGATCGTGCCACTGCACTCCAGCCTGGGCAACACAGCGAGACTCCGACTCAAAAAACAAAACAAAACAAATAGGTGTAGTTATGCTCCAGTAAAACTTTATTTATAAAATCAGGTGGCAGGTGGGATTGGGCCCTTTGGCTATAGTTTGCAAACTTTTTATCTAGATGATAAGTAAACAAGATCCCAAATGAACTTGGATTTTTAAAAATGTATTGAACACATTTAAAGTTGCTTTGAATAAGTAAATATGTGTAATAAATATAAATATGAGCAAATATAAATGTTGTGAGGTTTTGTTTTTTCAGGGGTTTATTTATTTACTTATTTTTAAAAATGCTTATTTCCAAACACGACAGAGAATCAGCATGGGGCCTCATGCCATTTGCTTTTTCCATCTGTATAGTGACAACTGGATCTTGTGAGGCCAAAGTGGTTATTGAATAGCTTTTCTGTCCTTCAGTCTATCAGGCACCATACTTGGCCCTTCCTTTTATTATTCCTTAAATGATAACTCTTGTTTGCTAAACTGAAGCTTGGAGAGGGTGAACAATTTGTCCTCAGTCATCCAGATATTGTGGTAGAGCTGGTGCTGAAACTCACACTTTTTCCACTATACCTTATCCCTCAATTTTTACAAATTATTCAATTGATGTTCTGGGCCAAAAGAAGATCTTGGATTATCTTCTGAATCATCGAACTAAAATGATGTGATCAGATTGAATTTAGTGCAGAGTGTATTTTGTTACATTTTACTTTTTTGAAAAATTAGGATTAGAGGCTAAATGTGGAAATCACAATTCAGTACCATAGTGTTGAAGGTCATTGCATATTGAGCCTCAGCATGCTAATTTCCTTTTTATAGATTCTTCTTTCGGCAAAGCATAGCATAATAACCCCACCTGAAAACCAAGATTATCTACCGCCACCATGTCAGATTGTCTCCACTGTAGCTTGATGGTAGAAAGATGAGGTAAGGCATATCATGAGAGAGATTCACTGTGAACCTCCTCTACCACATGCTATGCCACTGATCTCAGGCAAAAGGAATTTTCAACTAGAATCTCCTATTCTGTAAATGTGGAAAACAAATACAAACATATATAGGTAACTGGTACGGTACATTGTTATGATTTTATGTTTATAGTCAAATAACATACAAATGATATTTTTCATGCAAATTAATTAAAACAACCTCCTAGTCATACAATTTATACATTCATTTATACCATATACCCAGCTCCTACATATTTCTATGGATAAATATGGAAGATATCCCAACATTATCACAAGTATATTATATATGTAAGATGAAATTTGAAGCCAGATCTTCAAATCTTCAAATCTTTAATATCGCCACTAAACAGTATTCTCTTTTAGAAGAGTCCAACCTATATTTTTCTCCTACTACCAGCCTAGTAAACTCACCTGCCCCAGGAAATTGTGTCTGATTAACCTGAGCGTGGATGCTTTATTCTTCCAGTCTAGACAGGATTTGCATCCTTAGCTTATGCTGAAAAGTGATCATATACCCCATTGTACATGGAACTATGTCATTGTGGTAGGACATTATTATAGTGAACATACTCCTAGTAGTTCCATTTGCAAACTTGGGGACAATACATCTTATGATTCGTTGTGATTTGGCAAAGAAAAGTCTTCCAAGTGCTTCAAATGGAATATAGAAGAAAATGTATGATTATTTTTCCTAAGTCTCTTTCTTTCTCCAGTACCTCATTGTACATTCATTTACGAAAATAGTAATAACTATTAATAATAGGAAATATAAATCATAATAGAAAAATGGTCATCCATGTATTTCTGACTTTAATGTTTGAGTGGGTTGTTGGGAGAGGAATGGAGGGAGACTTGCTTCATGACCCAGGGAAAGGCCTTTGAGAAGCACCACTAGATCTCAGCTCAATTCTGTCTTCTGTTCTATTTCACTTCCTATGCAGACTTGCCAGATTTAGAAAATGAAAACATGGGACTCCCAGTAAAATTTGAATTTCAGATTAATGGTAAATATTTTTTTAGTACAACTATGTTCCAAATATTGCATGGGGTATTTATACAAAATAATCATTTGTTGTTTGCCTGAATTTCAAATTTAACTGGTTATCCTGCATTTTATCTGTCAACCCTACACACAAATCCTTAAGGCTCTGAGTTTTCATGTGGAGAGTTTTCTCATTCAGTGGAATTGTACTTAATTTTCTGCACAACCACACATAAGCCTTTAGAAAACTTGCTTAACCTGCAGCTAATAATTCATATCGTAGAGTTGTCATGAGGATTAAATGGAGAAAATGCAAATAAATCTAGGTTCAGGTTAGGATTCAGCAGCTGCTCGAAAATCATTAGGTAAATGTTTATTTTCTTTTTTCCTCTCAAACTTATTTCAATGCTTTCCTAACCTTTCCAGGAAGAATAAGGAGCTCCTCCCTTTTCCCTTTCAACAGGCTGTACTTCTTTCTGTTGCAGCAACCTACATGGTTTAAGGCTTGTTTTGTAATAATGACATAGACATACCAATTTCTTTCTTGTTTGGTTTGTGTTTTGTCAGACATAACTTTTTAAGATTTTTTTCTTTCAAAACTTTCCAAGTCATCTTATTTAAAACATGTCTAAATAATGGCCTTCTAAGTAATTTTTAGACATAAAGTCTGATTTTAAAAATCTCATTTTTAACTGTAGAGTTTGGTACACAAATTATATATTGATAAAATGTACATCTATTTCTGCCTTTTAGTTTTTTGTTTACTATTTGTCAATATTGTTTTAGGTTTTATTTTTCTCTCCTTTCTTCTTCCCTTTTCCCTCCTTTTCTCCCTTCCTCCCTTCTGTCTTTTTTTCCTTCCTTCCTTTCCTCCTTCCTTCATTTCTTTTTTAATCAAGTAAACTTTTTTCTTCTTCACTTCGTTTTTTTACCTTTACTAGTTCGGAAGATATACACTCTATTTTTACTCTTTTATTGCTGTCAAATACAAATTTTCACATTAGTTTAAGAAAACGGAAGTTAAATAATCTTACTTTCTTCTCAAACAATACACATATCTCGGAACACATAGACAGAAAGTCCCCCCAGGAGTGGGGAGGGATAGCACTGGGAGATATACCTAATGCTAGATGACGAGTTAGTGGGTGCAGCACACCAGCATGGCACATGTATACATATGTAACTAACCTGCACAATGTGCACATGTACCCTAAAACTTAAAGTATAATAAAAAATAAATAAATAAATAAATAAAAATAAAAAAATAAAAAAATAAAAAATTAAAACCCAGTTCAATTCAAAAAAAAAAATAAATAAAATAAAAATTAAAAAAAAAAGTCCCCCCAAAGTCATATAATATTGTTGCCTAGTATTTTAGTATTTTCTAGTATTTTAAACTGATAAATCAGATATTGTTGATTCATATAAAATATGTTTACCCACATATTTACAGTGTTTTGAGGTAACATTTCTTCCTTTATTATTTGATTTTCCTTCCTGTGTAACTTTCATTGTTTTTCAAATGTATCCTCCATATGTACCTTTAGTAAGGGTAAACCGGTAGTATTATCTTTCAATTTTCATTTGTATAAAAGGTCTTTATTTTGCTCACATTCTTCAAAGAATTTTACTGTGTACACATTGTAGGTTGATTATTATTTTCACTCATTTTTTTAAAGATAGTAGTCGACTGTCTTCCTGCTTCCACTGCCACTTTTAAGAAGCTGTTTGTCTGTGTAGAGGATTTTTTTTAGTGGTCTGTCTTCTCTAATTGGCTGCCTTTAATATCAGCTTCTTTTTCCTTAGTATTCTGTGGTTTCACTATGCTGTGTCTAGGTATGATTTCTTTTTATTCACCCTGCTTAAGAACTTTTGGCCTTACTGAATCTGATGATTGATGTTTTTCATCAATTCTGGAAATTTCTCAGCTATTATCTCTCAAAAAAACTGCCTTCACTTGGCTCTCTTTATCTTCTACTCTGGAACAAATTTAACCTCCATGTGACTTCCTTTTTGTAATTTTCATTTTTCTTACAGGAACATAGCATAGTTGCTAAGAAACAGAATTGAATCCAAACTCTGGGTTGAAATGATGCCTTTAACTCTTAGTTGGTATATAAATTCAAGAAAGTTTCTTAAGCTTTCTGTGCCTCAGTTCCCTCAGTTCTAAAATGGAGGGAGCAATAGTATCTACTTCATAGGATTGTTGTAAAGATTGCAAGATGAAATATGTGTAAAGTGCTAAGAAGCTTGCACAGTGTATTTGCTCTTATTTTCTTTTTGTGTTGCATTCTGAGCAATTTTTTTCATCTCTATTATATGGTTCACCAATTTTTATTTTCTCTTTCTGGTTCTATTAGTATATTTTTCACTTTCAAAAATACAACTTTCGAAAAGTAATTTTTGGTTATTTTTCAAAATGCCTATACATTTTAAAAAATCACTTACTTTTAATATATTACATTATTTTATATATGTACGTTTGCATTGGCATTTGCTATTGCTAGTTACCTTCTGCCAGATACCCAGAAACCCTGGGCCATTTCAAACTAAATTTTCAACATGGGATTTTTTGAGACCCACTGATAGTATAGATTCCTTTGTCCAAACTCTGACAAAGCTGTCTTATGGTTATGAATTTTTGTGGGGAGAATATATTTTTTCTTTTCCACCCAAAGCTAAAACTAGGACAAGTAAGTAGACTGTGTCTTTCTCTGGAGTTGATTTTTTTTTTTCCAAGTGTTTTCCTTTTCTTAGGTTGTAGCTTTGTGTGTGTGTTAGTCTGTTCTCATGCTGCTATGAAGAAACACCTGAGACTGGTTAATTTATAAAGGAAAGAAGTTTAATTAACTCACAGTTCCGCATGGCTGGGGAGGCCTCAGGAGACTTACAATCGTGGCAGAAGGCACCTCTTCACAGGGTGGCAGGAGAGAGAATGAGACCCAGTAGGGGAAATGCCAGATGCTTATAAAACCATCAGATCTTGTGAGAACTCACTCACTATCATGGGAACAGCATGGGGGAAACCACCCCCATGATTCAATTACCTCCCACTGAGTCCCTCCCATGACACATGGGGATTGTAGGGATTACAGTTCAAGATGAGATTTGAATGGGGACACAGCTAAATCATATCAGTGTGGTCGAGTCCAATCTGACTTTACACCTTATATGGGGCCCAGGCTTTGTCCCTGTTGTGCTGTGTATATGGGTCTGTTAACAGGAAAGATCTAAGTCTCCAGCATTGATGAATAACTTCAGAGCTGCCTCTGCTTTTATACTCATTTACTCGCTTACCTTTCTTGATTTATGTATTATGAAATTATTCTTTTCTACTAAGACTTTCTACTTATTTTTAACTCATCCATGAGTTTTTAAAAGATGTTTAAAAAATGATTTTTCGCATTTTAGGGTACTTTCCACTGTGAACCGAGGTCAACACTAACTGACTCTGCCTCAAATTCCACATCAGAGTTATTGCTATGTGCTCAGTGACAAGCCCAATACTTAGTATGCAATAGCCACTCTAATAATACTTATTAAATGAATAAATATATGTATAGTTGAATGTAACCCTGGTATTATTTAGATATTTCTCTAAAAACCCAAGGAAAGCTTACTTTGATATTGAAGACAATTAAAATATGTTAAATTTAAAACATTCTATTAAAGCTCTGAACAGAATGCAGGCCTCAATCTGCAACTTTAGGAATTTTTACTGACTTCAGATGGGCAGTCCACAATTCATGTGTTTGCTCTTTTGAAGAATATTCTGCCATAGAAAATAATACTCTAAATGTTGGTTTGATCACCAGACTAAATGGTAAAACCTATATCACTGATAAATTATTTACATCACAGCATAAATACATCTAGAGAATGTATTCTCCATTTATAATATTATTTCTATAACCTCAGTAGAGAAAGGAAATTCTGGGGACTGCGATATATCAGTTGGATTCTGGCTTATGCTAATTGTCTGAAGGAAAGTACATCTGCAAATCTAGGGTTTTTACATTGGAAATTGCTTGCTGGCCTCTTCTCAATATGTTGAGAAAACATATTGAGGGCAAGAAATAAAGTGAGTTCTCTGACTTGGTAAACCTGATTTGAAGTGACAATGAGATGGGGGTCTGAGGGAAAAGATACCAAAGCCTGAGGCTGAAAATTCAAATTTGCAATTAAGAAAATGGTTTTCATTCTGGGATGCCTATTGAAAATATTTGGAGAGCAATAAAAAATATAGACAGCTATACGGTATTCCCATAAGTGAGAACCACGTGTCACTATTTTGCAAAAGCTTCCCAGGCAATTCTATAGGGCAGCCACAGTTGATGCATCAATCCGGATGCCATGAGAAAACTGAAACCACTCCAGGTATTTGAAACAGGAAGGGGTCTAATGTAGGGAATCAGAGGCTGCGACAGCACTGAACGGGCTGAGAGAGGAAAGACCAGAAAAAGCTGCTGCTCCTGTTCCAGAAATCAGGAAATGCGAGAATCTTTGGAAACTACCACTAAAGAGGGCAGCTGCTTTGCTCCAATGAGGGTGGTTTAGAAGAAGCCTGAGACCCACTGGCGAACTACAGGTCTTCTTCCTCCAGAAGCTCTCGGGCCTGCATGGTGTTTACACACACACAAAAATAATGGCTTCTCTTCAGTTCTACCTGCAGGTGTCACAGTAACAGCTCTTATTATTCATGGCGTCTAACGCTAACCTTTGTGGCCAGGGACTCTACGGATGCATAGAAGGGACAAGATGGTGCAAGTCTGTCAATAGATTGAGAAATACTTGGAGAGCATTTAAAAACCAGATTGAGAATCACTGGTTTGGGATAGATGAACTTCCAAAATTCAGAGCACTGTTGTACTCTGTTGTTTTAGTGAACTTTAAACAGCAAAATATTTGTAAAAGCATTTATCCAGATTCAAGAAGAAGGCTTGAGGTTTAACACTCCCAGTGAAGAGCTTTTTTCCACCCTGCAGATTTCTGTGAGTACCAGGAGGAAGTGGGAATATCTTCCCTGACCCCCCACCATAGTTCCTTCCGCTCATCTGGAAGCGTTAAAGAATTCACAAATCAATGGCAAAAATAACTTTTAAGAGGATTCTAGCCAAACAAAGGCCACACTTGGCAGAGGCTCAGCTGAACCTAGTACTCAAATGGAGAGGTTTCATGATGGGTGTCATGAAAATGTGACTATACAAAAGGAAAATGTGTTGATACCAAAGTTCACATCCTTTGTTCTCCATATCATTGCCTCTCTATATGCAAGTGACAGCGTGAATTTTGTAGGACGCTTTTTCACATACATTTTCTTTTCATATAAATCGTAATGATTGACCAGAGACCCTTGCAAATAGCCTGGGCATGGACAAAGGAAAATAAGAACTGCCCCTTCTTGAGATGGTGGCTTTCCCTCTTCTCTCTCCTGAGAGCAACCACCCACCCAGCTGGTACGTTTTCTTCTCTTCCACGCCCACTGCCTCTTCCTCTTTCCCTTTCCCTCCAGAGCTTCCCTGACCCTCTTCTCCTCCCCTTTACCTCCTTCCTGTTAAAAAGTGTCTGGTGGTGGAGCCAGACAGAACTGTAGTCAGAGCCTTGTGGGATTTCTCAGGGGCAGGGTAACCTCAGGTCCTGAACCTCCCAGAACGTCTACATAATAATAGAATGTTTACTTCTTGCCAAGACAATTCTAAGTATTTTTAAATTTAGTGCTGAGAATGGTAATTTGCACATAGTTTGTACCTTACAAGTAGATACCGTTATTACCATTATCCCCATTTTATCAATGTAGGCTTAGAGAGGTCAAACAACTTGCTCAATTTCAGATAGCTAATATTCAAATCAAGTGGTATATATCCCACTGTACTCTGAGCTTCCCTGATTGTAACATTTTTATGACTCTAGTTGTGGCATTATAATTTATGAAGGTCATTGATGAACTACAGTGTCCAAATATCCTGGCCCTCTGAGGAAGGTACTGAAAACCATACTATCTTTATCACTCTCATCAACAATAAGCATTTATCAAGTGTACACTCTATGCCAAGTCTTATGATGTGTTTTATAAGTACAAAAACTTTATGAAACGGGTAACATTATAATCACCCCAATTTACAGATAAGGAAAATAAATTATGGAGACATTAAGTAAATTGCCCAAGATGGCCCAGCTAGTAAATAATAAAGGCAAGATTTTAGAGCCAACGCTTATAGTCATATACTACACTAGAAACTTTAGTTACTTGCCTGAACAAGAAAGGATGACAGGACACAGAGGAAGATGGAGGTTGGGAGCAAAGAGAGAAAATAGGAATATTCAGTTGACAAGGAAATACCAGCTAGAGAGGAAAAACAATTACATTGCAATGCTACGACAGGGTTTTTCTCGGGAGGCAGATTTCTGCACAATGTGATAAAGGACTTTCCAGCAACTATTTTTAACAACACCACAGACTGCCTCTCAAAACAGAGTGTGAATATTTTGACCTTGGAAATTTTCAGATGCTAAAGAAATTTCCTAAATTGAAGAGAACATTGGAGTGTATATGACCTCTAAGCTAGTATGTGACCTCTCAGATGCTTTGGATATAGAAGTTAGCTCATTGAAACCGTCACAGCAGCCTGACAGATGTAATGATAAAATTTTATAAGTGGCCATACTGAAGCATGATGAGGACATGTGGTTGAATCCAGGTAAATGACTAATCTAGTCATTGAGCTCAGCTCAGAATCTGGTCTTGTGAGCATTTCTAGTCTTGCCAGCATTTCTTTCATACTGCCTCTTGACAAATTGCTGGCAAAAAAAAAAAAAAAAAAAAAAAAACGCAAAAGCTGGCCAAAAGCAGCCTGCATTTGAATTAAGCAGAGAGTTGTTCTTGAATTTATTTTTTGTACTAGGAAGACACATTTCTTCCTCTATGCTTTAGAAGAAGTACTGGAATGGTGGTGTCCCAATAAGGTGCCATGTTCAGAGAGTGGTGAAAGCTAAAGCTGACCTTATAAGACCTGGGAAAAATGAGTACGCATCCTGTCTGAGAGCAATAATATCATGCTGTACATACAGTAAAGTCAGGGGTTTCCTCTGGGAAGAGGCACATAACTCCAAGAAACTCAAGAGGGAAATCAGGGTGACATTTATAGGATACTGACCTCGTACAGACAGGGTCCTTTCATGCATAACTATTAGCTTCATTATGTAAGAGCCACCTAGAGTGTAGAAGAGCAATAAGGTATCAAAGCTCAAATGCTTTCCTTAAAGCACCCATTTAAATAAGTCATAGGGGCTACCATTTTTACAACATTTCATAGATTACAATGTGTGTTCAGGTTTGACATCTCACTCAAGCCTTCTCAACATTTTACATTCAAAGCGAACTGCGTATGTAAAGGCTTATGAAGGTTTTTTCATATGTAATATCTCATTTATGTGCTAAATGACTCTGAAATGGAGGTATTATTAAACTATATTTTTAATTAAGCCGAGTAAAATTATATATATATCCACAAGCTATAGCACCTATTTTGAGTGCATCTAAGACTGTTTTGTTTCTGTCATTAGGCAACTAAGAAATATAGGATAATTTTGCATGGTGAAGGTATATTAGAAAAGCATATGAAAATAGTCTTATTATTATTGCAGAAAAATGAGAGATCATCGTACACAGAAAGAAATAAAAATTATTCATGATCCACCTGCCCAAAGCAGCAATGCTTAAATATTTGGTACAGTTACTTCCAATAAATAAATATATTTGGATTATTTGGTAAAGATCATAGTGTGCATACAGGGTTGTCTTCTTTATCACAGAAATTTTCTATTTTATTTAATATTCTTAGTAAACATCATTTTAATGGCATAGTAGATTATGTGAGTGGAGCATAATTTACTTAACTTATTGTTAACAAATCTCTTGCATATAGTATATGTATTTTGTACCTATTGCTGGTATCCCTCTTCATAATTCCTAGAAGAGGGATTACCACCCCAAAGAGCATGATTGCTATTAGTGATCTTGCCACATATGGCCAAAGTGACTTTTAGAAAGTAGTACCAAGCTCAGCTCTAATGAGCAACATCACCTTGCCTTGCCAGCATTGAAGATTGTCACAATATTTTAATTCACCAATTTTATAGATTAAAAGATATTGTTGTTTTAATTTTCACTTTGCATGGTCACTTTACGTTGTCCACACAACTTATTAAAGACATGGATAAAAGAAATCCCTGTAAAAGGCAGCTTAACTGGATGTTTCCCTCCAATGGCAAAGTGACTCTCAATGGGCCAAGGTAAGTACTCAAGGGTGAGGGAGGCTTGGGTATTGCATACAAGAGCTGGGATCACAGCAGCAGGGACTAAAGGATGTCTGTTGTTTGTCAACTTGCCTCTCTTTCTTCCACTTTGAGTATTTTTCATTGCATGAACAGTTGCCAAATGCCTGCCGGGTTCCCTGCACGCCCGCAGTAAGCATTCTCTCACAGCATGGATTCTCTGTTCATGAAGCTCTCTCTGCAAAGAGTAAAACAAGAATGGGTTGCAAGTAGAGAAACTGAGAGTACGTGATGACCTGGAGGATGCCCCACAGGCAACATTTCCTTTTGAGGCATTGAGTTTAGTCATCTCACTCTTCATAATAGAAAATGGAAGTAGAACTATCTTTTGTTATTGTTTGGATTTTTTTTCTTTTGGGTATTTTTTTTCTGCCCTTACTCTTTTGTTCTTAGATTACTAATTTAAAAATGTTATTATGGAAAATTTGAAATCTGTAGCACAGTAGAGAGCAATAAACCCCATGTACCCATTACTCAGCTACATGCAACTACATAGACTCCATGCAAGGCTGCCCTGAGTGATTTACTCTGTCTCCCCTCCAACCCTGCAGCTACATAATTTTGAAGAAAATCCCAGAAATCCCAGATGTAATATCATTTATCCATAAATATTTTGGTATATATCTCTACAAGATGGTTTTTGAAAAACCTATCATCTTGCCCAAAAATTCTTTAAAATTGCCAAATAGCCAACTACTGTTCAGATTTTCCTGATTGCCTCATATTTTTACAGTTGATTTCTTGAATTGGGTTCCACACAAGATCTGTATCTTGCATTTGTTGATTTGTTGTTGTACTCACTTTAATAAGTATAAATAAATGGTACTTTTAGTGGGAAATGGTATTTAAATAAATGCCCACAGTCTGAGTGCCAGGGACGCTTATTGCAACTCTGATGGTTATTATTTCTGGACAGAGCTAGAAAGTAATAGGAGGGTATTTTTATTTTACACACAATATTTTGATTGCTATTTACTTATTTATATAACAGTACAACATTTTTTCTCTCCTGAGTATCAGAGTTCTGTATCTTCTTAGTTAAATACTCAGTGTGATTACTGTAACTGATAGTGTTTTAGGTTCTTTTGGGTGAGAATAGGGATGACTTACCATGTGACCTGGCTTTCAAAATCTTCCTTTATACTCTGCAACATCAATGAATCAAAAAGAAAATAAAGCAAGTGGAGAGACTGATGTTACTTAAATTAAAATCACAGAATCACAGAGCTACGGGGGTCTACTGAAATCATTCTAGTTGATCTCTTCATTTTGTAGAGAGATACACTAAGGCTGGAAAGGTGACTTGCTCAAGGTGATCTAAATCAATGGTTCTCAAAATTTAATATGACCAGGAATCATCTGGAGGCCTTCTTAAAACCCAATTGCTGAGCCTCACCCCAGAGACTCTGTTTCAACAGGTCTGGGTGGGGCCCTGGTGATGCTGATGCTGCCAGTGCACTGACTGATTTAGTGGCACTAATCCATCTACGTGTTGCCTAAATAACAGCTAACGGGAGCATCTTCTTGGCTACAGCCCTGCTAAAGTAGAGATGAACTCACTTTGAGCTACATGGGAGTAAGTGTGGAAAAATCAAGTCATGGGGCAGGAGCAGGTGAATTGTGGGTTGACCAGGCTGTTTTCTACCTGATGTGACAGATAGAGAAGACTCAGCTGCCTCACTACTACTGGGGGTTGTCAATTTTTCATCATAGGTTCATTCCTTTGAGATAACTCCTCCTTTTAAAAATCAAATCCTTAAGAAAGATTCTCCCTCTCCAGACGAATTTAAGCCACTGATCTCAATGTAAGCCTGTTGCAAACACTGCTAGGTATCTTTATGTGAATCTCCTAATTGGAGGCAACCTTTCTCTGAAATCCCACAGCCTTTGCCTGTATCCCTCTCTTGTCCCTGAGTACTTCCTACTGCATCTGTTTAGACATTCTTGAACAGGCAGTGATCTAGATACCTAGGTTATGCCAGAGGTGCAAGTTTTAAACTCCAGACAAAAGAGTACACTGATTCGCTCGAGTAACGGCTTCCAGGTTTAATTTGTTGCAGCCAGAGTGCTGGAGGTTTAGAAAACTCAGTCCTGTCTGTATGGTAAAAATAGATGACAGATGCCCTCAAAGTCAGGGGAGATACCTTCATTTCATAACAATTCAGGAATCTAAGTCCAGGAAGCACCTTTAGGATTTTAAAGTTGCTAGAAGCTTTGTAACTCTCCCTGGGTATTTGAGTTTCTCATCTCCCGTTACTTGATTAACAGGGAAATATGAAAATCCAAAAGGCAGATCCCAGGGAGACAGAATCTGCTCTAGAGAGAAGTCCCAAGGGGGAGAGTGGGTGGGGGCATCCCTGGGATACTGAGAAACTGGCTGGCCTTTGGTACACAGCAAGAGAGAAGCAATCAAATTCCCACCTGTGATCCCCTTGATAACAGTGACTATTCACCTCCATATCTCCTGGGCTGGCCTGAATCGGTGGTATATGGTATAGGGAGGAGGACCCAAGAATTAAGGGACCCAGGGTGTGTATGTCTGAGGGCTGGGTGGGTCAAGTAATAAAGAGGATGAAAGAAACAAAGACAAGGAGGGTAATAAAGTGATCAGTGTTGCCTACTGAATATTGCTTCTGTTTGGACTAATGATGCTAGACTGATATTTACTCCTCACACTACCTGCCCCTCTGTTTCTCCAGGTAATACCTCAGGTCAAGAACACCAGGTCATGAATCAAAGGCCTTTTGTTTTTAAGCACACCTGATACCTGAAAGATGAGAAACAGTGGCTGCCCTTCTGGTGGCAATGCATGAGCAGATGGGGACAATAATTTTAAAATAAGATACATAAGATGCCTCTGAAGAACATTGTGTTTAGTTAGCTACTGCCAGCAAAATGCCACCTAATAAGTTTATCCCAAGACTCAATAGCACAAAAGAGCAATCATTTATCCTTATGGACCTGTGTATTGGCCGAGGGTCAGCCAGTTGGTCAAGGCTGAGTTTGGTGGCTCTGCAGAGCTCAGCTGGGCCTGCTTCCATGTCTGGTGTCTGCTGACTCTAGCTGGGCTGTCCTGGATGATTTCACTTGCTTCATGTGTCTTCATCTTCCTCTTAAAACCAGGGGCTAGCCCAGCATGTTTTTCTCATGGTAATGATAGAGGCATAGGGGAATGTACAGAAACACCATCTCTTAATGCCAGAGCCACAAGCTAGCACATTGTGACTTCCACTTTGGTCTATGGGCCAAAGCAAGTCACCTGGCCAAACACAGGGTCAAGAGGGCCAGAAGTACATTATGCTCCTACAGTGGAAGAAACTGCAAAGTTATATGTCAGGAAATGTTCATATAGGCAGTGCATGAAGAATTGGGCAAATAGTGTCCCTAACACAAATATATACCATGTGTTATCAATTAAGTGAAATACATGTAAGAAAATTTAGATAAAATACCATTAGATTCTGATGCTAATTTTTTATTGTTATTTTTTATTTTCTTAGAGATCTCATTATGTTACCCAGGCTGGTCTCAAACTCCTGGGCTCAAGCAATCCTTCTACCTTGGCCTCTCAAAGTGCTGCAGTTACAGATGTGAGCCACTGTGCCTGGCCTGATGTTAATTTATAATGCTTTCCTATGAATAAACTGTTAAAACACTTTAGTCAATGTATCCAAATCTGATTGGTGTTATTCAGAATTATTTTGCTTCTCTGTGTATAGATTCTTCTAATTCTTTTCTGTGTTCCTCATGCTTCCAAAGCTATACTTGTCTGCCTTGAATGGTATTACTCAATTAAAATTCTCAGACTCTATATCTGCAATTGTTCTGCCACTTTAAAGATACTATGTCTTTAAAGTTGCTGTGAAAAAGCCTCCAGTTCATTCTGCAGAATACCCATCAGTTATATATTTACGTGACTGAGACGTTATTTCTCTCCTGTGTAATTTTAGTTGCCACATATTGAGAACCTTCTAATGGAAGAATCTACACTAAATCCTTTATATCTGTTTGTCATCTCCTTTAAACCTTACAACAATACTGCAGTATTGATTGAGCAATCCCCATTATGTAAACAAAACTGAACTCAGGAAGATTAAATACATTGCTTAAGGATGAAATGGTAATAAGATCAGAATTCACATAGTTTGGTTTGGCTATGAAGCCAATGGTTTTTCTATTATTTTTCACTTATCTTTTTTTTTTTCATCATGTCCCGTCCTCTTACCCATATACTTGAGTTTTTAGATTTTTCTCTGAGATGTAGTAAAGAATGTTTGGGTGGCAAGTGTTAGTGCCATCTCTTTTTATTCTCTTGAGAGCCTGTGAGTGTGGAAACACGTGTTATTATTATCCTCTGTAAAGCTGCAGGGACTAGTACTTTGAAGTGAAGAGATTTACAGGGACTGGGATGCAGACTCTGTATATTTTTCTCTTCTCTTATTTCAATTACTATGTTTAATCATGGTAATCGAAGGTGTGAGAGTCTATAATTTTGCTACTGGAACTAGCCAGTGAACTTGGACCTAAAGAACTATATTTCTTTATACAGTTCTGGAAGAGTTTGGGAATAATAATAGCATGGGTGTTCTTCACATTGCAATAACATAGAAATAAGATGGCAGAGGATAGTTACTATGCAGCCATACGGCCCACTAGGTTCTAGAGTATTGGGTTTATAAAAGGATTTTTGAATAACTTGGGACTCTTGTTACTAGTGGTCGTTTACCTAACTTCTTGGACAATTTAAGTTAAAGAATAACCCAAAAAGAAGTCAAACTAATTTCAATTTATCTAAATAACCTTGAAGAAAGCCAATTGAAATTTCTTCCCTTCCATTGTCCTCACTTTCCAATGAATATGTTTTACTGTAAAGATATGGTCCAAAAACATGTTTATTTTTCTTCATGTTGTTTTCATATGCCATTCGTGTAGCAAGCACTGTTACGCCATGGCAGTTACTTTGATGTGTGGAAACAGGATGTAAGCTATTATGTTCTTTGCAATGGCTTCCCATTCATCTGTGTCTCAAGCATTAGGAGTTTCAAAAAACCCTATGAGTCCTGATTTGGGTTAGTTTTATCTTCATGAAAGTTAGAAAATAGCATTTCTTTTCTGGATATTATTTGTCTTTATCCTGAATTCTGCAAAACATGTTATAACAAGAATTGTTGGCTATTAATATATGTTACTGGTTTTAAAGTTTTTTATTTATTATTAACAAGAATTGTTGGCTATTGATATATGTTAGTGGTTTTAAAGTTTTTTATTTATTATTTATCTTATTTGATTGTGTTTTAGAGACAGAGTCTCACTCTGTTGCCCAGGCTGGAGTGCAGTGGCATGATCACAGCGCACTGCAGCCTTGAACTCCTTAGGCTCAAGCACTTCACCTGCCTCAGCCTCCTGAGTATCTGGGACTATAGGTGTGAGCCACCAAACGTGTCTAATTCTTGTTTACAATTTATTTCTGTAGAGAAAGGATCTTACTATGTTGCCCAGGCCAGTCTGGAACTCCTGGCCTTGGGCAATCCTCCCACCTCGGCCTCCCAAAGTGCTGGGGACCACTGTGCCCAGTCTATTTTCTCCTTTAAATAGTGTTTTTTTTCCTCCTTTAAAAAAAACCAAACCTTTAGATGAGGAGGAAAAGGAAAGGAAACATGATGTTTATGGAGTGATTGTTCAGCATCCAGTCTTACGCTGGGTGCTTTACTTAGTTTATCGCAATGTTAGTTCCATATTACAGATGAAGAAACAATGGCATTTTGATAATGCAAACTGCATAGATCTCTAATTTAGCTTTTTTGGTTGTCAGGCTTTGATGGGTTCAAAATTTGATAGGAAATTTTGTTTGTTTCCTTTCATATTAAAACACTGTTCTTCTACCAGATCCCTAGAAGACTGTGGCCAGCAGGTATTAGCGTCAGGAGGTGAGTATTAGTTTAAATATTGACCTCTGTTATGTTAATAACATGGTGGCAGCATTTGTAGGCCGCCAATGCACACATTCCACTACCTAAAACAAGAGAATTTGCCTTTGACACCCTTCCTGAAACGAGTCCTGAAATTCATTCTGATTAAACCACCATAAGCCTTATGTGCAGCCCAAACTAGTAATTGTGATTAGGGGTGAGGCGGGGGTGAAATGCACTACTCCATTTAACATAGCCCAAGTCAAGAATCCCATCCTTGGAGTTGAGACAGAGTCAACTTTTCAGAATGACGTGGATCTTGAAATGGAAGTGGCAGGCTTTGAGGAAGGCAGACAGACATGGGAGTCTGGGAGCCAGGCAAACCCAGCTGTCCACAACATCATTTATTCTTTCAAAGACGCATCTAGAGAGCACGCTTGCTAAGAACGGTGGGAGAAACTGACAAGAATTAGACATAGTTCCTGTCCAGGCTGCCTATAATTTATTATGGAGAGGGAGGAGCTAAATTAATAACTATAATCAAAACCTGAAATGCTGTGACATAAAAGTGGCAACTACCTATTAGAGTGAGAAGGAGAATTACTTTTTGGTACAAATAATGGAAAATTTTCAAAGGGGGTGAAAGATTTCTTAGAGCTAGAAGGGGTACTTAGGAATTTTTTTTAACTCTGTGTGATATGATGCTGAGAGAAACTGGGACACAGGGAGAGTAAGACTTGTTAGGGAATAAGATAGACATAAAGATGAGGAGAGGTAATGCCCAGGGTTTTAGTAGAAAATATAGGGCTCCAAAGAACAAAAATTACCCAATTTCACTGTTTTACTTGGGATCAGTTTTTCCAATAAGTGTGGTCAAAAAATCAGAAGTGTGTGGACAAAAGTATAATTTCTTGTTGGCTGAAAAATGG
Organism: Homo sapiens; assembly: GCF_000001405.40. Classification (NCBI taxonomy): domain Eukaryota; kingdom Metazoa; phylum Chordata; class Mammalia; order Primates; family Hominidae; genus Homo; species Homo sapiens. Next base: position 37,716,680 of record NC_000007.14, read on the forward strand.
TAACTTCTATATTCTTTGTTGAGTTAGCTGTTTGCTCAGGGAACCAGTGTATTGCAAAGTATATTTTCTGTCAGCTTATCTGATTCCTTCTTAAGAATTTCTATCTCTGAATAAAGTTTCAACTGTATTTGTTTACTTATATCTCTTTTGCTTTAAAAGAAGACACAAAATACCTGAGCTTTCAGCTAAGTTTTCAACTCAAATTCTTTGTTTCTAGGTATTAAGGGGAGGGTTTTCCTTTACAGATTGGAGATGGATAAAGTGCCTGCCAAGGGGCTGAGGGTGTTGTGAGCATTTAAAAGGGCTCAGCTCTATGTAAGCTTCCCAGGAAGATAGGTGAGAGGTCCTCTATCTAAGAGCCTCAAATTTACAGGATGGATATGATCAAAAGAGAATCAAGCCATGTCCAAACCATGGGTGCATCTGAGGACAGATAGGCCTTGCTAATTATGTGTGTCTTCCACTAAGGTGAAAATTTGCTTCATTTCCTAAATACATAATAGACACTATGAGGGAATGTGGTTCAGAAAATATGCATGAGGGCTTGCGAGAAGAAGAATGAAAAGCTGTTTTCAAAGCTACAAAAGGAAAGCTCAGTTTCTTTCTTCTACATTTAAAGTAGGTGGCCTAAAACTGAACCAATAAAAGATAATTGCAAATATATTTCTTATTGAAATCTCCCTTTCCCCCAAAGGTTAAGAGGATTGAGGACATTTCTGAAAAAGGAGGAGTAGATAGTCAAAATCTAGGTGGAGGTTGTGTATTTGCTGATTGATGCATTTCAGACCATAATGGAGAAGACCACTTTGTTCATTAACAAACGTTTCCATATCAGTGCCTGCCTTTTGTGGCTCATGCTGTCCATCCCTGACATTTTCTGCCCCCTCTTTCTTTCTCTCACCCCCCTTGTTGTGTACTAAATCCTTTCTGCCTTTAAGTGTCACTCCAAAACCAGCTTCCTGCATGAAGCCTTCTCAGATTCCCCCTTCTCCCAGTTTGGCTTGTTCTCCCACAACAATGCTCTGATGCACTATCTTATTTTACCTTCATGAATTTCTACAACATGCATCTGTCTCCTTCACTAAATTATAAGCTCCTTGAGGGCAGGACTGCTCTTCTTTTACTGTGTGTCCCTCCTTCGTTACTGAACAATCTTTATACATCTCTTGGGCAAACACATATATCTTAAATCTGATTGTTTACATTGCTCATGAGTATAATTGTTAAATATAATTGTGTGATAAATGTACCAGGAAGTGGATCCCCTGGTCTAATTGCCTTGCGAAGTATTCTTTCTTCTCTCTGGGGTGAAATAAGTCAATTATATTGAAAGTTAGAATTGTTAAAAAGTTTATAACTAGTAAGGGTGATTAGAAGCCCTAAATTCAGCAAATGTTCAGCAAAGTATTTGGTGTTTACTAGGTATCTAGTATCATGCTAGTGATGAACTAAATAGTCACTCTCAGCACCCTCATGGGGACTATAGTCTAGTGAGGAAAATGGTCAATTCATATGCGAATTAGCAAATAGATTCACAGATAGACATTGTATAAGTGCTATAAAGAAATTAAACAGTTCCAGTGATTTGAGAGGCTGATGTGAGAGGATCACTTGAGGCCAGACGTTCAAGGCCACCTGGGCAACATAACAAGACTCCATCTGTACAAAAACTACAAAAATTAGCAGGCATGGTGGCGTGTGCCTGTAATCCTAGCTACTCTAGCTACTTGAGAGGCTGTGACAGGAGGATTGCTTGATCCCAGGAGTTCGAGGCTACAGTGAGCTATGAACCACTGCACTCCAGCCTGGGAAACAAAGTGAGACTCTGTCTCGAAGGAAGGAAGAAAGGAAGGAAGGAAGGAAGGAAGGAAGGAAGGAAAGAAAGAAGGAAGGGATTCTAGAAAAGAAGGTTTAGAGAAAATGTGGGTTAGAAAGTCATTTCTGCTGATGAGCTTGATTTAAGACAAATTGAGCTATCCTCATTTATGGAGATGCATGAAAAAGCCACTGGTTGGCAAAGGAAACAACATTTGCCCTGAGCATAAATGAGAGAGAAACTGATACTAGAGCCCTGTCTACATCCACTTAACAATTGCTCTTCTGAGATCACAAGGGTGATAGAGCCTATGTAGATCTCCCTGGCTCATTGAACCTTAACCAAGGGCTTCTGTTAGGCTTTGAATGCACACCAGCGACATAGAACTGAAGATGCAGTATCTTAAGCAGGGCTCACATTTGTTTTATTTTAGGCTTCCCTGATAAGTTGTGTGTGCGTGTATATGTGTTGCAGGGTGGGGGATAGGGTTGGAGGGCATTATGGAGGCAAGAAGAATAAGCTTTCTTGCCTGTGCGTGAAGAGTTTCACCAGACGATTTCAGCTTTCTCCTGTGACCTGGGAAAGCTGTGATGTGGAGCATGGCCAGTTTATACTTAAAAATGTCCACACAGTTCTGGTTGGTTCTGCCATGCCAGAATCAAAGGTTGGACCCGGAAACAAATGCCTTTGGCTGCTTGGTAACCAGCACTATCACAAGACAGTTGTGTTGATTGAGCCTAAGGTGGAAGTCTGTGTGAGCTATGAGAGGTGGTAAGATATGACTGCAAAAGCCAGGGCTTTGTCAAATCATACACTCTTGGGATTAGTCATCTTGTCTGACCATCAGACTCAGTGATAAGTTTTTGTATCTTGCAAGTTTTCAATTTGGCAAGAAGTTTCCTGATAATGCTTGGATATCTGCATCTCTTCTTCCTTCATCCAGCATTGATGGTTAGTAGCTTCTTCTAACCATTCTAACATGGATCTCATCTTGTATTTAATAATTGACAGATGGGTCCTCTCCCATCTTATATGGAGGATCAAAATGATTCTAGCAACTTAGTTCCTTTCCTCAAAAATATTGACACTCACCTTTGCCACACACGTCTGCGAATTATGAGTTATTGTTGTAAGGGACTAAACTGTCTAATCTTAGAGTTCGCCTTGGCCATATTTAGAATGTACAGTTCATAGGCAGCTGAGCAGAAAACCAGAAAAAGGGGGCTGAGAATTAGGTGAGAAACTGAGGAAATGAGTGAAATTAGTGATTCTCCACCCAGTCAGGAATTTTTTTTTGAAAAACATTCCTTCGACTCCTGTGAGATACAGCAGGGAATGAGCTTATTGGAAGAGATGAGGGAATGAGAGTGTGAGGAGGAGCTTGAATCCTTCCAGAGATCCCATTAGAAATAAGGCAAGGATGGGGGAGCCAGGGCAGCCTTTGGAAATGGGGAGCAGCAGGAATAATGGGGAAAGCAGCCCCCAGAGAGTGTCAGGGCCAGCCTGGAACCAGCCTCTGAAGGGGTGACCAGTCTTGGAGGGTTACTGGTCAAAGAGGAACATCTAAACTACTGCCAGGGCAACGACATGAAAGAAAAGGGTTCCAGGGTGTCGGGAGATTGATGGGGTTCAGGAAGGCTTGGGACTCAGCAGGGCCTGGGAGGTGAACCAGGAGTTGGGCAGAAGGCAGGCAGAGAAAAGGTGTGCCATGACTCAAGCCTGGCACTTTCAAAAGAGGGCCTGCCCCAGGCACTCATCCTGGGTTCACAGGGCACAGGGCGGCAGGCACTTAGAGATACCAGACCCTGGTGCCCATCAATGGCTTTACATGGCCCACCTTGGGCTAGGTCTTCCTGGAGCTGAGCATGTGAATTGAGCACACCATAATAATCTCTGAGTGTAGTTTCCAGTTTCAACAAAAGCAGAGAGTTAAGTACTTAAGAGTTCAAAAAGGAAAAGAAATTAGGCCGGCACCATGGCTCATGCCTGTAATCCCAGCACTTTGGGAGGCCGAAGCAGATGGATCACAAGGTCAGGAGATCGAGACCATCCTGGCTAACATGGTGAAACCCCTTCTCTACTAAAATACAAAAAAATTAGCCAGGGGTGGTGGTGGGCACCTGTACTCCCAGCTACTCAGGAGGCTGAGGCAGGAGAATGGCGTGAACCCGGAAGGCGGAGCTTGCAGTGAGCTGAGATTGCGCCACTGCACTCCAGGCTGGGCAAAAGCCAGACTCCGTCTCAAAAAAAAAAAAAAAAAAGAGAAATTAAGAAAAGGGTTCAGAACCCTCTCTGGGATACATTAAATTTGGGGAATTAAATTTTTAGTGCAGTTTTATTTTTCTCTTACATTGCAATCTGATGAACTGCTTTTCAAACATTTATTGGCTTTAGAGAACTTGAGTAGGCCTGTTTTAATTACTTCTCCAAGTCCTCTTCTAGTATTCTAATTAACTGCTTTTCAATACCCTGATAATTGGTCATAGAGATACAAACAATACAGTTGAAAAACAAGGACCAATTGTCTAGGGGAATCCACAGCTCCGAAGGAGAGCAGGGATGGAGCAGTGAAGAAATGTCACTTTTTCTCTTTTTTCATAGGAAAGGGACTTCTGTGTTGCTGTGACCCTGTGATGTGCTGCAGAACATTTAGGCTTCAGAGTCAAACAGCCTGGGTCTCCAATTTCAGGGCTGTCATTTGTTAGTTGAGTGAACCCAGAAAGTTGCTTAACTTTTCCGAGCTTCATTTCTTCAACTAATATTTGGAATAAAAGTACCCTTGTCCTGGATTTCTTGGGAGGATTATAAGTATCATATAAGAAATTTCCATCTTAGTGCCAGGAACTGAAGAGGCACTCAGGACCTGGTGACAAAAGTTATCAATACATTATGCTACAATAGATGTGCCCGTTATTGGTGAAAAGGCATAAACCTAGAGGTACCTGGGGCTGAAGACAGAGTAAGGGTTATCTTGGACAGATTGGCCTGGTTAATGTCTCAGTAGCTTTGATTTAAGAAAGGTCTTCTCTGAACGGCTTTCCCTTTGGTGGTGTGGTGTTTTCCATCCATAGATGTTGGTTACTTCTACAGATGAAATGCCCATTAGAAACATGCCCAACGTGTCCTAAAATTATTTTCCATTCTTGGTCCTCCCTAGATTTTTTGTTGGCGTGGCAGCTGAACTTGTTGGCAGATTATATTGGGCTCCAAGACAAAGGTTGACAATTTCTCCACGTCTCTGTTTGGGTGTAAAGTGGAGACACAATTTTTAGAACTTCTGGGAGAGTCTTCTCTCACTGTCAGCCTAGACTGTGGAGGCCTGAAAGTATGGTGTCTGTCTCAGGGGGCAATGGGTTACTTGAAGGATATATTTTATCCACAGCCTTTTTTGTCTTGTTCATTTCAGAATTTTGCCTACAAGTATATTTCACCTACAGTGAATAAAGATTAATGGTTGATTGAAGTCATCTGGATAACATATTGGAAAACTTCTTGACAGGAATAGTTTAAATTAGAAAGCAGAAATAAACTTTTGACTTTAAGGAAATATTTCATGTCTGTCAACATAAAGCAACTTGGCACTATTAATCTATATCCACAAATACTTTCATGTCATATGACCACTTTTTTATTGGACACCACCTTCTGGAAAAATCTAAAATATGTAAAACACTAAATTCACAAAAGTGATTGTCCTAGAGTTATTTATAACAATAAGTTAGAAACATAACATCATTGAAAATTTGATTAAATCACTTTGGAGACATCCACTTGATGAGATGTTATACGGTCGTATAAAAGTGCACGGAAACAGGTCAGGCATGCTGGCTTGCATCTGCAGTCCCAGCTACTTGGGAGGTTGAGGCAGGAGGATGACTTGAGGCCAGGAGCTTGAGACCAGCCTAAGCACTATAGTAAGGTTCCCTCTCTTAAAAAAAAAAAAAAGCCGGGCACAGTAGCTCACCCCTCTAATCCCAGCACTTTGGGAGGCCAAGGTGGGCAGATCACTTGAGGTCAGGAGTTCGAGACTAGCCTGGCCAACATGGTGAAACCCCGTCTCTACTAAAAATACAAAAATTAGCTGAGCATGGTTGCAGGTGCCTGTAATCCCAGCTGCTTGGGAGGTTGATGCAGGAAAATTGCTTGAACCCAGGAGGTGGAGGTTGCAGTGAGCCAACTTATGCCACTGCACTCCAGCCTGGGTGACAGAGCCAGACTCCATCTCAAAAAAAAAAAAAAAAAAGTTCAGAAACTCCAAGGCTAAGTACTTTGGTATTATACATTACTAGCAAAAAACATGGTTTGAAAATTGAGGTGCAATATTATCACTATCTAACAATCTAACACAGATGCATAGAAAGATATTAGCAGAAAATACACTAATATTTTAAAAAGTGGAAAAATTCTGTTCTAATTTTTCTTTTTCCTTTCCTTCCTTCCTTCCTTCCTTCCTTCCTTCCTTCCTTCCTTCCTTCCTTCCTTCCTTCTTTCTTTCTTTCTTTTTTTTTTTTGACAGAGTCTCAGTCTGTTGCCCAGGTTGGAGTACAGTGGTATCTTGTACCACTTGGCTCATTATAACCTCTGCCTCCTGGGTTCAAGTGATTCTCTTGCCTCAGCATCCTGAGTAGCTGGGACTACAGGAGTGTGTTACCACACCTGGCTAATTTTTGTATTTTTAGTACAGACGGGATTTCACCATGTTGGCCATGCTCATCTTGAGCTCCTAACCTCAGGTGATCCACCCACCTCGGCCTCCCAAAGTGCCTGGATTATAGACATGAGCCACCGTGCCTGGCCTAAGAGTCCAGAAATGCCTAATTTTTCTTTAGTGCCTTTTAGTTGCCTCTTTTTTTATTAATATAAAAAATACCAGAAACACTGAGAAAATAAAAAGAAATAAAACCCTAGAAGTTACTAGGAAGAAAAAAAAAAAGTGAATGGCACGGAAGATGAGCAAGCAGATAGTGAAATGCCTGAAGTGGACATGGTGAGGGAGGGAGGAAACTATGATACTGGGTGAAGCACAGAGTGAATCTTGTGAAATGGTGATGTGAAAAGCAGCCTCCTTTAGTGATGTCCTATTCTTGCTCTATCACATTTTAGTGCTTCATGGGCCATAAGGAGGCTTGGAGGCAAGGAAGTTACCAGCATTGTTGGATACCACGTTTTGCCTGTCTGAAGGCCTCGTCCCTTACATGTCCGTATAGACATGTTTCTCTGTCTTTTGAGGTTGGGTGGATTAAGTAGGCCAGATGGTGTGTCAAAGGTGGCAACAAGGCTGTAGTAGCACTGGACACTCAGGAATGCCAGGAACACAGTCCCCCAGATTTAACAGTTTCTGAGAATAAAGCACAGTTCCTGGACAATGAAAGATTTCTTTGAAGCAAAATTTCTGGTAAGGAGATGGACATTCACAAAGATCAGAATTCATAGCACATTTCAATATCTGCAGACCTACAGATCTATGCAAGGCTCTCCCTGGGAATGGAAAGAACTCACTGACAGTTCCTTATTTTCGAGAACATGGGTGGCAGCAGGGGTGCCCTGGGTGCCTTGCAGAGCAGTGTGGCTCACTCTACACAGACACAAAGCCTCTGAGTTTCAGCTCCCACTTCCCTTGTAGGTAACCAGAACTTGCATCCTCACCTTTAGAGAGTCAGCAGCAATGGTGAACTCCTCAAGTGAGGAGAGAAAGGATAGCTCAAATCCAGAAGCCTGCTCTTTGGTGAAAAATGATGTCTTTGATGAGTGAGGCTGCAGATCTAACTTTACTTGAAACTGCCTAAAAAATATATATATACATTTTTTTTTGCTATTAAAAAAACCATAGAAAACCCAAGAGAGTCCTTTCAAACTTCAGAAATAGGATGTACAGAGGAGGAGGACTGTGAGAGAGAGTTCGAATATGAACAAAGCAGGGGGCAATTTTTATATGTTACTTAGGCATATAACCTTCTGCAGTGAATTTCTTTAGAGTTGATATTTCTTTTTTATTGTTTCCCACACTGCTTCAGATATTTTCAGACAGATTTTTTTGGTTTTGGTTTTTTAGCTACACTGAGCTCGTCCTTAATGTGGGAGCTGCCATCCCAGAATCTTTTCTCAATATATTTTGGATGAACTGCTGCTTGAGTTTCCCTGAGTGAGTGATTAAAGTGACTGTTCCTATTTGTTTTCTGCAAACACAACAAACTATAATTCGTTCTAAGGAGAGCTCAAAGGCAGGAAGCCATTTGTCTGCTGACAACCTTTTCTCAGAACAACCTGTGATGCCTCTTCTAGCTGGGGCTGGACATCCATCCTGGCTCCCAACTGGTGTCCTTGAGGTGGGGCCTATGGGGCTGGACTTAAAGCATAGTTCTCTTGATTAGAAGCTGCCGTCTGTCCTGCTGGGCCTCTGGAGTCTGCCTTTAGTAGTGCTGTGTCACAGGAATAGTCCCAGACTGAGACACAGAACCTGGAATTTAGCCAGTGACAAGCCGTGCTAGCTTTCAAAGGTCGCTGTGTGGGCCTCGGTGTCTTCCTTAGTTAAATGGGTGCACTGGATGCTATAATCTCTAGGTTTCACTCTGACACTAAGAATTTGTGATTTTTTCTTCTGATTCCTGGTCCAAGGGTTCCTTCTCTCCTGGAGATGGAGACACCATGACCACTCTCATGGATCTTTTCTTCTTGGAAGAAGGGGTGAATATAGAGAATGACAAAGAAAAAGTGAGATGACAGTGATCAGTGTTATGAAGAACATGGCTTGGGTAGGGCTGGTTCCTTGTATTGAGTGGTCAAGAATCAAGAAGGTGAATCTGCAGTCCCATCTGTTCAAGGTGCAGCAGAAAGAAGTGAAGCCAGGGATGGAGCGGGGAGCAAGGAGGAATGAGCGGCCACATCAGAGGGACCAGGCCTGCGAACTTGAGCAGGGTGAGGCATCCAGGGCTCCTGGTTCCTGGCACGGCATCCTCCTAGTCCTCTAACCAGGGAGTTTCCTGCTCTGCCCTTGATATGAATGAATGAAGGCAGTCACCGGCAGCATTGATTCTCTGTCAATAATTCTCCCCCTCCTCCCTCATCCCCAAGGCTCAGCTCAGACGCAATTTCTTTCTCTCTTTTTTTGCACAATGGCTTTACTGAAATATAATTCACCAACTATAAAAGTCATTCTTTTTTCAAAGGACAACTTTATGGTTGGTGAACCACAATTCAGTGGTTTTTAGTGTAGTCACAGAGTGATAGACAAAATTTCTTCTTTTTGTAGGTGGAAGAAGGAACAAATTATAAATTGTGTGATTTCAGATGTCTGGACTTTTCATTCTTTTATTTTAAAATATGTCTATTTACCATGTTTGCTTTGTTTTTTTTTTTCCTTCCTGCCTCTGTTACTGCTATTACTGTGTTCCATTTTTCCTTCTCATAATTTGCAAGCCATACATGCAACTTTGGTTCACTAATTGATTGCTCTTAAGTTTTCATCAAGAAGTTATATTCATTTTTATTTCTCTACACTTAAACAGTACCTTTAACCTCCTCCCCACCAAAAAATACTGAGATATTCACATACAATTTCTCTCTTTTATTTCCCTCACTGCCACCATGTGGAAACCAATGGGTGTTTTAATTTGGTATGAACATGAGCATTTTAGGTTTAAAATGTGTTTCACTGCATTTTGACTGTAGGAAGTGAGATCAAAGGACAGAGAGCGGGGAGGAGGGATCACATCCTGTAAGGCCTTTCAGACCATTTCCAAATCTTGATTTGATTCTGAGAAAGGTGAGAAGCCATTGGAGGATTGAGATAAGAAGAATGACATCTTCTAATTTACATTCTGAAAGATTACTCTGGTTGCTGAGTTGGGAATAGGGGAGTTAGGAGTAAAAAATGGGAGAATTCATGGGCTTGCTGTAATAATCCCATTAAGAGTTAATGTGGCTGAATCCCAGTTGTTGCAATTTAGGCAATGAAGAGTTGACCAACTCTATGTTTATTTTATGTAATTTTTCATAATTTTTAAATTTAGAAATAATTTTACACAAAACATTTACAATGTTAGAAGAATGATAAAGAGCTCCAATATAACCTTCACCCAGATTCCCCAATTGTAATCTTTTCCACATTGGTTTTTCTCTTTTTGTATATCCATATTGTAATTTTTTGGATTGATTTGATAATAAATAGAAAGCATGCTGCCTTTATCCTTATAGTATGTGGTGTATATTATATAAGAACAGGATATTCTCTTATACAACCACATACAATGGTCAAGATCAGGAAAATAACATTGATACAATTCTATTATTTAATCTGCAGACTGTGTTAATATTTGGCCAATTATACCAGTAATATCCTTTATAGAAAAAATCTGGCCCATGGACTCTATGTGGACTAATATGAGAGACAGGGGATAGGAGTTGCTGAAGGAGTGGAGGTGAATTATGGGAGAAAAAGAGGAATTAGGGATAATTGTAAGATTTTTCACGTATGCAAATAGAAAATGGAGTTCGTATTACTAGTTAAACTGCGAGGACTTTGCAAGGAAGAAGTTTTTGTGTATGTCTGGGGCACAGTTCAGCCTTGGATATACTAAGTTTGAGATGTTTATTATACATCGAAGTGGATATGCTAATTTGTTCTTTGTGATTTGAAATAACATCTTTATGTGTCTAAATCTGAGTCTTTTCTAGTAGTTTAGCTCAGTGCTGGGTGGGACCTTTCAACATAAACATTTTATCTTTTCTATGTGTAGAAAATGTCCTTTAATTATTTATCTGAGCATTTCATTCTCTTTTGCTGTCTCCAGATGATGTTGGAACTTCTATTAATAGTTTTGTTCTTGGGGTTTTTTAGCTTTTCTTTTAAATCTTCCATCTCTTGACCTTTTTTGCTTCTATCTGTGGGAGTATTCTCAACCTTCTTACAAGCTCATTGATTGTGTGGTTTGGTACATTTTAATTAAAATAACAACTCTGAGTCTTATTTCACACCATTCTCTTCTCTCTGAGGACATTTTAAAGTTACTTTTTTCCACTTTGCCCTCTTAGCAAACCAACCCATCTGTTAGTTCTTTTGTCTGGGAAATTTGGTATCCATCTAATGTGTCATTAGCTCTCCTAAAATATCCAGTGACTGTTCTTTGTCTTTTTACTGTTGAATGTGGATGAAGTTACCTGAAGCATGTACTTTTCTTTTCCAAGCCCAGACTCTTCAATTTTTGTTTAATTTGGGGGCAAGCTCTCCTAGGTGGGTGTCATCTTGCTCCAATCCTTATAATATTTAAACTTGAATAACCCTTTGCCAACTATCCAATCTGTTGCCAAAACAAGCTTTCAAAATTGAAATATTAAGATGTCATTTAGTATTCTAAAATTCCCTGCATCCCTCATAATTTTCAGAATAAAATTGAAAATCCTTAGAGTGGCAACATGCCGTAAATATGGGAATCCTCATGTACAGATTCTCACCCACGTTCTCCTAATATGTCAAATGTTCCAGGTACATCAAACTATTGGTAATTCCCCGAATGTGCATCCAAGCCTTTGCCCAGAATCTTCTCTTTCCCTGGAGTGCTTTATTTCCTCCTCTCTACATCTAGAACTTCAATGCACCCTTCAAGATCCAGTAACTGCTACATATCTGTACCCAAGCATCTTTTACTTTATTTTGATGCCTTCATCCTCAAGTACCTCTTAAATAATTACTGCTCTTTCTGAATTCTTGCAGCATTTTTCACGTACCCATAGGTGTTTCTGTAAATAATTGATGTGCCTCTTTCTCTCCTACCAAACAGGAGATTTAAAAGCGGTGATGTGTTTTATTCATTTCAGAATCTTTGCTACCTACTGTACAGTAGACAGTTAGAGTGATATCACTTGTTTAATAAATTAAGTGAGAAATCCCAAAGTAGGTTATACTTGTTTGTCTGTTTTAAAATGGTGCAGGGAGGGGTTCTGGTGACTAAGGTCTACACGCTAATGAGCATTTGGATTATTTAATGTTATTTTTCAGGGTTCTATAAATTGTGTAGGACTCTCATTTTGTAGGCTGGTCTCTGATGTTGGCTCTACCATAGGTTTCTTATAAAACAGCCACAGAAACCACTTCCATATCTCACTTTTGACATTGATGTAGTCCTCAGGCCATGGACAATGACCACTGAGACCCAAGCAAGGTTGTGGGCAAGGCTTTGGGAAGGGGGTTGATAAGATACAAGGGAATAGCCACCAGCCAGGCCTCAGGAAGACCTGAGGAGCTCTCTTGTGTGTGGGATGAGATCAGACCAGAATCACAAGAGAATCATGCAGGCAGGATGGGAGAATCCTGGTGCACCAGGATAGGGCAGAGGCTTGTTTAGAGCTACAAATACCAGCAAGGCCTGGCCTGGTATGTCAGGTCAGCTAATATGTCAGTTCCCACAGCTCCCATAGACAATGGGATGCCAGGGAAAGTTTTTAAAAAGAGAAGTGAAATCATTGATGATGCAATTTGGACTTCATTCTAGTTGTTTAGCTGTACATTTGGGTCCTAGAGAAACAAGAAGCAAGCTGGAGGTATGAAAGAGAACATTCCAAGAATGACAGGTAAGTCTGAGTCACAGCTCGAGGCTGAAGGAAGGGGGTTAGAGAGGAGGTGTCCCTTGAAATAGAAGCTGAGGCCAGCTTGCAAAGGGCTTACATGTCATGGTAGGAACTCAGAGTTTTTTCTTTTCTCTAACAGTAACCAAAGAAGGATTTTAAGCAGAGACATGACAGAGGGCAGGGGAAAATCAGAGTTTGAGGCCAGGCTTCATGATGACCTTCCAAGGTCAATCACAGAGGTAAAGAGGGGATCCTCATGTGGAACAAGGAGGTCCACAGCCAGCCAGAGAGGCAGCCCTGTCCCCTGAGAGAGCTGGCTCTGGGTTTGCAGTTTATTTCTGGGATCCTGATGTCAGTTGTTGGTCTAGATCCAAATGTGGCCATATCCAAAAAATGTTTAATCCAGTCAGGGCACTTTTTCACCATTATTTCACCCATTCAGTTAACAACTCATGACCACTATTTAAAAATTATATGCTAGTTTTGAAAGAAATTCAAAGTTAAAAACAAGTCCACAAATGACTAAAATAATTAAAACAGAGAATAAGACAACAAAGGTAGGACTGAAAGGCACCTGTAAAGCTTTTTGAGAAAGGAGCTGAGAATGTCCCGGGGGCCTGAAGGGCTTGAAAGAAAATGCAGTCTGTGTTTACACCTCAAAGATGTGCAAGACTGTGTGAGTGGGGGTAATATTTTGGGAAGAGAAAGCGCAATGAAGATATATAGGTGAAATATCTAAGTAGCATCAACAAATAACTGTTGTTAATGTTGTTTAAAAAACAATTCCCTGGCTTCTTGTATTTGGAATGGATTGTCTCCGTGGAAGCAGAAACTACCTCTCTCTTACCTTCTTTCAGGTTTTCCTGGGATCAGCTGCACTCCTTAGCAAAAGTATATTGGAGAATCAACTGAGAAAGTAACTGAGACATTTCAATCATTTCTAGGTGTAAAGAAAGACCAGATCCCAGGAAAATATTACGGTCAGTTCAATGCCTAAGTATAACACCAGCATCACTGGCTGGGACCCTCAGAACCTACTCTCCTATTTTCCCTTCATCTTCTTCTCTTCTTTCTTTTTCTTATTCCTTTTCTTTGTTTCCCCCCTTCTTTCTCTTCTCTCTTTTCCTCCCTCACTTTCTTGATCTCTCGCTCTCTTTCATGAATTCACTGAATCATTGCAGAAGTACTTGACACATACCATGTTCCAAATTCTGAGCTACGGCACATGCTATATTTTTCTACAAAATAAAGTGTGAGGTGGATCTCTAAATAATAATAACAAGTGTATCTCAAACAGTCTATCCTGGGCACCTTGTAAGCTTCAGTTGTTTTCTCTTCAAAGTGCCTGTGTCCCAAAGCTCAGGACAAATTTCAAAACCTGAACCTGAATATTAAGAAATCTAAACATATATCATCTAAAGCTGGCATCCAGGAAAACAGAGCTTTTCGTTTGATCAGAGACTGCATATTTCTTACCTGCAAGTGTTTGTTTTAACCACACTTGGCAGGTTCTGTATATAACACGCGTCAAAGCCATCAGTTGCACTTGTTTTTGTGACTGCAGGTGCTGGCTTGCTTGTTCCAGGGTCCCAGGGCCCGGCCATGGCCATGGTGTTTGTCTCTCAGGCTTGTCTGTCTCATACCTGGCAGGCTCACTGCTTCACAGCTCACTGTGTCTCTCAGACATTCTCTTGGCTTTCCCACAGTCTCAGGGACTGTTCTAAATAGCAAGCTAATATTCTGAAGTGAGGTATTGGAAGCATTTCTGAGAAGCATTTATTATTTTTGTATGTGCTCAATTTTTTAGCAATGAAGACATTTCCTTTCAAGGTTGTTAAGCTTTGAACTTTCCATTTTGTGAAAAGGCTCGAAATTTCCTTCATTCTTTGTGGGCATCCAACTCTAACAGACACATAAATTAATAGACTAGGAAATATTTAACGGTCTAAGTTCAAACAAATATGTTTACTTTGGCTGAATTGATGTTGCTATTAATTGCTATTGAAATAAACCACTGTACAAAGAAATATGCCCTGGAGGATAAATGTGACACTGCTAAAATTAAAACTCAAATGAGAATTATCTGCAGATTTTAATGTTTCAAATTCAATTTGGAGAATTCAGTTCTTTAATGTAATACTGATAAAATCATGTTATTGATCCTGCATACTCATCTCTTCTCAGGGATTAGAGACAGGCTGTTACGAGTATGTAGCAATCCCCCTTGTACCTGCATAGGTGGGGAGGTGATTGTCCAGCTCTGCTGGTCGGGCACTGGATGTAGTCATGGCTGCAAGCAAGTCATGCACGTGGAGAACGAGGTGTCTCTCTGAAAGAAATGTAGAGAGAAAATTTTAGGTCAACTAATTAAAAATTCCCATCAATCTCTAGAATAGCATCCCATATGCAAAGGAATACTCTGTCGCCCAGGCTGGAGTGCAATGGCAGGATCTCGGCTCACTGCAAGCTCCGCCTCCCGGGTTCACGCCATTCTCCTGCCTCAGCCTCCCGAGTAGCTGGGACTACAGGCGCCCGCCACAACGCCCGGCTAATTTTTCTTTTTTTTTGTATTTTTAGTAGAGACGGGGTTTCACCGAGTTAGCCAGGATGGTCTCAATCTCCTGACCTCGTGATCCGCCCGCCTCGGCCTCCCGAAGTGCGGGGATTACAGGCGCAAAGGAATACTTCTTATACAGATATATAATTTTTTTGTCCCATTAGGAAAAAATTGTGCCCCAATCGCTTTCTGTCCTTTCTTACTAAATGTGAATCTTGAAATGTTTATTGCTTCATGGTGTTCCTCCATTTGGCCCCATCCTAGTTCTTGCTTTGCTTTTAGATGCTGGGGAGCCATCTTGGGAGTAGGGTGCCCATTACATGAGATGAAGTGGTCTTCAAGGGGACAATAAGGGAGTAAGTGCCTTGTAGAAAGAAGCAAAGTAAAGAGGAAGAGAGGTTTCTTTGTTTGTTTTTTTTATTTTTATTTATTTATTTATTTTATTTTTTTATTATACTTTAAGTTCTAGGGTACATGTGCACAACGTGAAGGAAGAACTTTCTAACTTCTCCTTTTCTTTCTCTCTCTCTTTTTTTTTTTTTTTTTGAGATGGAGTCTCACTCTGTCACCCAGGCTGGAGTGCAGTGGCGTGATCTCGGCTCACTGCAACCTCTCTTTTTGTTATTAGGTTGTTGCAAAAGTAATTGCGGTTTTTGTCATTGCTTTGAATGGCAAAAACCGCAATTACTTTTGCAACAACCTATTACCTAGGCTAGAGTCAGAGCCCCCTCACCTTGAGAGTGATGAGTTGCGAGAGTCTGCCCCCAGCAGGCAGATTGAGAGAGTGCATGGTTTAGCAGAAGGATAATTTTAGCTGTAGTCCATGGGACAGAATGGAGATGTTGCAATTTGATGCAGATCATCTGAAAGTCTTGTGCAATGTCCTGATTAAGTGTGGACAGAGCACCATAAAAAAGGAATTTGGAAGTTGGAAACATGCTGAGTTCAGGCAGACATAAAAGGCAGCATCTGGAAAACCTATCAGGACTCAATTTCAGGACAAGTGATCATAGGTAGGTGGGATCATGGAACTTGACCTCAAGGTTACACTATAGGAACAATAAATAGGTTATGAAGATAATGAGCAGATAAACAGCACCACCAAGGAGTCTCAGTAATAGATATGTAACAAAGGAGCAGAGCAGGACTCTTTATAAGAGCTAGATGGTCGTAAGGAGAGGATTGGCACAGCAGTGGTTCATGCAGAATCTCCTGAGACGCAGATAAAACTTAGTTCTGATTGGGAGAAGGTTATTACAAAGCTTGAGGTGGAGATGTAGTCACAGGAAAGTAGCAAGAATATATGGGGGAGCTGAGACATGAAGAGGCATTTCCTAGAAGGGAAAATTAGGCTTTAAAGTCAGGCAGATGGGTTTGCCTGGGAAACAATCAAGAGCGCTGAGTCTGAGCCAGGGAGCTGGTGGGGAGTGAGCCAAAGTGTGTCAGGTAAGGCAGAGAACCAAAACCAGATATCAGGTGACAAGTCAAGAATGAGTAACATAGAGTACATGAATAGGTCTGGGCGGGGCTGAGAAGATATGGACTTGGCTCTATGTGCTTGGCTAGCTGAATGTTTTGCAGCTATATCTACAGGTGCTTTTATTATCATACAGCCTGGCAAGGAATGTTATTATAAACAGCTTGGGTCCTAGGTTTTGGGATGGGAAGAAGCCCCAGCTCCTGGGAATAACTGTGATGTCACCATAACACATGGTGACTTGTCCCAGCAAATGGAGCAGGGACGTGGATGAGGAAAACCACAGATAAGTATTACAGCCAGGCAGGGTGGCTCACGCTTGTAATCCCAGCACTTTGGGAGGCTGAGGCGGGTGGATCACCTGAGGTCAGGAGTTCAAGAAGAGCCTGGACAAAATGGTGAAACTCCGTCTCTACTATAATACAAAAAATAAGCCAGGTGTGGTGGCAGGCACCTGTAATCCCAGCTACTCCGGAGGCTGAGGCAGGAGAATCACTTGAAGCCGGGAGGCGGAGGTTGCGGTGAGCCGAGATCCCAGCACTGCACTCCAGCCTGGGTGACAGAGTGAAACTCCATCTCAAAAAAAAAAAAAAAAAGAAAAAAGAAAAGAAAAAAAAAGTATTGCTAGGATTAGCATCACTGTTAGTTACCATTCCAGTTATTGCCCACTTGCTAGACCCCTCAGAAAAACAGAAGTTTGCAGGAATTTTGCAGCCAAAAGGTGATGTTTAAAATATTCCTAGAAGATTTTTTCCACTTCATACGTTGGATATTTATCTCATAAATTAATCAATATTGGCCGAGTATCGTGCCCCATGCCTGTAATCCCAACATTTTGGGAGATCAAGGCAGGTGGATTTCTTGAGCCGAGGAGTTTGAGACCAGCCTGGGCAACATGGTGAAACCCTGTCTCCACAAAAAATACAAAAGTTAGGCCAGGCGTGGTGGTGCACACCTGTAGTCCTAGCTACTGGGAAGGCTGAGGTGGGAGGATCACTTGAGCACAGGAGATCAAGGCTGCAGTGAACCATGATGATGCCACTGCACTCCAGCCTGGGCAACAGAACAAGACTGTCCCAACTCATTAATTACTCAATTAATCAATATTAATTATTATGTTGTATATTGTTTTAATTTTGCATAAATTATCTAATTTGTCTCATAACGACTATATGAGGTAGGTAGGGCTTATCCACATTTTAGGTGAGAGAAATAAGCCTCAGAGAGGTTAAGTAGTTTGTTCACAGTAACACTGCAAACAGTAGTAGAAGCAAGAATTGAAGTAACGCATTGTTCTCTTAGCTACATGTTATGAATATTTAATTACTCTTCCACTTCATATTTAGAGACTATCTTCTATGTGTTGGCTATTGCTATGGATAAAAGAGTGGAAAATAATAAAAACATGCACAGTCCTTGTCCTTGTGGAGCTTAGGAGCTTACAATCTAGGGGAAAGAGGGAAGATACCAGCAACCAGCACCCATTAACCCAAGTGATTATTTAATCACCCTTGTAGAGGTGATTCTTTTATCTTCAGAAGAGGAGAAAAGAGAAGGTCAGATAGATCTCATGTAGTGTAGGAGTTCTCTGACTTATCTTCTGAAAGAGATCTTACCAAGTAGATCTTACCTAGTATGGGAGTCAGAGAAAACTTCCCTAAAGAACTGATAGTAGACTTAAGACCTGAAGGATTAGTAGATGGATGGGGAGGGGAGAGAAGAGGTGTTGGTGCTAAGGCAAGAAAGAGCTTGAGGCATTGAGTGAAGATAAGGTGTTATGGAGTGTGGCTGCTGCCAGCAGGGATTAGATGATGCACTTTAAAATGTACAAATAACAGTACTATAACATATTTACATTATAATTGAAATTTATAAAAGTTAGGGAACTAATCTTTGTATGTTGGGGAGGAAGTTACCTTTCTCTTGTTAATTCAATTAATTTCAAGACTGTAAGAATGTATTGCACTACTGAAACATTAAAAATTGCGTTAGCTTCTGCATCTTCATGGGATGGAAGGTTGATCAACTGATTAGAGCTCCCACCAGGAATAATCCAAGAAATCAAATAAAGTAAAATACAGAAGTTATTTGCTTGAAGACAGTGGAGCACAGCTGAGGCAATTAGTGAAGAGGTCATGACTCCCAAGGAGAGAAAAGCTCAAAGCAACTTCTTTCACAACAGTAGCTTTTCCAATTCAGAGCTGAGAATCCAAATTCTTCACCAATGCATGAAGACATTTTGATGAATTCTGGGACTTGGGGGGATGGGAGACTAATATCCTAAGCCTTAAAACAGCTGAAAAATATAGCAAAGATGTCAGCAGTTTTATAAGACCAGGATTTGAAGTCAGGCCAGATTCATCAGAAAAAGTGGTCAGAGATAAGACTATTGACTGTAGCTAAAATTACAAAGGGGGCTAAGGAGACCCAGAAGTACACTAAGCCTTACTAGAACTGCAAACAAGGCTTGACTCAAAATAATGTTAGTATAGTGGCAGAAAGGATGACCCCTCTCAAGGAAAAGAACATTACTTGGAACCACTACCTTTTTTAAGAAAAATATACAGAATTTATTAGTAAATTACTAGACATATCAAAGGAAAAGATTACATAATGGAAAACCAAGAGAAAAAAACAGATAATAGAAGTATATCTATAAATGTTCTTGACGAGCCTTTTGAAATAACTATGATTAAAGTATTTAAGAAATTAAAGGAAAAGGTGAAGAAAATGAAATAGATGAGAAAATTTCACAAAGTAGAATGTGTAAGACCGACACAGCCTAGAACTGAAAGTATTTCATATCTGGTATTAAGAATTCTAGTTGGTTTAGCAGCAGAATAGAAACAGCCAAAGATAAAAGCACTGAACAAGAATATATCCAGGCCGGGCATGATAGCTCACACCTGTAATCCCAGCACTTTGGGAGGCTGAGGCGGGTGGATCACTTGAGGTCAGGAGTTTGAGACCAGACGGACCAACATGGTGAAACCCGTCTCTACTAAAAATACAAACATTAGCCGGGTGTGGAGACCTGTAATCCCAGTTACTCGGGAGGCTGAGGCAGGATAATTGCTTGAACCTGGGAGGCAGAGGTTGCAGTGAGCCAAGATCGTGCCATTGCACTCCAGCCTGGGTGACAGAGCAAGACTCTTTAAAAAAAAAAGAATATATGCAAATGGAAAAAGGGAAGAAGAGATGGATGAAATGTATATAAAATTCAGAAAAAATTAGAGACAGAAGGAAAGCAGTTAAAATGTCTAACATAACTATAATTGAACTTTAAGAGGAGATAACAGATTGGGACAAAGCAATATTTGGCGGGGTAAAACTGATTATTTCCCAAAAGTGACAAAAGACATTAACCTATAAATTTAAGAACCCCAAACAGTATAAACAGAGGAAAAAAAAAAAAACACCCAGGCAAAAGTGCAAAAAAATCTTTCTTAAAAAGAAAGAAAGAAAGAAAAAAGACATGCAACCATAATAGAAGCAATGGCAATATTGACAACTGAAGTCTCAATGATGAAAGGCAAGAGACAATGTAATAACATCTTTAAAGTACTGAAAGGAAATGCCAACCTCGGCTTTTATGTCTTGCAAATATATCCTAAAAATAAAGATGAAATGAAAACATTTTCAGACACACACATACGAAAGCTGAGAGAATTTATCCCTAAGAAATTTGTACTGAAAGAAATTTAAAATGGAGTTCTTCAGCAGAAGGAAAGTTATACCCAATGGAAACACAGAAATTCAAGAAGACATAAAAATCAATGGATAAGAAAACTAAATGGACAAAAATAAATGACTAGGGATTGAATGTTAATGATACAATACAATAATATTGTGTGGGGTTTAATTAGATATGTAGAAATAAAAAGCATGAAAACTGAGAATAAGGGAGTGGGTAAATGGAATTAAAATGCTCTGAATTTATAACATTTTAAACAAGAGTCAAAATTTCTATTTACAACACACACATTTTAAATGTAATAATCATAAAGATTGCAAGAAAAAGGGAAAAGATATAAAGTACACACACTAAAGAAAAGAAGCTTGAGTGTGTCAAAAGTTGATCTTGAGGAAGAATCATTATTTGAAATAAAGAGGAAATTTCATAATGAATATATCACTTTTATTATAATTCCTGTGTTTATAATGTCTTTCTTAAAACCCATGTAGCTGGATCCTGTTTCTTTGATACAGTATAACAACCTTTATTTTTTAATTGGACTGTTTACTCTATTTACATTTAATGTAAAATGTGATTGAAATTATGTGTAATATATCATGTTAGTATTTGAAATCCAGGATTCTATTACAGCAGTCCCAGAGGAACCAGATAAACATACTACTGTCTTGTCAAATGGTCTAATCCAAGGTTATACAACTTGCGGCCCATGGGCCACATACAGTCCAGGATGGCTTTGAATGTAGCCCAACACAAATTTGTAAACTGTCTTAAAACATTGTGAGATTTATTTTTAACTTTTTTTTTTTAGCTCATTAGTTATTGTTAGTGTATTTTCTATATGGCCCAAGAAAATTCTTCTTCTTCCCCAGTGTGGCCCAGGGAAGCCAAAAGATTAGACACCTCTGGTCTAATCTGTCTGCACATTGACATCCCTCATTTGGTTCACTTTTACCTCCAAGTTTTGCAATAGTGCAACAGACTAGCAGAAACTAAGGCACATACAAGCACTCTAGATGCAAAAAGTCTGTACAGAAAAGCAGTCCAGAAAGGGTTCGGGTGGATATTGCGTGAACTAACCTATGGGATTGACTATAAGCCTAGTAAAGGGAATGGGAAAGTAAGATATCCAAAAAGAGAGAAAAGCACCTTTCAAGATATGTTGGCATACAGCCATGTGAGTAGAACCAAATTTCTTCATGGCCTCCTTTCCTTCTTGTATTACAGTTTAGAAACTTGGACTTAGGAGATTCACAATGCTTCTCCATAATATATAATAATGAGTTTTCGGGAGTGTATGTGTGCTTTGGACACTTTGGTCAAATGACTTATCCTGCTAGGACTCAGTTTTGTCATCTAAAATTCAGTATAATAATACATTACACAATTAACTGTTGTAAGGGTTAAATTAAATAAGACAAAGTACAGGCAAGGATGTAGTGTAGTCCTGAAACATCGAAGATGTGTTTCTCATATCTGGCAACGATCATGGCAGTTTATAATAAGAAAGAGGACTTGGGACAAGTGATGTGCTACTTACTTTACTTTCATCAATTAGGAGTCAATCCTACTAGGCCAATAGCCAAAGGAAATGGTGAGCAGAACCTATAGTGGCACATTCATTCTTGACTCACATGTGAACACAATATAATTTCATGTCTCCTTGATAAAACTACTTTTCTACAAGGAAAAATAAAAGGCAAGTAGAGAGATTTCAGCCTACGGATGAAATACACAGTGTAACATGAGACAGCTGTTGCAGAGCCAACAAAAAAATCATGTTCAGTTAAGTGAGTCACAATTCCTTAAAATTTTTTTCCATGCCCACAAATGCAAAAGGCTTTGTGAGGTTGGGTTATTATTATCTTTTTTTTTTTAAGTTTCATTGAGGTATAAGTTATATGCAATAAAAATAACCAATTTTAAGTGTACAATTCAATGAGCTTTGATGAATAACTACAATGGTAACCAACATGATATAAAACAGAAACTAATCCTTTCCCCCACAACCCAGATCTTGAGCTATCTGATTTGCTTTTTGTCACATTAGTTTTGCTTCTTCTAGAAAAAGATATCATACAATATATAATCTTGGTGGCTGGTACCTTTTATTTAGTAATGTTTCTCAACTTTTTGTGTTTGTTATGGTCCCTCTAATGAGTATTTTTCCCTAATTGTCTCTCCCCACTTAATGAAATTTTGATACCACAGATATATCTATATGTCTATGTACTGTGTATACACCTGTGCTTTATACAGAGTAAGATTTTTTTCACACCTCAAAATGTTTTGCCCCTCACAAGGTGCTATCACCCCATTGAGAATACATGATTTAGTGTAATGTGTTTGAGATTCATCAGTATTGTGTGTATCAGAAGTTGGTTCATTTTATTGCTGGGTAATATTCCATTATACAAAGAGACATTCAATAAATGAATAAGAATAATTGCATATGTGTTGCAAAGGTCAGGGAGTGAGTTCTTTCTCAAATCTTAGTCTCCCTGGTGTCAGTAGACATACCTCTAATAACACAATTGTTCAAGTCAGAAATCTGAGAGTATCAAGACACTTCTTTTTTCCTCATTTCCCCATGTCAAATCCATTAAAGCCTGCCAATTTCATCTCTTGATTATTGCTTGAATCTTGTCTCAAGGGATCAGATTTTGCCACTGTAACCCAGAACATTCCAGACATGTAAGGCTATCAATCTTTATCGTAGGAGAGATGGGAAGCCGTTGAAGGGATTTAGATAGGAAACTGACATGACTTTCTTAGTGAAATTAAAAGATTACTAAATCTTTTACAGCAAGCAATGAATAAGAATATGGAGAATGAATTAGAAAGGACTGAGAGTAATTGTGGAGCGGATCTTTCAGGAGTCCAGGGGATAAATGCCAGTGGCTCTGTCACGAATTTGCAAGGCCTTTGAGAGTAGGAGATGAGAGAGTTGGAAGACATGCTATATTTCAGTGGGGCCCATGGGAAGGCTTAGCAAGGCCTCACTCACTGCTAGAAGATAAAATAACTGTAATGAGAAATTCAGGTAAACCTTCCTATTGCTTGCTGCTCTCTTGACTTAGATGGTATTTTTGGTCAAATTAATCAGTATTCTAAATGAATTAAGTATGAATATTCTTGGGTCATTTGCTAATAAGTAAGAAAGAATTAGAGAATTATAATCATGCCCGTAAGAAAAAAAAATTGTATACTTCATGAATCCATCGATCTTTCTATCCATCTCACAACTTTTTAAAGGGTTACTGTAGTACTAGTATCCAAGTACTAGCTCCAGATGGTCTGCAATCCTCCTGAAGTTTTATGTAAATTGTCTTATCTACATACATCTCTCTGGGGGGCAACTTGAAGATTCAGATTCGATTTTTATTCCTATTAAAGAGTAAGAATCAATGGCTTACTGTGTTTTAGGTCTAGGGTATGCAAACATTCATAGGAAAT